>NC_000012.12:23334650-23959650 GCF_000001405.40 Homo sapiens | reverse complement strand
GGTAGCCCTTTCCTTAGATATCGTCATTGTTGTCTTTTTATTTCTATAGATGCCTTTTGTCACTTTCAAGTTTTTGGTGTTTATATAGCTGGATTTATAAATCTTTTGTTTTATGGCTTGTGGATTTTGATCCATTGTTAGTAAGACTCTCTCTTCTTTAAGATTATATTTCAGTTCACTCATGTTCCCTTCTAATAGTTTATGATTTTATTCTTTATGTTTAGATATTTGAGCATATAGGGCATTTTGTTGAATGCCATCTATAGTATTGACTAACAGTGTATACTAAATTCTCTCTATGTGTTTAGGTTTTTTCTCTATATTCTTTTTATTCCATTGTATTTTCAATTCATTCAATACTACATTGTTTTCTTCATTGAGATTCTACATTATGTTTTAATTTCTAGTAAATTAAGCCCTCATTCTTTTTCTTTTGCAAAATTTGTCTGATTATTCTTGTTTAATTTTATATAAATTTTGAATTAATTTATTTAGTGCTTTAAATATGATAGTATTTTAATTTTGAACTCATTACATTTATACATTAAATTAGGAAGAATTGATATTTTTATGACATTGATGCTACCTATTGAGGAACTTGGTATGTCTTTTCATATTGTATTAAAGCTTTCTTTAAATAGGTCTTGTATGTGAATGAGTTCATCATAGATATTTTGTCTATGTTACCAATGCTAATGGGGTCTTTTCCCCATTATCTCTAATGACTAGGTGTTATCATATATATGAAAGATATTGATTTCTACATATTACTTTTGTTCCCCACAGTAATTCTAAATTCTCATAGGGTTTCTGGGGGTTTTAAATTGATTCTTTAATATATATTTTACTAAGTATAACAAATTAATTCTAAATTCTCAAAGTTTAGAAGTTGGTCATCTCAGTTTGATATCTTTTTTTTTTTACTTAAAATCCCCACATAATTTTGTTTATAAAATAACACTTTTATAATTTTATTGTATATTTTAGATAGGCTTTCTTATAGAAACCTAGCGTCAATTCCTAGTGAAATAGACACTAGGTTTGTAATCAAAAGACTTTGGTTCAAATTGTTTTTCTGCCTCTTACAAGCTGTGAAATCAGAAGCTAGTTAATTTTTGTCCTTGTATTTTTATTTAGATTTGTTAAAAATTAAATTAATCTGTGTGAAAATTATTGATTTCTAGTTATAAGAACTTGATAATTGTTAATGAAGCAGACTAGGATGTCCATATACTGGACTAGGTCATAATTCCATGAAAAAAGTTTATTTTTGCATTTCTACCTTTTATGAGAGTACTCTGCCCAGAAAAGATGGTCAGAAAAAAAACCATTAAGTGTATTGATTCTTTCCTTTTTTCTCAGTATGCCTCATAAAATTCAGGGCACACACTCAATATAAGAACAATGCTTATTAAGTTGATTTGTTTACTAAGATTAAGAATAATGGCCCAGTTATGAAAACTGAGTAAATCTGAAGTTGGGTTTCTGTACCACGAAGAGTATTGATGACCTTAGATATATGTTTTTATTTTTTTAAGATGTGCTTAGGATACTGGTATATTTTACAAATGCTTATAGTTTTCTAGTCTACACTTTGACTCTATGCAAGATTTAAAAATAAATATTTCTGATTATAGACCCATGATTTATTTAGGGGTATTAACAGTTAGGTGTTTTTCAAATAGTAATATACCATTTGATACCCAAGCAGTTCTTCAGCATCAGGGCAAATTACAAACATTAATTTATCTTTTTTCTTATTTATGAAAATATGCAGTTTATACATTAAGATTTTAATATATAGATGATTTAAAATACGGGTATAAATTTAAGATTCTATAAATGCTTGTTGAGTAATTGAATGATTACATTCATTTGGTAATGCGTATATTATATTTTCATCCTGTGCATAGTCCTTCTGAATTATTTTCTAAATTGTGGCAGTCAGTCATTTTATTAACAACAGCATGAAAAAAGCAAGTTGTCTATATGGAAGCAGCTCTTCAGAGTGTCCACACAATGCATTATAACAACTAGGTTTTCTTGAACACAGTTTGCCTGTCAGGATTTCTAACATTACAACTTTTTAGTTTGCTTTTGAACTTGTCATTTGATATTTTGAAATTTTTGATAGAGACAACAACCCTTGTATTTATTCCCCCCTACGCCAATCACAGTTCCATCACACACGTGAGGTATTTACTGTAGTAAGAGACTAAACTGCTTTTAATTATTTCACTGAATTAAGTAATGCTAATAAATATAATTGTACTTGGAGAAACTAAAATCTCAGGCACGAAATTTTTTCAGAATCACAAATAGATGAACTTAGTCATAAAATTAGTTTTGAAAACATCATTTTTTGGGGGACCAATTAAGTTGTCCTGGTCATTTTAATTTAAATGAACTTATATACATTAACTTTAATTAGTAACAGTTTATTTTCCTCACTGTCTTATATTGCTGTATGAATGTAGAATTATGCCATAGTTTAGAAGGCCAAAATAAACTGTCAACTACAAGTAATAGTCTTAAAACTGTAAAGAAGGACTTAGGAAGGCAAGAAATTTTATTTTTGAAATGATAAATTGATTTATCAAAGAAGAGATTATAGAAACAGAAGTTTGTAATTGAAAGGGACCTTAGAAATCACATTCTCTGAGACATTAAAGACTTAGGCAATGGCCGGGCATGGTGGCTCATGCCTGTAATTCATCCCAGCACTTTGGGAGGCCAAGCTGGGCAGATCACCTGAGGTCAGGAGTTCGAGATCAGCCTGGCCAACATGGAGACAAACATTATCTGGGTGTGGTGGCATGTGTTTGTAATCCAAGCTACTCAGGAGGCTGAGGCAGGAGAATCACTTGAACCCAGGAGGTGGAGGTTGCAGTGAGCCGAGGTCACACCACTGCACTCCAGCCTGGGTGACAAAGTGAGACTCTGTCCCCCTCCCCTTAAAAAAAAAAGACTTAGGCAAGACCATTGCATTAATAAGGAAGGAGTAATAGAGGCTCCCTTAGTGCAGCAGTCCCCAACCATTTTAGCATCAGGGACCAGTTTCATGAAAGACAATTTTTCCATGGGGGTGGGAGAGGTTAGGTGAGGTGGGAGTATGGCATTGAGATTAAATGGTTCCACCTCAGATCATCAGGCATTAGACTCTCAAGAGTGAAACCTAGATCCCTCACATGCACAGTTCACAATAAGTTTTGCCTTCCTATGATAATCTAATGCTGCCTCTGATCTGACAGGAGGCAGAGCTCAGGTGATAATGCCCACTGCTCACCTCCTGCTGTGGTTCATAACAGGACATGGACCAGTACTGGCCTTGGGGGTTGGAGATCCCTGCCTTAGAGCACAGGTTTCCTAACTTTCAGCTTAGCCATAATTTCTTCCCCTATACTGTGCTAGATACAAGTAGACTGAACATTGTTAATAGGCAACATTCTCCTTTACTATGAATAAGATTTGTCATTCACTTAGTATACAAGCAAAGGAGAATATGGAGAATAGACAAATGTAGTCAACTGAAAAATGAAGGAAATTTTTCAAACATTTTCATACTTACCTCAGGTTTAACTCTCATTTCTCCTCTGATTAGTTAATAAATGAAATGTATACATTCACGGTGGGAAAACCTCTCTGAATGTTGTGTACTAAAATATTTTATAGACATTACCTAACAAGAATGTTACCTAACAAAACTACATTGTAGCAAGATAATGGAGCCACTTTTCACTTTGCTGCTACCTCTAGGTAAAATGTCTTGCAGGATGTTCCCTGAATTACTTTCCAGGTTGAAAAATTACAATGCAGAAAGTTTGAAGGCCAAGAGCACTTTTATTTGTATGATCCCACTTGAATGGTTTTTCTTCTTATGGGTTATATGGATTTTTTTTTTTTTACTCAAAAGAAACCTTCCGATTTTTACCACGAGGGTGATTGAGTTACATCATTTTCATCTTCATAAGCGAACAAACCATTAGACATCACCATGTGTATCACAAGGAGAGTTGATAGTGTAGAGAGTAAAAAAATAAATTGAAAAGCATAAATTGAGTAGGTCTTATTTTCCTAATTGACAACCTTTGCCTGAAATAATCGATTCTTTCTATAAGACAGAAATTCCGTTGCAAAGGAGTTACATGGGGACCAGAAAATTGGCCCCTGGGTTTTACCTGAGATTGTGAAACTTGTAAACGTATTAGGCAAGGAAACCTATTTTAGAAATTATTCTTAAAAATAGAGCCAAATTACGTGAAGAGTAGTACTAGTTCTGGTGATTGTTATCACTACAAATGAGATAAGAATACTATTCTTCTCTGTTTTAATTGTGTGAATGAACTATCTTTTATGTTATTTGTGAAAGTGGGACAGTCATTGCTCATCCTAACTTTGTCCAAAATTTGGGCATTTGGTTACCATAGAAACATACTTATGAAGCACTTTCCTGTATACTCTATACTTAATTGCCATTATGCTGTATTTGAGATGAACTAAAATTCATTGCCTTTAAAAACTATGCAGAAAATATGGCATATTAATAATTTTGATGTTCTCCAGCCCTGCACTTACTAGTTTTGGGACTTCCTCATTCGTAATTGGGATAAGTCTACATATCGCATTTAGTTGTTTTGACTATTAAATGAGATAATGGCTTTTATTATGTATCATATAGATAGAAATTCCTCATAAAATAAAAGCTTTTATTTAAAATTATTTCAAGTTATTCTGAATAAGAAGTTAAATCCTAAGATCAAACAGTGAAAGCAGTTACTGGAAATGACATCATTTCTTTGAGAGAAGTATGAAACTAGAGTTTCTAAGGTGAAGGTGTTTCTGAAGAACACTGTTTCTTCAAATATGCAATCTGAGAACAATTCATCTGTGTATTCTAACCAACTGACAATAGAAAGAGTATGAAGTTAGAAAAACCTTGAATTTGTAGGCTATTGTGTACCAGTTCCTTGGCATACATGTATTATGGTGGACTGAATTTTAGGTCTTTAAAAAAGAAGATAGGCTATAGAATGCCTAAGGTATTTTTTGAAGAAGTCCACTATTACAAGACACTAGTCTAAGAGTTTTAAGCTACATGTGATAGGTCAATAGTGAGCTCACCAGGCATCTGGTGAATGACTCACAGATGTATATTGGTTGGAAGTTTCCTTCTTTCTTTCTTTCTTTCTTTTTTTTTGAAAGAGGAAGTGTCCTCTTTTTAATTTTAATTTTTTGTGACAAAGTAAATAACAGCACAGGCAAAAGGCATTTTCTTAATGCCCATTGTGTCACCTTAAGGCAATAAAATGTTAGTATTGTCTGACACTGATATGCTTTAAATACATTGTGATTATAATATTAAGAGTTTTATTTCTCAAAATAAGTTTTCCAAATTCTATGAGATGTGAAAACTAGGGTGATGGTAGGAATTCATATCAAATATGGAAGTGTAATTTGCACCTATGACCACATATTTTTATTTCAGGTATTAAAATAGAAGATACTTAATGATTCTGATCTAAAATAGAGGAATGAAAATATATCCTTTTAAAATGAGGACAAAAATAGTAGAAATGCATGCTGGAAACTATACCTGAAAAGGGGTTAAATTTGAAAATAACTTGTTTGTGATTTTAAAAGTTCTTGATAGTCTCTTTGAGAATTTTCCAGCAGTGTTCTCTAGCATATCTTATATTCCTTAGCCTGTGTCAATCCCCTTTTTATATCTGCAATGGAAACAACATGAGCTCAAAAGCATACTTTTTCATGTTCATTCCATTTTCCATTATACCGATGCGGCAGTGTCAAAAAGACTCATTCAATGTAAAACTTTTATTGGGTTACTGTTGCACTTTGGTCATCTCTGAAAATATATTTTATTTGTGTATCTGTGCTTGTAGATCATACTTATTTACCATTTTATGTATTATTCAGTTCTTAGCACTATGTTTTGTTCATTTGCTTTTTTATTTTTGTTTTAACTTTTCTCACTACATCTGCCTCAGAAGGCTTGAATACTCAAAAATTGATTTGAAATTTGGTTTTATATACATATATATAATTAGAATTGTTATAACTTTTTAAAATTCTTTTATTAAAGCCATAGCACTTAACATATTGGTAAGCATTTAATAGATGTTAAGTGAATGCAAAAGTATGTCTCAACCCAGATGTATTTTGAAACCTTAACAAACATCACATTGCGGTATTAGTTGTGATGTAAAGAATATCTATAGTCAATTGAATATCTTAAGCTTTTCTGATAATTGAAAAAGAATTTGGGTTTAATAGATGCGCTAGTCATGAACACATATTTAATATTTAAACATTTTAACGTTTAATGCAAAATTTAAAAGATTCAATTAACAGTATTTTAATATTAAACATTGTATTGATTGGATCATTTTGATCATTTAATGAAATAACCCAAGACAAAATTTAACCAAAACATTTTGGAACAGTCTTTCCTTTTGCTGATATTCTAAAGTCTGACAGAAATGCTAATTTTCAATATAGGATTCAAATGAAAGAAAACTTTTATGGCTTAGAGAGGTACATTTTAAAATATTCAATTAAACCATCATATACAGTATTAGCTTAATGACAGCTTTTATAAATTTTATTTTTTATAACAATTACCTGAAAGCCTTTCAGGTCACTTAAAGTATGAGTACCATCTTGGGATTTTCATCTAACTATAAATTCTGGAGGATCAGTTTATTCTGCATTATGGTGTCATAAGTGAAATAGATAGAAGTGGCTTCAAGCAACAAATGGGCTACTAACCAGTTGAATGACTTTAAATTCTGTTTGCCCAAGTTAAACAGTGGGAAAATTAGGGAAATACATACCTACCCCTTTCTACTCTGTAAGATCCATGAGCTAATTTATGTGAACAAAATTCCTTATGATCTTAGAGTTCCATTAGTTCAAATTATCATTATTAGGATGATCATTATTTGGCAAATTTTCTGTCTAGTTCCTCGTCTATTTCAACTCCTTCAGCATAGATGATTGTGCAAGAAATAATTTGTCTTTTGAATGGCTACAGTAATGTTTGCAGAATATATTGAAGTCAAAAAACTAACTTTCAAACCATTTAACATTCTCTTCTATATTCTTTGTGTTTATTTGGCATATGTACAGATGTATACATATATTAAGTGCCAATAAAATCAAAATCAAATATAAGGAAGATTCTAATATGAGTATCTTTTCTTTATACTATAGTTGGCCTCAAACACTCATACTCTTTCTTACCTGCTCTGGTGACCTTCTAGATTAGAGTTTCAAAGAAACAACCAGAGGTAGTAGCTGTAGCAAGACAGCAGCTGGGACCATACGGATCTCAGCATCCTGCCTTATGGCCATTATCTTTGTTTCTATCTTTATGCTGCCACTATGTCTCCTTGTGCTCTCTCTGCGTCCTCTCCTCCCGCCTCCTCCTCTTCCTGACTCCACTCCCATGGCTCCCTGTAACTCACCCATCCTCCTTCTTCACTTTTTTTCTCTATTGATATAAGATAAGCAAGATTTTTCCTAGTTAGGAAAAAAATTTTAAATATTTTTAAAAGTGTATATAGCTATGCAGCTACTATACCCTAATTCTCATAACAACCATTAACAAATGAAGAAAAATATAATTTTTGTATACATTATCCATTAGAGTATATTAGATTGTAGGTCCCTTAAGGGCTGAAAAAATAGAGATTTAAAATAAATGCAACAATTTTTTCATTTTTCTGTGTGGGAGTAGGTTGTTGCTGTAACAAAAAATAATTTGAGACTAACAACAAGAAAGAATAGTGAGTAATATTCTTCCCCCCTTCCCCAACTGCTGAAAGTGAAAATCATGTCAGCATCAAGTCATTTTTGCCACATCCCTTGTTAACAGCTTTTTCAGGGTGGGTCATAGTTCTATGTTTTGTTAGTGTCTTAACTCCATAGTGACATGCTTAAATCTTATTCCACATTGATTTTGTAGTGTGTGTGTGTGTATATATATATTTTTAGAACATCTCCTGATGATAGAATTAAATATTAAGTTATTATCAACTTGTCTAAAAATTTATAAGCTTTGAATGAAAAATAAATTTACTAATATAAGTTCATAATTGATTTTTTTCTCTTTGGAATATGTGTATGATGTATCACTGTGAATGTCTAAAAAAGTAAACTTACTGTTTGCCTGTCTCCAGAAAAAAAAGTGGGACCTAATCAAACTGCCGTGGGGTCAACCCTTGTGGTTTTAAAGGCCCTTAATGTTGTCCAGCTGCAAAATAAAAGGAATTGGGAGGGGAAGTTGGAAGGAGTGGAGGGGGTTGGGGGGGAGGAATGTGTGGAAAAGAACAGGGAGTCTGGCTTTTATTTTTTTTTTAAGTGAGTTCAGTGCCAGCCTGGACATTGGCTGTACAGACTATTGAGCCATTGTCTGCTCCATTTCCAGAATAGCCCCCAGTTAATCACTTCGGCTTTGAAGGGAATTTCCTCGTGGAATTCTCCACAGAAAATCTAATCAACTGACCTGCCCTCTCAACAATGGAAGGCTTTTTTTTCCTCTCTTTCCCTTATTGGGGCGGGCTCTGTAATGTAGCCTTTTGTGCAGAATGAACCCTCCCAGTAGGAGTGGAGAGCGTGCGTGAGTGAGTGTGTGTGTGTGTGTGTGTGTGTGTGCATGCGTGTGTGAAGAATGCACACTATCTCCTGTTGGTAAGTGTGTGCTTACTCCCTGACCAGATGCTGCGGTGCACGGGGCAGCCACCATCTCTGCATGCATGTCTGTGTAAGTGTCTCTCTCTCTGTGTGTATGTGCCTCTGTCATTTCGTGTCAAAGGTACATTACCTGATTACCTTTCTCGGCTGCCAGATTTTTATCTAGATAATTGGAACTGCTATGGAGGCTGTGCCTTGCCAGCCAGCTTAGAATCTGTAAAGCCATAGTTTGTCCACCTTGTTATCTGTGGCTGCCTGGGCAGAGGAAATTAAAGAGATCCACAGCCAGGGGGGCGCTTCCTACTCCTGACCTCCCCAGCGATCCCAAACAGGACAGTTTGTTAGTACCGTCTTTTTGTTTTTATGTTTTGATTTCGTTTTGGGTTTTTGTTCGCTCGTGTATGTTATTTTGGCATGTGGATACCTATTCCCCTCCACATCGCACATCGTGTTTTATGGAGTTTAGAGCTGAGGAAACTTTGGTCGGGTTGCCAGGACGTTCGCACCACTTTGCGGAAAGCACGAGCTAACAGTGAGACCGACAGAGTGAGTGACAAGTTGTTTACAGGTTTCCTTGAAGGGGCCTCTGCTATATTTCAATCTGTCAAAGTTGCTTTTCTTCCCTCAGAACAATGCCTGATTGTTGTGTGTGTGTGAGTGTGTGTGTGTGTGTGTGCGTGTATTTCCGTGTGTGAACGGAGAGAGCCTAGAAAAGGGTGAGAAGGAATAACAATTCTTTGTGTAAAAATGCTATTACTAACATTAAATTTTTTGCTTAATTAGTTAATAAATGCAGTTTAATCGAGCTTCTGTTATTATATAGACTAGGTTTTTAATCAGCAGCAAATACGTTTTACAAAATCATACTGTTCTGCGTGTGTATGTGTGTGTGTGAGTTTTATGATTTAGAAGACAGAGTATGGGAGACGTGTTAAATGAGTTGACTTCTCACATTCAGTGATGTCTAGAAGAGAGAATTAAAAGGAAAGGACAGGCACCCTGAGGTTGTCTAGAGCCTTGCAGCCGGAGCGTGTGGCTCCGCGGAGGGGGGAGCAGCCAGACTCCGCTGCTGGAAGTGCACTACCCCTTTAAGAGACTGGTCAAGGAGTCCTAGGAGAGAGAGGAGGGGAAGGAGGGGGGGAGAAAGAGAGAGAGAGAGAGAGAGAGAGAGACAGAGAGAGAGAGGGAGAGAGAGAGAGAGAGAGAGGGAGGGAGGGAGGGGGGGAAGAGACAGAGAGAAAATCAATTGGTTTAGAAGGTTTGGACTCACTTGACAGGTTCAGTTGGAGACGATCATAGGTGGCTGCTGTGACAAAGGGAAATTGTGCTTTTCCAGCATGCTTACTGACCCTGATTTACCTCAGGAGTTTGAAAGGTGAGTACAGTTTTTTCCCCCTAATATATTGAAGTACAACTCTCCCATTTTACAGTAGTCTCTGAATCATTGGAAGATGCTCCCCCAAAACGTGTTTGTTAGAGAAGCCTTTAGCTAGGGCTTCTGCAATCTTGTTAGCTGATTTTTTGTTGTGATTGCCCGGACCAAACTGAACTGATTTGCAAAGTCTCCGAGATTTCTGCTAATGTTTTTAGGTTGCGTCCTATAACAGCAAATTAAATGAACCTTAAGCATCTCTCTCTCTCTCCCCAACTCGCTGCTTCTGTCTTTCTCATTCACTCTCTTACTTTCTTCCTTCATTGATTGTTTTCTCCCCACCTTTTAAAAACGCTTTTGTGCAGAATGTTACCATTTTCAGCATCTCTGTCTCATGTAATTTCTAGGGTGACAGAAGGTTTTAGTGGTGCTTTAAACGGAGGCTATAAGTTCCTATTTGATCCTTCCGTAAAACTTTGGAAGCTGCTCAGTAAAGCACATGACCTTTTGTTGATATAAGAGAGCGTTTTTTCCCCCCAAAGAAAATTTAACATCATCGCTATATTAGATTACTCCCTAAGTGTCAAAAATAGGGGCGAAAAGGGGATAAATGGAGCTGTTCCCTTTCTAAGTTTTAGTGGCCACTTTTTGTGTTAGCTGTCTTGACTGAATTTTAATTTACTGTATTTTCCCCTTTTGCTATGATGGGAATAGTGTATTTGTAATTAAGTTGTTCCTATTTAGAGAAATATCTGCAGCATCCTTTTATTTGATGTTGTTGCAAGTAAAGCAGGGCTTTGAAAGAATTTTAGCCCTCTTAATGTTCCTATAAGTACACATTGCAATTTTTAAATTTGAGTTCTTATCCCAGCATAAGTTCATTTTTTTGAACTATAAATAGAATTTTGTTTGCCATTAAAAAGAATTCAAACTTTGTATTCTGTATGGTGAATTAAAAAAAAAAAAGCTAAAAAAAGCCAGGATGCATGATACCCAGGCTTTTTTTCATTTTCATGAAAGCTACCTTCTGTATAAACATTTGTTGTATCTGACTATGCAATGCAAGCTAGGTGCTAGACCAGCTGGTTAAAAATATGCTAAGTCAAGCTGTTCATCGCTCAAACGACTGAATTTGATATGAAAAGACGAAAAAAGAAAGGACAAAGATTAAAACATTCTAGAAGTGAAGCAATGGAAGAGAAAAAGAGTATTGAGGATAAAGTAACGCTTGAATGTGGTCACATATTAGAAAAGCCAGTATCAAATCAGGGAAGAAAGTAAAATAGCCAACACATATACTTCGGTGCTGTCATCTTTCTTTGATTTCTTCTGTGTTTTTTTTTTTAATAATTAAATTGCATCTTTACTAGATAATTCCAGCGAATGTTTGAGCTTTCTTAACAGTTTTGAATTAAAATTTTCACTTCTATATATTAACTCTTTAATTAGTGAGCTTTTATTTGCAAATATAGCCTTATATCATAGGTAGATGTTGAAGTTATTCATAGTGGAACATACTGTACATTACCTAATGTAGCGATTTGCTAATTTAACACAGTTAAGTTTTCTAGAATGCACAGAGTAGCACTTAAATGATAATATTCTTTAATTCTAATTATACTTTTTGCAAATACAACTCTGAGGCTGATTTGTAAGCCTGTTAACAGATTGTACTTATAAAAAGGTAGTTACATATTAACAGGCTGTAGCCTATTTCTCTATATAGGCAAGCTTCCTGCTGTGAACTTTATTTGTATTTTTTTTTCAATTATCTCTTTTTAAACTAAACTTTTCCCTTTCCTATTCTGATGCTCAAATCTGTTAACATCTTTTTTCCTCCTGGTGGGAATTTCATTTTTTTTTTTCACCCAGAGGCATGCTTTTCTAACTAGCTAATTAAATAAGCAAGTGATAATCAATAGGGTTGTTAGTATGACTATCATATTTAGAAATATTAGTAGCTAAAATAATTCTGAAAAATGTCACACAATATAACGTTCCTTAATAATTTCCCCTGTGGTTGTAATTGGTAATACATACAAAGATCTCAGCAAATCATTACTATTTGTTTACATTGAATTTGTACGGGTGAGTGTCTCTATAGGCACCCATGCATGATACAGTGTATCATGTAGACACAATATTGAATATTTATATTCTTCAAAGGAGGTATTTATGATGTAACTAAACTATCACATATAATTAGATTTTTTGCCTTTTCAACTATTTGCAACTTTCATTGAATAAATAGGTCATTTCTATTGACTGTTAATTTTTATTCTATTGGGTCACTTGCTATAGATGAATTTCCCACTTAAACTTAGAAATCTAAAAGAAGACTTCTAAATTTCTTTGTGAAATAGAGAACTTTGATCTAGAGGACATAATAAATTGCTTAGGGTTCATGTACTGTAAAAGTTTTATGTGATCATTTTTACTAATTTCATTGGTAGAGTCTTGTCCATCTTTTATTCTTCCCAGCCTGTAGACTATTTGAACTTTAAGGAATATTCAGAACTTAAATATCAGGATCAAAATTTGGATTTAGATTTGTATATGTCTATATTATCATCCCTAGAAATGAACATGGTCAGTACTCTCAGACTAATAAGCAGTTGTTAAATAGTTAAGAAGTAGTAACAATTTCATTGTCTGTTAAAAATATGCAGGAGGTAGTGCAAATAGAACAGTGATTCTAAAAGGTAAAGAACTTGAAATATTTTTATTTTCAAGCATTCTTGTGATAAACTGATTATGATTACTGAAAAACACAACTCCAAGGTGGGAAGCAAATGGGTGTATATATTCTAAAAAATTATTTGTAAGGAAAGTCTTCTACATTTTACCGTTTAAAGGAAACATAGCTGGCAACATGGTCTAAATGTGAGTAATAGCATCATTAGAATGAACGCCCGAAGTCTCCCCACATTTTTAAAAGAAGTCAATAAATTTATATATTTAACTGAAAGTAGATAATGAAAAATTGTGACTTAAGGTTTTCCTTTGAGAATGTCACCTACTTTTTGATATTTCAAGGATGAAAAGAAAATATTTGCCTTAAATGTCAATATTAGTTTGTTCATGATAAGTAAAAATGTCCATTTTTGATAGTTTCTCAATATTCTATTTCTTTCCTTTTAATTTTATCTGTCCTCTTTGGTTGTAACATAATAGTTTTGTGTCTAAGCTTCCCGTTACAGTTTCTAATTGCTTTATGTTAGAAACTTAAATAGCAAGTGTAAGACGATTGCTTAAGAAGACAGTTCTGATAATGTCTAGAAAGGAGAAAAAAAGTTGGGATTGAAAGTAGTGGGATTATGCAAATTAGGTTGTTAGTATCACCTATTTGATTGCTTCTCCCAAATTGGTGCAGACAACAGACAGCAGATTTTCTACATGTTGAAAGGAACACTACAATAGTAAAACCTTCTGCAATAAAAATTAACTTATTTACTTCACATTTCCATCAAATTTATTTCTGGTCATGCTGACTAAATAATTTTTTTCTTATTAGGACACTTTTCAGTGTTTTTCTGAAGAAAGAAATATATATCAGGTGCTGTTACAAACTAATTCGTAAAATTCCCATGAAAAGCTACTGCTAGACATTTGCAGAAAACTACTCTCTGACATTAGTGGTATTTTAGTTACCTAAAGTTTGACCATAGTCATGAAATATTTATGACACAGATATATTTTGCTTAATTAAAAACCTTAACAACAACAACAAAAAAATCCGTTGTGCTCATGAGTGATAAGTACATTCAGGTTAGCAGGCACACTCTAGGTGTGAATCACAGAAAAGTTATCTGTTCACATTCTGTCACCTAATGGCAACTGTAAACCTGTAAGTTTGATTTTACGTTTTCAGGATGTTCTCATAGGCTTTGATAATTTTATTTATATTTTATTTACTACTACATTGTAGAGGAGACAATGTCTACAACTGAATATAGATTTTAATTACCGTGTCAATAATTTGCAAGCTAACTGAGCTAAGACATTGGTTTGGAATGCAGCTTGCATGAGGCAGTTCATAAACCACATTTCTATCACTCTCATGCTGGAATACTGTCCTGAAGACTTGGCAGGAGACCTGACTGATTACCAGGAACAATTAAGGGTTAAATGTCAGGTGACATTGTGTACTGCTCAGTTTTTAGCAGGTTTGATAGACACAGAAATGTGCAAATATTATGATTACTTCACATATTGGTGTGTCCTTATCTTATGTTTCTCAAATATAATAAGCACATGTTAAAGTATTTACCTGTTCTTAGGGAGTTTTTGACAAAAATCTTGTATACGCATCATACATGAGAGACATATAATAAGACCTGTTCTGATTCTTTAGCACATTAGTCCTCCACAGAGTTGGAAACTATTTCATATGGATTATACTCCTAATGCATTTAGAAAGCAAAATTACATTCATGGGTAAAGGCTGATTTTTATTGTCTGTTTTCTCTCCACTATCAATTGTTCAGCAACCTAATGAGTATATTGTGTAATGCAGATGTGCATTATGTAGGCTGAATACCTCCCTTTTTATAGATTAGTTAAATAAGTATAACTGATGAGTTTTGTTTTCTTTCATAATTTGTTATTCCTTTATAATTTCAATGGGGTTATCCAACAGCCTGGGAAAGAAACTAACCTAAGTTTTTCTCTTGTACTAACTCACGTATAGTTCCAATGTGCCAGGTCTCTGACTCAGATGATGGCAGTAAGATAAAAAGATTTTCAAAGGTTTAACCCAACCATGAAATATCTCCTTCCTAATGAAAAATTTTCTTGAACAAGAAATGGACAAAAACATAACAAAGTCTTCCTTCCTTCATTCATTATCTCCTTCCTTCTCTTTCATTGATTGATAGCATCATCATTTGTATTAAATGTGAAATTTGATTGCTATGTAGATAAACAGGATCAAGTGATATTGCTAGAGTGAGAAAATATTTAAATTTGACATGCTTTAGGAGAATGCCACATATTCCTTCATTATGATCAGGAACTGATAGTGGTTTAGGAGAAGACCTTTTTATTCTTTCTGACCTCTGTGTTTTCTCCTGCAGTTTGGAAGCTGTTCTTTCTTTCTTTTAGTGTTGTCTATTCTTTTCTTTACTTACTAATTGAGAGTTCACACATCTTCTCTGGAGATATTGTGGCGTATGGTTTTGCTTGTCCAATAGGGGGGTGTTGCATTTCTCCACATTCAGTATCCTTTTCCCTTGGATCCTGGGAGTAAAACCTCAGCAGTACTCCCTCCCTTTGCCAGCCTGAGGAGTCAGAGACTCAAAGTTGTTCCCAGCTCTTGCGCCTTCATTGTAGAGCTGCATTCTGCTCAGTGGGCTGCCGAGAAGGACCAGACCGAAACAAGATTTAGAAGAATTCTGGTGAGAACTGTTTATAGGGATATGGTATTTTAAAAGAATGTAGTAAACAAACAGAATTGTGGCATAAACAAAGATAATTAGCATAAACAATGTCGTTTTAGGACAGGTGGTTTAAAAAAACAAACAAAACAAAAAACCCAAATATGAACCCAATTTGAATGCTGCCAGTTTGGAACCACTGAACCTTAATCTGTACTTCATGAGAATTACCCAGGTTTGTTGATAAACTTGTTAACATGCGTTTTTTGTTTCTTTTGTATCATTTTCCGGTCATTATGCCCTTTTGTCACCCAGCTTGAAAGTAATTAATCTATTACAAGGTAGTTTAAGGAGTTTTTGCCCATAAAACATGACAGAAGGAAAATTTAAAACAAAAGCTTGTAGATGTTCATAGACATTTGAAATCAGTGTCAAACCTTAAATCAATTCAAACCTGAACTCGGCTCATTGTATTTGAAACCTCTCTTTTATCTAAGTAACATTTTAGTCACTTGGCTCTCTAGTGTTAATACATTTACTTTTGTCTTGCCTTAAAATTCAGAGATTTGTTTTGCTGTGGCTAAATCAGCATTTTTGTAGTATGTGTTTCTTTCTAAGTGTTGCTTATTTCTTATTATTTTTCTCTGTAACTTAGTGAAGGTGGTACAGCAGCGTATAAATGTATCTGATGATCATGCAATATGAGGATGCTGGTTATTATGAACCACATTATCTAAACCTACTATGCCGTCGTGATGAATTTTTATCTGGAGACATTTAGGTTTATTACTAAATGACGTTTTTTCTTAATGCCTTGTACTGAAATGTTTTGACTTAAATGAAATGTGGAGTGTGGTGAACAGAAAGCTGTTTATTTTTCTTGCATTAAGGATCAAAGTTCTTTATTGAAGTTAAAGAGATTTTTTTTTTTTCTCTTCACTTACTCATGGACAATGGGGACCAGGAATTCAAAGTGGGTATCTCTGATATTCTGTGGCCCTTCTCTTTGCTGAAATGAAAGCATTTGTGAATGAGTTTTGGTTTCTTGGAGTTATAAAATGTGTGTAAACTAGTAAACCATGTCTCATTCATGTGCTATGGAGATTTCTCGTACTTCAGGGACAAAAATAATTTGGCTACTAACGAATTAGGGCTACCTGCCAGTGCCAACACATAGTGTAGGTAAGAGGAACACTATAAAGAAAAGCTGCTGGCAGCAAATCCGTTGAAACTTTCATATGTAACAGCGTTTCTATTTCTGCTCTTCACATCTTTGAAAGAAAGTGTGTTTTAGAAAAGAAAATGTTAAAAAACAGAAGATATGATCTTTCTTAAAAATGTATGTGTAGCTCCACTTTAATATTTCTCATTGTGGAGATGCATGGGGTTTCATTATGTCCTATGCACTCTTGGTTCCCCTACCTTTCCCAATCAATTCTGTCACATTGACCAACCTAAGGATCAGATGCATTGAGAGTAAGTGTAATAGAGAAGAAATGAAATTCACTGCATAGAGCCAAAAAAAAAAAAAAAGCCTCAGAGCCTTATATGATTTTGATATTGGCAGTTTAAGGGAGTTAGATCAATTGGGACACTGAGCAGCAATTTTATAAAGGATGTGTCCTCTCATTCAGGGCTTCAGGAACATTTTCAAGAAAAGAAGGGAAAGAGTTAACCTGTGTTGCCTGTTGTTAATTTCTTAGTGTAGGAGTAAAACAAGAGGTAGACCCAAATCATGTTTTCTTGTCATATTTTTAATCAAAATTTATTTCAGAATGTTGTCAGTGTTTACATTAGTACTGAGTTTGCCTTTTTGTTTTTGTTTTTGTTTTTATATTAAGTACAATTGAAATACCAGGGAGATAGGTTGTTTGAACACTGGTTGTGAAACTTTTACATAAGATCTTTCACGTACCATTTTAAGCTATTTTATATTTATCTAATAAAAGATCATCCTAATGAAAAAGAAATACGACACTGAAAATGAGAAATATTCCTTCACCTAGGAGAACACAAGATAAAAAAGTAATACTTTATTATACTATTAATTTTTCAGTCACAGTTAATTAGGTTGCTTGACAAAGTTCTAAAACACTTTTATTCTAATTGCAAAGTTAAAGTATTATTTGTTTGCCTACAATTCTTCCTTTGGTTATTTGCCCTGGGCCAGTGTTTGTTGGGCAATGGTTTTCAAAGTCCAAAGACTTTTTTTTCACTGCTCTCCTGAGGTCCCTTTGTCATTTTTTTTTTTTTATTAGCTAGTGAGTTTCATAATATGTTTGAAAAGAGGTTGCAGGGGGATGTCACATATAATTCAGGTTAATATTTCCTTCCTTTTTTCTTATCTGTACTCTAAGAGGTCTATGTTGGAGATTCGTTAGGATAAGGTATAGTATTCATATTATTTAGTGTAGAACGGAATGAACTGGTGCTCAAACTATTCAGTTTAGTATGCATTCACTAATTCAACTTTGATCTTGAGTGATAACTGAATATAAAATATCAGATTCAGATTCTTTGTCATCTATGATACAGCATTATCTATTATTATATTTTATGTAATATACAAAGTACCAATAGTCAGGCAGAACACCTAGGAATGGTAAAAGAAAGATAACTATGAATGCTATTCCTGAGAGTAGAACTTCTGTTTTCCTCCAGTCCTAAATATAACTACAATTTGGGAAATAGAGGAAAAGGTATTATTTTTAGGACCCTAAGGATTATGATATATAAATATTTATAGTACAATTATTTCTAAAAATGTTAGCATTACTTGAAAAATAATATGGATCTAATTTGACCTATAAACAGTTTAAGAACACTTAGTGCTTTAAAAGCATTCTTCTAGAGAAATAAAAGCATATCCAAAAGATCCTGATAGCAATTTAAAGAATCAAAGTGATGGGGCAACATATTTGGACTTTTATAAGTAAATTAAAAGATAATTGGAAGTCACTAACAGGTATGTGCAGGATTATTTTAGGGAATATAATAGTTATACGTGTGTGCACATGCAAAAGTTAGAAAGCCAGGAGAAACTTTTTCATTTATAGGGCAGTTGATCTCTTGAATGAATCCTGCCAAATTCTAATGAAGCTGCAGTTTTTTCAAAAAATCTTGAAAGGAAGAAACATTTCATAGAAATACAAACAAGGTTCATTCCCGTTTTCTTGTTTGCAGCTCAGAATCCTGTGGCATGTGCTACAGGAACATATAATAGTATTCCATCTTGAAAAAATTGAAGGTGGTATTGTGGTGCATATTTAATGGAAAATTTGAACCGAAGACGTTGGGTGAATCAAGGTATGCTTGAGTAACATTTGGGGATATTTGAGGTTTTAGGTTGAGATAATATGAAAGTTGAGTGTTCAGGGTCTAAAGCATACCTATCAAATGAATGAGTTTGTGTGTGTGTGTGTGTGTGTGTGTGTGTGTGTGTGTGTAATACTTATCTCCTCTGTAAATAAAATAATTTCCTCTTCTAGGTTAAGATTTATATTTGCCAGTATCTTCATTGATTCTTTTGGAAATGTAACATAGTACAAAGCGCTATTAGCTAGATGTTAAGATCTCAAGTTCTAGTTCTTCTTTAAAAACTGAGACCTCTTTGACTCTTAAGAGTATGCATCTGTAAAATTAGAAGATAGGATGGATAATTTCTAAAATCAGTTAACTCTAAAATTTCATTACTTTGAACTACATTTGCAGTGTCCCTAGCTCCTAACTCTAGTGGTCAGAATTCTTGCATTTATGTAGCTATTTGGAGATTATCTCTATAGCCAGCCTTTACATATAGAAGCACTTCAGTTTACCTGTCAATTAGGTATCATTACACAGGAACAAGCAGCCATGGTGTCTCTTAGGAGTTTTTAATCTAAATACCATGTATAATTCTTATTTAGGATTAGGTGCCCAACTTTGCTCTGAGCTATTTGAAGTGTTTCAAAAGATAAGATTCACATTCTATGATCCTGAAACTCTCAGGCATCAGATCACTATTCTGAACAATTATAAATATTGTAAAAGATAAATTATATATGGTTAAATGAACAAGACACTATGGGGAAATATGAAAAGCATACGAGTGGCACTTTAGGTCAGGGATCTAAAAGTCTGTTTATAAGGATAAAAGAAAAGAAAAAATATGAAGAATCCGCAGGAGAGCATGAGTACAGCACAGGGGCTATGGACAGTATATGTCTTTATATGAATAATTAAAACATTGGGCTGGAAAGTAGCAAGATCAACTAAGATTACAAACATGTAGTCCAAAGAAAAATTTTGAGTGTTTCTCAAAATAAATAACTATTAGCATTACCAGGCCAGCCAATTTGATATGCATTATACTATAGTTGCTAGTTGGCAATTTCAAGAAAAGAAATGTTAAACTCTGCAAAGCAAGGGAGTAGAGCAAAAAGCAATGAAGTATGCATTTAAAAAGCTGTATCGAGAGAACAAGCTTCATATATTGTTAATATATTTGGCAGGTCGCATGCTGTTTTTTTAATGCAGTGTTGGAAAAACAGTGTAGTTATACCATCAGGAATATACATATCTAAGGTCCTTCCGCATTATCTCTACTTAGAAAATTTGTCTGTGGTATCATGAAATCTTTGTACAAATTAGTTTATATTTAAAATATAGATTCATGTATTTGAGATAACAGGAATTTGCTATGTTAAAATTAATTTTTTTTACAGAATAATTATGATGTAGATTTTTTTATTTGATTCCTGCCGCTTTTAATTTAGGCACAAAGAATGGGTATTATTCTCTTGTTCTCCTTCTATAGATATAAATGTTGAAAAAAGAAAGAAAGAAAATAACCTCACTGAACCAGCACTACATTTAGAACTAGGACCAAAGAGAAATGTGCAAATATCCTACTGTTAAAGCAGAAAGAAAATCTGGAAATCATCCAGTTGGGCAACTTACTGCTAATATATTTTATAATCCAGCATTTAGCTATATACAAAGTTGGCATATGTTCCTACAGTTTCTAAATCAAGAATTAGAACTTTGTGATGTATAAGTCACTTGCATCGTTTGGGTTTCAGCCATGCGTCTATGAATGGACTTAAAAATAAATATAAAATTATTTATCCCCCAATGCAAATGAGCCAGCTTAAGCTTATAAAAAATCATAAAAATATTTGGATATGTCTGAATGCAAGCTACTGCATTCAGATTTTTAAAACTAGGTTTAATTTTTGGCAAATGTAAAATGATCAGCACTTTAATAAAAATGATTTTTTGTTTAATAACATACTAGTCAGATATCTGCAAATTATTTCAGCATATAAAATAATACATGTAAGAAATTGGTTTACTTATATTTTAGTTTTGTAGTTAATATAATTGTTTTAAATGTACTTATGATTATTGATCCCAGGTAACGTGTACTTAAATAGCAGCAATGCAACTGTAGTTTCCTCTAACTGCTTAGTGCTCATAATTAAATATTCCAAAAACACATCTCTTGTCATTTTATATATAGGACATCTGATGCACTAATAGTTATTTTTGCAAGTATCAGTATATTAAGTATTTGAGTAATGAATTTGCTGATTTAACATATTCCTATGCTTTAAGATGCACAAATTAAAGTTCACTTATTTTTGCATAATCACGAAAATGAATCATTTCGTAGAATAAATGATTGAACAACTGAAAACAGTGATTTTTCTGTTAATCTAAGAAGTCACACACATACTATTGCTTTTTAAAGTATTCTTTGTACAAACATTTTGAAAACTAGAAAACATTAAATAACTTGACACAATTATGTGTACTAATCTAGCACATTATAGATTTTCATAGTAAAAGCAACATAAGAGGTTTTGCATTAGCTACATATTCTTTGGACTGTAGGTTAAGCTTGAAGAAATACATAGATTTCTTTTTATGTGGAGCTCTATAACAAGCAAACCAAATCACCTAAGAAACAGAACCCTTATTTTTGATAAAAAATTGTTTTCACTGATATAATCTGTTGAAAGCCAGAAGCCATCCAAAGTGCTGATACCAATTTAAGAAGATGATCTTTTGCCTTAATTATACATCTGGGAAATATTAGCTGAACATTTTGTGGAGAACAGTGAATACCTTAGTTGCCAGTTGTCTAAAATGCTGCTAATGATCGACATAGTGCCAGTGTTTTGATGGCTAAAACCTAGGCTGAATATGAATACAAAGAACACAGTTGGGGAAAAAAAAAAGCGCACATTTTATACAAAACAGATTTCAACCATCTGCTTGGCACTTAAGTTTGTGACTATAGGCATTATATGAAAGAGACCACTGTCCACGTTAAGAATGGTATTACTTTTATTGGTACCTTAGAAAAACCATAGGGTTTTGAATGCATGTATAACCAATGATTTTCTTCAGCTAAATAATGCAAACAAGGGCCTCAGCCAAAATTTTGTTCCCTCCATAATCTCTTCTATGTCAGTCTTCTTGTCCTGGCAAAGTAGGTTTCACTAATAAAGTAGGTCTTAGTGCTCTGCCTCAGGATATTAAATAATACCAGACAACACTAAGCAAGTGGCCCTTAGGATGAGAACCCCAGATGGTTATGAGATAAAGTACTGTTTGCTTTAGGAATAGGTTATATTCCTGAATCTGTTGCCTGAATACTATGGTGCATGTCAAATTAGCATGGAAGTTAATGGTCCAGAAGCACTTCTAAATTTAATGCTTTCCCATTTGTTCTGAATTTATAGTATTAAATCAGAGCAGTACTGTTTCATCACTATTTCAGTAAAGGAAAATCATGCTATGGATAGGAAATTATAGGCAAAATCTAATTGTTTGACCCATTTCATTTACCTAAAGGTGAGGGAGAAATCCTGAAATGCTCAATAGAAGAGTATTGGTAAATATCATATATTAGATGCTTTTACATTTGTAGACCAGTTGGCAAGAGCTATTATAGACTGTTCCTTAGCATTAGAGTAGGCAAAACATAAATTTTTGACTAAGTAATAATTTGACCTATTGTATTATCTTTAGCTGAGATATACTTTGTCTTTTTAAACATTAGGAAAATCAAGCTATTAGAATGTGTTAGCTTATTGATTTGTTGAGGTTATATATGTAGGTTGTGTGAATGGAAAAATACATATTGAGACCTTCTTAGCTCTTGACAAACAGGTATGTGATTTAGGAAAGTATAAAGAAACGCTCTCAGAGTCCCTCTCTATTTGTGCTCCTTTCTAATATGGTAGCTACTACTCACATATCATTATTAAAAGTTTGAAATGTGACTAATCTGAGCCAAAATGTGCTGTAAATATAAAATACGCACTGGCTTTCCAAGACATAGGTTCAAAGAAAGAATGTAAAATATCTTACTAAGTTTTAAAATGTTGATTATATGTTGAAATGACAGTAGGATATATTGGCACAAATAAAATCTATATTAACATTATTTTTATCTCTTTTTAAAAACTTGTTAAATATGACTACTAGAAAATTTAAAATTACACGTGTGCCTCATATTTGTGGCTCTCATATTTCTATTGGATGGTGCTGCTTTATAGCTTCCTGTGGATGGAGGGAAATCAAAACTTCTATCTTTATCTAGATTCTAGTGGTTCATAGCTCAGTATGGTAGCAATGAGTTAGAAAGACTTAGGGGTTTATTAACTGTCTTTATTCTTAGCCTTCTTCTACCACAAAGTGGAATTTTATTACTTTTTTAAAAGCTACAGTAGTTAACACTCACATTCACAGATGTGAATGTTTACCTCATGAATACTGTCACTTTCTTCAAACTTCCATGGAGTTACAATGGAAAGGAAGATGTTTGCTTAAGAATTATTTAAATTATTTTAGAGATTATATATTTGAAATGGGAAATTAGATTTACTTTTTTGAAATGCCACTATATGTATCTTTAATTTTACTATTGAGTTTTAAAGAAGTTTGTGGAGGGGTAAGAATACCTTCAGCTTTTGTATCCCAGCTGATACTACACACAGTTTCTTAAATTGACCCACAAGATGTGATCCAAACTTTCTCTATACATATGGAGATACACTTATAGAGATAGATATAAAGATAGAGCTAACATTCAGTATGTACTTATTATGTGCCAGACTCTGTTATAAATTGCTTTACATGCATTATTTCACTCTAGCCTCACAACAATCTTATTTTTTTACCTCATTTCACAAATGAAGAAAATGAAACAGAGAGAGTTGCCTAATTTCTAGGTAATAAGTGGAAAAGCTGGGGTACAAACTCGGACATTCAAACTCTAATTATCCCTCTTAACCATCACATTATAGTATTGATCTAGAAAATAATGTGCTACCATAACTTTATAATCTGTTATTTATTTTAGTGGCAGATATTTCTTTATTTATTCAACAACTACATTTTAAATTCCTACTATACCAGGTATTATATTAAATGCTGAATAAATATTGAAAATGTAGATGATATAAATGACATAAAATAATTGTGATATAAACTTCTAATTTTCTTCTGAATGAATTAACTCATTCATTGCACAAGGTGATATGCTGGATGGTGGATATCCAGGCATATATACACTTACGTAAAGGGTTTCTTGGTAATGGCTAACTGGAACTGTTTTTGAGAGATACTGACTTCCAGTTCTCCTTACTGGGAGAAGTGTAACTATGTAGTATTTCTCAAATATCCATTTCTCAAGTCCTTTGTAGTAAGCCATCTATTGAAATAATATCTTTACAGACAGGCAGTATTTTTGCTTAAAAAGTTTATCTGATTTGTTTTTGCTAGCTCAGTAGGCAGAAAGCCTCTTTACAGTATAGTAATTCTTAAGTGTGTCAGTGTTCACATCTCATGTGGGGATATTGATTTAGAAAAGTTGATGATGAATTGGTAAATAATGGTATAATTAATAGGATATTCTTTAATTTGTAGCCATGATGAACTGATTTTATTTGGGTAGCAGGAAGAGTGTGGTAATTTTGAGTAGAAAACTCAATTAGATATGATAAAATAATGTGACTGATAATATGATTGCAGCTTTATGGTAACGAGGCATTGGGGAATGGAAATGAACCTCATGTTTTTCAGCCACTGATTTTTCAGTTTTACTGATGGATGAATATGCGTTAATGTAGGCTTGATCCATGGATCTCTGTTTTAAGTCTTAATCTTTTAAGTGTTCCTCATGCAGATATGTCCAAGGCTTCTGTTACTTTTTCTGATTTCTTGATACCTTAGTAAGGAGAAGCCATCTAACTTTGTAGTTCCAAGAGTACTTTGGAGTCAGACTGCTTACATTTATTTTATAGCCTCATTATTGATTAGTTCTGTGATCTTTGCGATTTACATAAACTCTGCATGCCTTAATTCTTTAATCTGTGAATTGGAGATTATAATTATTCCCATATTATAGGTCATCTTAGTGCTTCAATAAGAAATCATTTATAACTTAGCATGTTTAGGAAATGTATGTTATGATTATTCTTTAACAGATGTTAATCATGTAGAAAGAGTTCTAAGAATACTCCATATAATATGGTAGGTAACATTGAACTACCTATGGATGTATAAATATCAAGTAAATTATGCTGAACATTATGTATTGTATAAACTGGTGGTTTATACAGGATTTATCAGAACTATGGCTGCTTAAGAGGATGAAAAAATATTTAAAATAAAATATTCATGTTGTATAATCATTTGTATTTTATATATTAGACATATATATTATAAATATATAATACATATACATCATGTATGTGTATAATGTGTATACATATATACACATCATATGTGATATACATATACATATGTATAATATATAAAATTGATTTTTGACATGAATATTTTATATGTATGTATGTGTATATATAAAGTGAAATGGGGGAAGAGAATTTCTAAAACTAAAACCATAGCTGGGAATAATTCTGAGTTACCTGACTCATAATGAAGTTTATGTTTATTATTTTCTAATGGAAAGAAGCTCACTATTGTATCAGTAATCACAATTGTTTTGGGAGCCCTGATATCTGAGGGAATAATTTATTTTATGAATCCTTAAAATGTCTTCAACAGAAGTATTACAGAAAATTCAGAGGCATTGTTCACATTGCCATTTTTAGTAGAGACCAGATAAGAAAAAGAATATTGAATGATAACTAACTTAGTGGAAGGAGGCATTTCTATAAGTAGCTAAACTAATGTTTGCCAGGTATGTAGATTTCTTGGTGAAAGGATACAGGCAGAGATCTAAGAAAAGGCTAACAAGTCCTTTAAACTATCTCCTTTAAATAACAGTTGTTACATCCAGGCTGTTGCTAAGAGATGAGGAACAATCAGTTCTTGACTGAGTTGTATTCTTGCCGAGATTGAGGGCACTCCCACCTCTGTCCTTAAATTTGCTCCAGGTTTAAGAGTATACAGAGACAAAGCAAGAATTTTCCTCAGGAAACACTTTTGGATCTGCTCAAGTACCTGAAGAGCATCCTGGTGAGACCCTAGAATTCGATATTGTAAACATAGCACAAGTTGTCTTCATTTGAAGCATGAAAACTTTATATTTACTGTTCTGATCCATTGCCATTTCTGCAAATTTTGAGCAATACTGCATCTCACTGGGCCCTCCAGGTTGACTTAATTTTGAAAGTCATCCTAAAAATTAAATTAGCAGATAAGGTAACTTTACATGCTTTCTCATGATTTATTTGCACATTTAGAGTGCTGTAGACATAGAAACATTTCCATTTTGATTTATTCATTTAGAAATATTTATTGAGCACTTACAATGTGAATATCAGTAGGTCCCGCTTATCTGCAAGGCAAGAGACATGCTCCACAACCCCCAGTGGATGCCTGAAACCATGGATAGTACCAGACTCTGTACAGTATATGTTATGTTTTTTCCATCTGATAATTGAGGCAGGATATATAGCGTGGGTAAAGCTGGACAAAGAGATGATTCAGGTCCAGGGTTAGCTGGAGCAGGATGGCTTGAGATTTCACCTTGCTTCTCAGAACAGCACATAATTAAAAACATATGAATTGTGTATTTCTGGAATTTTCCATTTAACATTTTCAGACTTTGGTTGACTGTAGGTAAATGAAACTTCAGAAAGCAAAACTATGTAAAAGGGGATCTAATACAAGTCATCTGGCAGGACAAAAGTACACATCAGTGTGAATGAAAGCAGTGGAGATGGCTACTATAGGGAAGAGTAGGGAATAAGAAGGACATTTTACAATTTATCATTTTATCAATATGAGAATATTACTTAAAAATACTGCTCTTTTCCACTTGCAAAGTAACACTTATCTTCAAAACTAATGGTTTTGTCTGTGGCATAATTATTCTAGAACTTCTGTTTATGACAACATTTAGGTACTTTTAGATCATGATGGTAAATCTAAGTGATCAACCAAGAAGATTTTTGATTTTACATTTGCTGTAACCGAAAACATTGTGGTCACCTAAAAAATGTTCATTTAATCAGATACAGAAACCTTTTTCATTTTTCTCCTTTTTTATTTCAAAAAAAATAAAAAACAAATGTACTGAAAAGTTGAAATAATAACACAATGAACACCTCTATACTTTTTACTATTAACTTTGCCCCCTTCACTTTCTATTTCTTTCTTTTCTGATTCACTTGAAAGTAAGTTAAGGCTAACATACCTAATATAAGGTCATTCTCTTATATAATCACAATAATATTAGCAGATCCAAGAAAGTTAACATTAATACAGTAATAACATTTGACATACAGTTCATATTCACATTTTCTAACTGTCCCAGTAATGCTTTTTATGTCTTTTTCAAAAAGTTAAAATCAAGGGTCCAGTCAAGCATCAGATATTGCATTTAGTTTCTAGTCCCTTTAAAGTATAAATAGCACCCTGCCATCTCTTTGCCTTGACATTGACATTGACATTTTTGAGGAGTCCAGGCCACTTGCTTCATGTAATGTCTCACGATCTGGATTTGATTTTATCCTCATGGTTAGATTCAGGTTAGATACAGGGCTCTTAAGACAGGTATTGGACCATCATTCTTTTTTATATCACTTAAGATTGTAATTAGATCTGTCAGAAGTAAGTACCTACCAAGTTCAGATTTTGGTGTACCAGGTTCATGGAAACTTTTTTTTTTTGGCTTAGATTTTTAAGAAATCTAATCTGTTCTCAGAAAGCTATCTGAGCTATGGTGATTTGTCTTGCATAGAGTTTAACTGACCCTTGTTGAGGAAATAGGGCTTCCTTAGTTCAAGAAACCATTACCACATATTCATAATGTCTACTCTGAAGATAGCCATGAATACCATTTTTTGCAGGTAATCTAAAAATATTGATTACAAAGTCCGTGTAATAACATGACATTGTATAAGTGTATTTTGTTAGAGTTCATACTTAGAACTACAACATTTGTTCTTTATGAAAAAATGCTAGATGCTACTTACCTCAGTCAGAACAGATTCAACTCATTTCCTCATTTGTCATTCACTGTTCTCACAAATTGAAAATCAGAAATAATCTTGTTTAAAGTTTCTAAAACATTTAATAAATTTTGAAAAAAATTAGAAGCAAGTACAGGCTATTCTCTTTTAACTCTACTATTCTGCTCTTTAAGAAATATATTTCAAGATCTATGGAGTGACATTTTCGTTACCAAAGTTTCCTACTTCTGTGTTCTAACTACTTTATACCATGCCTCTCTATTCAAACAGAAGAGTTATCAATTTGAAAATTGCCCCTCTTTAGAGGTAATGTACAGCACAGGCTCTAGAGTCAGATCCCTCTATTCAGATCTTGGCTATACATTTCACTGGCTGTGTGATGTGAAGCTAGTTACTTAACCTCTCTGAATTCCATCTTCCTCATATGTAAAATGGTTTTTTTGTTGTAAGTAATTGTATGTATGTAAACTGTTTGAAATTGGACCACGTATATAGTAAGCACTAAATAAATAGTAGCTATTAATATTCTTGATGATGAATTGTCAATATTTGCAGTAACTAATAGGGATTCCTGAATAGCACTTGGACATTAGAACAGATTTTTAAAGCAGTAGTGAAATATTTGTGCATTCTTTCATGAAATACTTATTGAATATTTTGTGTGTGCTAGACACTGCTAGTTTCTAGAGATTTAAAAATGAATAAAAATATATAGCTTTTGTCCCTATGAAGCTTATGGTTTGGTGGGAGAGACATACTAAGCAAGCAATTGCAATGAAGGAAAATATGAATGGGGAAGTAAGTTCAGGTGTTATGGTAGAACACAAGGAGTCCTAATCCTGTTCTGTGTGTTAGAGAGGGTCTTTCTGAGGAGAAGGTGAGAACCGAAAGCAAAGAATGATACATTTTCCAGACCTAGACAGTCATATGGGCCAGGAGTGTGGCCTGTAGGGTAAAATCCTCCATAGTTTATGAGTCTGGTTCTACCATATGCAAGACGAGTTCCCTTGGGTAAATTCTTTAACTTCCCTGGGACTTCCTCAGTTTACTCATTTGTGAAGAGGAGATAATAATAGTACCTGCCTCACAGGGTTGTTTTGAGAATTAAAAGAGATGATTAAGAACAACTAAGAACTGTCCTTTTCACCTTTTGAGTACCTAATAAATGTTGACTATATTATCAGAGGATTCAGCATGTACTAAGTCCTGGTAACACCAGTAAACCACTTGAAGGACCCAAAACACCTTAATTTATTCCTTAGATATGACTGTACCATGAGTCTATGTTGCAAATTCCTTCAGCTTTCATCCTCCTCCCTCTATAAATATATACAGAGCTTTCTTTTGTAGGTTTACTTGAGCCTGATCTTCAAAACACAAGTCTGAATATCAAACTGAGCATATTTATATTTTTTCTTGGTGTATTAATAAAAATGGCATTTTGTGAGAGCAAAAAATAACCTAGCCAAATTGCTACATTCAGGTAAATTTTAAATGGGTTTGAATAAATTAAAAATGAAGCATTCTACCAATGTTCTTGGAAAGTTTCTGGAACAAAGTCTGCTTTACCAGTGTGAACAACTTAGCCATTTTCTCTGCATGTTGCCCTCCTCCCCACATGACTCAGTAACGCAGTTACATTTATTGGTTGTTTACTTTTAATGCCCTTCATTCCACTAAGGTTTGTGAGGGGTGAGAAAGGGAGCTCCAGAATGCGTGGTTTGAATTGGAAAAAGATGTTGTGTGGTCAGAATGAGGATGAGTAGAGAAATTGTAGGGAAGCTTTGGTTTTGAACAGCCTGTTGATTGTCCTCTTTTATTAAATGGAGATGCTAAAGAATGATTTAATTTGATTAAACTGTTGTTATTATCCTCTTCATGGATGGACTCTGATAAACTTCAATGCTGTTTTTTAACTGCAAAATTTCTAAATATAACATTTTCTGTTGGTTCAATATAAGCTGTCGTGTTATGTCTTAAAAAGTAGTAGTTCTAAAAATTGTTTTCACAGGTATTAAATATCAGGTGGAAACACGTATTTTTTAAAAAAATTAAGAATTGTAAAAGTATAGATTATATTGATGTATGCTATTTAATTATATCTCCTTTTGTGAGCTTAATTATGACTAGTTGGATTTTGTTAGAAAGGTTGTTGTTGTTTTTTTTCCTCTTTCACAGTGGGATTAAATAATTTTAATGGCTAAAAGGTTCATTTTCTCTTTTCTGTATTGGACACTTATTGTCAAATGCTCAGATAAATGCTAGCCCCATGATGTGTGAACTTTGACTCATACTTAGGAGACCCCTGAATGTAATTGGCTAGCTGATATTCAGCTCACAGCACAGAATGTTTTTATTCAGGAAAAAAATGAGGGTGGGAGATAATGAAGCAACATTATCCTTTTTAACAGTTTCTTAACTGATAGTTTTGCTTTTGCTTTAAAAACTCTCTTTCATTTATATCATCGTTCAATATATAACTTTGTTTCCACAATGTAACATACTTTCAGAGTTTATATTAGTTTGTTGGTTTTTTACAGACTTTAATGTGAGAATAATCCATATTTGGAAGGAAATGCATTGTTGTTTAAGGAGTTGCTCTTTGTGAGATAATTCAAAATCTCTTCTGATTGTTCCACTTTTAATTTATACATATGTTTGTAATACTGCTATGGCTTTCATGTTAAGCTTTTCTGTGTTTTTGTTTCGTAGAAGGCATTTTTTTAAAAAAACACTACCAGAGCAGTCACTTAATTTATTATAATTTTCTTTCAGATATTATTTTAGTAATTATATTTACTTGCAATAATTTAGCAACAGCTAATTGATAATGAATTGACAGTTTAAACATAGTAGTGGATAATAAAAATTAAACACCCATACAATAAGCAATTTTCTTTTAGGTTCTTGATCTTTAAGTTCCAAATTTTTACTTTTTACCTATTGCCTGCTACTTTTATTAGCCATAAGACCTTAGATGCTTAAAGATAATTGTCAAAATTATAACTTTTTAAAAATTAAAAGTCAGGAATTTGAAAGTGGTATATTTCCTACTCTAAGAGCAAGCAACATTAATTTCCTTGTTTATAAATGGCTGGTCTATTTTGTATATGGAATGAATAATGAAAAATTAAGGAAAAGTGCTTTTATTGTTTATTGTTTTATTATTTTACTTTATTGTTTAAAAATAAATAAATTTATAATTTTCTATAGTTTATGTATTTCAGCTTAACAATGAATAAAATGCATAAAATTGTTTTTATATGCTTAGAAATTCATACGTCTAATGATACTAAAGGCATTAGGTTTCATACATCCTCTGAATGTCAGTTTCTTGGGCTTTAATATTAAAGAGTTCTATTTCAGTTAAAGTGTAACTTATCAATTCCCATAAAATTCCTTGGCCACACCCGAGTACTGAGCAACATTAAGGATAGAGAGGAAAATCTGCATTTCTGCTTCAAAAGGGCCCTCTGCTAATGGATGTTGAATCTCTGAGATCCTGGTTTTCGTGGCTGTTTGGATTTACTGTAGGTCCTATGTTTTTCCTGGTACCTAGCCCTACTCAGACTTCTTAGCTTTTCACCGGTATTTTCTCTGGGCTCATTTGGCTTCCCTTCAGGTTTTGTTACCTTATTTCTCCAGGGAGCTGTGCTGTACTCCACTGTCCTTCCTCATGTGCCCAGTAGATTTTCACTGGGGAGCTCCATGACTGTTAATCGCCCTGGTTCCATCCTCTCCAGTTGCTCCTTGATGCTCTTACTACTGGAGAGTGCATTTCATAGCCATCTAATGGCTACTAAATCTTCTGGGTTCTGGAAAATGTAATGCTTTTCTGGAGACAGATAAATTTCAAGGTGAGCTTATTTGTGACTTTGTGAGGATCTCTATGTTTTGCGGAACATGATATTAGCACACTGAAAGGTATAAATAGAGTTTGGTCTTACTCGTGATCATCAAAGTGTAAGTCATTTACAGCAGCATACCAATGGTTCTTGAAGACAAAGTGCAATCAAGCCGAAGTACTATCTTACATATTTGTTAAAGATGGATTTTAACATTGTAGTTTCTTTTTTAGAAAAAAAAAATGATGTTATAGATGGTATAACTTGTCCTTAAACTATGATGGAGAGACTTTAGACTTTATATAGTCTGTGAGGTAAACAGGAAAATTGAAATAACTATTGGTCATGATCATCATTATTTTAACAAGATGAAGGATTTTCCACTAATTATGGAAAATATATTGTCTCAGATCTTAGATCCTGTAGCCCTGCCTATATGTATGTCCATATGTATGTATGTGTGTATATAAAGCGAGAATGAAAGAGAGGGAGATAAAAAGGAGAGAGAGAAGGAGAAAGAGGTGTTAAGTTGGAGAAAAATAGAGATAGTGATGAAGAATGAGGAGTGGCTTTAGTAAAATGGTATGAATTCTTCACAAAAGTGATATACCTCCAGTGGAAAGGATAGCCCTTCTTTCTCCCGTAAGTAGAAGTTACCAGAGAGCCAAGAGCCTCCCCCAGAATGGTTACGTAGTTTATTTTAGGTGAATTTGAATAACTGCTATAATGGTTAAAGGCAGTGAAGAAGTTTGCTAATTTATAAGAATGTTTTATAAAGTTGATTCATAAAATCCAGACTATAATCCTTTTGGAAAAACAAAGCAAGGAATGTCCAGTTTTTAAAATTAGGTTCTCTAATAGTGGTTGTTCTAATTTTTAAAATTTGTATTAGCAGATCATCTTTTTCATTTTTTAGTAGTAAACATGACAAATAAGAATTGTGAGGTCCTTTCTGGCATACAACAAAAAGTTCTTTATCCTATTACCCAATGCAGATGGATTTTAAGTCCTCTGGGATAGGCTTCTTCTTGGTATTTCACTCTCTCCTAAAGTTGACGAACCTTGCAATCTAAGTATTTTGAGAATTGTGCTTCTCAAAGGCATTTTCCCTGTAGATCATTTATGACTTGACAAGCATATCTCATGGACAGCCTTAGCCATATACTATTTGTTTGACACTATTAAATAAACACTCAAATCTGTCATCAAAATTATGCTTTATTTTGTAGGACAAAAATGTATGTGTCAGTTCTTTAAAACAAAGAAATGAATTGCTATCAGGAAAAAAAGCATAGGATTTTGAATATACCAAACATAATCCAAAAGTTCAGGTAAAGCATAGGATTTTGAATTTACTAAACATAATCCATAAGTTCAGATAAAGCATAGGATTTTGAATATACTAAACATAATCCATAAGTTCAGGTGTCCTCACAGGAACATTGATTAAAAATATACTAAACCTATGAATTAGTAGTATTTTGTATCTTTATAATACTCGCTTTCCCCATGTAGATGATTTCTTGCCTGAAAAGCACAGCTTACCTATTTTCTTCCTTCCTACTACATATATTACAGACTCTGAGACGTCCAGTAAAGAAAAAGAAAGAAAACTTGTTTCATGTAGCTTACCCCTAATTTATTTGGTGAGAGAAATTTTCTTCTTACAGTGCATCTTCTTAGGAGATGTACCACTGAATACAAAATTGAAAATACCTATTTAAAGAGATTCTAAAAATGTGAGGAGTACATCTACAGATTCAACTAATTTCAGTAAAAAGTATTACAGTAAATAAATATGAGCCAGTTAGCAATTAAAATACCAAGCCATCCCAGTGTCCTGGAACTATCAAATTGATTATGGATAACTCCAGCATGTTACTTCCCTTACTGAGTCTGTTCTCACAGCAGCCTGCAGGGCTGATACTTAGTTGCTATAACCAGTATGGTTATATTGGTTATTGATTGCCAACATTTATTCTAATTGGTTGGTGCCACATTATATTTTTTGTGAGATATTTTATTTATCATTTTTAATTACACTAAAGGTGATTGTAAGGGTTAAGTGAAATATTATTCATAACATTGTCAGAGCAACAAATACCAGCATAACTTTTGTTAGTTTGTTTCTAAGATCAGTTTATTTATAGGAAAACTTGGATAAACAAATAAGATTTATATCACTTCCCCAAAAATGTTATTGTATCTTGAACATATTTCCTTTGCTAAAATCATTTATGGCCTAGAATATTCAGCCTCAAACAATAAAATGTGATTATAGACCTCTTCAATATAATTTTAAAACAACCCTGTAATAACTTTCCTCCATACAGATTACTAGTCACCATTTACATTTACTGTTCATCTTCATATTTAACTTGACCTTGTGATGGAGTTTTCAAAGGAAAATACTTTTTCTGGCACCTATCACTAAATTACCAATTATATTCTGAAATTGCCTGTGAAGTTTTTCTTGTTGTATAAGACAGGAGTATTACAGAAGTTGATGTCACGGACCAGCTATGAACCACTCTCCTATAAATTGGATATTAGTGACATATTAAAAAATCACACTGATGTACTACTTGCCCTCTACTAAAAATTAACATTAACTCTATTCAGTAAATTATTCAAATGTAACACACACAGAATTATCAAGACATACTATGCATTTTTGATTTGTGAGAGAAATTCCATTGAATTCTACCTAAAATAGAGAGCCAAAGCATTGTACTGATTTATGAGGTCATAATTGTGATCTGTAGCTACATTATGAAAATATTATTTTGCTAGGATAGTTATAAAATCTCATACCTATGGTAATATATTTGTGATAATTTGTTGGCATGATACATGAACAATACACCATGGCTTGGGTTTTCTTTTTTTTTTATTGATCATTCTTGGGTGTTTCTCGTAGAGGGGGATTTGGCAGGGTCACAGGACAATAGTGGAGGGAAGGTCAGCAGATAAACAAGTGAACAAAGTTGGGTTTTCTATTAACTTATTTTATGAGCAAGACTGAAAGAAGTTTAAAATTAAAATGATAGGGATTTAATCATATGAGCTTAACCAAACTTTTTTTTTCAGTTAAAAATACTGACCTTGTTGAAGTGTCAAGTATTTGATGACCTGAAGTCAATAGTAATAATTTAAATACCTAAGAAAAACCAACGCGAAGCAACTTCCTGCTATATCAATTCTGTGAATTCCTGTGATCTTTTTTCAAAATTCCTTTCCTTTAAATTTCACATTTTAGTAAGTATCCTCTAGGAATGATAACAAAAATGGAAGGCTGAGATACTGGTAGCCTGCAAGTTATAGACTTTACAAATGTAATATTCCTCCGTTGCACCTGATTTAAACCTGCATCACCTTCACTTACAACTAAGGACATTCTGATAGAAAGGGAAGAAAACATTATATTAGCATTTTTGGTGCTTTCACCAAAATTTCACTGTAATTTGTCAAATTATATAAGGCCTTTGTAAATCTGGCTTCCCATAATTTTAATCTACCATGTCACCTTGTGTAATTTCTTGATGATAAAGTCTGGTCCTAGGTCTGTAAAAAAAAATGCAGGAAGAATTGCTACAACAGTAGCTACAGGCTGAGGAAGTAGTGACAACGTAGCCTATCAAGTGTGAAAGAAGCAATAATATGATACGTTTCTCGCAGCTTAATCTCTGATGTTAAATTCATGTGAGATTTTTGATATTTCCATAACATTCATAAATTTTTAAGATCACTTAGCTAGTCTAACATACTAAATATTTTATCTTGGTACAATTCTGTAAATATTTGTTGAATGTATACTAAATGCAAAGCCTTTTTTAGGCAACATTTGTGGAAAAGGTATGACAAAAATTCTCCCTCAATGTTTTTCATTTGAGTGGTAGAAAGGTTTATATAAGCATCACAAGACCACTTTATAGAACAACTGCAGTAGATATCCATAAAATGTCATTGAAGTCCTAAGAAGTGAAAGATAAATTCAAACTCTGAAGATTAAAGAAGGTTATATAATGGTGGTGGCTTTCAAGCTAGAGGTTGTATAGGCTTTTGGAGCACCCCAGAATAGGGTTGAAAGGACATTTCAGATTTAGCACCAGCATAAATAAAATCACGTAATCATGATCAGCTTTGAACATGGCAAGAATCTCGTGTGACTCAGATACAGGATATAAAACATATAGGCTGGGGACAGGCTATGGAAGACCCTAAACCCCAAAATTGGCTGTTATTTCATAAGCAATAAAAAGTATTGTTCTTTGAGCTTGGGGCGGGGATTGCATTATGGAGTTTATGATAAACTATCTTTTGGTCATGGCACTTCTTAATTTAATGACATGTGATAACTCTAAGTTGCCTGCAGCATCCTCATGGCTCAGTGCTAGGTATATTTTTGACATTCAAGTGATGTTTATTAAATAATCGGAACTTAATTTCACCTTCTAACTGTTTATCTATTTATCTAGCTGTTTGTCTACCGATTCCCTACCTTGCATTCTAGTCTCTAGCTATTGTATATCATTCTATATTTCTTTTAATTATTAGCTTACATTATGCTTTTACGTATTCATTCATTCATTCATTCATTCATTCATTCATTCATTTATTTTTGGGTGGTTTAACCTCATCCTTTAAGAAGCTTCCCTTGGCCGGGCATGGAGGCTCACGCCTGTAATCTCTGCCATTTGGGAGGCCGAGGCGGGCAGATCACGAGATTGAGGTCAGGAGATTGAGACCATCCTGGCTAACACGGTGAAACCTCGTCTCTAGTAAAAATACAAAAAATTAGCCGGGCGTTGTGGCGGGCGCCTGTAGTCCCAGCTACTCGGGAGGCTGAGGCAGGAGAATGGCGGGAACCCAGGAGGCGGAGCTTGCAGTGAGCCGAGATGGCGCCACTGCACTCCAGCCTGGGTGACACAGTGAGACTCCGTCTCAAAAACAAAAAAAAAAAAAAGAAGGAGCTTCCCTTGACTAACTGAGAGTCGTGTACTCCCTCTGGGATTCGCACAGAATCTTCTTTCTACCCGTTTCAGTATGTTTACCAGTTGTTTTTCCTCACGAGACTGCAATGTCACTAGATTGTGAGTGCGTCAGCTAAAATTCATTAATCTTTATTTCCTCATGCCAAGCACAATATCAACACTACAGAAGTACTTATTGAATTGGATTGAGTTTTCAAACTTAATATAGATTTAATAGCACTTGAACTTATTTTTAACATAGGATATATATGACACATGTTACATATAAATGTTATGGAAACCATTTATCTATCGGATCTCATTTTCTCTGTAATAGCGTCTAAAGACTGGTTTCAACTTCACCTGTGCATATGAAGCAAAATATAGTAAATCAGAGAGTAATATTTGTAAGACACAAGTGACCCATGAATGCAGGTGGATTTCCTGTTCTTTTCTTTGTACTCAAAGATATTTTTCTTGACAGAAAACCCTTGGTTTAGTTTGTGGACTGTTAATTGTAAATTTAAAGGAGAAAAATATAAGCACTGTGTAGGGGTTGAATTTCAAATATGATGTTTTTTGAAGAATCATAGTGAAATTCTTATATTCTAAATGATATATTGATAATGGACACATGACATTAGACATTTTGTTCTTTCCTATTATTTTGTTTTTCTTTCTTTCTTTCTTTCTTTTTATCAAGACTGAACAGGAAGCTGTATTGGCAACCACCACATTGGGTGGGATTCAGAAGGAGGTGTACCAGAAAGGAGTGAAAACAAAGATTGCTTTGGTCTTTTTTAAAGGACGAACACACTAGCTGGTTTATAGTATTATTCCTCCCTGAAAAAAGTGGGAGCCCAGGGGGGGAGTTGTCTGGTGTTTCGGCTAGTCCGTCTTTTAGCCCTGCAGACTATAATCATTTTTGTATTCTTTGCCCTTAATGAAATAATTGTTATATGCTGGAAGTTAGTGATTGCCGTTTTGGGTAGAATGAGGGAGTTTTACTTTGAAAAAAATAAATTAGTAATGGAGTGGCAGGGAAGAAAAGACAGAACAGCTTTTCTGTTTTCCGGTTTGGATTCTGCTAGTGGCTTTGCTGCCTTGCCTGCAGTGATGGGTATTGCCAGAACTTAGGGAAAAACAAAGCGAAAATGGCAACATCTCTTAGGAAAATCTGTAAGATTGTAAGAAGGCTGGGTGGTTGTGGGGAGTGTGAGTTAGAGAGCAGATGCCTTTGGTCTGAGTTTCAGTCCTCACAGTCTGTTTGCTTTCTTGCTTTGAAATATTTTTTGTTTCTACCTCCTTGGTTTACAGGGAGCTGGGGAGGCTCGTTTTTGTTGTTGTTTTGAAATGTAAGTTTGCCAACAAGTGAAACAGAAAATAACTGCTGTGACAGACATGTCCCCTAAGACCTTTGCTTCTAAGGGAAACACCTCAGCTTCATGTGTAAAAACAGAGACCCCAACATTGGAATACCAAATTCTTTTTGTCTGCTGTGCAATATGAAAATGTAAAATTGTCCCTTTGGATTTTTGACTTTTTTTTTTTTTTAAAGATCATATCAACTTTGAGGTCTTAGAGCAATAGTTTCACTGCTGCCATGATTTGCCTTTCATAGGGCGTACATTGTGCTAGTGCTGAACAGCTGCTTTAAATTCTACTTATGAACGGAAATTTGAGGTTTTAAAAATGCTCGTATTTAATCATGATCAGACCTCTTCTGATTGATGCACTGCTCCTGTTGATTATTTTGTACTTCTTTATTAGGCTTCCTTGGCAGCACAGGGACTATTCTAACTTGGGTTCCCTTGAGAGCATATTAGGTGGATTATGTACCAGTAATTGTTTTAACTATATAGATGGAATAATTATTTTGGATATTTGGACAGTCACTCAACAAATATTTCATGTATCAGACACTGTGTTAGCCCAAAGAATATAGAAATGAAGAAAATATACATGATCTCTGTCTCATAAAGTTTATAGTGTAAATAGTAGCTTTATCTAGTTATCCATTAAAAATTTTATATGCCCTTTTCATAATACTTGTTCTTAGCCATTATCACTATTATTAATAGACCTTGTAAACAGGATACTTTTGTTTTGAATCATGCTATTTTGCATACATATATTATACAAACTGCTTATTTTGGAGGACCTCAAATTAAGTAACTATGGAAAATTCAGGACTAGGTAAGATTTTTCAGATTTTCTCCACTAACATACTTCTTTTCTCCCACTTATAGACAGTTTTGGCAAGCATATTGCATAAGGAGTAGGTCCATGGATAAAAGCAATGGTATTCTTGTTTTCTTTTAGCTCTTCATGAGAAGATTCATGGAAACAATGTCAAGAAGCTTCTACTTCCAATTCATATGTCATCTGCCCAAAAGTTGTGATTCCTATACTCAACTTGGACCTAAATCAAAATGGGAAATAAGATAAAAGAAGCAGAAGTGCCAGTAGTCCATGCTGGGAATTTTGTCTTAGAGCTAGTCTATTACTAATCTAGAGAGTCATCTATCTAGGCTACCACATTTTCATAAAGATTGTAATAGGCAGTCTTAAAGTTTGTCTCTTACTTGAAATACACCAAGGGCCATCGCTAAGTGAAATACAAACAATATCTTAGAATTAGAAAATGACTTCAGGTAAATTAAAAGTAAACAAAAGGCAACTATTATTAAAAACATTCTTTTCTATCGCTTTTTGTAGAAAACATTTAGTTGTATTGGGAAATTTCTATTTCGAAGTTTATTAAAACTAACTTTTGTGGGGTTTTTTTTAGCAGAGATTAGAAAAGGTTTTCAGAGAAGGGAAAATGCCATAAGTGAGTAGACTTTTAGGCAATAGCGCTGATTAAATAAATGCCGATGTTTGGCAATAGGACTGTGGAAGATAGATGAGATATATAACAGAGTCTACTAATCCTGTTTACAGGATTTTCTGGGACAGTTTCAGTGTCAAATATAATAAAAAACCATCCAAATTATCCAAAAGTCTCTCCATTTTGGACTCTGTATTTTTCAAACTGTCTCACTCATTCATAACTGGTACAAATATATTTGCCAGAAGATATGCCATTTTTAGGGTTATTTTTGTAAAAGATAGTTTCTGTCTGTAATGCACTTCAGAGAAAATCTCCAGTAGAAACCATGTAGTGGCTAAAAGCATAGACTGTGAGGTGAAAGGCTCAGGGTCGAATCCTGCCCTGCTACTGAAGTTGTGGGACTTCAGGCAAATCACTTCACTTCTGATCCTTGGCATCTCCTGACCTCCATTCCTTGGCTTCCTTGGCCGTAAAGTAGAGATAGGAATAGTACTCACTGGCATGGTGGTTGTAAAGATTTGATAGGTAGGCAGGTAAATAAGTAGATAGCCAGATATGGACATATAGCTCAGTGTGATATCTTAGTTGCTATATAAGTATTAGCTGCATTTTATTACCACATTTAGATGAAAGAACTATGGCTGAAGTGACAACAAATACCAAGATATTTTGAGATAGTTCTAATATTGAATGTATTGTTACTGTTTAATTCACATTAAACCAAAGGTCACAAACTTATGTACTGGCTATGGGTGTTTCTTGTTTTTCTTTTGATTATACTAACATTAAAAACCTGGACATTCCTCATAAAAATCCAGATTTTTGGTTTTTCATGATTGTATGAGTTAGCTACATGAAACTACCAATTTCACCTGCAAACTGTGAACCTCAGTGAGGTCACAGGAGCCATTCTAGTTGGGGCACATGCTCAGGTTTCTTCAGCTTACCTGTCACTTAAACCTCCCCACCACCCCAAACACACACATGCACAATGCAGGCATTTGCTCAGTCATCTTCATTACTCATTGATATTACCTATTAATTACCTTTCAGTCTCTGGATTTTTGTGATTTTCTGCAATGTGACCTGATTTTTAGTGTGATTTTTTAAATACAATTTTGGCTGTTTGGGGTAAAATGGAAGAATTGGGGGCCATTTTTCTTTCTTTCTTTTTTTTTCTTTTTTTTGAAATGGAGTCTTGCTATGTTTTCCAGGCTGGAGTGCAGTGGCACGATCTTGGCTCACTGCAACCTCCACCTCCCGGGTTCCAGTGATTCTCCTGCCTCAGCCGCCTGAGTAGCTGGGATTACAGGCATGTGCCACCACGCCTGGCTAATTTTTGTATTTTCAGTAGAGACGGGGTTTCACCACGTTGGCCACAATCTCCTGACCTCAAGTGATCCCTCCACCTGGGCCTCCCAAAGTGCTGGGATTACAGGCATGAGCCACCACGCCCGGCCCATTTTTCTTATATATATCAGTCCCTGAAATATAGGCAGGTAAAATATTTGAAAGGCATGGTTAAGTATAGCAGAACTCTAGTATATGCCAAATCCTTACAACTAGAAAAATAATCAACAAATAAAGAACCATATTCATTACCTGAGATGAGTTATTGGGCAAAATTTTCGATCTCATTTTTAGTTAATCCTAAAATATTGATTATTGCTAGCTTCAGGTATTTTAACTAGTAATTTAAGACTTAGTCCCTTCTTAGTAATAGAAGGATATGTGACATTTGGAGAAAAGAGAAGATGCTAAAATTGTATGCCGTTGTTACCCCGAATTAGAACTCTCTAGGAACCATGTCCTTTAAAATACTTTGACTAAACGAAAAAATGCCAGATGAAAGACAGTAAAAATTACTTATGAAATGGAAAAACAGAGTTAAGGAAAATATTACAGTTGTATTGTTAGTAGGCATAAAACATGCATATAATATTCTCATGTATCTGTCTACATACATAATATATAAATACATGCTGTCTTAGAGGAAGAATGAAGAAAGAGTAAACATTTCAAATCTCCCATCAGTCTTAGAATATAACTCATATAACCTACTACCAGTTTTTGTAGTCTTTATTTTATGAAATGAAGGAACGTATACTGTATAATTTATAACATATCACATTCGTTACCATATCATGAAGAATTACTCATAATTAGTAGATACCCAATTGATGGACTGTCTTGAAACTTCTTATTCATACCATTATAATTTCCATTTCCCAACATGTTGTACTTTTAAATGAGACCCATTACATTCTGTTGCTAATCACAATATATAATATAATAAAAATATTAGCCAATCATACCCACTTTTCAAAAATAAGAGTAAAATATCAGCAGTAAGAGGAACCAGAAAGGTCGACTAGTCCAACCTTTTGGAGGTATCCATGAATCCTCTATCTAGCATTTCTGATAAATGATCTGTTTTGTGTTTGGATACTTAAAGTGTTGTGGAGCACACTACCTGTTGAAGCAAGCAAAATGCCATCATTTTGACTGCTAAAGGGTTCTTTTTATTTTTATTTATTTTCTTTTATTTTTTGAGGCAGCGTCTCATTCTTTCACCCAGGCTGGAGTGCAGTGGTGCAATCTTAGCTTGCTGCAACCTCTGCCTCCCCGGCTCAAGCGATTCTCTTGCCTCAGCCACCAGAGTAGCTGGAATTAAAGGCATGAGCCACCAGGCCTATCCATTTTTTGTTTTTGTTTTTGTATTTTTAGTAGAGACAGGGTTTCACCATATTGGTCAGGCTGGTCTCGAACTCTTGGCATCATGTGATTTGCCCGCCTCAGCCTCCCAAAGTGCTAGGATTACAGACATGAGCCACTGCGCCCGGCCAGAAGTTTCTTTTTAATACTGAGCCTAAATGTACCTTCTCTCAATAATGCTTTTAATTATTTTAAAAAATCTTGTATCTCTATATGTAAATCTATTGTATATTATATAGCATTGTGATTATCTGTTTATATGCTAGCCTTTACAAGATAGGGCACCTGGTACATAGTAGACCTTCAATAAATATTAAATGAATTAAGGAATAGTTCAGGTTCTGTCCTCTAAAACCACATAATATAAATACAGAAATTCCTATGCCATGCCATGGTTACCTTTCAACAATTTTCTTAGATGTGTGTAGTGAGCTGTGTGTTCTGTATGTAACACAAAATATCCATGTATAAAATTTTAACGGTTAGTTTTTTTTTAGATATTAAAAAGCCCTGATAGAAATTCCATAGGCAGTAATCACCAGATGAGTTGGTAAAAATATTTAAAACCTAGACTTTACTGGTAGCTTCTGGATTGATGCCCATGTTGATACTGAATTGGGAATTCTAATATTACATTCCTTGATAATTCCCTGTGGGTTTCTAAGAACCGGAAAGGCTACATTGATTATTTATTATAAAATACATTTTACCCAATGTTTGCAATTAAAACAATATTGGTAACATTGAAGTATAAATTTCCCTTAGATTATAGTTCTTTATTGTTTCTTATATTTATCCACATTATCTCCAAAATATGAATGAGGGTTTACATTTCTTGACAGTACACCCACAGCAGTGCTTATTAAGTCTGAATAGTTTCTATATACTCCATGAGCTGAGGGGAGACAGTCCATATGGCAAGTAATTGGTGGTGTTTAAACTATCTCGACATCACTCCATTTTGAAGTAGCTATTATTTCATCCTGCTTTTTGCTGATAGCCTGCAGAAATCTACCTGGAACTGCACATTTTCTATTGATTTTCTTTTGCCAAATGATTGATGGAGCATTCTAGTTCAATTGTTTTCTCTTGGATTGTGTGCGGTTACACTCCTTTGTTTTCAAACATTTTATTAGAAGTATAAAATATTTCTAGATGAACAACATGGTCATTTTGGGAATGCTGATGGCCAAAATTATTGATGATAGTGTGTAAGAAAGAGGGTGAATCAACTATTTCAGTAGCTAAATAGCTACATAGATTGAAAAGGAAATTCTTACTAGTTTTTCTTTTTTCATTCTTATTTCTTGTGTTAGCTTGATTTTTCTGGTCAAAAATCATCCTTTTTGGGTTTAACCTCATGGTCCTCAGATGGCTCTTCAAAATGCACTGTATCAATCTAAGCCAAACTTAAGAGTTTGTGATTTTTTCTTGCAATGCTAGTGCAGCAAGTTCAGTGATACAATGCACCTGTGTCCCACATTTATTCTTTACAATAGACACCCATTTCTTTGTCTGGAAGTCTTAAGTCCTGCACATAGAATGAGGGAACCACTGTTTATGTGAATAGCAGTTTCGAATGAAACTTTCACAATGACTGAATCTTACAATAACATGTCCTACTGTCCTTGATTTTAAGGAGATTCAGCATCTCCTAAAGAAGCACATGGTGGGAATTTCTTTTATCTATGTTATTTGGAAATAAATGTCGTGTAGCAAAAAACCATATTCTGAATTCCTAGTAATGGGATGGGGTTTTGGTATGTTGGTAGTAGGAAGACTATTAGTATAGTTCTCGGTGTCATTCAAGTGATTTGTTTTAAACTTAATTGAAACTAACGTTATTTGAAGGCCCAGGATGCTTCAGAGCCAGTTGTAAGAACGTGATTACTCACTTTTCTAGCAAGATTCAGAAATCTTAGCTTCACACCACGAATTCTAAGTCTTATTTTTTAAATTCAGAAGTAAAATTTTTGGCTGTATAAAAATATTAAAATAACTCTTGACTCCTTTTCAAAGGTCCAAGTATATTAAACACAGATGGCTTCTCATAGCTAATTAGATTGTGTCGTATCCTAACCTTAACTATGGTTTAGAGCTAAGTGGTTTAAATGATATTCAATTCAATTTCAAAGAACAACAGCAATAATAATAGATAGCATTTATTCAGTATGTATACTGTTTGATTTGGTGCTACATGTTTCTATATGTACTCATTTACTTCCCTAAAAATCCATAAATAATGTACTACTTATGTTTCCTGTAATGGGAAAAGGGACTCAGAGAGGTTAAGTAACATGATCAAGGTCACAGAGGTAGGAAAGAACATAGCTAAGACTCAGTCTAGGTCTGTCTAATCAAAGCTTATGCTCTTAGACATTGCCCTCATGCCTCTACTTTGATTTATTATGCTTTATGTTAGGTCCTTCATTAGATTGAAAAATGAGTAATATTGGTTTTGGCTCAGAGTTTACAATCCAATAGTAAACTCACTTTAATTTTGGTTAAAGAGTTTCTTCTGGATTAAACGTCTATTAGATGGGTTTCAGTAATGGAAAGAAAGACCAGAAATGTGAGGTTTTGTATTTTCATCTAGAATTTTCAAGTACATTACTTATTATAATAAAAAAGTTAAGCTAAATTTGGAAGAAGATAAAAATGAATAAATGTGAACTACTAGTACAGAATTTAAAAACAATTACTTTAATTAATAATGAGACTAGTAATTGATTTTTTAAATATCCAGGTCCTTGGGAATCAGTAAGCTCTTTTGCTTTACTGCTTACATTTACATATTTTGTTGTTATTATTGGTATCACTCAAATGTCTGTGCCTCTTCCCTCTAATTCACTTCTTTCTCCTCTGCCGTGATAGAGATGAAATTATTTTTAAGGAAATAAAATTGAAACACTTGCTTCTAGATATACCTCAAGGAAATCCTGATTTCTAAATTGGTTTGAAGTTACTTGCCCTGGTAAATCAATGTCTATTTAATTAAGCCTATGTTGCATGGCCATAAATTAATTCCAACTACTATTATAACTGGAAAGCATCATGGAATATATCATGGTATATTAATTGAGTATAATGTTCTACTTTTATAACAGTGGAAATGTATTTGTAAAACAACTACTATGAAAAAAATTTAGAAAACCATCAGCTTATCCATTTTACTTACCCTCTGTAATGTTTTAAAAAAAAATTAGACTTCATTATACAGTGAGCACCAACAATAGTTGATTTTGTAGGAAATGAATTAATTTAGGGCTCTGGAGATAGAGGAAACAGATATTAACAGCTAATAATTATTATTTTGGAGATTATTCCAGAAGTTGTTTGCAAAGGTTTTAATTCCTTCAGAAGTTTCCTGTGACAAACTGAAGGTTGAGTTACCTTTCCAAAGCTTTACCTGGGTTAACAAGGATGAAATGCTGGATCAGACCACTATAGACTAAGCTATTGGATAATAAAATAACCCATATTATCTTTTCTAAGCATATAAATGAAGAAATTAGTAACAATTATATAAAAATTTATAATCTTTCATTGGAGTTCTATGGGGGAACAAGATATTGTCTGTTCTACGTAAATATTAGTAATGAATTGTCAATCTATTCAGTGCTTGCTTTCTTTTTTTTTTTTTTTTTCTTCTGAGACAGAGTTTTGCTCTTGTTGCCCAGGCTGGGGTGCAGTGGTGCAATCTCGGCTCACTGCAACCTCCACCTTCTGGTTTCAAGAGATTCTCCTGCCTTAGCCTCTTGAGTAGCTGGAATTATAGGTGGATGCCACCACACCTGGCTAATTTTTGTATTTTTAGTAGAGACGGGGTTTCACCATGTTGGCCAGGCTGGTCTCGAACTCCCGACCTCGTGATCCTCCTGCCTCGGCCTCCCAAAGTACTGGGATTACAGGCATGAGCCACTGTGCCTGGCCTATTCAGTGCTTTGTTTTAGAACAGTCGTCAAATATTTGCCTATGAGGAGTGTAAAAAGTTGATGTGGCAAAGAGAAAAGGAGCTAAAAAAAAAAGAACTTAAAAAAAGAAAAGAAAAAACATGTACCTAATGTAGATCTAACAACAATGTTCAATAAAAGCTTGTATTCAAATAAAAGCAATAGAAATGAGAAATACATTTTTGATTCTTTGGGGAAAAATCCAATTTAAAGCATATATTTAAGTTCTTTCATAAAAAAATTTTATATTTGACTTTTAATTAACAATGAAAATATGATAATATTTGGAGCAAGTCTAGCGCCAAATTCTAGTTCAGCCACTTTCTAACTGTGAGGCTTTATCATCTTAGGTAATATCTCTGAGCTAGTTTCTATCAGTAGAATGGACGTGATAATGTGTGCTTTGTAGTTTTAAAACATATTGCTTTATTGAAATATAATTCAGTACTATAAAATTTACCCACTTAATGTATAATTCAGTAGATTTTAGTATTTTCAGAATTGTGCAGTCATCACCACAATCTAATTTTAGAATATTTTCATTACTCTAAAAGACATCTTGTGACTATTAGCAGTCGTTCCCCATTTCCCCTCCCCACCCCCATACCCTACCCTAGACAACCACCAATCTACTTTCTATACAATTTTTTCTATTCTGGACATTGCATATAAATGGAATTGTAGAATATGTAGACCTTTGTGAATGGCTTCTTTCACTTGGCGTAATGTTTTCAAGGTTCATCAGTTTTGTAGCATGTATCAGTACTTCATTCCTTTTTATTATTGAATCATGTTCCATTGTATGGATATGCCACGTATTGTTTTTTCATTCATCATTTAACAGATTCTTGGCCTGTTTCCACTTTTTCGCTATTATGAATAATGCTGTTATGTACCTTTGGGTACAAGCTTTTGCATGGACATATGTTTTCAATTGTCTTGGGTATTTACCAAGGAGGGGAATTGCTAGGTCATATGGTAACTCTTTAGAAACTGCAAACTGTTTTTGAAAGTGGCTGCGCTATTTTACATTCCTAACAGCAATCTTTGATGGTTCCAATTTATCCACATCTTCTCCAACATTTGTTATTGTCTGTCCTTTTTATTTTAGCCATTCTAGCAGATGTGCAGTGACATCTTATTGTGATTTTGGTTTGCATTTCCTTGATAACTAATGCTGTTGAGCATCTTCTTATGTGCTTACTGATCATTTGTATATCTTCTGGGGAGAAATGTATATTCAGATCCTTTTCTCATTTTAAAAATGGATTATCTTTCTATTGTAAGTGTTGTACAATAATTCCATGTATATAAGTATATGCATATATATTTATATATAAATTATCAGGATTCTTTATAAATTCTGGGTGCAGTTCTCTTACCAGATATATATTTGCAAGTATTTTCTCCCATTCTTTGGATTGCCTTTTCACTTCATTGTTAGCATCATATTCAGTGCAAAAGTTTTTAATTTTAATGAAGTCCAATGTATCTGTTTTGTTCTTTTGTCACTTGTGTGTTTGGTGTCGAATGTAGCAAACCATTGCCTAACCCAAGGCCACGAAGATGTTCTTCTGTGTTTCCTTCTAAGTGGTTTATGGTTTTAGCTCTTACATATATGTCTACGGTCCAATAGTGTGTTGTTTTGGTGACCAGAAATAATACATGGAAAGCACCTAGAACAGTCACTGTTACATATCAATGCATAATTAGTGGGAGTCATTCAAACCACTTTGAAACCAAAGTTCATGAATATGTACTAGAACCTATCTTTAGGTCTCTCTCACATGTTGTTCTTACTGCTCTGCAAGGAACTGTAAGGAATAAAAGGTATACATCATTTAAAAAAACATTTCCAGAGAGGTTTTAATCATTATATGTTATTAATAAGTCATTTACAGTAACAAAAATGCAAAGACATGGAAGAAAAACCGAACAACAAGTTTGAGCAGATTTAAGGCTCTGCTGTTCATTTTTGTAAGTTTGTTAACATGAAGACATGCTGTAGTATAAACAAAATTGACTCTCTGGGAAATATATTGAAATTGAAAAAATTTGGCTTATATTTCATGATCATTTTAATTAATATCTAACATCTCTTGAGATGTCACAGAATGGTGTCTTCCTTAGTGGTTTAGTTTTATTTTTCAAAATAACATTTTTTTGGGGTTTTGTAAGTATTGGATAGATTATCCACATGTATTTCTGGAAAGTTAAGTAAGTATTTTAAGGAAAGGCAAGGTGAGATGTTTATGATGGTAAGGAGGTGAGTTTAAATATTGTTCCCTTTTGCAATGGAATTTTTTTTTGTTTTTCTTCTGTATTTCACTTCTGTACTATGATTTGAATATGACATTAGCAGGTATTATTTATTATATGCTTTGATATAAAATATCTGTTTCATAAGAAAAAATAATAGGAAGTAACTACTCAATTACTTCTGAAAGTGGGCTACTACATGAAGCAAGTTAGAATAAGAGTAGCTGTTGCTATTGTAGCTAAACCAGCTGCGAATGTTGTGAAGAGGTGGATCTGAAAGCAACTATAGATAATAGTTTACTCTGAGGAGACTATGTTTTCTGTTATAAATATACATTTTATGTTGAATAGAAAAATACACAGGTTGGGGAAGAAATCACATTTTACCCCATCTAAAAAAGGATAATCCCTTTAGATCACTGACAGGACAGTACGAAGAAGACTTACACTGCAGCTGCAGAAGTCTTTGGATAAATAGAGGATTTAATAATGTTCAAATATTTGTCCCAACCTCAAAAGGCACCCTGAAATAGAACTAACTTAACAGATGATACAGCTCTCTCCATATAGGTCTGGTGGCTCTTGCCCTGGGATTTCCTTGGGCATTTATTGTGTTTTGCTTACTAACTAATACAGTTATGGTAGCTATCTTTGGGGGATTAGGCTTCAGTCCTCTATAAATAATGTCAGCATAGAATGTAAGAGTGACAAACTTGAAAATAGGAAATGCGTATTTAAACCTGCGGGAAATCTTCCACATGGTTTGATGTTCTTGGACACATGAGAGCTAGGATTTTGAAAGGATTAATTAGCTTAGCCTAACTTTCCTTCAAATTTCAGAATCATATCTTACAGTTGCTACACACTTTGAGTATGCATTTAGCCAACTCCCTTTGAAATACATATTCTACAAGAAACATATTCTTTAAAATGTAATTTATATATCCTAGATTTCAGCACTCATTCTACCTCTATTATATGTGCTTTAATATCTTTTTAAGGCATGTATCATTTTCTAGAGTCCTTAGCATAAATAACTATCTTGAAATCAAAAGTTGTTGATAATATTTTAGTAAAAAAGGAATCCAAAGCAAGTAAGTTTATGTAGCCTTTAAAAATGTTTTCAGGGAACTGTGTGTGGATGGTGTGATGGAGAGGAAACCAGTATTTTGAGAGGTCTTTAAATGATCATGCCTCCATAAACTTGCCAGCAGCAAAAAACAAAAAACAAAAAAAAAGAGGATGGAAGTAGAGGTTGGGGTGGATTTGGTCCCCTTTGGAACACAAAGGTCTTTCAGTTGTCGGGGATTGGAATGGGGGTGTTTGGGTAGTGGAAAAAAAATGTTCTAGCATGTGGTAATGAGGTTAAAAAAAAAAGAAAACAGCAATGGATGATTACTTTTCTCCATCAAGGCTTCTTTATCCTCATAAGCTCAGACAGTGGTCAGCATGTTAGACACCCCTCCCTGTTTTATCCATCCCTTAACTATGTTCTTTGACAGGACTGGTTTATACAGCTGGGCCTTTGTTAAGCTAAGGGGGAAACTGTAGAGAACAGCAGAAAAGATGGCAGACTGAGTACCTATAAATGGTAAATGGTAAATACTGTATTGAAGTGCAAGATTCCAACTTGAAGGTTTTGCTTTTATTTGATTAAGTTTTTCTTTTCCAGATTTGTAAGGTGAACACTTTTACAATTTTTGTTTCAATTTTTGTACTGACAGATTTTGTGGTGATATGGGTAAATTGATTGTGCTAATCAGTAAAATTTCTTATGGCTATATTCTAACAAATGATGAGAATGAACTCAGTTATATTACCATCTAAAACTAGATATTCATATTATAGTTACAGTGTTTCAGAAAACACCTCCATTGTATGTGCCAAGGCATAGAACTGATTGAAAAGAGAAAGCATACAGGAAAAGCTATTTACTTCAAAAGGCTTATCTCTATGACGTACTTTTAAAGTATGAACAAATGGGAACTTAATAGTAATATTACTGTTAGCCCTGTTTGAAATATAATGCAAATCTTGTGCTGGGGTCTTATTGTGTGTTTATACTTGTCATACCATTGCTGGAGTTTGATGATTTTCTTCTCTGCAGTATATGCCACAACCTTTGAATTTTTATTTTGGGGGTTAGCATTCCTAACTTGCCCACAGTGGCAGTATGAACCATGCTTTTAAACTTTTTTTTTTTCTAAAAACAACAGGGCATGTGCTAAAACTAGAAAGATTAATGGGGAAAGAAGATAAACAGTTAAGACATAAAATGAGTTTAGAGGTCAAGCTAGAAAAATAGGAAAGCTTATGGATTTAATTCATATTCATCCAAGCAAAGGAGCTTTGGCATGAAAGGAGCCAATGAAGAGGCTCAGCATTCTTGTAACATCAACCATAGCTGCATCCCGCTGTTTTGGAGTTTGGGTTGATAGATGCTCATCGTCTTTGGCACTGCACCCTTACTTTTGGACTTTTCCTAATTAGGATGGCATATTCTTTATTTTTGCTGAGAAGTTCGGAAAATTTATCTCTGTCTAGTATGCCTGTCTCTCACATCAGAAGCTGTTGTTTGAGAAAAGATTTGTGCACTGTATATACGTTCCTTGCTGTCTATTTTGAATATAACATAAATATTTTCTACTTTGTACATTTTCAACAGCTGCTGTAGAAACAGGCTGTAACCAAGTCTGTATGGGGCATGGAAAGAAAGAGTGAGCCCCCTAAATTGGCCAGAATTTAGCAATATATAAACGATTCCTTGTCAGGGTTATTTGGATTCCAAAGAGGGTAGGGGGTCATAATATTTCTCTTCATTGGACTACTTAGACAGTCAGTTTTCAACAAATCTGATGCTGATGTTCAGTACTCATTTTAGCTGTGGGCCTCCTTTCTCATTTCTGCTGGGGGGAAGCATTCTCTGGAGGTTTTCTTTAGACGGCTTAACTTGCTTGATTTCACAATGACCTTTGAAAACAAAAGAAATTAAAACTAGACTGGTTACTTAATTATTTTTGTCATCATTATTAGATCCTAAATAAATTAAACATGCCACAGATTTTATTTCAAGACGTAGACCATGCTAAGAATAAGTCACTTTTGATTATGGAACAATTCGCTATTTATTTAGACTTAGCCAGTAATGTGAGATGGGAGGGAGAGAGCAAGAGTGGGGATGGGCACTTTAACAGGAAGAATCCCAGATAAGAAGTCAGGGAAGATGCTCAAAATATGTACCTAAGGATATTATTTTGGAATCTAAAATTTTATTCCCTATTTGCAGTTCTGCGATTGCAGTACTGTAAAGTCCCAAAGGGGTCAAAATGACCAAGTCATTAAAACAAGTAAAATGATTTTTTTATAGAGGATGCAGTATTATAAAGCCTGAATAGATATTCTTTCCTACTCGAAACATTTTTTTTTTTTTGCTTATGCACCTCACCTGACCAGTGTTATCCATGAATGAACATCCATCTTCTCCCATGATGAATATGGTGAATATGGCGAGCTGTTTTTACAGATTATTACAAACATTCCCATATATACGCATTTGTGATCTATGTAGACATTAAAACACTCTCATAAGGATAACATGAAAAAATTGGAATTACTAAGAAATTAGTAATACTAATTGTAGTAGTAATATTTAGGAATTACATAACATTTGAGTTTCCTTTTCATGGGTTAAAAATTGGAAGGAGTTTTCTACTTCTATTTTCCTTTAAAATACACAAAACTTTCAAATAGTTTTGAATTATATATTATTGAAAGTTGTTAGCATCAGATCATGATTAAATTAAGGTGGTGTGGTCCAACCCTTAATAGACGGGTTCCATAAAAAAAAGAAAGAATATTGATGTTCATTAACATATCATTAGATAGTAAAGTTTCTCTTCCTTCTGCTTCTCCTCCTCTTCGTCCTCTTCCTCCTCTTCCTCTAATTCCTCTTTTTGTCTCTCTCTCTCTGCACGCACGTGTGCACACATACACACATGCACACACATGGTTGCATATATAAACAAGACACAGACACCTCCCAAACTTAGGCCTGACAGGTTTATTCAACGATAGAACAATAGAAATGGAATTAATTCCTTTTTCACTACCAATTGTTCTGATAGAAAGCAGAAAAGATTGTCCCTGTAGCAGGGATTCTGCAGATAATTTTTAAAGATACCTTATTAGAGATATTGAGAATGGGTAAGCATTTCACACAGTATTTTTTTTTTTTTGGCTGTCTATTCGGCTGTCTATAACCTAAAATTTATACATATGGCAACCATATGTCTCAGAAAAATCCAAAAGGCTTCTGATTTTTAATACTGTCTTTATTTCCTTAACCCGGAAGCACACTATTCCTCGTTAATCAATTTGTTAATCAATCCTCTGAACTTTTGGGTCAGAAAAATTGTACTTATATTAAATATGGGGCTTTGCTTTTTAGTACTTCATATTATTAATAAAAGATTTTTACAGCCTATATCGGAAGAGATAGTTTTTACTAATCTCTAGATTCTTCCCCACAATCCTGTGTCTGTCCCAGGAATGGGGTATGTGGCTACTCTGCTTAGCTTTCAGACACACAAGGAGCCGAGCATCTGGGGAAACTCAGGAGGTGAGCACTTTCACGCTGACTCAGAGACCAGCCGTATGACTCCAGTCTGGCGCTGTCACGCCTGGTTATGGAAAGGCAAGAACAATGCCTCCCTTGAGAAGGGGGAAAAAAGTCTAGTGCAGTCACAATTTTGATGTAAAATTTAAATCATCCCTCCACATCCTGTGGACTTAGAGCTGTCAGAAAGGCAAAACCCATGCTCAAATGGAAAAAGCTTTTTATTTCCTTAAAAAGTATACATTCTCTAACTATAAATAAAAAGTTCTAGAATCACAGATCTTAATGCTAGATTATTCTAAGTAATTTATAGATAAATGGAACAAAAGGACTTTGACATTTTTAACCTGTAGATGGCTGAAGGTTAAACATATTTTTCAGTTTGCGATTAATGACAAATGTATAACAATACATGAATTAAATAATTTACAACAAAATGCTCCTATTGGACTTGTGTTGTTTTCTCCCAAGCTTAGGCATTTGGTCATTTTATCTATAACTTAAAAGAAATTTCTCTTCGATACTTAAAAGTCTTAATCATTTCTATTATTTTTCTTCAAGTGACTTGATTGAAATGTAGAATCTTTGATGATTAGAGAGACTCTGTGACCAAATGTTTTATCTCAGATAAAGGTGTTTCTGTTTTTGAGATAAGGAAATAAAATTATTACAATTTTTAATGATCGAAGGTAAAGTTAGGCAGAATTTTTAGTAGAACGTGCTTATTACCATACTCTTTCTTGTAAATCATGAGAAAAGTATTGATAATTTTTTTCAAAACAATATAGAATTATGTTAAAACATTTACTACCTCTTTTTAATGAAAGCACATTTGTACATAGGAGTCACAAATGTTCCTGTAAACTAGTTTTCCTTCAGTTTTGCTGTATTTATCACAATTAACTCTAATTAATCTTTTTCAAGTATTAAACATTATAAAATGATTTCAGTGGAGTTTAATTAAGTATTTTTTCTTCTGTTTTATTTATCAGGACTACTGTTGCTTTAGGCACATAGTAAGTATGGATTAATATCAAAATAATGTAATGAAACAGAAAGACATTTTAACTGGCAGATATACTTGTTTAGATAAATTTTAACCCTCCAGCCCAGCTATTATGTTACTCATAATAAAACAGTCTTCTTACTAGAACATTTTCTGGGTGTCTCCAGCCAATAAGACAAAGCCTAATTTTGGAGTAAAATTTTAGTGATTTACAGTTATTAGTGAAGCACTAAGAAAACAAGGTAGCAAAGGAAGACCTGAATTGTGATTTCTGAATCATTGTAGGATGGAATTTGGCTGCCATAAACTGTTTTTAAATGTTTGTCTCCCTGTTTAGAAAAGGATAGAACAGTGGAAGTGGAATTAACAAAACAAAAATGGACATTTTCTAGTTAGTTTTCCTGCTCACTTTAGGTACATTATTTCAAAAACTTTTAAAATATTCTGTGTCCAACTAGTAGTAAAGAAGCATTTATTTCTTTCAGATAATGACAAGAATCAGATTCTATTTCTGAGCCTTTCCTTATTTATCTTCAACTTGCTTTTGTTTTTCTTTTTTCATTTTATACCATTTCCTGGGAGAACCTTGTACCTTTACATTGTTTTGCGCATCTAATCCTCCCCTCCATCTCTGACTTTGGTGGCACGGAAGAGGCTGGGAAAAGCTATTTGGTAAAAGTAGTGATGCTAGCAAAGAGAAGAGCAAAAAGGTGGTGAAGAAGTGAAAAGTGCTGCTCTTCTTATCAGAAAGAAGGAAAGGTGTAACGAAGTACTTGATCTCAATGCAGAGAACATCTCAGAAACTAAACATGTGGCAAGGTAAACATAGGGGGCAACCTTGATGAAGATCACTTCAAAAGTTGTTGGTGACCACATTTTTGATGAACATGTTTTTAAATACAGTTTGAACTTTTGTAATGTATAATAAAATATTTTGTATAAACTCAGATTATATTTAAATACAGAATATTAATTTATTCATAAGTAAATATAGCTCAAAAGTAGTTTTGATTTTAGATTTACATGTTATGGTAAATTTTGTTGATCTCTACTCTGGTGAAATACATAGTGAAGATTACAAGGAAGTTTATCTTTTTTATTATTCTATGTTGTCTTTTTCTATATTTCTTTGAAATCTGTGTTTCTACTTCAATTTATATTTTATGCCAGGACCTGATGAACTTGTTCATGCCGCTAAATAACGGTATAATGAACCAGGTTTTTGTATGTGGGAAGAAATGGGTAGAGAAGTATGGAGATTGGCATGTTCTATATCAGAAACTGATGGCAAGGAGGATTTAGAGAAAAGAGAAGAAAAATGGTATAAAAGTTTGAAAGACTGCATGTTTACCATAAATAAATCTTCTATTTAAAGGCTTCTGAATATTATATATGACAGACTTGGTTATAAAAATTTACATGGAATGCTCACAGAGTAAACTCTCAACTTAGAAAAATAAAGATGTTCAAAACATGTAAGAGAGAAAAGGAAAGCATGAACTATAAGATATAATAATAATTGAAATTCATAGATAAGAGTAATGAAATTGATATTTTTTATTAAAGTGATATGCTAAGTTTGTGTAATTCTGTTTATGCATCAAATAAAAGTGTTTGTTGTTTCATTCATTTGAATTAGAAACCTTTCTATTCAAGCTCAATGTATGTTTTGAATTGCCATATTGGATAAGTAACATTCTATTGTGAAACAATCTTTAATACACAGTAAAGTTTAATTCCTAATATTGATTAGCCTTTTCACAACAACCTTAATTACAACAGGAACCAGACAAGTAAATGTAAATGTCCTGAACAAATAGTCTTGCTACTCGAAAAACTTAAGGCACATAACTTCCAGGAAAGTATTATTCTCTTTGAATTGCCAATTTTTATTTTGCTTTGCATATTCATATTCAGTGTTCCCTTCAGAAGATGCAATCTATTAAATATTTTTAATTAAAAGAGTTTTTTTTGAGACAGGGTCTCACTTTGTTGCCCAGGCTGTTGTGCAGAAGCACTATCATAGCTCACTGCAGCCTTGCTCTCCTGGGCTCAAGCAATCCTCCACCTCAGCCTCCTGAGTTGCTCGCACTACAGGCGGAGGCCATCATACCCGGCTAATTTTGAAATTTTTTTATAGAAATGGAGTCTCCCAGTTTTGCAGGCTGGTGTCGAATTCCAGGGCTCAAGGAATCTTCCTGCCTTGGTCTCCTAAAGTGCTAGAATAAAGGGGTGAGCAACCACACCAAGCCCTCTGTGTCTGACCCATTCTTCATTACCCTGTTGAATTATTGTATTTTCTGGGAAGCATTTTCTGATTAGTGAGATATCATCTATTATCTATCTATCTCCTGTAGCACTCATATTTTTAAAAAGGCATGCACCTTACAATATTCTTTCTTGATTTATTAATTATGTTGCTGTCTAACGGGCACATAGTATCTTTCACTAAATGTTTTTCCACTAATGAATGAATAGGTGGATAAATGGATGAGTAGGTATATATTTCCTGTTTCCATCAGAACTCTAACTTCCTTAAAGGTAAAGCAGAAGGGTCGTCATATCTTAGTTGCCGTGTTTTATTTATGACACAAAGGTAACTTGCTTGGCATAAAATAGGGACTCATTCAATTCGTTAATTTATTTATAAAAGAAATACATTGCCAACTATGTGCTAGGAATTATACTGCCCTATTATTAATTGTGTCTCATTTGGTGTAGAGGATTAGAATATTTGGGAAAACAAATGCAGAGCAATTTGCAAAGGACTTTATCATACACATAAAGTCACATCCTTTGCATTAATTTTGGTGACATAAAGTGAAATGGTCAAAAACAGAACTGTACTTGAAAAAAATTTACATGAAAGACACGCTACATGATACAGGAACTGAAGAAATTAAAAATGACATTCTTGTTTTCCAGATGCTTCTATTGTAGTTTCAGATACTGTATATACTAATAAAAAATGTTTAATTTTTTTATGCATGCAACTGAAAAAGTTGATGATATAGTTTGAGATTGGACAATGTTGCTTCTGCCATGGTGGTAGGAAGGGATGGCTTTGTAGAAGAACTGGAATTTGAGTTTCCTCTTTCTAGATATTTATTTTTGCAATTTTTTATATATAACTGCAAACTTTAAGATAAATAATATTATCATGCCGAAAGAACAACCAGTAGAAGGCACTGCATCCTAGGATTTTAATTTGTGTATTATCTAGTCAAAGGTTAAAATATTTAAAGAAAGAAACTTAAAAAAGAATGTACTATATAAGGAAAGCAATCCCTATTCTGAGTCTTTCATTTTATAATGTTCCAAATGCAGAATATCTTTAACTCTGTACATGTCATTTTCCAGAATAATTGTACCAAAGAACATTTCCTAAAAGTTTTTTTTAAAGTTTTTAGCAGTAAGTAGGTGATAGCTCAGTAATAAGTCTATTAGTAGTTGACTATGTAGTGCTTATTGGTAAACTTACTTAACTCTTATAATCTTTTACTTACACATGTTAAATAAAGATAACATTTTTAACTAGAGCTATAATATTTTTCTCAAGTTTTTTGAAAACATTATTAGAGCTTACCAATTCCTTTATGCTGAAATTATTTAAAAAAGGATACTGTTATTGAACTCTATTTTCTTATTTCTGACAATACTGAGACATATTCGAAGCATACTTGTCCTATAAGATTTAATCTTAAAGCTATACCTAGGTAGGGCATAATCAGAGGGTTGCTGGTTTTAGTAGCTATTCATGTAACATGTACACTGGAAGACTATTATTTTCAGAAAGGGTCTAAGTACTGGGCAAGTAGCTGTGAACAAAAATATAGTCTGCCTATGTGGATCTCATAGTGGGAGAGATTGACCATAAACAAATAAGTGTAAAATATATCAAGTGATTATAAAGGCTGCGAACAAAATGGCGTAAGGACTAAGAATGGAATGGAGTGCAGGTTTAGGACAAATGACCAAGGAAAGCCTTACTGAGGAAATAACGTTTGAGCAGAAAACTAAATGAAGAGAGGAAGAAGGCAAGCGTTATGTCTAGGGTAGGAGGATTCCAGACTGACTAAAATATCAACTATGAAAACAAAGTGCTTAAATCAATGATATATTATTACCTTTTTTATTGCTGCTGTAACAAATCATCACAAATATAGTGGCTTAAAAAATACAAATGTATTCTTTTACAGTTTTGGAGGTCAGAAGTCCTAAAATCAAGGTGTTGTCAGGTCCACATTTCTTCTAGAGGCTCTAGGAGAGGATCTGTTCCATTGCATTTTCTAGCTTGTAGAGGCTGCCTACATTCCTTGGTTCACGGCCTCATCTTCCATCTTCAAAGCCAGTAGCATAGTATCATCCAGTCTCTTCCTCTGACTCTGACTTTTCTTCTCCCTCTTATAAGGGTGTTTATGATTTCTTTGGACCCACCAACAATATTCAGAATAATCTCCCCATTTCAAATTTCAAAATACTTAATTTAATTACACATGCAAAAAGTCCCTTTTGACATGTAAGGTATTAAGACCTGGACATCTTGGTTTGGGGAGCATTATTCTCTTTCTTCTGTTGTTTTTTGTTTGTTTGTTTTGAGACAGAGTCTTGCTCTGTCACCAGGCTGGAGAGCAGTGGCGCGATCTCAGCTCACTGCAACCTCCGCTTCCCAGGTTCAAGTGATTCCCCTGCCTCAGCCTCCCAAGTAGCTGGAACTACAGGTGTGCACCACCACACCCGGCTAATTTTTTGTATTTCAGTAGAGATGGGGTTTCACCATGTTGGCTGGGCTGACCTCGTGATCCACCCATCTCAGCCTCCCAGAGTGCTGGGATTACAGGCATGAGTCACTGCACTTGGCCTGGGGGTGGGCATTATTCTTACTACTACAAATTATTTGCAACATTGACTGTGTATTAAAATCATGGGGAGCTTTAAAAATTTCTGATACCCGGTCACCCTCCAGAACCAATAACATCAGAATTTCTAAGGGTAAAACCCAGGGATCAGTATTTTTTAAACCTCTCCAGGTAATTCCAATGTGCAGGCAAAGGTTTAGAACCACTGCTTTATCTTTCTGTTGCAGTCTTACACCTTCTACCCTACCACTAAGTTTGCCATCCATGTCTGAACACATTGGAGACAGCCTACTTGCAGAGTGATTATAAGGCATATGGACAGCCTTCAGCCAATAGCAAAAGACCCCAGTAGTTTTCTATTTACTGTCACATTTATCAAGAGTAGCTTAATTATGCAGGATGCTACAAGGGGAAGTAAAGGGAAGGAGACTCCTGTAAAAGCAAGTTGCTTTTTACAAGTGAGCATGTTTCTTATTTTGTTCATGTAACTCAGCAATTCCAGGAGTGTTACAGGCTACATTTGGGATTTGATCCATATTCCTCAATCTCTTCTTTTTTTCAAGTAAGCTTGAACCCTAAATTTATATAATACTTTCTAAAAGTATCTCTGCATCTTTGCTTTTATTATTACTTCCTATATGAAATTCCCTGTCTATTTATCCTCAGGCTTTTGTTTATCCTTTTTCCTTGAAAGTCAACTGGTTCAACAATTCTGTGAGGCATTTAAGGATACTCTGGTCCTCAAGAAGCTCTCAGATACTTAGCTATAATGTCATTTGATCTACGGACTGAACTGTCTTTCATTAGTATTTATTCTTTTATTTAAAATATTCTCAACCAGCTCATAAGCTTCTTTAACCAGAGGCCGAGAAATAGGTTTTTTATTCCCATTAAATAAGTGTCTTGCACATGGTAGCTGATCATCAAATAGTTGTTGATGATTTGGAAGATTTTGCTTGTGCCTTAAAATTAGATGTCATTTCTTTCAAGAAAGTTTTTTGACCACAAAGTGAGCTAAGACCAGTGTTACGTCATCATACTCCCCAAGGCAGTTTCACATTAGATTATATTTGTCTGTCTTATGTCAGTTTCTTTGAAGTCTGAGTTTTGTTCATTGGTAAGCCTAGCACCACAGAAGTGATAAAAATCATCTCTAAAGGATAAGAGCATACGCCAGCCTAGATGCTCACATTGTTACAAATTGCAACACAGATATGTAGTTAGTGTAAGTCATATAATGTAAGCTATATAAATATATGCACACTTGTGGTGCCTTTTTTTTTTTTTCTTTTTTTTCAGACGGAGTTTTGCTTTTGTTGCCCAGGCTGGATGCAATGGTGTGATCTCGGCTCACTACAACCTCTGCCTCCCAGGTTCAAGTGATTCTCCTGTCTCAGCCTCCTAAATAGCTGAGATTACAGGCATGCACCACCATGCCCAGCTAATTTTGTATTTTTAGTAGAGATGGGGTTTCTCCATGTTGGTCAGGCTGATCTGGAACTCATGTGATCTGCCCGCCTCAGCCTCCCAAAGTGCTGAGATTATAGGCGTGAGCCACTGCAACCGGCCTGTGGTGCCTTCTTAATGAGACTTTTTTCTGCCCAAGTGTTTCAACACTTTGATAGATGGACAAAAATTTAAGAATCTAATGTTATTGGTGATTTTGTTGTCAATATTTTTGAGAAGTACTATGGGTCATAGTAAACATGAATAATACAACCAACAGATTGATATATCTATATGTAATTTGTTATATAGTTTACTTTTCTGACTTAGTAGCCTATTATTGAAGTATAACCGTGGTTGCTTTTATTATAACGATTTAACAAATCTTTAAGCAATCTTTTACCTGAATTATAAATACTTTCAAGGCCAATGCATTGAGAACATTCTATAACACTCTGAAAATGGAATTGAAATAAGTATGAAATATGTGACATTCTAGGATCAGTTGCCTTCCGGCATCATGACGCTTTCACGTTCAGTGTTATAAACCTTAACCTTTTTTGCTCTCTAGAATGCTATATATAGAGAATACACACTCAGTTAAATAGAAAGTTAATTTAGGTTTTGAAATAACCAGAAGTTTTGATAAAACTATCAATGTCTTGTCAGTCTACCTTAACAACCTGTGTCTACTTTTGGACTTTCAGTTTTCATAATTGATGTTAATAATGATATTAATAAAGTAGAAATCAACAGAAAGGTCATGGTTCTGAAGGTCATAGAATTGTATTAACTTAGGAAAGGCTAGCTGATCTTGCTTTCTGCTTTCATGACTCAGAAACTGGCTCTTGTCAATAGACTAGAGTTTTTAGACATTGAGAGACTATACATGAGTCTGAGGCAGACACCAGAATACCAGTGTATTAATTCCAGTAAGAATGATAATGCCCACTCAGACCACAAATGCTAACGTTTGTATAACAAAGGGATAATCTCCTTATAGTCAAGCTACATGCAAAACTAAGAAATAATTAAAAGTTTCCTTATTAGTTTAATAAATCACTTCACAAAGACCTTAAACATTTAAAGCCTGTTCTGTCCACAAACTCTTTACATGAGAATCAGAAGTTTGCCTGTAGAACATCGAATCAGAACAGTGGGAATTAAATATCTCTAGTGTCATGGGTTATTATGTTATTATGTAATATATCAATTTAGTGTGTGATATGGTATTGCCAATGAAACTAGAACTATTCTGGCTTTGTTAACTCCAGCTCCTCACATGCTTCTCCATACTTAGAGTATACTTGGAATAGGCCTTGTTCATGGGATTGGAAATAGTTAAAATTACTTGAAATGTGGTATCCAAATCTACTTCTCCTTTAGACAATGCTGACATGGTAGCTGCCCCTATTTCCTCCTCTTTGTCTGTTTCTTTGGCTGATCAACACCTGTACTATTAAGATTTTGTTTTGAACACTTGCTATTACATCTGATCGGTTTACTGTTAAGTATTGCTGGCCAGGGAGCATTTATCTAATGGGAAACTTAGTATTTTATGTTGATTGTATAGTGAAACCCTTTACTAGGCAATCTGTTTTCCTCATGTTTGAGTGTTTTTGTTTTTTGAGGGTGGGTGGGTTGCACTGTAGTTTTAGTCTGTTAAATAAACACGGGCTATTATATATTGACTGTGTATTCTGTGTTAAATAATACACTAATTATTTGTCACATGATACATAGTCCATTTTCAAAAAGCCTTATGAGGTAGATATTTTTCACCTTAAAGATGAGTAAGTTGAGATAGAGAAATTAAGTCTCAGCTAGTAAGTGACAGAATCAGTATTTTCATTCCGACTTGTCTGATTCTAAAGCCCTTATTTTTTTCTACTGTCCTAATATTTTTAATAGAATATCTCCTGTACTTGAATGCATGTTTTCTTTTGAAACTTATAACACTAAAAATAACATTATTCATCAATGATTAGAGGCATTTGGGGGAACACACTTTAAATTTAAAAATCAGTGATCTATATGAAGGAAGTGTTGTGGTAGTTAGTAAATACTTCCCTGCCTCCCATCTCACTGGTCTAGAATAAGAATGAATGATTTTGTAAACACTCTTTGTTTGTTGAACAAAAAATAACAGCTTTTTCAAGGTCAGATTAAGTTGTAAATACTACAAGAAAGTTTTTTAAATTAAATATTTTAACTTGTCATTATTTCTATGGGAATAATTTAATGAAAGGAAAAGGAATTTTCTATTTAAAATATTTGCCACATATTTTTAACCTCTGATAATATTCTGAATCAGACTCACGTACAAAGAAAATGTTTAATTCTTGTTCAATTATCTAAGCTCATTTTCATGTAGACTTTAGCTCATCAAAACAAAATATCCTTCTTTGGGTTTTTTTCTTTTATTTAAGTATCCTAAGGATAAATAAGTCAGAATTATTCACATCTAAATCATTCATAGAGTTGTGAAAATAGAATTGAAATATTTTAATATTCTCACCTTTTTTTTTTTTTTTTTACTACCTTGCAACTTTGTTATTATAACTAAATGCCCAAATTGGGTAATTTGGGGAGATGAGGGAAAGAAAATTCTCAAATGTTTTAAGATTAACAGTGATTGTAAAATTTATTCAATCCTTAATAAGCTTTAAACAAATATTAAACTTTCTGTCAGTTGCTGTGAGGTTTGCTTATAACCAATATTTCTACATTTTACAATAATCTTACTTTCAATAAAATGTAAATTTGTTTTAATGGCAATCATTTATATATTGAGTCTATTTTTTGATGAAAGAAATTTTAGTTATTTCTCTTCTTTTAAACTGCCAACAGTATTTGCTATTCACAGATGTTCTGTCTTCAATAAGGTCTATCAGAGTGTAAAACTAGATGGGTATTTTTCTTCCCTCTAAAATGGAATGGTCTTTCATTATGCAGTGTTCTTAGGTGAATTCTCTTGTTTAAGAAGCCAGAATACAAGAGAGTGCTATATTAGTGTATTATTCTCACAACAAACAAGCACTGTTCTGTTGCTACCTGCTTGGCCATTGTTTCTGATTGTGTGTGCTTTGCAGTGGTATTTGGATGGTTTCCTGCTCTCTGCTAGCACAAAAAGGCATTTCTGTTACAATGGCCCCTAACCACACAATGACGGCATTAAGGATTTATGTGGAGGTTTCATTATTTTCTCCTCTTTTGTTCCTTCCAGGATGTCTTCCAAGCGACCAGCCTCTCCGTATGGGGAAGCAGATGGAGAGGTAGCCATGGTGACAAGCAGACAGAAAGTGGAAGAAGAGGAGAGTGACGGGCTCCCAGCCTTTCACCTTCCCTTGCATGTGAGTTTTCCCAACAAGCCTCACTCTGAGGAATTTCAGCCAGTTTCTCTGCTGACGCAAGAGACTTGTGGCCATAGGACTCCCACTTCTCAGCACAATACAATGGTAGGTTTCTCATGGTTTATTGTGCCTACACTCACTTTTTGACCAGTCTACTCCTCTAATAGTTTGGCCTCAGTCCTTTGCTTTATAATTAACATCTACTTAAGAACCCATGCACAAGATTCACCCCTGGCGTCTTAGAATTCTTTAAATTTGTTCCAATAAGCAGCATAAGATACGCTGTTTTCGTTTCTTTTGTATTTTTCAAGACTTCTTGCATTTGAGACACTTACAATTTAATTAGAGGGGAAAAAATATACAAAATATAAAAATAATGTTAAAGTAAGATATTTAAAATTATTCAGCATGAAAATTTGGTGTCATACTTTTTCTAATAAAAGTTTTTTTTTCTGGTAGAGTTACAATGAACATAGTTTGAACATTTCCAACATGATAAATCAGTGTTATTCTATTTTTTGCTTTGCCAAGATTGGACTCTATAATATTCCCTAACAGTACTTAGAATTTCATAGAGGAATATATTTCATAGAGACTATAGTTTTCTAATATGAATACACCAATTTCTAACTCAGGCCTATTCACACTGTTGTTTCGTTAATTCGGTAATTTTTTTTTTTTTTTTTTTTGCATCCTATTCTGGAATATGCAACTCTGGATAAATCCTCTGACCCCTTATCCTAGGGTCTGGATCACTGTAGAAGATTAGGAAACCAGGACTTTGTGGATGAGAGGAAAGAAGCCAGCATAACATCTCTGGCTGCAGCTTAAACAGCACACATAAACACAAATAAGTCATTGTGGTCCTTCTTAGCAACTTAAATACATAGAATCATAATGTTAAGAAGGTAGTGGGGCACTTACCACCATTAAAGGCATCCTCACCTTTTCAGTGTGGCTGCTTGGGTGGATCACATTTTTGTGACTGCTCCACCTTTTCTACTTTAAGGATGTTAGTGTTGTTAATTTGAACCTGAATTACACCAACAAAAATATATTTTATCTTACATTCTACTGCCTTTAAAGGCAGCTCTAATTCTGCTAAATCTTTTTTTTTCCTCCAGGAAATTATTGCCTGTCATAAATATACTTAGAGCTGAAATATGTCCACTTGTTCATGTTTTTGAATTATTGCATGTGGAATTAAATCAAGAAGAAGAATCAGTTATCTTCTGATAGCTGTGTAATAGATCAATACTTTGATTTTCATATTAGATTTAAATATTCCCATTCAACATTTCAGCCTCATAGGTCAAGATTTCTTTGGGCATTTGACAATTCCAAGATTTTTCCACCAAGAATAATGTTTTAGGTCGGGCGTGGTGGCTCACACCTGTAATCCCAGCACTTTGGGAGGCCAAGGTGAGTAGATCACTTGAGGTCAGGAGTTCAAGACTAGCTGGCCAACATAGTGAAACCCCATCTCTACTGAAAATACAAAGATTAGCTGGGCATGGTGACATATGCCTGTAATCCCAGCTACGTGGGAAGTTGATGCAGGAGAATCGCTTGAACCCAGGAGGCAGAGGTTGCAGTGAGCCGAGATCGCACCACTACACTCGAGCCTGGTGATAGAGTGAGACTCCATCTCAAAAATAATAATAATAATAATAGTAATGTTTTAGCTAACTCATATGTCAGACATATAGAAGTGGTGTTGATAGCACTTCTTGATGGTATAATAACTCATTTAACCTTCACAGTAATTCAGTGAGGTATTATTATTAATTCTGTTTTACAGATGAGAAAACTGACGCAAAGAGAGGTTAAATAACTTGTTCGGATCAGCTAATTCATGGAAGGACCAGGATTTAACCAAGCATTCTGTCTTTGGAGTCCATGCTTACAAACATTATTCATGCTGCTGCTTCACAAGAGCACAGGCATATTTCATATTCTGATTATCTATTTCTTTGCAAGTTAAATCTTACTGCACATCATTCCTCCCTCTCCTTTTTACTGTGAGCTTACGTAAGTTATGTACAATGATGAAACTTTTTATCTTCCTCTTACAAAGGTTAAACTAGGAAAAGGAGACAATGGGTAGTACACAGGTCAGTAGTGTAAGAAAGTCAGACATTCCATTTGGCATTACATCACTCCTTATGCCTTTTCCACTTTTAATACTTTCATCACTGTCCTCTTTCAGAAAGTATCTAATTAGGAATGTTGTGATAGTACCATAAATACAAACATATACATTTGCAGAGATGAATGTAGATAATTATGACTAGAAGAATACCAGAAAGATAAATGGAAGATGATTTTAAGTATACTGAAGGATGGGTATGAGAGAAGTATATTAAACTGATACATACATAATGTAGTTTCATGAGGGGATGCTGTAATGTAGGTAGTTAATACAAATGAAACCATTCCTATTTTTTTTTTTTGAGATGGAGTCCCGCCCTGTCACCAGGCTGGAGAGCAGTGGCGCGATCTCAGCTCACTGCAACCTCCACCTACTAGGTTTAAGCAGTTCTCCTGCCTCAGCCTCCCAAGTAGCTGGGATTACAGGCCCCCGCCACCAAGCCCAGCTAATTTTTATATTTTTAATAGAGACAGGGTTTCACCATGTTGGCCAGGATGGTCTCGATCCCCTGACCTTGTGATCCGCCCACATCGGCCTCCCAAAGTGCTGGGATTACAGGCGTGAGCCACCACACCTGGCCAAAACCATTCCATTTTTAATGGTGAATTCAGTCTAACTAAAAAACGATGAACTGCCTACACTGTACCATGTTTTGTGCTAGACACTACGGAAATAGATTTGAGTAAGACACAAACTTCTTTCCTCAGTGAACTTCATCTAAAGCAGAAGTTCTCTTTAATTTTTTTAGAGACAGGTTTACGCAGGCTGTAATGCAGTGGCACAATCATAGCTCACCGTAGCCTTGAACTCCTGGGCTCTAAAGCAAGAGTTTCTTAACTGGGGTCTATAGTTCTCCTAAAAACGAATTGAGAATTTTTCTATATGTCAGCATATCAGAGTAGCACTATGGTTTCCATTGGATTCTTAAGTAGATCTGTAACCCAAAAAGGTTAAGATCCGTTATTCTAGAAGTTAGTACAGTTTGGATACAAATGATTGTTTTAGTGACATCAGCACTTATACTTTTCTCTTATATTTTTAATTAGTTTCTAAATTTGTTTCTGCTGCATATGTTTCTTGATTCCAGCTGTTTTTTTCTGTCTTGAGTAAATAGTTGGAAGAGTTACCTATATGATCTCAAACATTCAACCTCTTTCCAAACTTACTTTCAACTTCCACAAGACTTGTTTCCTGATAAATGACTTGGATTGTTTATGTCACTTTTGAAGCTAATGTGGGCTCTGTTGCACATAGGATTTAGTCCAAAACACCTTTTCTTAGCAAAAGAAAAATCTCTATAGACTAGCATCAAACCATGGCTTTAGTGTCTTCTATTAACACATCCTACTGTGGACACAATGCCCTGGTAATGCCAAGCTTTTCACACATGTTCATGAGCATACCAGATGGCCTTTGAATGGCACAGTTTTATTCTTTCTACTTGGAAAACTCTCTATTTTCACATGTTACCTTCCTGGTGAATTATATTTCTCCCATAAGACTCAGTTCAAAAATTGCTTTTGGTTAGATGCTTTCACTGACCTCCCAAGGCAAAATGGTTACTGCATTATTATTTCATCCATGAGAATTATTTATATATTTTCTCATGATCTACATTATAATTTATTTATTTACATGTCTGCCTTTTTATATACTGTATTCCTTTTTGAAGGCATAGTCATATATATGTATATTTATGTTTCTGGGATCTAACATATACTAGATATTCAACTTACGATTATTGACTAAGTTTACATGGATGAGTAAATATGTTTTAGGCAGAGTAGTGAAGGACAGTAATTAATAGTGATTTCATTTTCTAGCAATTTTAGAACTAAAGTAGAATCTACTAATGTATAATATATCCAGAAAGCAGAAAGTCATGATATATTCAAATTATTAAACTGATTAAGATACATTTTACTCATGTATCAAAATTATTGAATATATTTGTAGTATTCTTCAATATAAATAATTTCTCTTTTTATTCTGGCTACCAGGCCATTGTCATATTCACAAAATAGGTTCTTTTATTTCTGTAAGGAAATACATTCTCTCTTTTTTTCTATTCCATATCTTTGAAAACAGAGAATGCTTCATAGTCTTTATATCATAGAGTTCAATTTAAGAAAAAAAAAGAAGGCAGCTTTTCATTGTGTATTTGTGTGTGACATTCATACTCCATTCTTAAATAAAGAAGAGAGATGCTGGGAGGTATATATTTTGTATTGCCTGAATAGGTTAGAGACAAGATACAACTGTTGAGTGATCCCTGTAATGCTGGCTTGAAGTTATGGAGAAATGCTTTCAGTATAAAACTTAAGTTGGAAAGAGTTCTTGAGATAGAAGTTCTGTACACTTAATTACTATTCCCATATAAAGACTTTGAGGAAGTAGGATGCTTTGTTCGGTTTCAGGTTATGCAAATGTTACGGTTTGAAACTGAGTCAGATAAAGATGTAATTCTTCCTTTCTGAAATTGTGTTTATTGCCTCACTATTTTGGAGAAACAAATGCCTAAGAGCGACTTACAAACAGCTGTAAGTGGTATAAATACTTAAAGTTCATTTATTCCTGGAATATTTCACTCAGTGTTCAGAGTGCACTACAGATGAGCTTTCTTAAGCACACTATATACATATACATATATTCACAAAATATTGTCAGATTTCTAATCAATGTAAGACTGAGACACAGATTGTTATAAGTCTATGAAAAAGACTGATTCTGTTGGTTCCTTCTCTGAAGCTTTCATAATCTTGCCAAGCAATTAAGAGCAACATTTGATTCTCATATAATCTTCGCACAGTTGAAAGCAATGTGAAAGTATGATTCTGACATTAGTGAAAAGGCAGTCCTGAGCTTTATTCTTATTGGTAGTTAAATCTCCAATTGTCTCCTTTATTGTTTTCCTTCTTTTCTTTTTTTTTTTTCAACTTGACTTTGGAGGCTGTTGCTTCAAAATTTCAGAGACAAGCAAGAATCACTGTAATTTTGGGGTCACTGTTAATAATAGTTTGGATACAGATGGATTTATTTGATGATGGAAAGGACTCTCCAGAATGCGTCCTCATGTCAATCAATATGAGTATTTGTGGGCACCAGAAGGGAATAGAGTACTCTGAGGAGAAATCAAGTAGCAATATCAGAAGCAGCTGGGGTAACTCTATGGTGACCGTTTTGGTGACCGTTTTGGTGCCCGTTTTCTGTCTGGTTGTATGCTACTTCTTTGCTACTTCTGTTGGTTAGATTGTTGTTCCAGTGTCAAATGTGATGTGAAATGAAAGTCTTGACCACCTGTGGTTGTTGAATAATCAGTTGTCATTTTTTTAAATAAAAAGCATATTTTATCTTAGCCAAATTCTCTTTTGATTCCTTAAAATACTTGTGTGTTGAGTGAACAGTGTAATTTTTTTTTTTTTTTTGAAATGGAGTTCCGTTCTTGTTGCCTAGGCTGGAGTGCAATGACATAGTCTTGGCTCGCTGCAACTTCCGCCTCCCACATTCAAGTGATTATCTGGCTTAAGGCTTGCGAATAGCCAGGATTACAGGCACCCGCCACCATGCGCAACTAATTTTTGTGTTTTTAGTAGAGATGGGGTTTTGCCATGTTGGCCAGGCTGGTCTCGAACTCCTGACCTCAGGTAATCCGCCCGCCTTGCCCTCCCAATGTGCTGGGTTTACAGGCGTGAGCCACCATGCCTAGCCAATATTTTTATTTTAAAAAATAATTTAGGTTTTTCATTCTACAGACAGCTGAATTTTATTATGAAATAAATACTGTGTGTGTATATTTTTTAACATATAAAGATCTATTGGATTTGAAAATATGTTACTAGTATCTAATTTATTGTTTATACTGATGACATTTTCTTGGAATTGTTAAAGAAATCTGAATATATAATCTCTTAGTTTGATTTTGTCATATATCTTAATGTTAATATGCTTAAACATTACACATACACTAATGATCATAAAGCAACATTCACCGTGAGTCAGTTTTCTTCCTGAAGTCCATCAAAAGAAGAAAAAACTGTCTTTTAAAGTTGATCTTCTGTAGAGTTTGGAAATACACCTGAGATCCTAAGTATAACATTATAGCAAGCCTCCACCATATGAAATCCAACCTTAAACACTGAAAGAATTCATTCAATGCACATGATAGAGAGGCTTTTACTTGCTCAGGCTCACTGTCAGCTCCTGGGATGCTTTATTTACCCAAAATAATTTTAATTGCTGTATTATAGCTATGTCTTGAAATACCCTTTATATAAATTTTGCTTACAATCTAACAGTTAGTTATGTGTTTTCAATGTTTGACTAGGATGGTGTTATGCGCGTAATACTGTTCAGAAAATTTAACAAGGAAAAGAGAAAAATGCATGTGTTACTTAAAAATAAGTCACAGAATAGGGCCTTAATTATGGTATGGTAAAGATTTCTATTTTTATATGGTGCTTTTTATAAGCTTTAAAATTTCTGGTTACCTTTGTACGTCAAACTTAGCATAAGTTATTGTGATGCTATAATGCATATTGTTGTTAAACCAGTGTGGTTATTGTGCCAGTTCTAATAATGAGAATTTCATTGTTTAGGGAGAGCATTCTCCTATACTCTGAACAAAAGTGTAATTACTTTTGAACGATGTGGAATGTGCTCAGTTTAATAGCATGGAGAATAGATTCAGAAACATTCAGATAAAGTAAGCTTGGAAGCCATATGTGCAGTGTGGCAGTATAAAATTATGATAGTAGGCAGTATAATTCTACACACACATACCCGATTTCACACAGTTTATCTATAAACTGTTGTTTCTGTAGGAGATAGGCTTGCTTATCTGAACAAGGCTAATTCAATTGAAACAAGGTAAAAATGCTGACAAGCGAGTATTTGTTTTTTATGGTAAATTGATGTTTATCATACAATGAAATTACATTGTTACAAACATTATTCTGTAAATGTTGTCACAAAATACCACACGAAGCTGTTTATCTAGATATAATCCCAGGCTTGTGTTTAAGTGTAAGTGGTTCAATCATTATACTTGCATTGTTTTGGGAAATTACCCCCAGGGCTAGCAGGAATGGGGACGTGTGAAAAACAATCAGTTGGGGTCCATCAAAGCCACTGGATAAGTTGTGCAATCGATCATTTTGTCCTGTTGCCATAAAATTCCATTCAATCCAGTGGTGGGAGAAGGAGTCAAATGTTAAACTGAGAAAACTTTGATTCATTCATATGATGTCCACAGTATTTGAAGTACTTCTGTTGAGAGTAAAGTTAACTGGACCTTGAGAAATTAATGAGTATTCTCTCACATGAAAAAAAAAAAGTGCTATGGGAGTTGTGAGATAGTTCAGGACACTTAATGAATGTCTACTATTATCCCCACACAGTGTAAGGCAGTGATAGGGGTTAGGGGCACAGGCAAGAGCTTCCAATGCCGTGGTAATGGGGGGAAATGTGTTAGCCTGAAAAGATTTGGTCTAATGGAATTTAATGACTTTCATTTAATAGGGAGTGCTGCAGAAAGATTCAACTCAAATATATACAATGAATATTTATCAGTGGAGGTATAGAAATGAATAAGAACTAGTCTCTTCCCTCATGTAGTTTTTGTGTGTTATGTAGTATGAAGGTAAGAGAAGCACAAAATCACCATAATGTAATATAAAATATTAGAACCCTGATACAGGAGCCTCACAGTTGAAAAGTTTCTCATTTGTGGTGATCAAAATAAATTAACTTGAAATTGTTTCCACTGAAAATAACTACTTGACATCTAGATATTAAATACACACACACACACACACACACACACACACACATATACACACTGGACCAATTACCATCAATTCAAGGTCTTTACTTTGTACTGGAATATAGTTTTGTTTTTGCCATAAAGATTTTTTTCCAACAGAAATAACTCAGGAAGAATAAAAAAGAAAGTTAAAAAAAGGGAAAAAAATTGACCACAAAATGTACTATGAAGCTTTTAATATAAAATGTAGAAAAGTTAGGAAAATATGCACCTCATGTTAATAGGGATAAAAACAATTACTTTAGATATTGAAGTTTCAAATGTTTCCTTTCCTTATCTGGGTGACCACCTTGAATGCAATGGAGAGAATGATGAAATACTTGGCTGGGATACTGGAAATAGCCAGGACACTAAGAAGCAATGCCGGAGACTTACGTGAATTCTTGATTTTTGTGGCATGGATAGGTGGTCATCTTTATCTCACTTGTTATTCTCAGACATGCATTAAGGAAGGATTACTTATATTTGGAAGTTAAAAATAATTAAAAGTTTCTTTGCAGTTGCACTTTATTATATAATTTTGTTTTTAATTCTTCATCTTTCCTTTGATTATTTTCATCCTTTGCTTCTCTTTTTCCTCTTTCTTTCAATTTGGCTCTATCAGAAAACATTCTTAATGGATCTTCTTGTGGATCTCAATAGAGCCATTATTAGAAAGGAAGACAGGGTAGGAGAATCAGCACCATTGTGCTCTGATATATACTTCCTTCCTCTTATATGTTGCCTCTTGGGGCTTTGCCAGACCTTCCTGCAGTCAGTCTAGGTTTCTCTTACTGCATGTGATTAATAAAGATCTGTTGGTTTTATGATTAAGTTTTAACTCGTTTTTAGTAACAGAAACAATGTAGTGAGTTATTCACAAAACTATATAGTATATTTCTTCAATTTATTCTGAGATTGTATTATTTTACTTTTCTTTGATGATCCAGTGTTGATAATAAATGATAGTTTTATTTTCAGTGCCCGTACTTAGCTAAACAACACTTGAAACCCTGTATTGTTTCCCAAATTATGTTTCAAAATCTTACCTAAGTAAATCCAAATGTCCATGAGCTTATGCTTTAGCAGATACTGGTGTTCTTTATGTGCCTATTACTCACTTTCACTTTAAGTTATTTGACAGCATGTGTCACTATTTCCAGTCAGTTTTTGATTTAACTAAAATCTTTTTGTCTTCAAATTTATTTCTTTTTTAATTTTGAGATTTTATAGAGATTGGTAAAAAGTTTAAGAAATAGGGAAGGAGATCATTTATAAAACTAGAAAGTAATCTTAATGTTAGTGTCACTGTATAAACTTAATATAAGTGATAATACCAGTGCATTAGTCATTATTTTTTATTACACTTTCAAATGACAGCCACCTGACAGAATCCAAAAAAGAAAAAAAAAAATCTTGCAGTATGTTGGTGCCTGATTTCTAGAAACTAGAATGAAATCTGTAAGACGTGGTAACTCATTTGTCCATGGGACCTCAAATGTATCACATAATGCTTACACCATATTTCTTCTTGGCCACATCAGTTAGATTCAACTACCTATTGTACTTTAAAAGGGATCTTTGTATAACAACCTATTTAAAAAATACAACCATTAACACTTCATTTGGATCTTAAGAAAGTCAAGTCTTAAAAATAACATAAGGGAGTCTAGTATTGGATTTTCTTTTTTTCACATATTTTGACAATCATATTCATATGGCTTTCAATTAATAGTATATACAAGGACAAACACTTGGGCTTTGAGGTGATAAATTAGAAATATTAAAACAATTCAATAGTAAAGAAAATCTTACAGAATGATGAGTGGGAGCATTTTCAAGAAAAAATGACTCCTTAAGGAATACAATCAGAACTAAAAATGCTTGGGACACTATTGGTGGTACATTAGGTAAATTAAAAGCATTCAGTGTATCTAAACCCTTTCCTTTCTTTCACAGGCCTGAGATACTAATAATTTGTACTGGCATTAAAGCTGGCATTGAAACTCAATTCATGATAGAACTTTAGTATGCTACCCATTTTGATCTTTTTTTTTTTTTTGCCATTTTCTTCCTATTTCTTGTTTTGGAAAGCAATTTTTTTTCCCCTGTATTTTACTAGAGAGAATGAGGGAACATTCTTTGGTGTTTGAAATGGGAAATAAATGTAAACCTAACTTAAGGTGACAATTGTAAATGGCCCATTTGGTTACATATCTCCTTTGTGTGCAAAATGCTTTTTAAAATTTTCCCCTAGACCATTTTTAGGAATGATCCATGTAAGCAGATGAGGTGTGATATAAGGAGAGCAGCCTTGGCCAGCTCTGTGACACTGACATCACGTGATAAAGCAAATGAACACAAGTGACTAGATTTTGTGTCTTATTTAGTCAAGGCTGCTTCTGTGGCAGCAGGGCAAACAATGTTATCATTATATAGAGGAGCAGTGTTTACTTCAGTGTCTCTTCCTAGCTCTTAAAAATCCAGCCTGTCTTGAGATAAAACAATTAATCTTGTTTGTCGATATCTCTAAACTACAAACTGATATTTGAAGGGTTAATAAAAACATTAAAATGGAGATAGGATATGAAAAAGATGATAGGGGTATAGCTCCAAATGTAGCTTTATAAATTTATGTAAAAAATAGAAACTAGGTGCCACGTAAAAATTCAAAACCTATTGTTAGTATAAGAAAAATAAGTTACATTAATTTTAGCATTACACTTACTGTACAAAGCTTTGAAACCACCTCTCCAGCCACTACTAGACCTTTCCCTCTGCATAAACACACATCCTGGAGTAGGAGAGATTGCTAGGCTGTTATCAGTATTCATCTTCAGGCCTTGTGACAGTGGCTGGCATGCTTTGCACCGCTAGGGACATGGGAGCTGGAGAACATGCTTGTGTATCTGAGATTCTGATTTCCCCAGGGTCATCAATAGAACATAAAAAGCAATGTTGAAAGCCTTGTTGAATATATCTTATAGCCGATCTTCAGTCTGATAGGTGCAACTCAAATATGGAAGATTTCAGTCAGTGCTCCTCAGAATAAGATATCTAATAATTAATAGCAATGCATAATATTTCAATGTTTTCTGTGTACCAGCCACCCTACATTGATTATCTTAGCCAATCGTATATTAACCCAGTGAGTTCAGCAACTACGTTTATCCCCAATTTACAGATGGAAAACATTCTTGGATAGTTAAAATGACTTGCCTAATAAATAAATGATACAGTTTGGGTTCATGGTTTTAGAACCCAAGCACTTAATAATTCTGCTCAGTTTCTGCACTCATATAAATGTTAAAATCTTTTTAAAAATATTTTATCAGAATAAATAGCTTGAACAGCCTTTAGAAATACTTGTGGGGGAGGCAGGTAGAACAATCTTTACTTGATTTTTTATTTTACCCTAACTTCGGGTTAACTTCATTTTTTAAAATCTTTTTAGCTGGCTTTAAATGGGCCAGGAATTTTACTGTTTTTAGAATAATAGGCTATTGGGCAATATATGAGATTCTAAAAGGCTATTTGTTAAACCTTTCATGTAATAATTAGTATTAATATATTAATTTGTGTTCTGGCTATAAGAGAGTTGGCATAGGGTATTAGTTAAGCCCATGACCCTCAGTGACAAAATTACTGGGTAAATTCCAAGATCCGTTTGATATCTGTATGGCATTTGGCAAATTATGGAAATGGTTTTACCTTATTTTTGCCATCTGTAAAATGGCAGTGATAAAAATGGCATCTAACCTAGAGGGTGCGTACAGTGTTTAAAGTAGTCAAGACACGTAAAACTTTCTGGTGCTGGCATATGCAGGTACTCAGTAATTGTCAGTTGTTCAACAAGTGCCTAAAGAAATGTTTAAGTTCTGTGATCTAGGAGTATGTTGTATGAAACGTCAGCTGGCTTCAATGCTTATAAATTTAAGTAACCTATAAGAAAACCTTAAGCTAGAGAAAAAAAAAATTTGAAATGAGAAATCAAACACTGTAGAAGTCTCAATCTCTTGTCATTGAAAGATCATTATTCAATCTGAGATATTATCTCTCAGTCAAATATTTATAACAGATTCAGTTATTAAAAATATTATTTATTTGCAGACATTATTTTGCTTAATGCTGTTAAGGCTAGTCAGCAATAGCAACCACCTCCACTAACACCACCACACCAATATCTACCTCAGTAAAGTCAAAAACCACATTTTGTTAAGATTATGAGATATATAATGAAGCAGTATAGAGCCTAAGTTCACCCTTAAACTGCTTGGGTTCCAAATCATGCAATGTGTGTGATCTTGTCTAAGTTTTGCAGGATCCCTGTGCCTTTGTTTTCTCATATTAAAATGGTGATAGTAATAAGAACTTCTCCATATGTAGATGTGTTAAGATAATTAAACAATAGAATTTTCAGAAATGGCTTTGCACCATGCCTGGCACATAGCGAGCACTGAATAGATGATATAGTTCTTAAATAGTTTGTCTTCTTTTTACTAATTATGATTATTTATCAGAACAAAAGACTGTATTTTCTTGTAGGTTTCTAATATTCATGTTTTCCTTTTAATAACCTAAATGAATATTACTCACCTGACTCCCCATTTTAAGTGATTCAGTAGTCTTACTGGTAAGGTCTGTCAGTATCCTCGGATGTAATTCACCTTGAACATGAGATGCAAACTCATTTAAAGTAGAAAGCTCTGTGGTTCTATTGGGATAAAATGTTTGTCTGTTTATCAGTATCTGGTTTTTTTTTTTTGAGATGGAGTCTCGCACTCTCGCCCAGGCTGGAGTGCAGTGGCGCGATCTCAGCTCACCGCAAGCTCCACCTCCCGGGTTCACGCCATTCTCCTGCCGCAGCCTCCTGAGTAGCTGGGACTACAGGCACCCGCCACTATGCCCGGCTTATTTTTTGTATTTTTAGTAGAGACGGGGTTTCACTGTGTTAGCCAGGATGGTCTCGATCTCCTGACCTTGTGATCCACCTGCCTCGGCCTTCCAAAATGCTGGGATTACAGACGTGAGCCACCACGCCCGCCCTATCATTATCTTTAGAATCTGGCACAGTGGCTGACACACAGCAAGTATTTCAAGGTAGTTTAATGGATGAATTCATGAATGTCTCCAAAGCCTGTGTGCACGGAAGACACTTTAATTGTAATTTTCCTTATTTAAATCTTGAAATGATGGTATTTAATTCATAAGCAGCTGATATAATCATTAAATGAGAAAATCACCTAACATAGTACTTTTTGTATAGTGAGTTTCAGTTAGTATGAACTCCCTTTTCCATCGCGCTTGTAATCCTCTCAGCCCAATTGCTCTGCAACTTACTCCAATAAATCGAATCATTCTTCTGTAGCTTCATATACTATACTTCTCCAAACCATTTACCAGAGAAAAATAACAATATCAACACAATAACACAATACCAAACAATATTTTGGAATGGTATATATTTTAAAATTGCTTAATTTTCCTGCATGAACATCCTAAAGGCTACATGATGATATTCTTTTAGGACATGGTTCGGGGGTTTGTGTTTATTACCGTGGTTTTTTTTTTTTAGTATATCCGCTTACTTTTTAAATATTTCATTTCACTTAAAATTCCTTTTCATTCAGGGATTTTAGAGGTACTGTGAAAGATTCAGTCCTTCATTTATTATTATCGTGTTTATTGCTTTTTAGGCCTTTGATCTTGCTTCTATGTTACCAGCAAGAGGGGCTTAAAATGATGTTAAAAAGGATATGATATGGGAGAAAGCCACAATACATGTGGATTTTTATAATATAACAGCTCGCCTGTTAGAAATCTGACATGTTGCGTCTCAAACTGACACACCTACTGAGGATGTGTATATCTTCAACTGCTAATTCTTGATGATTAAACATATATCTCTGCCGTTTTTAGTGGGGAGGGTAAAACCTTGACTTGTCACTTTCCTAATGTACTTCATGTGATCTTTTTATTTCCTATCATATAAATTCTTCCCTCTTCACTTATGTCCTTTTCAGTGATTCTTTAATTATTTTTGTTTTACATAGATAGACACATGTTTCCCCCCCTTTTTCATATGGTGTTTTTGCTTCACACAGAGAGAACTACACAGATGACACTTTTAAAAATCCAAACTTCATTCAGTTTTACATTTTTATGCTTATAACACTGAATATCTCCAAAATGTCCTTACCTAAAATGCCTTATTGTTTTATTACTAGATTTATGCCGGTAGGAATACACCAGCTTTCTTAGGGATAATCTTTAAGCAGAACTTACTTAGTAAGAGAAGCTTTGAAAACTATCTTTCCTAGGAAAGTAAATCTCAAATCATGAGACATCAGTTTAATCGCTCCCCTTGACAACTTAACACGACAGATTGAAATATAAAAGCCGATGCAAGTGGGATCAATGGATTATCTAAGTCCCTGAACATCTTCTCTTAAATTGGGGGACTTGACAGTGTTTGTGAGAGGGTGTGTATTGTATGTCCCTTGTCATATGCAGAGCATTAAGTTTTCAGAGATTAGTGCTGAGTGGATGTAGTCTACCTGTGCATGATGAAGCAAAGAGAAAGAAATTGCGAGGGAATGAAAGAGAAAAAGAGGGGGCCAAAGGAAGAGAGGGATAGAGAGATTTACATGTGAGAATTCAGGGGGCTTTGTCATGGCAATTGTATAAAGTGATATACAGTGCAAATCGACTTGAGCATGTCCCCGGATAGCAGGCGGTTTACAGCCTCCAGGAGCTGAGATTACGGCTTTATCTTGTCATACTAAATTAACATGGCAGCACACTGTTAAACAGTGGTGACCTCTTCATCTGGGGAAACTGCTGCCTAGAAGATAGGTGGTATTTAAGATGCTCTCTCCCTTTCCCCACCCCTCTATAGGCTTAAAGCATTTTGGGGTTAGACAGTAGCTGTTTTTAAATAATTATAGAAAAAAATTTTAAATCAAGGAGACAATAGATAGGTTTCAGTTAGATCAAATAGCCACTTTGGGTAGAAAAAACGATTTTATTCAGTGTTCTAAAAATGTTATGTTTATATATCAGAATTAAGAATATGATTGTGAGCATTTCATTTTAATCTTATGTTATTCTACAGTTAGTCTATTCATTTGTGTAAGAATTCATTTCTTTGCTTTCCGTAAGATTTGCTTGGTGATGATCTCTATAGGGGAAAGCAAGATGGCATACTTGTTCCGTCCCACTGGTCAGGTAGGGGGATAGCCCAAGAAAACTAGAAAGGGGGTTGTGCCTTATATAGAGGTAACCAGGTTATTGCTTTTCCCCAAAGTTTACCAGGTGCTACTTCATTCCCTGTATTATTTTTACTTATTAAAAGGGGAGATAGAGAGGGAGAATGAGAGAGAAAAGAGAGAGAAAGTTGAGATTAATTTCTCACCCCTCTTCAGGATGCAGATATTCCCTTCTTGTGTTTTCTGAAATCTACATATAGGAAATATGGTAAGAATTTTTTTTCTCCTATGTTAAAATGTTCATAAAACAATCAAAATCCAATATGTAATTTTCTTACTCAGTAAGTGCTATTGGAATTTGAGTCAAAGGAAGGGGTGAATTAAAGCTTCATAATACCATAATATGGGTGTCCATTCACTTATGTCTTCAGCTCAAGACTGAACTGCTTCCTCACTAATCTCTAAAGTTAAGGTTTCTTAACCTAGGTGTTAAATCACTTTAAGGGTTGAAGGATGAGCTTTTTGAAACCTGTGAACCCCCTGAAACTGTGTGATATATGCACTTACATATTGTTCTTGGGAGAGTGTCCACAGCTTTGATTATATTCTTTAAGGGGCCTGAGCAATTGAAATAGATTATTGCTCCTCTAGAGCTTAATTCTTTCTTAGGGTACTGCTGTGGTGCATCCTCACACTGGGGCTATATATCTGGCAACTGACTTGCAGTCACAGCTATGATCCTGGTTATTTTGTTATCATGAAATATCTTCACCTAGCTTGCCTTGGAGACTTTTTACAAGGCTGCCATGCTGGAAGTAGTCCTACAGTCCACCTACTGCTCTTGACCACTTAAAACTCTTCCTATGGCATCCTTTTAACCCACTTTTTGAGCCATAGATTCACTATAATTCTAGAATAAGAGTGGGGTTCAGTTCTCCAGTGCCCTGGATTCAAGGTCCAGACTCTAGAAATACAAAAAGACTATTTAGCTTGTGAGGTATATGAAACAAGTGCAATGTATTTTTTCCATTTTTCTTGATAAGTTGTTTTCTCCTACTCACTGTCTCCTTCCCACCTTTTCCCCAAGTCAGCATGTTGTGAGACTGTGAAAAAGAAAACATACATTAATTTAAGATTGGCCTCAGTAGTTACATCTGTCCTATGATGCCCTGGTACCATGCTGCTTAACTAATACAGGATTTTTAATGTCAAGGCAGTTTGCTTACGTTCAGTATTTGCTTATGTTCATACACATGGGGTTATTTCAAAGAAAAGAAAATTAAAAACACCTTGCCAAGTTGCCTTTCTATGCTATGTATTATTTGGGAACTAATTTTAAAGAGCGATTATTGAAATTAGTATTTTCCTCCTTTTTCTTCCTGTTAATTTCTTTTCTAGTTTTTTTTTCATCAGATTAGATACATTAGCAACTCTTTTAATTAAAATAGAGAGTCACTAAGTAGCCACTACCTCCTACATTTACTTATTTCTAGCACTGAATTAATTCTTTCAGTTAAGTTCAGGACTTAGAGGTAAGTTGATATGGTGTTATCAGAAACATTAAGCTTTTCCTTATTCCTCATTTCAAATTCCTATTTGTTTAATACATATACTTAGTAAGCATTGTGAACACTCATATATTAAAACATGAAAGGATTTCTTTCAAATAAATATTGTATTTGATATAGGAAGCCGTAAAGGACAGACACAGTTTTATATTTTATGAAGCAGCAACATGTCAAAAAATAAACAGGAGAAGATTCTGGCAAACTTCACTACTACCCCCTAACTCAGAGCTAAAAGGAGTAACTTCAGGGGCAGGCAGACACAGACACCTGAAACATGGAATGATAGAGAGTCTTATCCTAGAACTGGATATCTGCAATAAATAGAATATATGAATATTACAGATTATTTTTGAGGAGTTCTTTAATATTTGGAAAGTCAGTATGATGTAGTATTTTCTACCAACAAAGCAGAAAATTTAAGGAAAAGAGAGAATAAAAAATATGAACAGATAAAAATAGCTTAATATAATAAAAATAGTTGTCCATAATCACACTAAATGGATAAATGTCTTTTTAAAAGATTAATATTTTATGGATTTGTTCTAGTTTCATACTTATTTAAAAAGACAAGCAAAAAGAAAAATAACATGGAAATGTTAAAAGTAAAAGAAAGGTAAAAATGTAATAGGCATCCACAGATAGAAAGCAGAGGTAGCATTTTTATTATCAGACCAAGTTGAATGAAATTCCTGGAACAGATATTTTTGTTGTTATATAGAGATAAAACATCATAAATATTTATACACTAAATAAACTACATAAAGAAAAAGGTACTTGAGTATACTGAAGTCTAGAAAGGAAAAAGTGTTAGAAATATGAGGTGTTGACAGAAACAAAATTATACAGAAATATTTGGAACTATCTGTTTCTCTTTGACAAATGGATGAGGCGGAACACCAAGATGTGGAGATTGGGTAAATATAGTTAATAAGGTTGATCTATTATATGTCTATATATAGATCACTTGAAAGCTTTTAAGAAACTATACTACTAATTCTTGTGTTTAAAATAAGAATCAAAATTAATTACATGCTTTAAAAATAACAGCGTGAAGAGTATATGCCAAAACTCATGTGAAATGATCGAAGTTCTAATAGCGATAACTTTAAATGCCTTCATTATTAAATAGAATAAATGGGAAAAAAGAATTAAGTATTTAACTTTAGAAGCAGAAAAAATATAATAAAACAACCTCAGTGGAGTCATAAAACAGAACCCGAAAAGCATAAGAAAATAAATTAATGAACTGTGAGAAAACTAGATAAACTTTTTTATATACTAATAAATGAAAACACAAATGCACAAAATTAGAAGTGATAAAGGGTAATGTTATTGTAGTTATGGAAATATGATAAATTATTATAATATATACTAGCATTTTCAAAATTTTGTTCCAAAGAATACACATTTCATATAATGTCCAAGAAAAAGGTTCTGCAGTGAAATCAATTTAGAAAGCAATTCATAGTATATCCCAATTTTTTGTATTCACACTCCATATGGAATATTGAAGGTTTTGAGAAGTCAGTTCTGTAGTTCAGTTTAATCTTGCATGTTTTCCACATTTAATTTTAGATCTTTGCTTTGATATATCTCTTATTAAATAAATTACCAGGAAGTAATATCGCATTGAATACACACTGGCAAATGGGGCTATATAAAGCTATTTATTAATAAGGTTGAGAATCTTGATGAATTGTATGATTTCATAGGACTACATAGAAAGGAGGAAACATAAACAGACTGGACTCATGAACAATTTTTTTTAAATTCAAAGAATAATCTCCAAAAATGGCAACTGTAACTATGCAGGTATTTTCAACTTTTAAAGAACAGAGAATATCCACTCTGAATAAGGCTGTTTTCCAGAGCACAAAAATATATTTAAACTTTTCCACAATTAGCATAACTGCAATACCAAACTCTCCTCCAAAAAAAAGGAAAAGAAAAGAAAAAAATAAGTCCTTTAACACTTTGAATAGAGATGCAAAAATCTTAAATAAAATTAGAGAAAGTTTTATTTTTTTTATTATACTTTAAGTTCTGGGATACATGTGCAGAACGTGCAGGTTTGTTACATAGGTATACAGGTGCCATAGTGGTATGCTGTACCCATCAACCATCACCTACATTACATATTTCTCCAAATGCTGTCCCTCCCCTTGCCCCTGACCCCCAAAAGGCCCCAGTGTGTGATGCTCACCTCCCTGTGTCCATGTGTTCTCATTGTTCAATTCCCACTTATGAGTGAGAACATGAGGTGTTTGGTTTTCTGTTTCTGTGTTAGTTTGCTGAGAATTATGGTTTCCAGCTTCATCCATTTCCCTGCAAAGGACGTGAACTCATCCTTTTTTATGGCTGCATAGTATTCCATGGTGTATATATGCCACATTTTCTTTATCCAGTCTATCACTGATGGGCATTTGGGTTGGTTCCAAGTCTTTGTTATTGTGAATAGTGCTGCAATAAACATAAGTGTGCATGTGTCTTTATAGTAGAATGATTTATAATCCTTTGGGTATATACCCAGTAATGGGTATTGGGATTGCTGGATCAAATGGATCAAATGGTATTTCTGGTTCTAGATCCTTGAGGAATCGCCACACTGTCTTCCACAATGGTTGAACTAATTTATACTCCTACGAACAGTGTAAAAGCATTCCTATTTCTCCACATCCTCTGCAGCATCTGTTGTTTCCTGACTTTTTTAGTGATTGCCATTCTAACTGGCATGAGGTGGTATCTCATTGTGGTTTTGATTTGCATTTCTCTAATAACCAATAATGATGAGCTTTTTTTCATATGTTTATTGCCTGCATAAATATCTTCTTTTGAGAAGTGTCTGTTCATATCCTTCACCCACTTTTTGATGGGGTTGTTTGTTTATTTCTTGTAAATTTGTTTAAGTTCCTTGTAGATTCTGGATATTAGCCCTTTGTCAGGTGGATAGATTGCAAAAATTTTCTCCCATTCTGTAGGTTGCCTGTTCACTGTGATGAGAAAGTTATCAGTGCCTTTTACTATACTTTTAATAGACCATGCCTAAAAAGAGTTAGTTTAGGGAATGCCAGGAAAGTTTATACCAAGAAATGTATATTAGCATCATCTATCTTAGGGGTCAACAAACTACAACTTGCTGGAAAATCTGGCCCACTGCTTGTAAATTTGTGAATACAGTTCTATTGAACAGAGCCACACTAATTCATTTACTTAGTATCTATAGCTGCTTTTGTGCTACAGTATTTCCAATAGAGGCCCGATAGCTTGTAAAGTCTGAAATATTTTCTATATTACCTTTCACAGAAAGTCTTTGCAGACTTCTGGTTTATATTCTCACTGCCTGAAGGGGAAATCTTCTATGAAAATTCTCAAAAAGGTCTTTGATAAAATTCAGCATCCACTGCTTAAACAGTTCTTGTAAGTAGTTAATAGAGTAATAGTAGTGTAATCTCAACCTAGCATTGCTTCAAACTTAATGGTAAAAATCTCTGGTTCTCTTTAAAGTCAGTGGTAATTCAGACTTGCTATCATTACTTTGATGTGATACTATATTATCAGGTTTCTTCCTGCCTTCTTTCCTCTCTTCCTCCTCCTTTTTTTCCTTCTTTCCTTCCTTTGCTTCCTCTTTCTTCCCCTCCTTTCTTCCTTCCTTTCTATGAAGAAAAAATAATGAAACTTTTTTACTAAAGAAAAAACAGTAAGGATTTTTTGCAGAATTGTAACACATTTTAATCAGGAAAAACACAGTGGGGTTATTTGGCCAGAATTATGGAACTTAAAATGATCTCCTGAAGTCCTTGGGTATTCTAATGAAAACCTTTCAGCAGCCAACTTTCCTAATGATACAAACAAACAGTTTTCTCTTTAATCTTTGAATTTTTTTAGCAAGTTTAATATACAATTTCTCTTCATAATGCCTCTTTATGTGTTACTGTTTTTGAATCAAAATATTCCACTTCACGATTATTGAAGAAAAACTTCCTGCTTCGTTATAAGATTAGTTTTACTTCCACAGAGGAGTAAAACTCCCCCTCAACTATTAGTTACAGGTGTGACATTAGGTAAACCACACAGTCTTAAGATGCACAGAGAAAATCCACTGTCTTGTGGTCATAACCTTGGGCCAGCACTAGGAAACACAATGGAAGTTGAAGACCTATTCTTAAATTCCTCACTGTTCTAAAATATCCACGTAGGCCACATTAAAGCCTGAGGTCTTTTGAGCTATAAGTGAGTATGCACTCAGCATATTCCTATTGCCTTTCCCCCTTCTTCTATGGTACTCAGTGGTTTGAGGTGGAAAACAGTATGGATACAGGATATCGAGGACTTTGCTGTAGGTAGCATCTGTCGTGGTAGTTTTTCATGATTTATGAGACTAATCCTTTCTCTCAGGACTTCCCCAGTCCCGGTTCAGGTTTAAATATCCCTCCATGAGAGTATATTTGTACTCAGTAGATTCCATGACCTCATCCTGTGCCTCTTGGAATTCATCTTAGGATCTGCATCATCTTGGGATCATCTATTCACTCTCTCTCTCTTCTTATAACTCTAGCTTTGGGCTAAATTCTCTTTTAAGTTGCTGCCCGTACTATTTCCGATGTCTCTATTACATGACAAGTCTTTACTGGATGGAACCTATTATGTTTTCATTAAATTTTCTCTCCCCTTTCCTTTCATTTTAGGGAAATTTTAAAAAGAGAATACTTTAATTGGGCTTCCCTCAAAAGTCACAGAGATTTCTAAGAGCACCAAGGTTGCGGTGGTCTGCGTATGGTGCGTCGCTAAACTTGATTGCCTCAAGTCCACAATCAGCAGTAACTACCCAAGGACAAAATATGGCACTGGGATTTATTTCCTCTTTGAATAGCTATAGTGCCAATTTATTAGGCATAAATAAATGAATGTTAGAATTTATTTTTAATGAGAATGTTTCCCTAAGAATTTAGATGAGGAAATACCATTTTAAATCTTACTGAAAATGAATTGTCTTCAGGTTTCCAGGCCAGAGATAAATGATTCCCATCTTTCCCTTTTCTGGTATGATTTGGCTTTATACATTTTCTCATGCTTATTTTTTATTCCTTGATTTATTACACAAGAGAATATACTTTTGTGAATCACCATCTTTGAAGCACCTAATGTTCAATATCTTTTTGATTCAGAAAACCCACTGCAAGGAGTCTCACAGTTAACCGTATTCTTACCAGAAAACCTGTAACTCAATAGTAAAGTCCATCTGGTGAGTTTTTTATAATCAAAGTATTGGAAAAATTTTTTATCTGAAAAGAAGGTAAATATTTATAGCACAATGACCAGTTAACCACATGTGGCTTTTCAAACCTGCTCTGTGAATCTCTTAAACAACAATCATTCACATGATCTTTATATACCCCTTTTCACAGTGGTAGCAATTCTTTACCTGTAGTCTCCTACATATCCTTTGCGGCAAAGAAAAGAAAATGCTCTAATCTAAAGCAAAAATAATAGAGACTGTTTGATTTAAGGAAGCATATAGGATGGACATTTAGTGTATATGAAAAAGAAATTACAATTGAGCGGTTGGTGAGAATGATATACTTGGCACTGAAAACACAGAAACTGGTATTTTATAATAAAAGTTTATAAACATGTAAACAAGTGGTTTATTTTTGGTGTCAGCAATGGCACTGTAGTTATTTCTTTTCTTTTTCTTTTGAGACAGGGTCTTACCTTGTCACCCAGGGTGGAGTACAGTGGCACTATCTTGGCTCGCTGCAGCCTTGACCTCCTGGGATCAGATGATTCTCACACCTCTGCCTCCCCAGTAGCTGGGGCTGCAGGTGTGTACCACCATGCCTGGTTTATTTTCTGCTTTTTTTTTTGGAGAGACAGTTTCTCCATGTTGCCCAGGCCGGTCTTCAGTCTTGAATTCCTAGGCTCAAGCAATCTGTCTGCCTCATGAGCCACGGTGCCCAGCCTACAGTCATTTCTTGGCCCTTAAATCGAGTGATCAGAGATAATGATTTAATGAAAAACTCTAATGTTAAGCCTGAGTTATAGTGAAAAAAAGTATTTTTGCTTATTGGCTAGAAATAATGTAACTTTTAAGAATGATTTCTTGGCGAAGGCTGTCTCATATAAGGAAAGTAAGGTATTAAAGTAAACTTTTCTGTATTTTGTAGGTTTATAGAGTTTGAGAACAATGGTCATTTTGACGACGCAATTAGAGAAAAACATTTTATTTCCCTAGTCCAGCTTTAATTAGTCACTGAATATGAAGATGATCTTTCAGGAATGTTTATCACTCTTTTAATATCCAGGGTGTATCTGGCTAACCTGGCTCCCTAAGTTGCTGCCTCCTTTTCTTGCGTAGTTCTCCATATGCAATCTTTAAAATCCTTTCAAAGACATCGATCTTCCCAACTATCTAAAATCAAGGTTATATTAGTCACTTTGATAAAACTCACAACCTATATATTAAATGGTTACCAAATGGTCTGGCTAAATGTTATTATGTTTGCAAAAGTGTATATTAAGTCTCTGTGATATTACAGTCCAAGAAAATCATGGGAAAACAAATATTTAAATGTGAATTAATTAACTAGTTTTTTATATTTTTACTGCCAGTGTCTACCTGGAACAAACATAGTTTTCTATTTTTTGAATGCTTTATCTCATATCAAACCATAAGAGGGACTACATTTTCAGATCTTTTAATGACACCATAACTTCTGGGAAATGGGAAGCAGTCTGGTGACATGTGTGCTTGTATTTTTGAGTATTGATGGTGAAAGCTCGTAGAATTGTTAGTCAGTAAGTTGAAGGTATGGTGGTAGATAAATGTAACATGTACAAAAGATTCAGTAAGAATAAATGGGCTGGGTGGGGTGGCCCACGCCTGTAATCCCAGCACTTTGGGAGGCCGAGGCGGGCGGATCACGAGGTCAGGAGATCGAGACCATCCTGGCTAACACGGTGAAACCCCTTCTCTACTAAAAAAAAAAAAAAAAAAAAAAAAAAAAATTAGCCGGGCGTGGTGGCGGGCGCCTGTAGTCCCAGCTACTCGGGAGGCTGAGGCAGGAGAATGGCGTGAACCCGGGAGGCGGAGCTTGCAGTGAGCTGAGATGGCGCCACTGCACTCCAGCCTGGGAGACAGAGCAAGACTCCGTCTCAAAAAAAAGAAAAAAAAAAAAAGAATAAATGTAATATAATGCTTGTGTTAAATGGAGCTTTGCAAAGATGTTGTACTCTCAAGTATTCTTAGAATAATCACAGGAAAGAAAAGATAGTTGGGGAGAAACTCTATTGTTATAGACAGGGCCAACTTATCCATTAAGAACTGTAGGCACAGTGCCGGAACCCATAATACTTTCAGGGTCTCATGATCCTGTTTTGATTTCTTTTAGAAACAGAAAACAAGTGAACATTGAGGTTGAAGAAAATGTTTTGATTGGTACATAATATTAATATATTAGTTTTTATACCAACGGAGTCATAAAATATAATTTTAAAATATTTTGTTGTATTTATTTATTTATTTTTACGGAAAAAAGAGTTTACAAGAACAAAAATCTTAGGGCCAAAGAAAGTAATGATGTAACCCTGGTAGTAATATAAAACACAAACAATTTTGAAAAAGTGTTACAAAGTTGTCTTTTATATGTAGCTCCTACCAGTTTCCTTTTTTCTCCTCTCATGTCCTCTTACCCACTATTTTACACTTCATGTTTAATCATTTTGGGTCTGAAATTGGCATTTCATTCATATTTACAGGTCAGTTTGTTATCACAATCCTTTAGTAGCTTGAATTGATATTGAACAACTGATCTTCATGTTCATCTACTGCCTAGACCAAAACAAAGATAAAGTTATTTTTCATTTTAGACCTATGTTAATTCATTTTGTGTGTTACATAAAATGTAGCAATTACACATATAGGTAGGTGGTGGTTTCATTCAGACAGTAAGAGAGTCAAAAGCTAATATCAAAAAGAAAACTTGATTATTTGTAATTGAGATGCTTTTAGTTTAATATGTGAGCTGCACATAGGCATTTAACTTCTCTAAATATTTTTCTCACAGTTATTGCTCATTATTTTTTGAGGAAAAATATACACCTTAAAAGTTTTATTTTATAATTTAAAAAAGATAGTAGTCCTTTCATCTAATTCTTCATAGTTAAGTATTTCTGTTACATTGAAATAGCTACCAGATTTTCATGGTGGATAACGGGATTTTCATATGATCCCTATAATTATAAAGAGATTTCCTTAGTGAGTGAAGTGTCTCATTTATGCAGAACTATTGAAGAAGAAGAAAAAAAACTACATCATAGTAAATCTTACATAAGTAGAAATAGTGAAAAAAACTTGAACGATCAGTACAACCAGAAGTTTTAGTTAAGAAATATGAACACCTCAAAACCACTTGGAATGGCACAAATCCAATTTAGAATACAATTTAGCACCAAGATTTGTTTTTATGTGCAAATACCTGGTCTACAAAGCTAAAGGGAAAACATAGGTTGAATAGTTATTATGGGATTGTGATAAGAACTGTAGACTTTGTAGCTCAGTAGACTCAGCTGCAGTGTTGGATCATACAAGTGGATCTATATTGCTTATCTGGTATAGCCTAACATTACTCCTTACAATTTGCCTTGTTAAGTGCTTTCTTGTGTAGAAAAAAGAATAGAGTTGGTATTTATTGGGGAAATGTGTTAAGAATTTGAAAGGCCTCTAGGTTTATAATGGAGAGTAAAAATATTTTTTTCCTTTGGTTTAGGGGAAAGGTTTGGAAATTAGGTATAATCTTCACTCTTACTTATGCTTTTGCCCCATTCCTGTATCCCTATAATGTTCTAGTTGAATTTCAGATGGTTTCTCAATACTGTGTTAAATCAATGAGAAATAGATCAGTTTTTCCTTTACTTATGACCCTAGACTTCTGTGTACCCTTTTCTTCTTTATTTTATTTTCAATTACCTTCCCTAGTCTTTTTCTGATCACCTATATTTAGCTCTCACTTCAGTACTCTTTTTCTAATGCTATTTGGACCCTAGGGGCATTCTGAGTAACAGTATGATAGGAAAAAATTGTGGGAAAGAATGAGGTCGTGTTTTATCTAAATCTTAAATGTTTTGTCCTTTAATGTAGTGACATGGGAGAGAACTCATTTTAATTAAGCTAATATTTAATATCTGCTATGTATAAAATATATTGGATTTCAACATGAGAAAAGCACATTTTTATCTCCTGGAAACTCAGTCTGGTGGGGAAAATGGATACACATAAAAGTCTTAATTGTGGCTGTGATAATATTGTGGGGAGTATTACAGATGAATGGATATAAGATATGTCATGGGAGTATATGGGGGAAGAACAATACTTTCTGACAGAAGAAGAATAGAAAATTTCTGGCATATGATTCTAGAGCAGTACTACTCACAAATGTGGTCTGAGCTACTTCTTTCATCGGGAAGTCTTAGTATGAAAAGAACATCAGCTGAACTAAGCAGGGTACTTAGTGATAGAACTGATTTACATTCTGGGGCTGCTTCTTATCTTGTAGACTGGTGCTTTGAGAACCATCCTTCTAGAGGACCATGGCACACATCCAATACACATGTACAGATTAGAACAAAACAGAGGTGCATGAGATCAATTTCAGAAGTAGGGCGGTAGGCTGGTGGGGTTTCAGTGAAAGGGTAGAAATGAAGAAAGGCTTCCTAAAAACTAAGATATTTAAGCAAAGTCATGAAGGATAGATATGATTTGAAAATGTGTGTGGAGGTGGAGAGAAATTGAGGGGAAGATATTCCAAGCAAAGTGAGGGAAAAGAGCTTATAATAAGGAACAGATATTCTAGGTATGTTGTGAAAATTATGTAGCATATAACCTGCACTACATTTTGTCTTTTCAGGGAACTTCTGGGTATGTGTGTGGAACACTAGGCAAGTTAATGTATTTGATGAAGAGTGTACTTTCAAGGAATCTAGTAAAAAGGAAATAACATTTAGCTAAATGTAAGTGTAGGCTAGGAATTAGGTTAAGTATTTATATTCATCATGTCATGTAATCTTTAACAACCTTCTGCAAAGCTATCATTATTTCCATTTTACTGATGTAAATACAGAAGTGCAGAGCATAAAGTTACGCAGCCTATAAGAATGGGCCTGACCTGAAAGATTATGTTTTAATGTGAAAAAGTTGAAAAGGTAGATGAAGGGCAGATTCTGGGGGGCCTTGAATGCTATCAAAAATTAGGACTTTATAATCTACAGTTGTTGAGGAGTCATAAGAGGTTTGGAGTATGCGAATTGCTTAATAAAAATCCTATCTCATGAACTCAATTTATTATTTAGTTTATACTCAAAATATGTATCTTTAGGAAACATTGAATAAAAAAGCCTAATACTGGTTTGTTTCCAGACCAAATCCATGGGAGCAAAATTGAACCATGGTTCAGGCGAGGGTAGGGTGGGAATGAAGGGATATGGGTGTTCTGTTTAAGAAAATCCCTCCAAGATGTTGGCTGGTACTTGGCTTATTTGTATTTTAGTGAAATACATAAATTGTCAAGTAAGTTCTGTGAATTAAGACCAGACAATTTTTTGGTCTGCTATGTGTCAGAAAAATACTTGTACATATAACTTAGGGTTGAATTATAGAGATTACCACGAGCAAAAGTGAATGGAAAGTAAGAGTGGGTTTTCTGAAGAGTATGAGAAATGACAATGAGTACCTATATTGCTACTTTTCTTACTCAGGTATGAAAATGAATTTGCTCTTGCTTCAAAATGCTTGATATTCTTTTCTGAACCTTAAAGTTGTTTATTCTTCCCAGGCCAGTTAGAAGGTGGAAAAATTAGATAAATAATTAAGCATGTTGGAGTAATCAGCAGAAAGAAATCTTAACATTCTTATCTTCCCTAGAAATACGAAGTGGAGCCGTGAAATAGAACAGTTCATTGCATGTACAAAAAGGTCAAATAGGAAATCTTATTAAACCAGCTAATATTAAAAGCAGGTGATGTTTTTACACATTTTTTAACCAAGGAAGAAAAAAAAGTGGAAGGCAGGGAAGAAGGGAGGGAAGGAAGGAGGGAGAGAGGGAGTGAGGGAGGGAGAGAAGGAGGGAAAGAGGAAAGGAAAAAAGAAAAAAGGGAGGAAGGAAGAAATGAAGGAAATTAAAAGGTAGTTATGATTTTTGTCATTTCTTCACATCCTTAAATTTTTTTTTCTGATTGAGGTTAAACTGCCTAGGTGGTATTTACTTAAATCTATCTACTCATATTATTAGCAATAAAGGTAATAATTTTTATGTTAATAGTGTTTTGTATGTGGAAGTTTTTTTGTTTTTTTTTTTACTATCTTTGTTGTTTATACACAGCTAGAGCTTAATTTACAGATCGCTTTTCAAAGTAAGAGGCATCACTGTTCATTTTGGTGGCATAGTGTGTAGGAAAGACCTATTCTTTTCTATGGGGATAGATCCAACCCACTTAATTCATTTCAGTGTCAGGCAGTAGTACAAATTCCTTATTCATCTTATTGTAAATCTAGATTTTTTTAATTTGGGGTATTTAAAGAAAGAAGTTCTAGTAAGAGTTTTAGAATGATTAAAGACCAATAGTAACACAATTACCAGCTTGTGTTTTTATATATTTACCACTCACAGATCCATAGAATTTTAAACTTGGCATTAGGTCTTAGAGGTCTGTTAGTCCGTATCTCTTACTTTGAGATAGGAAAATTAAAGTTCAGACAGGATAAGAGACTTGCCTAAGATCAAAAGTGTGATTTTTGCTTAAATCTTGTGTGACTGGGAAAATGTTGGTAGCACTTTAAGGAGGGGAAACATAAGCCAAAAAGAACAACAGGTTTGTGTGACAGAATTCTGAGTTAACATTATCATTGTTGGGTTTGACATAGGAGATATTTAGGTGGAAAATGGACTAATGGAACTATGTGATTAAAACCTTTCTTCCATGAGATGGAAATGTGAGACTTACCTGTGTATATGAGATGAGATTTGAAATTGTAAATTTCAAGAGTCATTAATTCCACACATATTTATTGAGAACATATAATTCCCCAAGGAAGTAAACCTATGCCATGTTTTAAAGCTTGAAGTTTTTTGAGGAGAGGCGTGGAGTTGAGAAAATAAGGAACGCATGGCCAGGGGAAAGCAAGGACTTATGGTTATATTACTAAGTGGAGTGGAGAGTGAAGATAAATTGAGTGTGCACATTGTTCAAAGAGTTCCAAGTTTTTCCTGAAAGCTAGGTGGAAGCTGAAGAAACATCTTCAGCAACACAATGTCAAGATCAAATCCCCAAAAGGGAAATTAGAAAGAAATGAGGTCTTTATATGCTCAAATCAGAACTTGTTATGGCCATTAAATTTATTTTAGAGGATTGAAGATGAAAACTGGCAATGCCTCGGAGAAGGATGAAAAACCAGTAGACGGTAGGCCATCAGAAAGCTAGGAAAAGTACTGTTCAGTAGTCTCAAATGTATTGAGGAGGTTATTAAAAACTTTGGATTTCACTATTAGATTATAGGCATATCTTGGAGACGTTGTAGGCTCAGTTCCACACTACCACAATAAAGAGAATATTGCTTTGGATATGAAATGGCAATGGACAAGAAATGAAGTGTTAACAGGCATCATTCAAGAGATTAACTAGTCAGAAGTTTTAAAGATGACCTGGATGCCTCTCCTAGTGACAGAGGCTTACTCCTAAATTTGGATTGGTGGCAAAACACTCACAGAGCTGTTTTGGGCACTTTCGCATTACTAACATCTACTTGTTCATAACAAATTATATGTACTTTAAAACTCTTTAGTTACAATCTAGACTATTCCATATATTTAAAAATCCATATATTAGAATCTTTTTTCATAGCCCAAATCATAAATATATATTACTGAAATTAACATAGTTACCTTTCCTTTGTATATGCATATGTGTGTATAGCTATTATGTTATACTTATGCCATAGTGTACATGTGTATGTAAATGTTTGTATACACAGGTATACCTCAGAGATATGGAATGTTCTAAATACTTTGTTGTTATTTCAACGGTGTTCACAGGATCTTCATCAGGAGTAGATTCCATCTCAAGAAACCACTTTCTTTGCTCATCTATAAGAAGTAACTTCTCATTCATTCAAGTTTTATCATGAGATTGTAGCAATTCAGTCACATCTTCAGGCTCTGCTTCTGATTCCAGTTTTCTTGCCATTTTTACCACATCTGTAATAATTTCCTCCACTGAAGTCTTGAGCCCCACAAAGTCATCCATGAGGCTTGAAATCAACTTCTTTCAAACTCCTCTTAATGCTGAAATTTTGGCCTCCTCCCTTGCATCACGAATGTTCTTAATTGTATCTATAATGATGAAACCTTTCCAGAAGTTTTTAAATTTACTTTGCCAAGATACATCAGAGGAATCATTATATATGGCAGCAATAGCCTTACAAAATGTATTTTTTTTCGTTTTTTTTGAGACGGAGTCTCACTCTGTCACCCAGGCGGGAATGCAGTGGTGTGATCTCGGCTCACTGCAACCTCCGCCTCCCGGGTTCAAGTGATTCTCCTGCCTCAGCCTCCCGAGTAGCTGGGACTACAGGCACGTGCCACCAAGCCCAGCTAATTTTTCGTATTTTTAGTAGAGATGGGGTGTCACCATGTTAGCCAAGGTGGTCTTGATCTCTGGACCTCGTGATCTGCCCACCTCAGCCTCCCAAAGTGCTGTGATTACAGGCATGGGCCACCGTGCTTGGCCCCAAAATGTATTTCTTAAATAATAAGACTTGAAAGTCAAAATGACTTCCTGATCCATGGGCTGCAGAATGGATATTGTGTTAACAGGCATGAAAACAACATTTGTTTCCCTGTACATATCCAGCAGAGCTTCTGGGTGACTTGGTGCGTTGTCAATGAGCAGTAGTATTTTTAAATGAATCTCTCTTTTTGTGAAGTAGGTCTCAACAGTGGGCTTAAAATAGTAAACCATGTTGTAAACAGATATGCTGTCATCTAAGCTTTATTGTTCCATTTATAGACAAAGACAGAGCCGATTTAGCATAATTCTTTAGGGCCCTAGCATTTTCAGAATGGTAAATAAACATTGGCTTCAACTTAATGTCACCATTAACTTTAAGATGTACTGACCCCTAACAGGAGAGCCAGGCTGTTGTTTGAAGCGTCGAAGCCAAGCACTGACTTTTTCATTCTCACTATGAAAGTCTTAGATGGTGTGTCTCCCTCCAATAGAAGATTGTTTTGTCTACACTGAAGATCTGTGTTTTTGTATAGCCAGTTTCATCAATTATCTTAGCTAGGTCTTCTGGATGACTTGCTGCAGCTTCTATATATCTGCACATTCTGCTTCACTTTGCATTATTATCTTATGAAGATTGCTTCTTTCCTTAAATCTCATGAGCCAACCTCTGCTAGCTTTCAACTTTTCTTCTACAGCTTCCTCACCTCTCTCAGCCTTCATGGAATTGAAGAGAGTTAGGGCCTTGTTCTGGATTAGGGTTTGGCTTAAATGAATTTTGTGGCTGCTCTGATCTTCTCTCCAGACCAATACAACTTTATATTAAGGATAAGGCTGTTTTGGTTTCTTATCATTTGTGTGTTGAGTGGAGTATTACTTTTATTTCCTTCGAGAACCTTTTCTTTGCATCCATAACTTGGCTAACTATGGTGCAAGAGGCCTAGCTTTTGGCCTATCTCTGCTTTCCACATGCCTTTCTCACTAAGTATAATAATTTCTAGCTTTTGAGTTAAAGTGAAAGACGTGCAACCCATCCTTTTACTTGAACCCTTAGAGGCCATTGTATGGTTAATATATGGCCTAATTTCAATATTGTGTCTCAGATAATAGGGACGCCCGAGTAGAGGGAGAGAGATGGGAAAATAGCAGTCAATGGTGTAGTCAGAACACATACAGCATTTACTAAGTTCACCATCTTATATGGGTGCGGTTAGTGGTGCTCCAAAACAATTACAATACAAACATCAAAGATTACTGAGCACAGATCACCAAGTAGAAATAATTATAATGAAAAAATAGGGAATATTGCAAGAATTACCAAAATGTGACACAGAGACATGCTGTAAAAATGATCCCAATAAACTTGCTTAATGCACAGTTGCCACAAGCTTTCAATTTGTTAACAAAAAAAAAAAAGCTATATTTGTGGAGCACAGTAAAGCAGAGTGCCATAAAACAAGGTGCCTGTATTTTTATTCCTTCTAGGACTCAGGATAGTGCTTTTCACAAAGTAGGGACATGATTAACATATTTTGTGACCATACTTTATTTCAGAGTGTGTGTGTGTGTGTGTGTGTGTGTGTGTGTGTGTGTGTGTGTGTGTAGTGTGTTTAAAATGTTATTTAGGAGTTGACAAAATAGCTCAATTTTCATTTGGAAGTACAAGTTAAGAAAATTGAAATGTAAGATGTAGCCAATTATAAGTAGTATAGAAAGTTGAAGATGTTAAGTACCTTAGGAAACCAAACTAGAGTATCAGAAACATCATATGGTATTGAGAGATGACATATATAGGGATAAAACAAACTTTAAAGAGAAAATTGAGTAAGGTTAGTAAAATTAAAACAATTAAGTATTTTATTCCGATGAGAAGCCATATGACACAATAGTTAAAAGCACATTCAAAGGAATCAGAGATGTGGATTGAAATTGTTTGTTATTTAACTTGAAGCCATGGCTTAAACTCATTTTCTCTGTGTGTAAAAGCATTGATCATATTTCCTACCTCATAGGTCTGTTAGAAAGAATCAAAGAAATAGCGTTCTAAAATATCATATAGTGATTGTCACATTAATAAATTTAGTAATTTTTTTCCAGAATATATTCTTAGGTTCTGAATGCAATCTGAGGTTAATCATGATAAAGAGCATTGTAATACACATATATAGATGGAAAGAATTAGCTAACCCATGTTACAGTCAAAGTAGTATACAATATTGCCATGGAAAAAGTAAAAAGAAAGACATATACTGAGTAGAAAATGAAAAATTCGCAGTATTCAAATTGTCAGGGTTTGGGATTGACCCCCAAGTGAAAGTGTTGAAAGCTTCATCATTTAGATCATTTCAAACTCTATTCTACCACACTCAAGAAACCCTGTGGTCAAATTCTTATCCTGTCTACTAGTTGCATAGTTCTTCCAACAGACCTGCTATTGACATCCCTGTTTCCTTGCACAAAGCTGTTATTCACTTCTAGGAAAATCGGTGGCTCTGTGGAATTGGATAAGAATTTGGCCTACAGTGAGTGATTTGAATGAATGAATTTGGAATTGGCAAGAAAATACAAACATATGCCACATTTACTTGGTACATTCACGCTTCAAGAGAACTCAGGTAGCACGTAAATTCAGTGTAAAAAGCCAGAGATTTTCAGTAAGAACCTATTACAAAGTCAGCCTAAATCTTCATTTATTTTTGTCAGATTGAAAGAATAAGGCAAAACGTAAATTATTATTCGTTGGAATGTACAAGGCTAGAATCCCTTCTGATAAAGTCATATATGGCACCTACTACTTTCAATGCTGATGTCAGAGACAGAACAGTCATGTTTTAGGCAAATTTAACATAAGTGGATTTATTAGTTGCTTTTAAGATACACTGTTTTTTAAAGCCAGTCTTCGTTGGCCAGATTGATCTGGACTACTTTCAGATTAAGTAGTCTTTGCTTTCCGTAGGCAAAATACAACCAAGGAGTATGGTGGCCCACTTGTGTGCTGGCGGTAAGTTGGAGAGAATCTGAACCTGCTCCTATTTTCAATAGTAGACAAATTTCTTCTCTCAATATTATTGCTCATGCAATTTTCAGTACCAGAGACATGGGGCCTTTAAAAAGGAAGAGATGTTAAATTTTTGACAGCTTTTCCCTTCCACTGACTGAAACAATAAAAATAAACATGAAGCTGTTGGAATGGCCTCTTCATATTATGTCATTTGCATGTGATTCCCTTTGCTTCTCTAGATAATTGAATTTATTCAGGCAATTTATTTTTTAAATGTGTAGTCTCTGTGAATGGAAACATCTTAACTAAAGACAACCCTTTCATTTCCTCTTAATGAAATATATACATGTAAGTGTATACTTCTGTTAGAACCAAGGGAATAGAAGGGAAATAATAGAAAACCCAAAAATGTATAATTAATTAAAAAGATGAAGTGTGACTCTTGTAACCAAATATTCTGTCTTTGTGTTTACCCCCTGTCTATGTTCAAGGTCTGTAGGTGTTCAATAGGATCTTTTTAATTATTTTTCCCGTTTGATGTTGCTAAGTATAATGAATAGATAGCAAAGGACTTTTGTAAGGAGCTTGTAAATGTGAATCACCTCAAAGCTGGTAGGCATAGCAGTACCTGGTTGTTTCCCATCTTGAGACTCAGTAAGTTTGAGACTTAAAGAAAATGACTCTTTAAATTGAGCTCCATGAGTCAAACAATGTAGCTTTATAACATAAATAGAGCTTGTATTCTCTTGAATCTGGGAATATAAAGAGTAAATACTTTTATTATCAATCGGCATTTTTAAGGGTTATTGAGCACCAAGCCAGAGCACTTTGGGATAGCAGAAATATCCAAAGATATTCAGAAAACAGGAATTCCAGTAGAATTGTAGAAGTGGAAACATCTGTCCAAAATTCAAAATTATTTATCTCCTCTTTATACTCCATAGGATTTAGTATAACTTAAATGCAATTTTATTTTTATATTCACCAATATGTAACTTCATCAAGTTTCCATGACAAAGTAATTTCTTAATGGGAATGAAAATACTGTCACCTGTAGTCACAACTCAATAAAGCAATAAACAGCAGTAGGATTCTGAAAAACTTTTTTTATATTGACACATTTCATTTTCTCCCTTTATTCTAACATTTATGTGGCAGGGATTTTAGAGGCAGGACACACAGCACCAAGAACTCAGCGTTCTGAGAGCCCATTCATTGTCACTAAGGGAAAGTTGCTTCCGTTTCTCATTTTATCCCTTAGTTTTACAATGATATCTTTTTGTCACGCTTTAGTCTTCCTGGAGTAACTAAAATCTTTGATTCTTACTTTGTTGTTCTAGAGCCTTCTCATTTTCCTACTTCTCTCTCTGTTTGACATATTCTATAGGTGCTCATTATTATTTCTATGTTGGCAGGGTTTTTTTTTTTTTTTTTTTTTTTTTTACAAAATATACTTTGTGTTTCAAAATCTAGTTATAAATAACGATAAACTTTCAAAAATGTACAGGGCAGACCCAAGTCAGTGAAGGAGAAGGTGTTACTCTCTTATAACTGCCATTTTTAGGCATAGGTGAAGAGGGCTTGGCCATTTGCTCTTCTCCCTGTGGATACTCTTGAAGAGCTTATGACCTGAAGTGCATTTAATCATTCACTGGAAATAAATGCTTCATAAGTCATTATTTTACAGCCTTTATTTTTTCACCTGCCTTTTGTAGGCACATCTACCTTTAGATGTTCCATATACAAATTTAAAGATCTCAAACAATTGAATTTCCTGAGGGAGATTGTATGGCATCTCTTAAAGTCCTGGGGTCAGAAACCAGGACTAATGCTCAAGCTATAAACTAATTTAGTTGGGCGGACTTATTGAAATTTACTAGACATACCAATTCTATTTAAAACATTATCTCTGTTTGCTAACAAATCTGTTTTTGTCAATACCATAATCATTGTTTCAACTTCCCAAGCAAAAACCATGTTTATCTTTGACTCTTTTTTTTCTTATTATTTTCAAGTTGCTTAATCTTATCATTGCTTCTTTCAAATTGTCTCTAGGATTGGGAACATATTTTTAGCATTCTTTTTTTTTTTAAATTTATTTTAGGTTTGGGGGTACATGTGAAGGTTTGTTACACAGATAAACACATGTCATGGAGGTTTGTTGTACATATTATTGCATCACCCAGGTATTAAGCTCAGTTCCCAATAGTTATCTTTTCTGCTCCTCTCCCTCCTCCCACCGTTTCCCCCCAAGAAGACCTCAGTGTCTGTTGTTTCTTTCTCTGTGTTCATAAGTTCTTATCATTTAGCTTCCACTTATAAGTGAGAACATGCAGAATTTGGTTTTCTGTTTCTGCTTTAGTTTGCTAACAGTGATAGCCTCCAGTTTCATTCATATTCCCTCAAAAGACATGACCTCATTCTTTGTTATGGCTGCATAATATTCTATGGTATATTTGTGCCACATTTTCTTTATCCAGTCATTTATGGGCATTTAGGTTAATTCCATGTCTTTTCTATTGTGAACTATTGGGGGAACCAGTCCCCAATATTTCAATGTAGGTTCTTTTCTATTTTCCCTAAGTGTCGGCCGGTCTGAGAAATAAAGAGAAAGAGTATAAAGAGAGACATTTTACAGCTCGGCCTCCAGGGGTGACATCACATATCAGCAGATTCCGTGATGCCCACCTGAGCCACAAAACCAGCAAGTTTTTATTAGGGATTTCAAAAGGGGAGGGGTGTATGAATACAGAGTAGGTCACAGGGATCACATGCTTCAGAGGGCAATAAAAGATCACAAGGCAGAGGAGCAGAGCAGGATCACAAGGCAAGGGTGAAATTAGAATTACTGATGAGGGTCCATGTCCCGCTGGGCACACGTTGTCCTGATAAACATCTTAACAGGAAACAGGGTTCCAGAGCAGATAACTGGTCTGACTAGAATTCACCAGGCTGGAATTTCCCAATCCTAGTAAGCCTGAAGGGCACTGCAGGAGACCAGAGCGTATTTCATCCCTTATCTCAACTGCATAAGACAAACATTCCCAGAGCGGTCGTCTGTAGGCCTACCCCTGGAAATGCATTCCTTCCCCAGGGTTATCAATTATTAATATTCCTTGCTGGAAAAAGAATTCAGTGATAGTTCTCCTACTCATATGTCCATCTATAGGCTCTCTGTGAGATGAAAAATATGGCTGTATTCTGCCCGACCCCACAGGCAGCCAGACCTTATGGTTATCTTTCCTTGTTCCCTGAAAATCGCTGTTATTCTGTTCTTTTTCAGGGTGCCCTGATTTCATATTGTTCAAACACACATGTTTTACAATTTGTACAGTTAACGCAATCATCACAGGGTCCTGAAGTGACATACATCCTCAGCTAATGAAGATGATGGGATTAAGAGATTAAAGACAGGTGCAGGAAATTATAAGAGTATTGATTAGGGAAGTGATAAATGTCAATGAAATCTTCATAATTTATGTTCAGAGATTGCAGTAAAGACAGGCATAAGAAATTATAAAAGTATTAGTTTGGGGAACTAATAAATGTCCATGAAATCTTCACAGTTTATGTTCTTCTGCCATGGCTTCAGCTGGTCCCTCCGTTCAGGGTCCCTGACTTTCTGCAACAGTAAACAGTGCTGCAATGAACATTCACATGCAGGTTTCTGTAGAATGCCTTATATTCCTCTGGGTATATACTCAGTAATAGGATTGCTGAGTCAAATGGTAGTTCTGGCTTTAGTTCTTTGAGGAGTCACCATACTACTTACCACAATGGTTGAACTAATTTACACTCCCACCAACAGTGTATAAGGGTTCCCTCTTCTCTGCAACCTCACCAGCACCTGTTGTTACTTTCTGACTTTTTAATAATAGCCATTCTGACTGGTGTGAGATGGTATCTCGCTGTGGTTTTTATTTGAATTTCTCTAGTGATCAATAATATTGAGCTTTTTTTCATATGCTTGTTGGGTGCATGTGCGTCTTCTTTTGAGAAGTGTTTGTTCATGTCCCTTGCCCAATTTTAAATAGGGCTGTTTGTTTCTCTCTTGTTAATTTTAGTTCCTTATAGATGCTGGATTTTAGACCTTTGTGAGATGCATAGTTTGCAAATATTTTCTCCCATTCTGTAGGTTGTCTTTTTACTGTGTTGATAGTTTCTTTTGCTGTGCAGAGGCTCTTAAGTTTAATTAGTGATTTATTATTATTATTTTTTAGCGCTTCTCATAGGAAAGTAACATACATTGTAAAAAAACAAACAAAAAAACAACAAAGTGCACATATATGTACCTGCCTTGCATATACACACACACACACACACACATACAGGCATATTAAATTACAAATAAAAAAAACTCTTGGCCGGGAATGGTGGCTCATGCCTGTAATCCCAGCACTTTGGGAGGCCGAGGCAGGCAGATCACCTGAGGTCAGGAGTTCAAGACCAGCCTGGCCAATATGGCGAAACCCCGTCTCTACTAAAAATACAAAAAATTAGCCAAGTGTGGTGGCAGGCACCTGTAATCCCACCTACTCAGGAGGCTGAGGCAGGAGAATCGCTTGAACCTGGGAGGGGGAGGTTGCAGTGAGCCAAGATCGTGCCACTGCACTCCAGCCTGGGCTACAGAGCAAGACTCCACCTCAAAAAAAAAAAAAAAGAAAGAAAAAACTTCCTAAGTACACTGTCATCGATTATCACACATTGTGTATAGAGTATCTAACCATCTAAAAGTGGCTATTAGCCTTTTTCCATATGCCTTACACATTCCTGTCATTGTCCCTATAGAAGTAACTATCACCAGGCTATGGATGAAGAGGGAAGGGCAATGTACTCTGGAATGTGAACAAAAATAATCTGAATATATAAGGTTTGGAAAAGCTCCTTTCTGAGTGTAACCTATTTTCCAAAACAGTTGATAATCACAGATGACAGATAGATTTGATGGTTCTTTTCAACTCCCACTGCTACAATCTAGTGGAAGGCCTTTTATTGTCACATATGTGTCATGGTAACAGTTTCCTATTCAGTGGAGATCTTTACTTTCTCCTCTACCCAATTAATTCTACATACCACTGCTAGACTAATCTTCCTAACAAGCTACTTTAATAGAATCACTCACTGTAGATCAACAATAGTTCTCCATTGCCTGCTAGGTCAAATGTAAACTACCCTACTTGACTTTCATGACCCTTCATGAAATGACTCTCCTATATTAGTCTTCTATTTATTATTCTTCATTTCTTTTGGTTAAGCCACTTCCTTCATTGTAGTGTGTGTGTATATGCACTGTAAAATTTCCTGGGTGGTGCCTCTGGGAATGCTCTGTATCTTTTCCTCTTCACTTATTTCTTCTAGGCTTAAACTAAATGACTCTCTATACATGAAGATTTAATAAATTAATAATTAACTCAATATGAATTTATGGAACATTAATAACAAGGCATAGTGTGTGTGTGAATAATCAGACATGTTCCCTGTCTTCATGGTATAGAAAGAAAATTAAATGAACAATCCTAAAAGAGTGTGATTAGTACTATGATAAGAAGTTTTCCATTTTTCTTTGATTTCTAGCATTCTCTCTTCTCTAAACTTCTCTTGCATGTATAATTTGCTACTCTAAAAATTAGTACTTATTATAGTTGTTATGATTACTAATTATTTCAGGTGCATTTCAGTGCCTCTCAAATTTAATTTTAAACTCTTTGAAGAGAGAGAAAACCAGCTTTATTTTCTTATACCTTTGGCATATCTTGCAGCACCTGAATCAGTTGAGGAAGCTTAATGATGACCACAGCAAGGAGTTTAGAATTGAATCTTAGGTTTAATTCTCCAATTTACCATTTCCTACTATTATTTTGGGTAAACTACTTTTAGAACTTTAATTTCATCATATGTTAAATAGCAATAACATTTTTCAGGGAATTTCTCTGAGAATTATTTGTTAAAAGCCCATAGAACATTTGCAACAGTGCCTTTAAGAACTCCAAAACTGGTAGCTATATTTTGACTGAAACATTAGTGAATAAACAGATTTTGTGTATCTCATCAAGAAAATGCCTAATAATGTAAAGGTGCTTTTTATGTCCTTTAAAACTCTAAGACTGACAAAATCTGTGTATAGCATTGCTCGTGTAAACTACATGAATATAATCTTTGCAGAGAACCTAATATTTTACATTAAGAACGACTATCTCAGTGATTGTGTGTGCTGTGGGATGGTCCTTATGGGCCCGCTAAAGTGGGTTCAGGAAATTCTGCTTTATAGTGTGAATAAGTAATTTGGCTAGTTGGGAAATTTTGTAAGAGTCTGTGGACTGTTTAATACCTCACCATTACTTTTAGACTGAGAACTGAAACTTGTGCTTCTTATTTCTCAACTCACTGCCTAATGTCAGTTCATGTTAAAGGCTTCTTTCACAAAAAGCTTCTTTTGCCCTAAACATAGTTCTCTATTGAGAGTCTTAATTAGTATAGAAAAATAGGTCTTTAGCTCTTTTTTAAAGGGAAGACTAGTGTGGTGGCGTAACAGAGCGGACTGATTTTAGGCTATGAAATTAGCCTGATACAGTGAGAAGGCATATGTTTTACAGACTTTTTCTTTTATAATTCTCAGAGAAATTCCCTGAAGAATGTGTTTCAAGGTGCTGCTGGAGCATAGCAGAGAGAAATAGCAAAAATGGAGAATTTGTACTTGATAGTATCCTTCCTCGTATTACTATTGTTGTTTCATATTTTTCCTGTAAGAAAATAAGGATTTATTTGCCAGACAGTCTAGTGGTGCTGATGTCCTCACAAAGAAAGAAAAAGCTTGATGTGCACATCTCAGAAAAAGAAAGAGAAAGATAGAAACATGACATAAAAAGTAATTGGTGTCATGTATTTATCACAAACAATCCATTACTCTTCATTTTTTTCAAACTTTCACTTTTAATAGTTTTATTTCATAATGAGTAGTAACTGAACATCTTTTCTTTGATTGTTTCCCTGAGTTATCACTTTGTAGAGAACCATGAAACTGTGAAATTTGAAAATTGAATATGCAACAGAGGTAAAAGCCTACTAATGCTGTATGGCATTTTGTGGAATACCTTTTATTCTCTTAAAAACAAAAGAAAAGTTTGTATTAGGTTATCTTTAAAAATGGGCCACATTAAATAAATTTTAAATTATTAAAAAAATCTTTCCCTGGATACAGTTTGATTTTAGCAGAAAAAACTATAAAAACTGCTTGTATAGGCATATTCTATATTTGGCAGAGTGGATGAAAGAAAGGGCTTTTCTCCTCCTAATATGTTTTTTCTTTGCTTTTCTGGTAAAGGGTCTATTTTTTTTCTTTATTTGTTTTTGTATATTCTATGTTTTATTCATCTTTATAGGCTAATATGCCTGGAAGCACACTTATTTTAACAAACACTTATATAGCTCTTGTAATATTTGTTGCCATTTTATGAATTTTATAGCTCATAACACATATTATTAACTTATGTAATACCCCAGCTCATATAACTCATTATATTTTAACTTATAATCCTCTAGCAACCCAGTGAGGTATTAGATGCTAATATTATCCCCATTTTGCAGATGAGAAAATTGAGGCATACAAGGATTGACTTGTATGTGTGTGACTTGTCCAAGGTCACACAACTGGTGAATGATGGAACCAGGATTTGAACCAAAGCTATTTGGCTTCAAATTCTCTGTGCTTAACCCATCTTTATGCTGCCCTGCAAGTTAGTGTTCAAAACATTTTATTATATAAATGAAAGAGAAAATAGAGTGAATGAAATAATATTTCCTTTTTAAAAAGTTTATTTTCGTTAGTGTTAAATTTTGGAGATAAATCATATACATATAAATTAATTTTCACTTATCCCATTTTCTAGATGAGGAAACAGGCTTAGAGAGTTTAGACAATTGCCCTAGATTATACAATTATATATAACTGTATAATATAACTGTATAATACAGATTATAAATAACAGAGCCTGTCCTTGACCCAAATATCCTGACTTCTGCCTCCAGTTTCTTAACAACTGCTTTATACTGCTTTGCTGCCATTATATTTTACTGCATGGGAGGACCACAATCTATTTTATTTATTAGTGAAGACATAGTCAGTTTCCAGTTATAAGCAGTGCTAGCAAACGTTTAGCTTCTTCACTGAATGAATGCTCTGTATTAAAAAACTACATTTATTGCTATGTGGGATAAAAGTAAGTCATTTCCTCAATTTTCTATACTTAAGCAACTCTATTAAAAATTTTGGTACAGAATACAGATGAAAATTTGAGAAATTCCTTATATCTTATTTCTTCCTTCAGACACATAGAGTGAATAGATATTTAGTCAAGTTTACTAAAAACGACAATAAAAAGGTTCTAGAGATTTAGGAGAATGACAGAAAAATTATATCTAATCAGTGGCTAGTTACAATACATGTTAAATTTATTACAAATGTTAAAAGGAAAATGTTTTGATTTGTAGTCTAACTTTTGTTTAGACACCTCTTATGGTTGGTCTTTGCTCACTCAGGGAAGAGATCATCAAACGTTTTAAAGTGTATTTGCTAGATGTTTAAACATAACTAAGACACAGAGCACATATCATCCCCAGGAAGATAATGAGGCTGTCACAGCACAAAATGTTCTTTGTTTTTACGGGTTCTATTAGTTAATGTATTAGCAATTTTCTAAATGCCACTTTTGCTTATTAAGAGGTTTTGAGAGCACATGAAAACATACATTTTATTCTTGAATGCAGCATTTCTGAGATTATTAGCAAGTGTGATTCTGAAGGAATATTTTCAAATACTCTGAAGGAGCATTTGGGGTAAAAAAAAAAAAAAAAAACACGTTAGACACTTTTGCCCATGCAGCATCTACATGAAAATAAAGATATTTTTAAAACTGTTTCTCCTATTTATAGCATCTCTTATTGATAATCAGAAAATTTGCCCTTAACTTGCAGTTTCATTCACCATCATTAAATTAGATGGTAAATCTGATAGTGATTTATAAAACAAAATATAATATTTTCATATTGTAAATGAGATCTAATTATTAATAAATTTAAACTAAATGTTGGTGCATTTCTAAAAACAATCTATTTTCACAATTCAATTTTGTGAATTAGGAAATCTGAGATTTCCTAATCTATATAGTTAGTAGGACATCAGGAAACATAAGCGTGTTTCAACAAATGCCAAAATGACTATTAAAAAATTCAAAGTCATTCTTTTACAATATGTGTGTGTATATATATATATATGTATATATATATATAATTTTTGCATGTGTGCTGACTCTTCTCCATCCCCACTATCCTTCTTTTCCTCCCTGGAATATATTACCTTTTCTCACTCTTCTCAAATTCTTGTCCCATTACTTTAATGATGTCTTTCTTCCCCACTGCAGCTTTTAATCATTCCCCCCTTTCCTTCTCTGCCTCTTTTTCTCTCCTTAGCTCTTAACAGTTTTTCCTATGACAGTAGTTCTCAAACTTCAGTCTCACATGGAAGGCTTGTTAACTCAGATTTGGTTGGGCTCCACCTCCTGAACATCTGATTCAGGAAGTCTGGGGTGAGGCCTGAGAAAAATGTTGAAAGTGTTCCCCGGTGATGCCAATGACATTATTTTGAGGACCACCGTTTGCGAATCATGTTTATAAAAATCACCTGTCACTATGCTATCATTCTTTATTGCTGTTTAGTACCATTTGAATGCATTTTTTAAAGAACACACTTTTAAATATTTATTTAGTTTCCTAATTAGTAATTAAATAAAAGCCTAAACTAACATTTCATCTCAATGCTTGGCAAAGAAATGCAAACCAAGTTAGACTTCTGCTGAATTTCCATCCTGTTGAATAGCAATCTTTAAAAGAGTCTATATTTTTAGGCTTTGAAAAAAACATTAAAGAGTTCTCACTTCTGTTTGCACTGTCCCAAAATACATAAGAAATGTTTGAAATACGGGCTGGATTATATTTTTGAAGTATAATGGGGCCATTTTTATAAAATGATAATCTTTTTACCTGAACTTGATGAGGACTGTTACTGTCTAGAATATTCAGTCTGCCCCGAGAGTGTGCTATGTCTGCCTTAAAGACACAAATTAATTTGTAAGGTTTTTCCAATGTTCTTTAAAAGTTAGAAAAAATTAGAACTCATTAGTTCAGGAAATTAGAGCTTTCCGTAGATCATAGAGAAAAAAGGTTGCAGATGCCTGTTTAAGTATTTTAGAATTTCTATCCATTTTTAATATTGTGATGAATAAATGTTTCTAAGGATTCAAAATACTAATTTTCAGAGAATTTCAATCATATGAAAATATTGAATATATATAATATAAGCATTCCTTAAAAACTAACTTGGCTCTTAACTTGCTTGTAAGTGGTCTAGATTAGGCCACTACATACCAACCTAGCCGCTGATCATCACACTTCTTTAGAGAACTTTAAAAAATGCATATATGTTGCTTTCTGACCCTATCCCAAGATAGATTCCAGGCCCACTCATCTAAAATATATAATCTTAAGTTGTGTACCTTATAGTTGTTTAGGCACTAAGGATCCCTGATGTTGTAAGTGCTGATCTGTCAGTTTTACAAAGGTATTATCAGTGGCTTTTTCAAATATAGAAGGATGACCAGTTGTGATAAGCTCTCTCTCTCGGTGAACTACTGAAATAGCCCAAACAAAAGTACCTCTCTTATTTTTCATTTTTTGAACTACTGGACCTAAGTACAATTAGCTATGTTTCAGACAAAAGGAAAGGCTTTAAATTGGATGACTTGATCCATAATCATTACTATAACAAACACTCTTCAGAGGTCTGTCTGTAAGTGCTGACTTGTATTCTGTGGGTATTGGGAACTGACAATATCTTGTTCCCAGAGTATTTAATTTGATAATCTTAACGAAAGAAAATTTCTTAGTGTTTTCTATCGAGTTTTTTAAACTTGGTTTTGCCTCAATGTATCTCTTTTATATTTACATCTCATTTTTAGGAACATTAATATTGGAAAATTGAGCTGATAAAACTTGCTGTCAAAATTGCAAACTTCATTTGTAGAAGTTAGCAATTCTGTCTTGTATTTCAGATTTCTGTGCATATTATCACAAGATGATTGCTGAATAAGAAAACAATGATTGCCCTATTTATTTCTCTTTAAAGAATAACTAAAATATGTATCTCTTTCTAAATGCTTATCTTTAGAGCAGTAAAATTTTAAGATATTAACATATATACCTTAAATAAACTTTTATCTTGATAAGGGGTAAACTTTTATCTTGATAAGGTTTTTTTTTTCTTTTGCAAGCAACTGGTTTTTTAAAATAACCTAATTGTCTATACTGATGAGCTGATATTATTTTTCTATGAAGGTATATATTTAGGTCAGGTATACATTCCTTAACCTGGAATCCATGGTTCATAAGAGTTCATAGCGAATTTCCTAGGGGAGGTTCATAACTGGAACTATGAACATATAAAATTAACTCTGTAAAACTATATGAAATTGTGCGTGCAATTGTATGAGTGTGTGTCTGTGTGTTTATGCATGTGCATATGTGTTTAAAATAGCATTTATAGCTATCTTCAAGGGATCGGTAGTCCCAAAGGAGTAAGTGTGGTTTAGGGTTTCGTGCAGACATTTTATGAAAAATTATTTTAATCAAGATAACCTGAGAAATAATTGAAAGAGCTCTTTAGACAATAATTATATTTTTTCTATAACTAAATTCAATTTGGTACCTCCTAATTTGGCAGAAGAGATTACAAGTAGTGAAATTTAGTTTCAACATTTGTTATAAGGTATATTTTTTTCCTCTTTTGATGGAATTTAAGGAATAGCCAAATATTATAGCTTTCAAGATATTTTTTGAAGTTTTGTTTTACCTTCTCCTGGTGATTTTTTTTTTATTTTTTATTTATTTTTTTTTTATTTATTTATTTATTTTTTTTTTGTAGACAGAGTCTCACTCTGTCACCAGGCCGGAGTGCAGTGGCGCAATCTTGGCTCTCTGCAATCTCCACCTTGTGAGTTCAAGTGATTCTCCTGCCTCAGCCTCCAGAGTAGCCGGGATTACAGGTGCGCGCCACCACGCCCAGCTAATTTTTGTATTTATAGTAGAGACGGGGTTTCACCATGTTGGCCAGGACAGTCTCGATCTCTTGACCTCGTGATCTGCCCACCTTGGTCTCCCAAAGTGCTGGGATTACAGGAGTGAGCCACAATGCCCAGCCATCCTGGTGATATTTTATAAATCACAACCCGTTGCTGGAAGAGGAACATGACTATGTCAAAACTTGTTGAGCACCAAAGTACGTTCTCTGTGTATCTGTAGTTCATCTTATGCTACCTCTATGCAATACCCAAATTACTGAACATGCATTCATGAGAATCTAATTGATGATAGTCCAGATCTTCTGTACTAGCTTTTTTCTAAATTGAAAACTTAATTTTACTGGAAAGGATGCTGGAGATGCTCACAAATTTTATAAAGATAGTTATAAAAACATAGACTACTGAGTACCATTACTCTGATTAGTCATGTAGAAATATAAATCTATATATTTGGTTTAAATAATTCTTTAAACATTAAAATTTATTTTAAAAAATATGACATGAACCAGTAGATATTTGGATGGACAGAGCTTTATAAGTCTGGAATGTGGTTGATTTAATTAATTTAAATGCATATATCTCATTTGTTTTCTTTAGGACTTGAACGTATTTCAGTGGAAACCTCTCATTTTCATACTTATTAAAAAGACAAGTGTCTTGTTCACCCTTAACATTGGTAGATACAGACATAGATGAAAGAGGTATAATAGCACTATGGTTAAGAATGAGGGCTCTGGAGCCCAATAGGTTGGGGCTGATTTTTCACTCTACTTTTTGGTAGTTATGTGACCTTGAGCATATACTGTGCTTCAGTCTCTCTGCCTCAGTTTATCCAGCTATGAAATGGAAATTATAATCAGGCTTGCCATGAAGATTGAGTTAATACATGTAAAGCACTTTACGCAGTGCCTAATACAAAGTATTCAATAAATATTTGCTATCATTCTTATCAATTACTGTCTGATAGATTGAATATTAATGTAATGTTTCTAAGTATGAACTTAATTTCAGTTTATAAGGCCAATAAGTAAGCATAATAACATGTTTCTTAAGGCCAGAAGTCAAGGATGAAATGTCACTTGAATAATAAAAGAAACACATGTATCTGGTTATTTCATATAATCTCTTCTTTTATAAAATGAGTTAATTCTTCTTAATTAGCACATCATATAGAGTTTAAATATTAAGGTTGAAATAATATTTCTTTCGACGTGTTCATAGCAATATTCTGTCTTTAAAATGAATTAACAAGAATTCAGTTTTAAAAAGATATTTTAATGAGGACAGCTATGTTAGGCAGATCCTTTTTCTATTGGTTGCAAAGATAACAAAAGGGGTAAGGTTAAGCAAAACTTGTTCAAAAATAACAAAGGAAGATTATCAACTTTATTCTGAAAGTTTAGAGACCTCTTTTATGATTAGAATTTAGAGGTCGTATATCACAGTTTGGGGAACTTGTTTGCAAAGTACTGGTATGCCCTTAGAATTCACAAAACTTGATTAAATAGATATTGCTGGTCTGGACCACTTATGCTTATGTTAGCTGGTTCTCTTGATTTCACCTGCCAGCAAAGTGAAGTGACACATGGAATCATTACTTCATGTATGACAAATGCAATCCCAGGGAAGGAACTCTGAAAAAGATAGGATTTCCTTGACTGAAGACTGTGCTAGCACTCCTTAACAAGCTATTCACCATGCAAATGAACAACAGTGTCCCACACTGAAACAGCTGTTAACTACATAAAACTGTTAAGGAGATTAACAGTGCCAGAGGCTGAAATGTAATCAGGCAGGTGAAATAGTGGTAAGATAAATATTCCTGTGTGAAATAGCAATAATGTTTAATTAATTTATTTTTATACTGCTGCAGCAACTGAGTTTAGAATACTTGTGAAATATACTAAACTTTAAAACATTTATTTTTCTCTTTGAAAGGTGTAGAAAGTTAGAGATATGCAAAATGGGATACCTTATCTGGATATTTTTTGATATTTTTGATATTTTAATAGACTTGATTTCATTGTAATTTTCAATTATGGCAATTAAAGGTCAGCTGCCCAATTATTGTTTCTAAAGTTTGTCATCATATAATGTGAAAGCAGAGTACAGACAGAAATGTTCAAAGTGTAGCTAACATTGGGATGTTTCTGCTTTTGGTCCTGGAAAGAAATAAGAAGGAAGATCTTCTGTGGAAAATTAGTACAGAGGTTTCGCAATATTCTGTTTGCACATGAAACTAAGCTAATGTGTGTTATGGACCATTCATAAAAACATTCCTATTAATTTACTGAATGAATTTGTGATTGCTCTTTTTAGGGCTCTGTGTGTGTGTGTGTTTATGTGTTTGTATATTTATGTAGGTTTTAATAATTCCAGAAGTGTACCTTCACTTAACGTGCGGGAGTTTGTAATTGTTACATTTTGTACATTGATTTCTAAATCCAAGTATGTTATAAGCTACTTTGTCCATAAAATATTCACTCAAGGCATAGTGCTAGTCAGAGGCATATTCTGTAATGTTTGTGAGAAATGAAAGCCATTTGAGGTTTAGAATTATAATTTGGAAGATTCTGTTGTGCACATTTTTTTTTTCGCCTTCCCCACATGCCTCAGCCACATGCAACAAACTGATGTTTGTAACATAGCCTGTTGTCCCTGTACTCACTAATATCTTAACAACAAAAAAAAACATATTAACAGATTATGTTTGTGTTGACGTATCTATTTTTAATCTATTTTTCAAAATTACACTGATGGTTTTTAAACCAAGTATGTTAGCATATTTTTAAGCTAGTCCAAAATATTGCATTAACCTTAAAAATATTGAGTATCAATCAGTGTGATTTGTTACTTTTTGGAAGTCAACAGATTGTATTACTGTGTCTCAAATAGGTAGAGAAGAAATGTGCAAACAGGTATAATCTAATATCCTGAATATTAAATAGGCACACATTCAAATATATTTTAATGCGAACTTTTAATGTTGTAGAATTAAGAAATATTTTTAGTGTGAGTCTCAAAGATCTTAGGATACAGCTTTATGTTTAAGATGTCTGTTTTGTGAGAGGTAAAGGATTATGGAAGTAAGAGACTATACAAGGAAAATCTTTAAGTAAGAAAATTAATTTTTCTTTATCATTTCATTATCACTCCTCCTGATAATTTCTAAAAAATCACCTTAATATGTTTTATACAAAATATTCCCCAAATATTATACAAATTACCAGATTTGTGCTAGAATATGTGAGAAAATGACAATAGACTATAAAAAGATATTTACATTTTAGAACCATACAATAAATTATTTTTATTCACATACCCACATGACTATGAAGAAGCAAAAACTGCAACAAACCTTATTTTATAGGGCAAATGAGGATTAAAATACAAAATAGCAAAGAGTGTTGACAAACTGTGCTTCATGTAACAAATGAAGTTGAAAATGTCTTCATCATAGGCAGAATTGAACTTGGAATATTCTTGTCTGATGTCAAATAACCTGTGTGATGGATGCTTTCTTAAAAGAAGGAGAGGGAGGTGGAAAAACTAAAACTTTATTAGAGTATTATCAAGAAGAGGCAGCTACTGAAAATGAACATAAATTGTGTGTAATGATATTTGTTTAAATATTACAAAGTCAGGAAGTTTAACACAAATGATCACTACATTTAATACCCATAAGAAAATCTGAGGCTCTCAAACAAAAGCAGGAAAATAAACAAATCTAATAATATAGGCTTCGTATAGGACTATATTGTCATTTATACTCAGTTTAAAGGAGAGAATCTCCATATTTGGTTTCTCCTTTGAATAGATCTTTGACTTACTCTAGTACTACCATGAAAACTGAATTTATTCTTTTTTGAAATTTCTTGGTTTCTTTGCCTCTTGCAGAGTGACATTTCACTTTTTAATCTTTCAGCTGAATAAGCCATATAACCAATTTTTTAAAGTTACTGAATTTTAAACAATTATTTGTCCTTTTGCTTTCTCTTTCAGGTAAACAATTATTTGTCCTTTTGCTCTCTCTTTCAGGTAAACAATTATTTGTCATTTTGCTTTCTCTTTCAGGAAGTTGATGGCAATAAAGTTATGTCTTCATTTGCCCCACACAACTCATCTACCTCACCTCAGAAGGCAGAAGAAGGTGGGCGACAGAGTGGCGAGTCCTTGTCTAGTACAGCCCTGGGAACTCCTGAACGGCGCAAGGGCAGTTTAGCTGATGTTGTTGACACCTTGAAGCAGAGGAAAATGGAAGAGCTCATCAAAAACGAGCCGGAAGGTAAAGGCTGGAAGAGAAAACAAAGTTGATGCTGTGTCCTGATTTTAATACTTTGATTTTAATTTCTTGATTTGTTTTTTGATTTATACTCTTAAAGTTAAATTGGGCAAGATGGAAACCTATTGCTATGAAGACGGTTGGTATATTTTTTTCAGAAACACTTAGCCCTGTCTATCTCAATTTTTTAAATCATTAATTTATGTTGTGATGTTATTTTCACATATGAGTAAATTAGTTGCATGAAAAAGATTCAAGAATAGAATGTGGCAGCAGAGCCGGGAATAGTCACCTGCTTGTCAAATATCTGCAGCCTAGTTTGTTTCTCTCCATTTTTTTTTCCCTTGAGGATTAATGTAGAATTTCACTACATTTTGTAACCTTTACACATTAATACATCTTATCCTGTTTCTTGTATAGTCAAAAATTAATATGGTTAGGACTATTATATACTTACAAATTAGTGATTCTTTAACTTTTAGATATGCTTAAGTTCCTATTTGTTCAACTTCCAGAAAGTCTTTCTTTTAAGATTTTATCCTCTAAATCTCTTTAATAGTTCCTGATAGGAACCTTCAGGTGATAGGCAAATGGACTAATCTTAAAATTAAAGCAAACAAGCCAATAAAATAACTGTTGCAAATTGTACAAACTTATGCATAATTGACAATCATCCTTTATGTTACACATGCTTACTAACTCCTATTTAAACCTCTGTCCATCCTAAGCATGGGTGCCATACTGCACACAAGAACATGCCTCCTGTTTCAATCAGATGGAAATTTAAAACAAATAAACAATGATGTGCAGACATACTTTATAACAAAAATACACTGCGTGTATACCGTGTAACAATAAGTTGGGCTCATTTCTAGTCTGTTAGGACACTGGTAAATTATCAGGATATCTGACACAAAATTCTGTTATCCTGTATATGTGACAGCCATGTGACAATTAAATATTTCTGGTTCCCTACCAAGTGCATAACTGGGACCTGGATTTTGGTTAAAATTTATGCAGTTCTCATGATCTGAGAATTGGAAAGAATTTTAGAGATATTCTTGTCAGCCAAAGATTTTGGATATTTTGTTACATGTCCTCCTATTCTCATGGAGATAAAAATGCAGTGTTGAGGGGGATCCAGACAACCTTATGTGTTTAAAATGGTGGATTGTTTCCTAATATTAAAAATAAGACAGTTTTATAATAATTATTTTAAAAACATAAAACATTATAAGGAAGAAAATAAAAATCACCTGAAGTCATAGCTATTCCTGTGTGAAACAGCAATAATGTTTAATTATTTTTATACTGCTTCAGTAACTGAGTTTAGAATACTTGTGAAATATGCTAAACTTAAAAAACTTTTTTCTTCCTCTTTGAAAGGTGTAGGAAGTTACAGACATACAAAGTGGGATATCTTATCTGAATTTTTTTGATATTTTTGATATTTTAATAGACTTGATTGCATTGTAATTTTTTGCATGAAGTCATGGCTGCAGGTGATTTTTATTTTCTTATAATGTTAATATGAGGTTAATAGGATTCTTAACCTTAGGATGTGTTTTTTAGTGTTTATTTTCATATATTCTGCTAATTTTTTATGATTAGCTTTATGCAGATGGTCCCCAACTTACAATGGATCCACTTAAGATTTATCAACTTTAAGATGGTACAAAAGCAATACACATTCAGTAAAACCATACTTCGGATTTTGAATTTTGATATTTTCCTGTATGCAGTAGGATACTCTCTCTCATTGCTGGGCAGCGGCAGGGAGCCATAGCTCCCAGTCAGCCACGCAATCAAGAGGGTAAACAATGATACTCCACAGTACGTTGTGTTGCCAGATGATTTTGCCCTGTGGTGGACTAACAACATAAGTGTTCTGAGCAAGTTTAAGGTAGGCAAGCCTAAGTTATGATGTTCAGTAGGTTAGCTGAATTAAGTGCATTTTTTACTTAATGATATTTTCAAGTTGCAAAGGGCTTAAGGACATAACCCTATCATAAGTCTAGGAGCATCTGTACTTTTAAAATATTGTGCTTCCTATTTCATTTAGAATTATAGTATGAGTGTGTCTTCTGCCAAGTAATATACTTTGAAAAGAAATAACTGCCAAGGCTGGGCACGGTGGCTCATGCCTATAATCCCAGCACTTTGGGAGGCCGTGGCAGGTGGATCACCTGAGTTCAGGAGTTTGAGACCAGCTTGGCCAACATGGTGAAACCCCGTCTCTACTAAAAATACAAAAATTAGGCAGGCATGGTGGTGTGTGCCTGTAGTCCCAGCTACTTGAGCAGCCGAGGCAGGACAATAGCTTGAATCTGGGAGGGGGAGGTTGCAGTGAGCCAAGATTGGGCCACTGCACACCAGCCTGGGCAACAGAGCGAGACTCTGTCTCAAAAAAAAAAAAAAAAAAAAAAAAAAAGGAGAAATGACTGTCAAATATTCTGAAGTATGGCCATGATTTGCTATTGTAATTTATACATTCACTTTATTTTTTTTAAAAACAGTTTTAGATTTACGGAAAAATTAAGCAGATAGTACAGAGTTCCCATGTATTCCATCCGTATACAGTCTCCTCTCTTATTAACATCTTACATTAGTATGGTATATTTGTTAAAATAATGAACCAACATTGATACATTATTATTAACTAAAGTCCAGAGTTGATTTAAACTTCTTTAGTTTTCACCAAGTGTGCTTTTTCTGTTTTAAGATACCATCAAGGGTAACACATTATATTTAGTTGTCATGTCTTCTTAGGCTTTTTTTGGCTGTGACAGCTTCTCAGAATGTCCTTGTTTTTCATGACCTTCAGAGTTTTGAGGAGTGCTGTTCAGATATATTGCAGGATATCTCTCTATTGGAATTTGTCTAATGTTTGTCTCAATCAGATGAGATTTGGAGATTTGGGAGGAAGACCACAGAAGTAAAATACCATCTTTCTCACCTCATGTCAGTTACATACTTTCTATGTAATTAAGAATGTTGGTGTTGGCCTTGATCATTGGCTCAAGTAGTGTTTTGCAAGTTTCTCCACGATAAACTTGCTCTCTGTCCCCTTTCTACACCATACTGTTTGAAGCGGAGGAGCTCTGTACAAGCCACACTTACGGAATAGGGAGTTATGTTACTAGAGCTGGATTGTCTACATAATATTTGCATTTTTCTACATGGGAGATTTATCTCTTCTCTACCATTTATTGTTTCATTCAATCATTTTTTACATCAGTATGAATTCACGAATATTTATTTTATATTTTGGGTGTCATTTAATACCACTATTGTGCTTGTGGTAATGATTGTTATTATTAGTTTAGCACTTCTTTTCTTTCTGACTCTGTAAGATATTGGGGATTCATTTTGTATATTTCTTGCTCCAGTGCTAGAATCATCCATATCTCCAAGAATCTCTGGTTCCTTTTATTGGAGAATATTAGAATGCAAGATCTGAATGCAGAGTATATCCCTTGCTTCTGACGTATCGTTCCTTTGAGGGCCTCTGAGCAGACAGAGCAATGAAAATACATGTGTGTGTACTAACCTATATATGTATATATCTATAAATATTTCTATATTTGTCTATATTAAGCTGAACATGAGTTCTTACTAATGTCTCTAACTGGAATCCTTTTTTGCATGGATTATTGCAGCTTCATTTCTTACTGATCTGTACATTTCCACCCCAACAGTGAGAAATATGGCTCCTACTAACCACCATTAATTTATATAATTGTTCAGTTCTAGTATACATGTAGAAGAGTATCAGAATAATTAACTGCTACTACCATAGGAAATATCTTTCTCAACTAGAGAACAGTGTATGTGTCCTTTTGCTTTTAGTCTTACAGATTCCATTCATTTCCAAAGTTACTAAGGTAACTTACTAACTTACTTTTCCCCTACCCCATTCAGTGAAATTGTTTCATGTATTTTTAACACAGTTAAACTAGTTCTGTATTCTTTACTGGTGTCCCTCACACTCCTCTATGATTTTTTAAAATTTTGCTTATGTTAAGGCTCACTTATTATGTTGTATTATACATTTATATGTGCAAATGCATAGAAATGTACAATGTATAATGCAGTATGCATTGACAAATGCATATTGTCATTTACCACTGACAGTATCATGTAGAATAGCCTTCACCACTCCAAACTATCCTGTTTCACCTATTCATCCCGCTTTTTTCCCTAGAATCCCAAGTAATCACTGATCTTATTACCATGTATAGTTTTCCCTTTCCTAGAAAACCATATAATCAGAATAATACAGCATGGGGCTTTTTCAGACTGGCTCTGTCACTTAGTAATTTAAGGTTCTTCCATGGCTGTTTATAGCTTGATAGCTCATTTCTTTGTATCAGTAAATAATATTCCATTGTATGAATATACCACTATTTTATCAATTCTTTTTGCCTATCAAAGCACATATTGGTTGCTTCCAGCTTTTGGTTATTATGAATAAAGCTTCTATTAATACTCATGTGCAGCTTTTTATGTGGACATAAGATTTCAACCCAATTGGGGAATGTGAATGCTGGAATTTATGAGAAGATTATATTTTAGCCTTGGGAGAAACTGCCAGACTATCTTCCAAAGTGGCTATCAGATTTTGCATTCCCACCAGGAATGAATGTAAGTTTCTATTGTTCCACATTCTCATCAGAATTTGATATTGTCAGTTTATTTTATTCATTCAAATAGGTGTGTAGTAGTATCTCCTTGTTTTAATTTGTAGTCCTCTAATTTTAAGAAATGTTCAGCATCTTTTGTGTGCTTATATGCCTTTAATGAAGTGCCTGGTTAGATCTTTTTTTGATTTAACTGAATCATTTTCTTGTGAATGAGTTTTTAGAGTTCTTAGTATATTTTGTATACAACTTCTTTGTCAGGAATGTGTTTTACAAATATTTCTACCAGTCTGCAGCTTGTGTTTGCATTGTCTTAACATTGTCTTTTGAGGAATAAACATTTTAATTTTAATAAAATCTAATTATTAATTGTTTTGCATGGATTATGCTTTTGATGTCTGTAAGCAATCATCACATAATCCAGGGTCGCTTAGATTTTCTCCTATCTTGTCTTCTTGAAGTTAGTGTAGTTTTTCATTTTGCAATTTAGGTCTGTGATCCCTTTTGAGTTAAATTTTGTAAAAAGTAGTTCTGTGTCTGCATTCATTCAATTTGTTTTTGTTTTGCATATAGAAGTCCAATTATTCCAAGACCATTTGTTCAAAAGACCATTATTTCTTCGTTGACTTGCCTTTTTCCTTGCTAAAGATCAATTGAACGTATTTGTGTGGATCTGTTTCTGCCCTCTGTATTTTGTTCCATTGATCAGTTGGTCTATCGTCTTGCCAGTATCATCCTGTCTTGATTACCGTAGCTTGATAATAAGTCTTGAAGTTGGGTAGTGTCAGCCCTCCAACTTTCTACTTTTTCTTCAACATTGTGTTGGTGTCCTGGGTCTGTTACCTTTTCTTGTAGACTTTAGAATCAATTTGTTGATATCCACAAAATAACTTACTTGGATTGTATTGGGATTGTGTTATACCTCTAGATCATGTTGGGAAGAATTGACACCTTAAAAATACCAAGTTATCATATTCATGAACATAAAATGTCTCCCTATTTATGAGTATCTTTAATGATTCCTGGTGAGTTTTGTAGTTTTCCACATATAGATCTTAAACATACTTTGTTACATTTATACCTACTATTTCTTTTTTGATGTAAAAATTTAAATGTAAATATAAATTATATTGTCTTTTTAATTTTATATTTCAATTGTTTGTTGCTGAAATATGGGAAATTGACTGTAGTATATTCCCCTTGCATCCTTTGGCCTTTCAGGACTCACTATTAGCTCTAGTAGTTTTTACTGATTCCTTGAAATTTTCTACGTAGACAATCATGTCATCTGCAAACAAAGACAGTTGTACTTATTCCTTTTAAAGATGTGCACTTTCTTTTTTTTTTTTTTTTTTGTCTTCTTGAGTTAGCTAGGAGTTTCAGTACAATGCTGAGTAAGTAAGAGTAGTAAGAGGAGACATCCTTGCCTTGTTCTTGATTATAAAGGGGAAAGCATCTAATTCTCACCATTAAGTATGATGTTAGCTGCGGGATTTTTGTAATTTTTTTTTTTTTTTACCAAGTTGAGAAGGCCTCACTCTATTCCTAGTTTGCTGAGAGTTTTTATTATGAGTAATTGTTAGAATTTGTCAAATATTTTTCTGCATCTATTGATATGATATATGCTTATTTTTCATTAGACCGTTGATATGGTTTTAAAATGCCAAACCAGGCTTTGCAAACTTGGAATAAATCCTACCAGGTTATGATTTATAGTTATTTTGATAGATTGTTGGATTTGATCAGTTAATATTTTATTGAGGATTTTTACATCTATGTTTATGAGATATACCATTACATTTTATGTAATGTCTTTATCTGTTTTTGTTGCTACTGCCAGCTTCATAGAATGAGTTAGGAAGTGTTTCCCTCTCATGTTAATTTTTGATTTTCATTTGAGATGCCTTTAGAGTTCAGGGCTAAGGTCTACCAAGAACCAGCTTTGTGAGAGTATGTGTTGTATTTTAAAAGTAGCTTTTGGGGGCTCAGCTTTAGATGATGTTCTCCATGGAAATATGGTATATGGCCTTGGTATTCCCCAATGTATCATATTGATTTCTAAGTGGATACATAGACTCTTAATTTGGAAGTGTATGACATGCCAATCCCCATGAGTAAGTCCCAACAGGAAAGAGCACAGGAGATAGATACCTCCCCCACCTAATTTTCTTAGCAGGAGACATTAAGAAATACTGGGGGCCAGGCACAGTGGCTCACACCTGTAATCCCAGCACTCTGAGAGGCCAAGGCGGGCAGATCACCTGAGGTCAGGAGTTTGAGACCAGCCTGGCCAACATGGTAAAACCCTGTCTCTACTAAAAATACAAAAAAAAAAAAAAATAGCTGGGTGTGGTGGTGGGCACCTGTAATCCCAGCTGCTTGGGAGGCTGAGGTAGGAGAATCGCTTGAACCCCGGAGGTGGAGGTTGCAGTGAGCCAAGATGGTGCCACTGCACTCCAGCCTGGGTGACAAAGCGAGACTCCATCCCCGCCCCCCCCCCCCAAAAAAAAAGAACTACTGGGAATTAGAAAAGGGTAATATCTAGTAAGAACAACTTGGGTATAAAAGAAGAAATAGAGCAATAGCGCGTCCATAGCAGGAAATGTAGACACAAAGAAACGTCACTATTGTACCTGAACATGAGAATGTTTTTATTTTATTTCCTACGACAATGTACCTTTTGTACTTTCTTCTCTACAAATATATTAAAAGCTGAGCTGAGGAGTGACTTGGTAAATAAAGACAAAGAGAAAATACAGAGGTAGTATTTATGAAAGATTGGAATATAAATTGCACAAAGCAAGCATCTAAAAGTGTTAGTTTCAGAAAGGTAATTTTAGCATAAACATAGAACCACTAAGATGCATTGATGTTTACATACACAAGATTCTTTGACATGTACTTTGAATATACAAAACTATAAATAGACTCACTTTTATTGAGAATTTGCTATGACAAGAACGTTTATTTAATAACTGCAATGATGGGAGAGATGCATCAAGGAGTAATTTATGTATTTGAGTAAGGCAATGATCTTAATCACCAAAAAAAACAGTAACAAAGCAAAAATTGTATCATAAAAAAGAATAGTAGAATGTTGACAGAACTTTGTTTTTCTAAATTACAAAGAAAGAAAAATGGGTATATATAATATAAATATAAATATATGTAATATAAATATATATTATATAAATATAAATATATGTAATATAAATATATGTTGTATAAATATAAATATATAGTATATAAGTATAAATATATATAAATATAAATATAATATATATAAGTATAAATATATATTATATAAAAATATATAAATGTATATATATTATATAAATATAAATGTACATTATATAAATATAAATATATATTATATAAATATAAACATATACTATATAAATATAAATATATATTATATAAATATAAACATAGTATATAAATATAAATATATCTTATATATTATATAAATATAAATATATCTTATATATTATATAAATATAAATATATCTTATATATTATATAAATATAAATATAGCTTATATATTATATAAATATAAATATAGCTTATATATTATATAAATATAAATATAGCTTATATATTATATAAATATAAATATAGCTTATATATTATATAAATATAAATATAGCTTATATATTATATAAATATAAATATATCTTATATATTATATAAATATAAATATATCTTATATATTATATAAATATAAATATATCTTATATATTATATAAATATAAATATATCTTATATATTATATAAATATAAATATATCTTATATATTATATAAATATAAATATATCTTATATATTATATAAATATAAATATATCTTATATATTATATAAATATAAATATATCTTATATATTATATAAATATAAATATATCTTATATATTATATAAATATAAATATATCTTATATATTATATAAATATAAATATATCTTATATATTATATAAATATAAATATATCTTATATATTATATAAATATAAATATATCTTATATATTATATAAATATAAATATATCTTATATATTATATAAATATAAATATAAATACATATTATATATTATATAAATATAAATATATATTATATAAATATATATTATATATCATATAAATATAAATATATTATATATACACATGTATATATGGAGATGTATACGACTCTTCCAACAACTGGTAAGCTACATTGGCTTCAATGACTTCATTAATCAAAGGGTATGATTTGACCTGAGAATAGTCACCAAAACCTTACATCATCTAAGCATCAGGACAGTGACACTATGTACAGCACAAATGTTCCAAAGCTCTGTGATGCAACATAGTATCAGAAAGAATAAAATACTTAGGAGTAAATCTGACAAAATAACTAAAAAACTTATACTCTAAAAACTACAAAATATTTTCATAGCTCTGTAATGGGAACAACATCATGACTATGAGGGAAGCAAAGATAGAGTGAATGTAACTAAATGTTAAGCTCACAAATATATGCCACAGAAAAATCTTTTCTTCCCTCAAGCTATTTTTGCCATTGTTTTTCAAAGGCCATTAAAATGAACAGCAGGTTGTGATGAAAATTTCATTAAGCCCCAGCTAAATCATTATGAGGGTGCCATATTCATGTCTTTGCTTCCTTTCATGGAGGTGGGGAACACAGATTTCAATAGAAAGTCCATATTATTTCCGACCTTACCCCTGCCAACAGCAAACTAACACAAATTCAGAAGTTAGAAAAGAATAGTGCACCATACAAAAGGAGGCCACTGAGGTGAAATGGTTACAAAGAAAATTAGATTTGCATATGGGTTGAAGAAGAGACAGCTCTCTTTCATTTTAGCCAGCCTATTTTTCAAGTGATTAATTAAAATATTTTGCAACTTATAAATAGGAGAATAATATATTGATATATTTGGCTTGCATCTTTTTTTCTATCAGAAGTTTTCCCTGTCATTACACAAAAAGCTCTGATTCTTATTTGTTCTTATTTATCCAGTGTCACTCTAACTGAATGGGATGCTAAAGTGCATGGTCTATTCATGGTTTTAAATATCTGGCCTATGTAACATAGTTACATTATATTTTGTGATAATTATGGTCTATCGGTTGGTCTTCAGCAATTAAACCTAACAGTTAAGAGTGACAATGAAATTTAATATGACGTTATGTGACACATAATTTCTATAATTCCTCTATCAAGACATTGAATATATAATTATGTATTGAAGGGAAATGCATTAAAATATATAAATTACTATATATAAATTGTTACCATGTATTAAGTGTATATTATGCATTAACTGCAATATTAAATAATTTATATAAAATGCTTCTTTCAATCTCGATGAAAACCTTATAACCAGGGCTCCTGTGTATAGCCATTCCAGTTTCAGGGAATACCATTCACATGATCTCAATATCCTCATTCCTATTATCTCCATTTCCAGATGAGGCAACTGATAATTAAATATGTTTTAAAGTGACCAAGTCAGGGTCACTTTTCAGCCTAAAGTCAACCTTAGACTAGAATCTATGCCCTTAACCAATACTTATTGCTATTCCTTCCAATGAGAGATTTTGCCAAATAATCATTTACTATTATCATTTCACACATGTGTATCTAAACTTTAAATATTGAATAATATATTATCTGAAATATTTAATAGTATTGAATAATAGTAGTGATCAGTAGTTTTCTACTAAAGTAAATTTCTTATGCCTCAATAGAGATCAATTTTCCAGAAAACTTTTAATGGGAGATTAACTCAGTTTTTACTGCTCAAAAATAATGCCTTGGAGGGTACCTTAAGAAAAAACTCATTTTAGAAAAATGTCTGAGGGCGAAATAATTGTGGAATAATAGGAATTAAATATTTGGGTGAAACATAGATACATTTTAGGACTCCATTCTCACTGTAGAAAGAGAGAGACCAAGACAGAGATATATATGCCTGAGATCACACAGCAGTTGATGTTAAATCTAAAGCAAGAATCCATTTCATGATTTATGGGTCCAGGTTCCTTTTTTCCCTTTCAGTTACATCATACATTCAGATATTCTTTTCTCGCTTTTGTTTTTTATATTTTAGAAATAGTGTTACCATCTTAGTTTTAAAGACCATTTCATTAAATTTAAACAAATCGAAGGCAACCGACTATCTTAATTTTGCCAATAAGTAAAGGTAGATGACTATCCCTCAGTGTCTTGTGTTCTCTACTTCCGGGTGTCCAGCAGTGGTCATAAATGTGGATCAGCAGTTAAATTGAGGAGTCTGATTTAAACTTGATTTTCATTCAAACTTTAGGCTAATTACAGTTTAGGTGAAAATAATTTTTACCATGTCAAGAACGTTAGAAATCTCAATTAAAATAAAATCCTTACAGATACAATATTTTAACTGGCTTATTTTAATCTTTCTATATTCATGTCTTTGTCACCTTCAGCATCTCTTTGAAATGGCCATTTCAGCTTATTCACACAGTTAAGTTTCTTCCTCCTAGAACCACAACAGACACAACTCACTTTTCATTGATTTCCATCCCTTCTATCTACAAGTCTATTCTTCTTGCCTCCAAGCTATTTTCACCTTCTTACCTCTTTAAGAACTGTTATTTGCCTCCATTGTTATCCTTACTCAGATAAAACTGTCCATTTATTTGTCAGTGTCTTCTGCAGTGTTAAACTCCTTACTTTTGAGGGAAGTGAAATATTTGTGAAAAGAATGTTTCTACTGCTTCAGTGTTGCCCTCTTGCTGCCTTGGGTAAAGGAAAGGAGAGACCTTAACAAATGTCCAACTCTCCTGCCAGGTGTTAATGTGGGCTGTTTCATGTAATCTTCAAAAACACTTAAATTAGTATAAGTTCTTATCTTAAAAATGAGTAAACGAGGCTTACTGATTTGCTCGTGTTATTATATGGAGGAACTTGAATTAGAACAAAAGTACTATCAGCTAAAAATTCCTTAGCATTGACTAAAAAATCATATGTAATCTGACTCTACCCTATTGTTCTCCCTTAACTTTATTTTCCACCACTCTTCAAAGTACATGTTGTCATGCAATCTTGTGAAATCACGTGCAGTTCTCTCAACACTCTTTGTTTTTAATATTACTGTGCTGTTTTATATGCCGTTCCACTGCCTTAAATGTCGTTTCCCGTCTTACCTACCTGATGAATTTTTATTCACTTCTTAAGACTCAATGATCCTCAAACAACTTTGTCAGAATTCGAGTCAGTCTACACTGCTAATGCTAACTCATCTCTATAGTTCTTACCACATTATTATTGTTTATTTACATTCTGTCTTCTACAGTAGCATGTGATTGTCTAAATAAAGTGTTCTTGACTTGGGGACTTTGGAGGTGCTTGTTTCTCTTAACTGTGGATGACAGTCAACCTACTAATTGACATTTTGTAGCCTTGCTAACTCTCCCCTACAAACTGACTAGGTGTAATTTGTCTTTTTAAACAATTTCTGCCTTTCTCTTTTTAAATATATCCTCACACTCTTCTTTTACCTCCTTCCCTATTTGACTCATTTATTCCATCTTCTCCAATCTTCTGACATGTATACCCCTATCCTTATTGAATTGTAAGATCATTTCTTTTCATTTTTTTCTGTGACTTAGAGGTTAAAATATTCTCCTAGGTCATAAAGCAAGATATTTTAATACCCAAGATATAAAATTGAAATACACACATGAAGTGATTTTTATACAAGTGAAAACTTTATATTTACATTAATCTTTTAAATGACTTTAATACTGCATACTTCTCTAAGAAGATATGGTAACGTTACCTATGGATTAGTGGCCATAGATAATAATTCTCTTCAATTGCTATAGGTAAAGTGAGAAGTGAATTGGCTTGATTTTTGAAAAATGTTCTAGAATTTAAAGCTGTAACTTGTTCTTTAATAGTGTTTCAACATAATGGAGACAAGCACCCTTTTCTAGGTAAATAGAGCTGGTATGGGAGACAGTTTGTATTTCTTATGATGGGCTCCAGATTGGGGCAATTTTATTATTGGATCTTTCCCTCCACAACCTCTCCTTTCCTAGTTCTTCTTAGGGGATACGGTGAGAGAAATGTAACGTTCCTGTTAAGACCTTTCCTGTTCCTTCTAGTCTTCCAAGCTTCCCTCAGAGGTAGCAGAGTTTCCAGACTCAGGATTCATGAGTTTCTTCAGAGGCTTTATAGATCCTGGAAATTGTTTGCAAAATGATGAAAATATATGTATTTGTACATTTTTGGGGAGATAATCCACAACTTTGGCTTTCAAATGAATCCACAATGTAAAAAGAGTAATTAGACTGTTAGTATTCAGTGTTTGAGTTTCAGTCCTGAGTCTGTCACTGATTACTAAGTGATTATAGTTTAACATCTATGTAGTTTAGTCTCTGATCAATTTTGAAGGGATAATTTACAGATATTTAGCAATATTTGGGGTATAATTTTATCTATTTTGGTTCTTGAATTTTGCATCATTTGCAGGAAATGCAAATTTTAATTTAAAGTAAGGGTTTTTTTTTTTGCCTAAAAGTGAGCATCTACCTTGTAATTTACGTTGTAAAAAAATATATTTACTTGCCTTTAATTTGCTATAATAATTGTATTAATATAATAAATATCTGCCCTCAGTTGGCAATGCTAACTGCCCTACTTTCATCAGGGGATTGTTGAAGGAGACAAATGAAGTGATGTATATCAAAGTACTTTGTAAATTATAAACAACTTGGAATTGTACCAGTTATTGTCATTATTTCACCCTGGCTACCTTGAAACATTGTTACTTTAGATATACCAGAAACATTATGTATTTCAATATAATTCTCCTTTATACATTTTTAATATTATGTAGTTAAAATCTGCTCCTTTCCCAGAATACTTTTATATACCGAAACACCGGATTCAGAGCTGCAAATATCTGGAAATTTAGGATAGGTAGTCAAGAACAAGAACAATAATGAACTCAACAGTCATAAAAATCCTAGGACAGGTAGTTACTTTGAAGTTTATTTATATACATTTCCCCAAATAAATATGTAGTTGGGCAGTTGCCTAAATGAACAACAACTTTCCAAAATTTTTTTTTTAATTAATGGGGATTAAATTGAAACTTGTGACCAGTGTGAAACCAGGAGGGGCAGTTTTAACATTGGATTTGTGATATTTCTGTTTCCACAGTAAATGTGAATATGAGCTGAAGACAAATATAATTGAAGCCCACATTTTCATACTTTCTAAGATTTTAGCTTTCCTTTACGTGGTTTATTCCCCCTGCCCCATCACTTTACTTTTTTTCTTTTCCTTCCTTTTGTGTGCCTGAGTGTGCGCATGTGCCTCTGTGTGTGTGTGTGTGTGTGTGTGTGTAGTTCCCCTTTCAGATCCTACATATGCTTGGTTTTATTTAGCATCTGTATCTGTCAGTGTTCTTCCTTCTGAGCAGGACGCCTACACCTCCAAAATTGTTTTGCCATGATGAGTGTGCTCCTTGTGTGTGAGAAACTGCATTTATTTGTGAAATTTTTGTTTCTACTAGAACTAGACTTTATCATTATTTAAACAACTAGAACTTTTTCCCTGAACTTCTTCAGATAATCTTTGCTCACAATTTTATATTTCAAGACCCTAAAGGCACAACTTATTACCAAACTTACCTAGTGTTACTTTACATGAAGCAGTTCATTGCCTTTAGTATGGACTTTAAAAAAAGAGTTCTCTTCTGAGAACTAATGCAAATAATGCAATGAGTTTCAAAAGGTATGTATGGTGGCAGACCTCAAGCCTTCACCCTCAGGATCATCTATAGACTATAGACCGTTGTTGGGTAAAGGAAATACCAGGATTTTCATTCACATTCCCCCATCCGTCCCTCTCTGTCCTACTGTGCAATGCAATACAAATTCTTGGAGTCAAATATCCTAAAACACCCACTTAATCCCACCTGTACCATTTGTGGGACTGGATTGGACAGTTTTATGTTTATTCCTGGATGTTTATGAACAAAACAGTAACATATCCATTGTTCATTATTTATCCTTTTAAAACTTGAAAAAAATCAACATTATTGTTTCATTTATCGTTTTGATATTTGCATCTGTCACAAAAATAATTCACTTTAATTGATTGCACCTTCTATGATACTTGTATTTTTTACAGAAATTATGTTAATGTCTTTTTAATTTTTCTTACAAATGTTTTGACCTATAAGACCATTAGATCCTCTAAATAGATATAAAATTTATTTCCCTGTTTTAAGACTTATTTTATGGGTGCTAAAGAAGGTATTATTAGCAGTATATTTTCATCTGTGCTGTGCTACAGAATTACATGTAATTATTCTGTAGCAAAGACAGGCCCCTGGTGCATGATATTTGGCCTTGTGAACATCCCTACAGGCATTGCATGTTTGATGTTTGAGTTTACATTATAAATCACAATGCTTGTTCTTATAATTTAAATGTCTGTTGTTGAGCAGCCCTTTAGAAATTAAACTGAACCATATTACATCAACAGGCAAGTTAAACTAGAGCTTCAGATTTACCCCTTAATCTTACCAACTTTTTAATTACTATTTTTATGGGGAAATTATGGAGATCGGCTTTCCTAAGTTCAAAATCCCAAAGCATCCATTAATTGGGCAAAGGGGGCACTTCGAAATTCACTCTTGTTTTAAAATCGCATTTGATGGGGTGGGAAAAATAAAAAGTGAACGGATCAGGGGAAAAGCCTAAAGATACTTTAATTGGCAGAGGTTTGAGTTGCTTTTGTTTAGTTACTCACTGTCCTTTTGACAAAGTACATGTTGAAGAGGCTTTGTAAGTGCTGTTCCACTGAAGGACAAACAAGGGTACTTTTCAATTGAGCCCTTTTAAGTTTTGTTCCTCACACTCCCGCTGCTGTTGGAGGCTACTCCTAATGCATTGTGGCTATGTGTTCATCTATGCAGTCTGTCACTGAAAAATGTCTCTCTTCTTGTTGAGCAAGCTAGAGTCTAACCTCCAGGCACCCTTTTCAAAAGCACCACTGTATGGAAATCGACACTCATAAAATGATGATAAAGAAAAGAGTTTATTTTTTAAAGGTCAGGACAAGAAGACACCCTCAAATGCTGTAGAGCCTATTTCTTCAGGAATAAGTGTTTTAACTTTAGCACTGAGTTAGCTGAGTTTGAAGCCTCATAATTTTTCAACACTGAAGCGAAACTTGTTCACTGTCATCTCCTTTTCAAGTGGTATCCATCATAGCAGTTTATGCTGATATTGTTTATTTCATTAGTGTTATAGGAAATTATATTTTCCTGAAATACCTCTGGCTTGGATTGTAAAGGCTCAGAAATTCTGCTTGGTAATCTTTTTATATAGCAGGTCCTGGAGCTGAGTACCAGTGTTGTCTTTATAAGAAAATCATTTGTCCCAGAAAGCTTCTATTTTTCTTTTTAACTAGAGCTTGTACTTTTGCTAACAAAATGTAATGATATTTAAGATTATAGCCTTCATTTTCTTCATCTTCTCTTAATAATCAAGCCATCATTCTTTTCTTATTTGGCTATTTGACTCAATAAAAAAAGAATCTATTTGATTCCTGCTGATACATTAGTTTGTCTACTATCAGGTCTATGTAAGTCATTCCAAACCTCTCTTTACCCAAGCATTTCTGGTACTTCTTAAGTCCCTCAGATAAATGGTGTACCTGTTTTCTTGTCCTTCACTGAAACTAGCATATCCAGACTTTCAGTTTCAATTCATAGATCACTTAAAGAAGGCCCATTGACCCAGACTCTACATTTGCAAATAAACATGAGGAGAATGTGCCAGTCCCTCTTGTTGCTTATGTGCCACAGCTTTTGGGGATATCACTTATTCAAGAGTGAAGAGCCAGCCACCTGTTTCTGAGGCCTCTTTTCCCTCACATTAAAGGTCCAGGCCCTTGCTGAATAGTAACACTCTAATCTGGGCAGCATACATAGCATTTTTCTGAAACAGATTTGTCAAGACTAGCTGGAGGATTTTGTGTGTCTGTGCGTGCATGTGTGTTTTTCACTCAGTTACCCTTGAGGCACTTGTCAGGACCGTGCATATTAAAATTAATCAGACCTCCTAGGCCTGTGTGGCTGTGTGTTTAACATGAAGAAGTGGATATCAAGCATTTGCCCTAATTAAATAGGCCTGTTTGGGTTGGTTCTAGTGGATGCTTGGTCTTTTTTTTTTAAATAGGAGTTGTTTATGGGAAAGGCATGGACAGCACTAGAGTCAGTGGAGAGCTCACTCAGAATTTCCTTTGCCACCTGCTCCCAGAGTTCTGACACCTCAAGGACTCCCAGTGTACCCATCTGAACTACTCTTGATGTTGAGGACAAATATGGCCAGCATCGTGAAGGAGCAGTGAGGCTAGGGCAGAACAGGATGAGCATATGACCTGGGCATTTTGGATGATTAAGATAGCCCATCTTACATGTTGATAATCTTTGAATGCCAGATTGTGCTCCTTGCTCTCATTTTTTGGATGACCAACTTTGGAGGCTTAGGAGAAGAACTTGTTTGAAATTAAGAATAAGTGCTTTTTTTTTTTTTTGATGTCCTGAATTTGAAAAGCAACTTCTATTCATCTATCTTTTATATTAATTGCTTCCAAGGTTATTTACATATTATATAGAAGTCATGTATGATATAATAACTGCATATATATGAGTTCACTTCTACTGTGATTGTTTCTGGGCTGTCACAGGACATTTGAACACAAACTTTTATGAAGTATAAGCTCAGAATACTGAAAATGGCACAGACTGACACAACACAATATTTTTCTTATTTGTGTATTAAATGTCATAAATAAGGTAAATTCTAAAACACTGACCTCTGAGTTTGTGCAGTTTATTCCCAATTCATGTGTGTTATTCACACTCTTCTTGTATTTTAAAAAATGATATAGAAAGATATATTTAGAATTTTATAATTAGATCTGAATTTTATACACATACATGTGTGTGTGTGCACACACATACACACACAGTCATGCATCACTTAACAATGTGAATACATTCTGAGAAATGTGTCCTTAGGTGATTTTGCCCTTGTGCAAACGTAATAGAGTTCACTTACACATAACTAGATGGTGTAGCCTATCGCCCCTAGGCTCCAAGCCTGTACAGTATGTTACTGAACTGAATATGGTAGGCAATTGTAACAAAAAAGTAAGTATTTGTGTATCTACACATAAAAAAGGTACAGTAGAAATATGGTATTATAATCTATGGGACCCCTGATGTATACGTGGTCTGTCATTGACATTCATGTTGTTATGTGTAGAGTTAACTATATGTGGAATAAATCATAGAGCCAACATTAGAAACCATTTGAAAATAATAATAAATTCCCAAATGTTGAAGAGTTTGAGGTTATAGTTCAGCAAATTTCTGAATAAACACAGCCAGTAATCTGGTGAAATATTGCTCTGGCAGGACATGGTACTTAAAATTCATTTGCTCCTTCCCAAATTGAAAGAGGTAGACAATTCAAAAAACAAAAACAAAAAAAAGCTATTGCTTTTCTGCTTTTTATCCCTTTCTTTCCATCACATTTAGTATTTTAAAGGATCCATCTATTAACCTATATCCTCTGTCTTTTATGTGAGCATGCAGCTCATATGTAGAGAACTGTATCCGCAGTGCCAAGCAACTGTCTGGTACCTGACAGCAACATCGAAACCCTCCTCTGTTCACTTAGTTGCTGCTGGTTATTTATTAACACAATGCAGACTGTTCAGTGTGGGTGTATATGAAATAGAAAGAAAAATAAAGGCCCTGAACAAGTAAATACATCTTTCATCATTTCTTTTGTTTGGTGTGTTTACTGTGTGCTATTCTTGGTCAATAGAAGTTGTTTGACAGTTCTGCAAAGGGGTAAGGAACTTTTCTTGAACTTTATCCTTTTGTTTGTCTCTGTAGAAAAAGTTTTCAATTTACCATTCTCTTTTTATTGTAAATTCTCTATGTAAAATAATTTTTGAAGATTTTATTGCTATGAATATGACAAATACAGGTGATTATGAAACATGATAGACAGTTTAATTTGTTTGAAATGGACAGTTAAGAGACTAGAATTTCAAGATAGTTTTTATATGTAAACTTTTTAATTAGAAGCAGATAACGAGATGTCTTTTTTAACTCCTTCTAAGAAATGTACCATTTGTTCTCAGGCCTTATGTAAGCTCCACTGAAATACTGAGTCTTGATTTAATTATTATTTAAGTTGTCTCCTCCCCACACATTAACATAATATCAACGTAGAGCTCATTGCATGGTATAATTACTGAAGAGATCAGTAGCTGCAGAAGCACACAATAATTGAGCATGTCTGTTTATTATAGCAGGACAGTGCTCCTATTATGGTATTTACTGTGTTAATAGTTAAGAATTGATTCACTGTTTCACGGAATTAAATCTCTGTTGCTTAGACCTTTCTTTTCGGATAAGTTATGCTTTGTCTGTAAAAATTTGCCTGAGAGGTTTGCATACCACAGTGTGACATTAGTCATGTGGAAGACTTGGGAGCAGAAAGCCATATAAATGAACAAAATGCACCCTCTCCCATTTGGAGTTCTGTTTTCCTTCTCTACTTTTTTTTTTTAAGCCCTAATTTTCTTGCATCAGTCCTTGCTCCAGTACTTTAGGATTTTTCATTAGTGTCAAGATACCATGTCTTAGTGAACACATAAACGGGGAGGCTGCCATATTGGGAGCAGTGCAGTATAAATAAGGGAGGTCAGTTGTCAGTCCTTATATAGTATAGCTCTCCAGCTTTCAGGGAGAGAAAAGCATCCATATCCAAGTAAATGGGATAGGAATTAGACGTGTTTGCTCATGTTTTACCTTCTCATTGCTTAAGTTTTGAAGGAGAACTATAGCCATACTTGTTCTGGGCTGCAATAGGACAAGCCGTTGTTGCTTTATTTATTCTTTTCTCCTTCGGTGGCATGGGAATCATTAGAAATGAAACAGTGTAACTCACACACTCATTCTCAGCAAACTACCGCAAGGACAAAAAAACCCAAACACCACATGATCTCACTCATAGGTGGGAACTGAACAATGAGAACACATGGACACAGGAAGGGGAACATCACACACCGGGGCCTGTTGTGGGGTAGGGGGAGGGGGGAGGGATAGCATTAGGAGATATACCTAATGTTAAATGACGAGTTACTGGGTGCAGCACACCAGCATGGCACATGTATGCATATGTAACTAACCTGCACATTGTACACATGTGCCCTAAAACTTAGAGTATAATAAAAAAAAAGAGAAATGAAACAGTGTAACTCAAGATAAGTTGAAATTGTTCATTTTCTTTGACACAGCCTTTTCACTTACCGGATTACAATTAGGAGTTAATAAAGAATATTAGTTAAGTAAAAAGGAATAGTAAATCTTAGAGTTCTTAATTTTTTGCCAGATTTTTTTTCTTTGCTTTTTAAATTAAAACTATTTGAATAAAAAATAATTGGTCAGTTTTAAAGTATACATATAATATAGATATTTATACACTATACCTTTTGAAATGTTCTATCTAAATTGCAAACAATATGAAACCTTCTAAAATATTATCTATTTGTTGTTTTGAAAACATAGAATTAAAGTAGTATTAAATCTATCTCTGTCCTATAGCTGTTTCTATATCTATGTGGATACTATCCACAGGACAAAATTTTGCCAACTCTGTCGGATCTCCGAAATTTTTCTGAATAAATACACGCATACAAACACATACATATAAAATAAAAATAATAGGGGCCCCCGGGCAAGATGGCCGAATAGGAACTGCTCCCGTCTGCAGCTCCCATCCAGACCAACGCAGAAGGTGGGTGATTTCTGCATTTCCAACTGAGGTACCCGGTTCATCTCAGTGGGACTGGTTAGACAGTGGGTGCACCCCACGGAGGGTGAGCAGAAGCAGGGTAGGGCGTTGCCTCACCCGGGAATTGCAAGGGGTCAGGGAACTCCCTCCCCTAGCCAAGGGAAGCCGTGAGGGACAGTGCTATCCGGCCCAGATACTATGCTTTTCCCATGGTCTTCGCAACCTGCAGACCAGGAGATTCCCTTGGGTGCCTATACCACCAGGGCCCTGGGTTTCAAGCACAAAGCTGGACAGCCGTTTGGGCAGGCACTGAGCTAGCTGCAGTTTTTTTTCATACCCCAGTGGCACCTGGAATGCCAGAGAGACAGAACCGTTCACTCCCCCTGGAAAGGGGGCTGAAGCTAGGGAGCCGAGTGGTCCAGCCCAGCAGATCCCACCCCCATGGAGCCCAGCAAGCCAAGATCCACTGGCATCTAATTCTCACTGTCAGCACAGCAGCCTGAAGTCAACCTGGGACACTTTAACTGGGTGAGGGGAGGGGCATCTGCTATAACTGAGGCTTGAGTAGGCGGTTTAAACCACCTCACAGTTTAAACAAAGCTGCCGGAAAATTCAGACTGGGCAGAGCCCACCACAGCTCGGCAAAGCTACTGTAGCCAGACTGCCTCTCTAGATTCCTCCTCTCTGAGCAGGGCGTCTCTGAAAGAAAGGCAGCAGGCCCAGCGAGGGGCTTATATATAAAACTCCTCTCTCCCTGGGACTGAGCTCCTGGGGGAAGGGGAGGCTGTGGACGCATCTTCAGCAGACTTAAACGTTCCCTGCCTACAGGCTCTGAAGAGAGCAGTGGATCTCCCGGCAGACTGCCTCCTAAAGTGGGTCCCTGACACCTGTGCCTCCTGACGGGGAGACACGTCCCAGCAGGGGTCAACAGACACCTCATACAGGAGAGATCCGGCTGGCTCTGCCCCTCTGGGACGAAGCTTTCAGAGGAAGGAGTAAGCAGCAGTCTTTGCTGTTCTACAGCCTCAGCTGGTGATAACCAGGCAAACAGGGTCTGGAGTGGACCCCCAGCAAATTCCAGCAGACCTGCAGAAGAGAGGTCTGACTGTTAGAAGGAAAACTAACAAACAGAAAGCAATAGCATCAACATCAACAAAAAGGACAACCATGCAAAAACTCCATCTGAAGATCACCAACATCAAAGACCACAGGTACATAAATCCACAAAGATGAGGAAAAAACAGCTCAAAAAGGCTGAAAATTCCAAAAACCAGAATGGCTCTTCTCCTACAAAGGATCACAACTCCTCGCCAGCAAGGGAACAAAACTGGATGGAGAATGAATTTGATGAATTGACAGAAGTAGGCTTCAGAAGGTGAGTAATAGCAAACTCCTCCAAACTAAAGGAGCATGTTCTAACCCAATGCAAGGAAACTAAGAACATTGAAAAAAGGTTAGACAAATTGCTAACTAGAATAACCAGTTTAGAGAAGAACATAAATGACGTGATGGAGCTGAAAAACATAGCACAAGAACTTCGTGAAGCATACGCAAGTATCAACAGCTGAATCAAATAAACGAAAGAAAGGCTATCAGAGATTGAAGATCAACTTAATGAAATAAAGCATGAAGACAAGATTAGAGAAAAAAGAATGAAATGGAATGAACATAGCCTCCAAGAAATATGGGACTATGTGAAAGACCAAACCTACGTTTGATTGGTGTACCTGAAAGTGGCGGGGAGAATAGAACCTAATTGAAAAACACATTTCAGGATATTATCCAGGAGAACTTCCCCAACCTAGCAAGGCAGACCAACATTCATATTCAGGAAATACAGAAAACACCACAAAGATACTGCTCTAGAAGAGCAACCCCAAGACACGTAATCGTCAGATTCATCAAGGTTGAAATGAAGGAAAAAATGGTAAGGGCAGCCAGAGAGAAAAGTAGGGTTACCCACAAAGGGAAGCCCATCAGACTAATAGCATATCTCTCTGCAGAAACCCTACAAGCCAGAAGAGAGTGGGGACCAATATTCAACACTCTTAAAGAAAAGAATTTTCAACCCAGAATTTCATATCCAGCCAAACTAAGCTTTATAAGTGAAGGAGAAATAAAATCCTTTACAGACAAGCAAATGCTGAGAAATTTTGTCACCACCAGGCCTGCCTTACTGGAGCTCCTGAAGGAAGCACAAATTTGAAAAGGAAAAATGGGTACCAGCCACTGCAAAAACAAACCAAAATGTAAAGATCTTCAACACTATGAAGAAACTGCATCAAACAATAGGCAAAATAACCAACTAGCATCATAATGACAGGATCAAATTCACACATAACAATATTAACTTTAAATGTAAATGGGCTAAATGGCCCAATTAAAAGGCACAGACTGGCAAATTGGGTAAAGAGTCAAGAAACATCAGTGTGCTGTATTCAGGAGACCCACCTCATGTGCAAAGACACACATAGGCTCAGAATAATGGGATGGAGGAAGATTTACAAAGCAAATGGAAAGCAAAAAAAAGCAGTCCTAGTCTCTGATAAAAACAGACTTTAAACCAACAAAGATCAAAAAAGGCAAAGAAAGGCATTATCTAACGGTAAAGGGATCAATGCAACAAGAAGAGTTAACTATTCTAAATGTATGTGCACCCAATACAGGAGCACCCAGATTCATAAAGCAAGTTAGAGACCCACAAAGAGACTTAGACTCCAACACGATAATAGTACAATAATAGTGGGAGACTTTAGCACCCCACTGTCAATATTAGATCAACAAGACAGAAAATTAACAAGTATATTCAGGAGTTGAACTTAGCTCTGGACCAAGCAGACCTAATAGACAGCTACAGAACTCTCCACCCCAAATCAACAGAATATACATTCTTCTCAGCACTTCATAGCAGTTATTCTAAAATTGACCACATAATTGGAAGTAAAACACTCCTCAGCAAATGCAAAAAATGGAAATCATAACAGTCTCTTAGACCACAGTGCAATCAAATTAGACCTCAGGATTAAGAAACTCACTCAAAACCACACAACTACATGGAAACTGAACAACCTGCTCCTGAATGACTACTGGGTAAATAAGGAAATTAAGGCAGAAATAAATAAGTTCTTTGAAACCAATGAGAACTAAGACACAATGTACCAGAATCTCTGGGACACAGCTAAAGCAAGTATTTAGAGGGAAATTTATAGCACTAAATGCCCACAGGAGAAAGTGGGAAAGATCTAAAGTCAACAACCTAACATCACAATTAAAAGAACTAGAGAAGCAAGCACAAACAAATTCAAAAGCTAGCGGAAGACAAGAAATAACTAAGATCAGAGCAGAACTGAAGGAGATAGAGACACAAAAACCCTTCAAAAAATCAATGAATCTAGGAGCTGGTTTTTTGAAAAGATTAACAAAATAGATAGACTGCTAGCCAGACTAATAAGAAAAGAGAGAAGAATCAAATAGACACAATAAAAAATGATAAAGGGGATATCACCACTGATCCCACAGAAATACAAACTATATATATATATCGGAGAATACTATAAACACCTCTATGGAAATAAACTAGAAAATCTAGAAGAAATGGATAAATTCCTGGGCACATACACCCTCCCAAGAATAAACCAGGAAGAAGTCAAATCCCTGAATAGACCAATAACAACACATACAGCAAAAAAAGAAAATTTCAGGCCAATATCCCTGATGAACATCAATGTGAAAATCCTCAATAAAATACTGGCAAACTGAATTCAGCAGCACATTAAAAAGCTTATCTACCACGATCAAGCTGGTTTCATCCATCACATAAATAGAACCAATGACAAAAACCATATGATTATCTCAAGAGATGCAGAAAAGGCCTTCTCATGCTAAAACACTCAATAAACTAGCTATTTATGACAAACCCACAGCCCATATACTGAATGGGCAAAAGCTGGAAACATTCCCTTTGAAAACCGTCACAAGACAAGGATGCCCTCTCTCTCCACTCCTATTCAACATAGTGTTGGAAGTGTTGGCCAGGGCAGTCAGGCAAGAGAAAGAAATAAAGCGTATTCAAATAGGAAGAGAGGAAGTCAAATTATCTCTGTTTGCAGATTGCATGATTGTATATTTAGAAAACCCCATCATCTCAGCCCCAAAACTCCTTAAGCTGATGAGCAACTTCAGCAAAGTCTCAGGATACAAAATTAATGTACAAAAATCACAAGCATTCCTATACATCAAAAATAGACAAAAAGAGATCCAAATCATGAGCAAACTCCCATTCACAATTGCTACAAAGGGAATAAAATATCTAGGAATACAACTTACAAGGGATGTGATGGACCTCTTCAAGGAGAACTACAAACCACTGCTCAAGGAAATAAGAGAGGACACAAACAAATGGCAAAACATTCCATGCTCATGGATAGGAAGAATCAATATCATAAAAATGGCCATACTGCCCAAAGTAATTTATAGATTCAATACTATTTCCATCAAGCTACCATTGACTTTCTTCACAGAATTAGAAAAAAACTACTTCAAATTTCATATGGAACTCAAAAAGAGCCCATATAGCCAAGACAATCCTAGGCAAAAAGAGCAAAGCTGGAGGCATCACACCATCTGGCTTCAGACTATACTACAAGGCTGTAGTAACCAAAACACCACGGTACTGGTATGAAAACAGAGATATAGACCAATGGAACAGAACAGAGGCCTCAAAAATAATACCACGCATCTACAAACACCTGATCCTTGACAAAGCTGACAAAAACAAGCAATGGGAAAGGATTCCCTGTTTAATAAATGGTGTTGGGAAAACTGGCTAGCCATATGCAGAAAACTGAAATTGGACCCCTTCCCTATACTTTATACAAAAATTAACTCAAGATGGATTAAAGATTTAAACCTAAGACCTAAAATCATTAAAGCCCTAGAAGAAAACCTAGTCAATACAATTCAGGACATAGGCATGGGCAAAGATTTCATGACTGAAACACCAAAAGCAATTGCAACACAAGCCAAAATTGACAAATGGGATCTAATTAAACTAAAGAGCTGCTGCACAGCAAAGGAAACTGTCATCAGAGTGAACATGCAACCTACAGAATGGGAGAAAATTTTTGCAATCTATCCATCTGACAAAGGGCTAATATCCAGAATCTACAAGGAACTTAAACAAATTTACAACATTAAACAACTCCACCAAAAAGTGGGCAAAGGATATGAACAGACACTTCTCAAAAGAAGACATTTATGCGGCCAAAAAACATGAAAAAAAGCTCATCATCACTGGTCATTAGAGAAATGCAAATCAAAACCACAATGAGATACCATCTCACACCAGTTAAATGGTGATCATTAAAAAGTCAGGAAACAACAGATGCTGCAGAGGATGTGGAGAAATAGGAACGCTTTTATACTGTTGGTGGGAGTGTAAATTAGTGCAACCATTGTGGAAGACAGTGTGGCGATTCCTCAAGGATCTAGAACCAGAATTACCATTTGACCCAGCAATCCTGTTACTGGGTATATACCCAAAGGATTATAAATTATTCTACTGTAAAGACACATGCACACATATGTTTATTGCAGCACTATTCACAATAGCAAAGACTTGGAGCCAACCCAAATGCCCATCAATGTTAGACTGGATTAAAAAAATGTGGCACATATACACCATGAAATGGTATGCAGCCGTAAAAAAGAAAAATGAGTTCATGTCCTTTGCAGGGACATGGATACACTGGAAACCATCATTCTCAGCAAACTAACACAGGAACAGAAAACCAAACAGTGCATGTTCTCACTCATAAGTGGGAGTTGAACAATGAGAACACATGGACACAGAGAGGGGAACATCACACACCACGGCCTGTCGGGGAGTGGGGGGACTAGGGGAGGGATAGCATTAGGAGAAATACCTAATGTAGATCACGGGCTGATGGGTGCAGCAAACCACCATGACACGTGTATACCTATGGAACAAACCTGCACATTCTGCACATGTATCCCAGAACTTACAGTAGAATAAAAAAAATAAATTTGCAGTTACATTTAGAGAGCAATTTTTTCACTCTTAATCTCTAAACTAAACATATTTTCCTAGAACAAGTTTTTACACAAAGAAAGTACAGTCAAGTGCCACATGACATTTCATTCAACAACAGGCCACATGTATAACAATGGCCCCAGAAAATTGTAATAGAACTAAAAAATGCCTTTTGCCTAGTGACATAGTAGCTGTTGTAGGGTTGTAACACAACATGTTATTCACAAGTTTGTGGTGATGCTGGTGTAAGCAAACACTGTGCTGCTGGTCATTTGGAAGTATAGCACATACAGTTATGTACAGTACATAATACTTGATAATAAACAGCTATGTTACTGATGTATATATTTACTATGCCATCATTTTTATAGTTATTTTAGAGTATACTCCTACTTATTAAAACAAGGTGACTGTAAAACAACCTCAGGCATATTTTTCAGAAGTATTCCAGAAGAAGGCATTGTTATCATAGGAGATCACAGGGGGGTCTCATAGCCCCTGAAGACCTTCCAGTGAGATAAGATGCTGAGGTGGCAGATGGTGGTATTGAAGATTCTGGCCCCGTGTAGTCCCTGTGTGTTTGTTTCTTAGTGTTTAACAAAAATGTATAAAAAGTTTTGAAAAATTAAAAATTTAAGAATAGAAAAATAGCTCATAGAATAAGGATATAAGGAAATAATATGTTTTTGTATAGCTATATGATGTGTGTGTTTTACCCTGTGTTATTATAGCAGTCAAAAAGTTAATTTAATTAATTATAAAATTAATTTAAAAGCTTATAAAGTAGAATAATTGTAGTAAGCTAAGGTTAATTCATTATTGAAGAAAAATATTTGTTATAGATTTAATTTAGTCTAAGAATCGAGTGTTTACAGTCTATTGTAGTGTACAGTCCTGTCCTAGCCCTTCACATTCACCTGCCACTCACTGACTCACCCAGAGCAACTTCTAGTCCTTCAAGCTCTGTTCATAGTAAATACCCTATATATGTGTATCACTTTTTATCTTTCATACCTCATTTCTACTGTATCTTTTCTGTATTTAGATATGTTTGAATACACAAATACTTACAGTCGTGTTACAGTTGCATACGGTATTCAGCACAGTAACAAGCTGTACAGGTTTGTACCCTAGAAACAAGAGGCCATACCTTATAGCCTATGTGTGTAGTAGGCTACATACCAGCTGGGTCTGTGAAAGGATCCTCTAGGATGTTCACATAATGACAACATCACCTAACACATTTCTCAGAAGATATCCTTGTCGTTAAGCAATGCATGACTGTACACAGATCAGGATCTCAATACAGAATGGGAACTCCCACTTCTGTCCTATGTTCTATTATTTTGTTCATTACCTTATGATTCGTGTTTTAACAACTTGTATAAAATCTCTCTAAATGCCCAAGAAGGAGTCAATATCTCCTTTCTTTACAACTTTAACCTTTGTTTTTTGTGTGATCACCTATTCAGTCATTCTCTCATTCTGACAGCAAACATTTATGGAGGTCTTACTATATTCTAGTTATTTTATAGGTTAATGAAAAGACAAATCAAAGATATAGTTCCTGTTCTCAAGTTGTTCGTGGTCTTTTGGGAGAGTAACTATGTTATTTTTGGTGAATGGGAGTGTGAGTGAGGAAGCACAGGAGGCTCTGTAAGTAGAGAGGAGGGAACTCATACCAAAGCGAATGTATAATCAGTGCATTCTATTATATATCTTTTAAAATGAATTAATATTTACATATTGATAGACATTTTATTATGTATGTCACTTTTTAGGTCATATGGTTATTATGACTGGTCTAGCCAATTTGCTTTAAGTGCTTATGCAAAAACAATTCCAATATTCACTGGATCTATCTCTCTATGACGCAACTTCTTTTAAAGTAGTTTCACTCATCATGCCAGCTTATCTGGATATTTTCAAACTATTCATTTCTGCTTATTCACAACTTCCAGAGAAAAGTTTACAACTGTAAAGAAAATATTTTAATTGCTTTCCTTTGGGTGCTGCAACTAATAAGGCTAGACATATAATGTATGATTTTCCTCTATCCATCTTTAACCATCACTTACTTTAAAGAGTAGAGGATATTATCTTGAACTCTGTTTTACTACCAGCAGAAAGATGCTTGGAAAGTTGAGTCAAGATTATGATAAGAATAATAATAATGGGTACCTAACCTTAATCTTACTCGGAGGGCTAAAATACACTTAGCTTTGTAAATTTTTGATTCATGTGCTGATCCATAATAAAAACATATATGCTTAGCCAAAATTCATTAAAATGCTATTTGCTCTGTAACTGTAACCCCAATTTTAACCAAAACTGCTTGAATTCTAACACACACAAATATATAACACAAATATGGGACAAAATAGTAATACATTAATAGTGACATGTTCAGATGTCATGCTGGCTCTTAAAATGTAATCTATATTTTTAAATATTTCTGCATGAGGGGAAAGACAATGGAGGAGCAACCTCAGTGATATGAGAGTAGAACTGTTTAATATCTTCTCAAGAATGGAAAAAGAGCCTCAGTGGCGTGTGATGTGGTATTTGTGCCATCCTATATGTTTTATTGGGTCTCCCAGAGACCTGTATTAAAGTGGGCATAGTCAACCTGCAGCCATAGTGAGCTCACTTCCTGTGTAACTCTCCAGTCCCACTTCTCATTTCCTACTTTTCCTTGCATCACCCTTTTATGACATTTGCTCTAACAATGCTCAGTTGCCTGCTGTTTTTCCTAGTCACCTTGCTTTTATTTGCTTAAGATATCTGGTTGCAATGCCTTTACCTCACTCTGCATTTGAATGATGGCCATTCATCCTTACTATTTAGTTCAGGTTTCCCCTCTACCAGGAATTTTCTGCTAGATGTAAACCTCCATCCTGCCTTCCTTAAGAAATCTTGTCCTGGCTAGGCGCAGTGGCTCACGTCTGTAATCCCAGCTGAGGCAGGCAGATCATGAGGTCAGGAGTTCGAGATCAACCTGGCCAACATAGTGAAACGCCATCTCTACTAAAAATACAAAAAAATTAGCCGGGCATCGTGGTGCGCACCTGTAGTCCCAGCTACTCGAGAGGCTGAGGCAGGAGAATCGCTTGAACCCTGGAGGTGGAGGTTGTGGTGAGCCAAGATTGTGCCACTGCACTCCAGCCTGGGCGACAGACCGAGACTCCATCCAACAAAAAAAAAAAAAAAAAAGAAATCTTGTCCAAGTGTCTCTCCTCCATTAGATTTTGACCTCCTAGAGCAGTGGTCCGCAAATAGGGTCCACAGGCCAAATCTACCTCAGCGTAGTATTGTATGTTCTATGAACTAAGAATGTTCTTCCATTTATGAGTTGTTGAAAAAAATTAAAACAAGAATAATGTTTCATGACACATGAACATTATATGAAATTCAAATTTGTGCCTATAAATAAAGTTTTATTGGAACACAGCCATGCTTTTTCATTTACATATTAATGTAATGTAACGCTACAATGGTAGGGTTGAGTAGTACAGCCTGCAAAGCTTAAAATATTTCCTATCTAGCCCTTTATAGATAAAATTTGCCTACCCCTATCCTAAAGAACAGCAATAAAGTCATAGTCATTCCATTATCCAGAGTTCCTAGCATAGAGACTCCTAATTGAACAAGTTAATTAAATGGTTGAATAAGCTATCTCCGACCAGAACCATTCACACAAGGGCTCCTGGCTCTGATCCTAGTGGACATTTAATAGAGAAAATACTGAATTATGAAGACCTAGGAGGTAGCATTTTCTCTGCCATTATCTGTATCTTGGACAAGTACTTCATTTCCCTTTATTTGAAAATAATTACTTTAAAAAGTTTTGTAGTTCTTTTCAGGCATGAAATTCTAGAGCTATCAATGTTTTTATTAAGTCAATGGACCATTTAAGACATATGGACCTAAAGAAGAAAAGAATAATGAACTCTTATCAGTTATCAGTTTTATTATTGGTGTTGATTAGGTGTTCTGTGGTAATCCAAATTTTAAAAAAGGTTGTTGTTGGTACATCGGAATAGAAGATCTCGTGTTGTAAGATTTGTGGTCTATATAGTAATTTGTCTACCTTGCTTTCAGTGATAATTTTGTCCAAATAATGAAAGACAGACACTTTCAATATTAGCTTTTACTAGAATCTTGAATTATCCGGTGTTTATTTCTATCATTTTCTCCTCCTTTATATGGCCCCCACCCCTAGCTAGATGGAGGAAATTGCTGGTAACTGACCTGCATGCTTTATATAGATTATGAGATTTGCAAAGTCCTTACAACTCTAAAGTGACTTCTTTGATTCTAACAGGAATGACCATTGTAATCTTGGCCCTTCCATAAAGATTTCTTGAAGGAAAATATCACAATAATTATTTAAGGAGTCTTTGGATGAAAACTCTTTTGCAGTTTATAGCTGTTCTTAACCTATTTTAAAAGGCAATAAGATATTTCAAAATATTAGACTTTTAAAATATTCTTGCTTTCTCAAGAATATGCCTGAGTAAAGTTGATCAGCATAAAAACTTATAAAAATAAAAAAGGAAAAAGGAAAATGAATAGAATTTTTTAAGTATTTTAATGGATAGTTACATTTTTTCTACCTTTTCCTATATATTAAAATGCAGCGTGGAAATTTAAAACAATGTTTGCAGTGTTTGCTTCAGTCTCTAACGTGCTTTGTGAATTGCTCATTTAATAGAAATGGCTAACACAATAATCTTTCCCAGTTTTTCTAAATGTGGGACTGTTATCTTAAAAGAAGTTGACAAATAGCAGAAACAAAAAATGCTTCCAGTAATTCAGAATCTGTTAATTGAAGTGAAAAATTGTGTACGTCCAGGGAAATTTTCAGAAAAATTGTTTTGTAGAAGATCTGTCAACTTTTATGAAATAAGCTCAAGAAATATCTTCAAGGGAACTTTTCAGTTTCCTCACTTCCAGTATTGGGGTCCTGCTTCTCTGTTGTACAGTCTTTTCCACTGCTTTCTACAGGAACCTCTCATATTGAAGGTCTGGAACCCTTCAGTATGGGACATCTCATTGTGCAAGAGTATAGTTTCCTATAGGCCACTGCTTCAGGGTTTGTTTTGGCGTCTATCACTGAATCAGGTTAGTTACCAGCAAGTATGTGAAGGGCAATGCAAGAGAATCCATTTCAATTAGATCAGCACATGTTATGTGAAGACATTTTTAATTCCACAGGGGATATATGTTAGGGGAAATTGGCATTATTGATACTACTTCTAGTTTTCTCATTCTTTTTATTACTGAAAAAATACTTACCAAGCACTAAAATCTCTATTTGGAATTTTGAATGCCAAAATACATCTATAAATAAATATTCTTTTAATTTATAAAAAGAAAAAGCATTTTAATACTCTTAAATTCTCATTTAGATTTTTCTTTCGTCTGAAAATTCATTATTGCTTATATGTCAAGATTCACATTGTGATATTAATGAAAAAATATCGCCCTTATTTTGCCGCATATGACAGGCTGATTAAATGTCAAAATATTGATAGCATTATTTTACTCTTAAAAATGTATGAAGTTATTTCAATAAGAATAATTCGGCAAGTATCTCCCAAGTTATAGTTATAATATTTAAAGAGATTATTTTACTAACTGTTTTAAAATACAGACACACTTCCCAGAACTCAGAAATTATGAACTTCCTAAATAAAATTCAAGCATGCATGCTCTTTCTTCTGTAGCAAAATGGTACACGGATGAGGAATGACAGTTTTAAAATATGTCATTTTTATCTAAAAGAAAATAAGCACTTACTTGCTGAAGATAGGTTTCTACCTGTGATAATGATTATAGAACAACATATACTTTTATTAAAGCACATGTGGAATACCTTCTTTCTGTGTATTTACTTTTTGCTTTTTCCGAAAGTACTAAATGCTCAGAAATGTGGTCATCAGATCTTGTGATTGGTATGCAGGTGAATGAGCCGATGCATCTGCACCCTCCTTTTTCCTTATCTTCTCTGGGTGTCCCTGAGCTTTCCCCAAGCTGAGACAGATGGCTGCTGGTTTAGTTATGTGCGTGGGAGAGAGGGACTTCCACATGTGATTTTTACCATTTGGTAGTAATTAGTTTGTTGTATAAATTAACATTAACTGAACCATTCTTCAGGCATTGTTTGTAATTATCTTCTTTGAGTCTCTGAGTTGTATAAAGAAATAAAAAGCAGGAAAGAAACTGCTCCTTATTTTTTAAAAGTTGAAGAATCTATCATTAGGCAGAATAGAGTGACAATTATTGTTGTATGCCCGATACACTGAAAACTTTAAAATAACCATAAGGCAAAAAAGCCAAAGATTTTTCTGGAATGGAATGGTTTAGAAATACAATTAGATTTTCTGAAAATGTGTGATTTTTTGCTGTTGTTTAGACAGCACTGAATGTGAGAGAAAAAAGAAATGTAATTTGAGGAATTTTTCTTCCTATCATTTAGCAATTTTAGTTCTCACAATAACTGCCACTTGAATGTTACTGTCGGACTTGTCTTTTTACTTTTTTTACATATGACATACTTCATATAGATACTTTCAAATAAAAGTGTATTAGTGTAAATTTTATGAGAATAGTGTGTTCCTGAGATACAGTACATCAGTATTCGTCTTTTTAGGCAAAGCTCTTCATCAGTCAGTGGGATTTTGATATTTCAGGCTTTAAAGTATGAATGGTGGTTAAGTCAGTATTCCCTCTGACACTCCCTGCCCCTGATGCAGGTATTGGATATCAAAGAAAGAAACAAAACAAACAACCTGTACTTCTTAAAATTCTCCTGGTTGGTTTGGCCTTGCTCATATTATTTATGTGCTCAAAATTTTATTGTGTCTTTCTCTAAAGAGATCTAATAGCTAATACCATATAACAGATTGTCCTTTAAAGTATAAATGTTTCTTTCCGGAAAAAAAAAAATCCCCATCTGTGTTTTCTCTTTGGAAATTACTTTAAGATATTACCAAGAAGAACAAATTACTGATAGACATATTTTGACCCAAAGTATGTAAAATGTGTCATCACACTTTTACTGTCTATAACACAGTCATAACTTTGATGTTGGCAAGAAAATATGATGGTCATTATTTGACCATGAGTTTCTTTGTTGCAGCTTGTTTGATAGATGATTAAAAAAACAGTAATATATACCATTAGTAGCTGTTTTCTATCATACAGCTTCATTTACTGGGTGCCAGACTTTAGTTGTAGAAACTACCAGAAGTGATTAATTTATTGGCTTTTTTCTTTTGAGTGTTGTTTCAGTTCATTTCATGAAATGCAATGATTTGATAGGTCTTCAAGATTTAAAAATATCCCAATATTATTGCAAATTACTTGAAAAAATAAGAACATTTTGCCTTTATTTATACTACAGTGACTACTTACTATAGTAACTAACTATAAGTTAATGAGCAAAACTAAGGTACTTTAAAAGCTGGTTTTTATTGACTAAGCTTTTCATATATTCTGAAGTTAACAAAGAGATAAGTCTTTTTTAAAAAGTGAGTGTTTCAGGAAGACTTTCTGGTTTATTACAAATTAGGCTTATTTTTAACTACTTCTAATTCAGAACTTATTTTTATGAAATAGGAAAACTGGAAGTACTGTGTGCCTAGAACTTGGCTTTCCCATAAAGTACTTCATCCAGTATTTCTCACCATTCATCAACATTTTAAATCATGCTCTTCTTTAAATATATGCCACTTTTGACCATTTTAAAAGCCCTAACTTTATTTAATATTCAACAATTTTGCCTCTCAACATAGTTTATGTACATATATTTTCTCACAAGTGGGAAAAAGGAAAGCATTATTGTCTTATCTCTTTATTTTGGCTGTAAATCAAATAAACATAAAAACCTTAAATTTTGTGCTTTTCAATATTGAGAGCTGGCTAAGAAGCAAGGAGCCTTAATCCTAAAGATATTTCCTTTCCCTGCCTGACAGGATAGAAGTATATTTTCTTTTAAATAGGGCAGGTATTGAACTTGGTAAAATTTTGAAGGGCAAACTTTATGTCTGCTGAAAAATTCATTTTATATAATATGTGTTACTGGCAAACAATATGAGTGCAATCTGGGAACATATTTTAATGGTATGGTTTTCAATCTGTGAATATTAGGATTCTTAATATTAGGCCAAAATATTCCTCTGTGTAGGGGGTGAATAATCTTTATATTCCTCAAGTTAATTTAGAGCCTAATCCTTGGAAGTGAAGCAAAATGAACACTTCTGCTTTCAGACTGATTTTGCTTCATTTATACACTTGTGTTCATAAGAATACAGAAATCGAGGCTTTTACAAGCATCTTTTGAGGAAAACACAATACCTTACTCACCCCCACTCAGATTAAAATAATCAACTACTGATAAATATCTTACACAAAAACCACCTCTGAATAAGTCTTTTGGCAACCATTTGAAATGCAAACTCTTGTATGACATATTTTGGAACTAAAGATAAGAAGAGAGGGGAAAAAAAAGCAGCTCTTCTGTGGCTGTGAAGCTCAAAAAGAATATATTAATTAACCCAAGAGAATTTCTAGGAAGCTGTAGTGAGAAACTGTAGCTTTGAAATGTAGTGATCTTTATCCACTGTTGGGCTTGGGTCAAAGACCTTGGACAAGGAAGGAAAAAAGGGAAGGAGATACATTATAGAAACCAGATGTTAAAAACTGATAAAGGCTGACCAGCCCCCTGCTGCTAAAATCTAACCCCACCTCCATCAAAAAGGTGACATTCTCCTCTGAAGCCCCTCTGTCCTTCTAGGAGAAAAAGCGACACAATTCTGGCTCTGCATTTTTCCTTTGGCCTACCTTGTCGAATGGCCCTAGAAGACTAAACAGGTGTTATCTACTTTTGATTTCAGTGCATTTAAATTAATCCTGTCAGCTCAGCTGTTAAAACAACTGTCATCTCCAGCTGTTAGTAATTTTCGACTGGGCACTTTCACAGGTTGCCAAGATCTGAGCCTGCATTGTGTGTCTCTCTGAATGCACTAGAGTAACAATTTGTGGGCTTTTTAAAGGGGACTGGTATTGTGATGCTGTACACATGAAATGATCATAATAATAATTTCAAAATACAGTCTGGTGCCATGTTTTGTAATATATAAATAAACCGTGTGCTGCATGCCACACTTATCTATATTCTGTCGTGTGTTACATAACTTTTTGGTGTACTTAATTCAATGAACAATAAGTCAACTTGGAAAGCATAAAAAGGCGAGATATCATAAAGAAGTTAGGAGACAGAAGATAGTATTGCACCTGCTTTTGATAGCTTCTGTGTTTCCAGAAACAATAGTTACTTCTAGTAGATGTATGTTTTTTCTCTTTCACGAAAATACTCAGTAGGATGTTTTGTTGCATTTTAAATTAGAGTAACTCTATACTTTCAAACCAAATATTTCGTTTGAAATATTTGTCTTTGACTAGATCCTCTTTTATTGAACATTTTAAATCATAAGAGGCATTTACTATATAATTTCAGTACTTGGGATCTATTTCATTAGTGGCATTCTAAGCTAATATTGTGGAAAATGTATTGGGAAATTCAGTCTGTTATCAATTGGAGTCTATTAAAAATGTGTAGTAATGTCAAATCTTTCAAAAAAAAAAAAAAAAAAAGACTTTCATTTGTCACTGATGTAACCATCTGGAACCAATGAGTTTTCCTCCTGGTTTAACCTTACACATTAAAAAAGGGAAAAACTATAGATTTTCTGCTTGGTTAAGCAAGATTGAATTTGAGTATTAGTTTTTTTTTTTAATAAAAAAGTATGTTTCAAAAACTAAATAGATGATTCTTAAATTGATTTTAAGGTATTTAAGAATAATATAAACAGATCATTAATGAAAACCAGCTTTAATAAAATGTATCAGCCACATAATTTGGGGCTACTTTATAATTTTTTTTAAAATTTATGTAATACTGGTGTTGAATAAATTTACACTAACTTAGTTGAATAATGCTCTATACTAATTTATAAGAAATTCTGGTTTTCACATTTATTTATTAAAATGGGGCTTATTTCTTGAGAGAATATTATATGCACAAGGTACTCAGTGAAAAATGTAATAGAAGGTGTAAAATGAAAAATATTTCTCTTTTCTACTCCTATTCCTACCACTGCCTCTCCCTACCCACCAGCCCGTTCCTCTTTTAGGTTTTATGTAACATGTTTCCTTCTGGATATCTCCAGAGATGTTCTGTGCATATATAAATATATAAACACGTAGAAATATCAGTTTGTGTGTGTACGTGTGGTTTATATCAGAAGGATGTCTCCCATACACACACCAAATTTGTATTTCATTATATCTGGATTTACATGATGTCTGTTCTCTAATAAAGCATATGAATACATGAGTTTGAAGGATAATATTACAACGTATATGATGTGTATATGCAAATTACTTATTTTGTGTCTGAGGATTATAATTTAAATTGAATAAAGAATATTGAATGTTAATATGTCAATACTTATCAATATTAAGATATTCTCAAACCTAATAGGTCCACTATTAGAAACTGTTGGTATGAATATTCTCACACATATGTGCTAGAATATGTAAGAACATATGACATTACTGTTACAGAAAAACTAAAGACATTCTAAGTGTCAGGGGACTGGCTAAGGTTATTATTATGTATTCATAAATGGATTACGATAAGACTGTTAAACAGCAAGTATCCTAATCCATAAAACTATGGAAAGATGCCCACTAGTTATATTTAATTTTTAAAAGTAGAATGATAGTAGTGATAAAATTATCTTATTTTTTATAGTATATATGCATGCTTGTATAGAAATTTATTTAAGTATGAAATATTTTTATCTTAAATTGGATATAAGTTACAAATAAGTGTTTTATTTTGAATATTTACTTTGGTTATTTTAAATTAATATTTGATTAATTACTAAGGGTTAAATCTTAAATGAACCATCTTCAGTGATGCTAATAAAAGTCAATTACCAGTGGATTTTGTTTTTAGTTTCTATAAACATCAGCTTACATTGGAAGAGAGTGTCATGAAAAACTAAGGGAATATACAAAACTTATATGTGAAGGCAGCAAGTGAGAGATGGTGGGGTGGGAAGGGACATTACAAAGGATCGTGGGAAAGTCATTGAAAAGGTGGTAGAAATACAGAGTTAACTTTGATTCATTTCCACAGCTATATTTGTAGAGATATCTCCCCTTAAAATTTGCTGGAAGAAGAAGCTCCTGTGAACATGCTTGTTCATATAAAAATATATATATATATATATCAGAATTCTGAAGGGAAAACAAGGATGCCTTGCTCAAACATATATTCTGCACATATTCTGGTAACTATTGAGATATTTGAATTAATAATATGCTCTTTGTACTAGTTTCTTAGGACTACTCTAACAAAGTATGACAAACTGGGTGGCTTAAAACTATTGGAATTTTTGTCCAGATGCAGTGGCTTGCACCTGTAATCCCAACGCTTTGTGAGGCCGAGGCGGGCAGATCACTTGAGGTCAAGAGTTCAAGACCAGCCTGGCCAACATAGTGAAACCCCATCTCTACTAAAAATACAAAAATTAGCCGGGCATGGTGGTGGGCACCTGTAATCCCAGCTACTCAGGATGCTGAGGCTGAGGCAGGAGAATTCACTTGAACCCAGGAGGCGGAGGCTGCAGTGAGCCGAGATTGTGCCACTGCAACCCAGCCTGGGCAACACAGCAAAACTCTGTCTCAAAAAAAAAAAAAAAATGGAATTTCTGTTCTTTCACAGTTCTAGAGTCTAGAAGTCTGAAGTCAAGTTGTCAGCAGAGCCATGATCCTTCTGAAACCTTTGGTAGCATCCTTCCTACCTCTTCATAGCTTCTGGTAATAACTGTCAAGCCTTGATACTTCTTGGCTTGCAACTATATCAGTCTAATCTCTGCCTCTGTTATCTTGTGATTTTTTTATCTTTGTGTGTCTGAGTCTTCAAATGGCCACCTTCTTCTGAGGAACTCAATCATACTGAATTAGGACCCATAGGACCCACTCTAATGACCTTATCTCAACTTGACTAAATCTGCAAAGACCTTAATGAAGTGTCCCAAGTAAGGTTACATTCATAGTCGCTGGGTATTAGAATTTTCGCATATCCTTCGAGGGACACAGATCGAACCATAACACTCTAAAAATGTAAAGACAAATGGATAGATGGGCCAATTGACCATTTCTAGATTGCTATGAATTAATCTAATCACGGTATGAGTTTAAATTGATGTCACATAAAATTAAATATTGGTGTGTAAAAGAAGAATACATAATTTTTGATTTCATGGAAACATTGATATAGGGCACTCCAACTAAGTGGACTTTTAACTGGGAAATTTGGCCATCCAAAAGCTGGCCACAAGGCTCTGGGTAGATATCTGAAAGTGGAGAAAAGGTTAGAAATCATGCTGAAAGGGAGGTGAAAAGATTGCAAAAAACAAACACACTCTTCTTCCTTGTAGCAGAAAATGCTCACCTGTCCCTGAAAGTCATTTTATCGCCCAAAGATGCTGATCCTGCCTATTGTAGGCATGAAGAAAATTATAGTACCTTGTGACTGGAAAAGTTTAGAGGGTTTATAGATGTTTCATTGTACCTTGTATTCTATTCTTACTGGGACTGTGGCTCTATTCTCCAACACTATTATTGTTTTAAAAATAAAGCCAAAAACGACTGCAACTTAATAAATCCCTGTCTTTTTTTTTTTTTCCACTCCACTATTCTGTGATGCTATGCTTTCTTGTTTTAGGAAAAGTTTTTTTTTTCTTTTTTTTTTTTTTTTAGTGGAAAAAGGATAAATTTTACATTGTAAAATAGCACCTCAGTCTTTGGTTTACATTTTACATTGATCTGATGCTATAAACCAAAGAAAGATCAAAAGAAATGTTTGAGTAAAGTTGTACTCTTTGTATTTATGCCAGAGTTAAACATGTCTCTACCACCTGTTAGGAGCAGAGTGTTGTAGCCAAAGCTAGTCCTCCCATTTCAGTGCTCCAGATTGGGGAGGAGAAGGTGTTGATGCGTGCTTCTTGACCTTGCCTCTGTTAGGCAGGGTTGTCCTTTATATTCTTGTCCTAATGCTTTCTCATGGCATTGTTAGCAGTGGTGTTGAGAAATGTTAGGTTTCAGTGTAGAAGGCTGATTTTTTTCATTGAACTGTAGAAGGCTAATGGAAATTTAAAAACAAAACTGAGAGGGGAAATGGAAGATCCTTACTTTTCTTTAGCTCTCTAAGGCTATTATTGTAAGTTAAAGCAGAAAGAGAATTGAGAGGAATTGCCACTTTTAAAATGTTTGTTTTGTCAGAAAAAAATGTAGTTACTCATAAAATTGATCATCTAAATCTTAGCATATTCCTAATTTTATAAATTGAAATAATATTTGATATAACCTAAGTATGTATTCTGTCTATATCTGCACTACCCCTAGAAGAGTAATGAACAAATACATTTCACAGCATACTTTGTCTAATTGGGCACATACCAAAATTTACACATACAGCAAATTATTCAGTCAAATATTAAAGCTGAAGTTTGTAAAATGTGAAGGAAATGTTAACAGTATATAGAAAATTTTCTGATTGCTAAAACTTTCACTTAGATGATAAGTTTGACTTTGTTCTGAATTACTGTTTGGCCGTATACATTTGTATAGATCATCCTGATTCCTGTCCTCTAGATTTCTAACATATTGTGTTTGGCCATATATATTTGTATAGACCATCCTGATTCCTGTCCTCTAGATTTCTGACACATTGTGTTTGGGTTGTATAAAATGCATAAACCATTTTCTTTTTTTCTTTTAATGGTTGGGAATAGGAATAAAAGAAGCAGAACAAAATAATTTTGGTTACTTTGAAAGGTTGTACTAACCTTAGTGATGCTACTTTTTGATAACAGTAGATAACATTTATTGAGCATATGTTTTTTTTTCAGGCATTGCGCTTTACATGTTTTATCTCTTTTAGCACTTTTAATCCTTGCAACTACTCTATTTACCAATATATGCCTATTTATTTATTATTCATATATATCACACACACATATGCATCAACATATACCACTATAGATAGAAAAACTGATGTCTAAATGGGCTAAATAAATTGCCCATTTACAAGGTTAGTAAAAGCAGGATTTTATCTCAGAGATAATCCAGCACAAAGCTAGCTTTTAAACTATTACACTATATTATTTCTCACAAGTTCAAAACATGTGATGAGCACAGTTAATATGAATGAATTATGATGTAATGAATGAGTTCATTCATTCCTTCTTTCATTCCACAGATTTTTTTAAAAAAACGTCTAGTCATGCAAAGCACTCTCATAGAAAACAAGTAAGGTGCCAACCTTGTCACATAGAAAGTTACATTTTTATGTTGAAGATTTTTTAAAGGAATATATATATATATATATATATATATATATATATATATATATATATATATATAAAACAATGATAGGTAAATAGAGAAAATGTTAAATATCAGGAAATAATAAATTCCATAAGAAAGGTACAGATATCGTAATCAGAAACAAAGTGGATTATTTCATGATGGAGTGATGAAGGAGGAGTTTAAGGAGAAAACGGTATTCAAATTAGTCATCGAAGGTGGTCAGTCAGTAGTTCCATCAGGGGAGGACACCAGGGCTGGATCTGGAGAGATTGAGTTGGGATGAATAGTTCAACTAAGAGCATAGAGGTTAAAATGCATCGGGTACCATCAGAGATAATAAATAATTATTGAGGATGTAGGGCAAATAAATTGAGAAAAGGAAACCAAATTAGATTCCACATGGAGAGAGGTTAGGATTGAGAAGCCCTGAATGCCAGGCTACAGAGTTGAAACTTTATGGGTTAGGACCTGAAAAGCTATTGATGATTTTCCAGCAGTGGTGTGATCTGATCAGAGTTCTGTTCCACAATCCATTTTTCTCATTGCCTATTCTTCCTGGCCACACACTTACTGGAATTTCCTTTGACTAACAACAATAACCAAACAAACAGTAGCACAGTGGATATGCTGTTATAGATATGGATCTATGGATTTTTTTCTATTTAAATGGAATTTCAGATTGGAGATACTATAGTGTGATCAGTTAACCTCACGTTAATATGATGCAGCCACCCATATTTCTGTTACTTTATAGAATTTGTATTTTACTCTATTCCTTGTAATATTTATTTCTTCCATGAGATTTTGAGAGTATTGAGGCTTAAGAAGCTTGTTTATTTACTAGATAGCTTGACTTCCAAATATGATCATTGCCTAATATTTGTTCATTGAATAAGGGAATTGATGAGGAATTGTTGAATACTTATTAATTATTTTTAAATGGATAAAATGTAAACAAAACCTATAACTTTTTGTTGTCCTGTATCTGAACAGATGTCTGTAACTACCTGAACAGATATCTGCATCTGAGATTTTGTGGACTTTACGGTTAATCACACAGATGAGATTCTATTCATGCTGTGTCATCCTTATGAAAGCTCTTAACCCCTCACTTTCTGGAATGCGGTTCATGTGTCTTTTCAAATTCAGCTAAAAAAAACCCATTCTGGGAAGGACTTTCTTATGGTTGTCAGCCTGGTTAGAAATGATATGTCTGTGCTCATTTTTTTTGTGCTTACATAAGATTTACTGTTTCTACCTCACAGCACTTAATCACACTATTTCACAATTTCTTTCTTCACTAGACTATAAATTTCTGGAGGGCAGGGACTATGTCATTTCATTTTTGTGTTCCTAGGCTAATACAGTATTTGGTAGATAGCAGATTAGTATTAAATATTTTATAAAAGAGTTATGGATCAAAGGTAGGGCAATTCATTAGTAGGCTATCAGAATAGGGAAAAATCAAGAGCTAAATGGGGTTTTTGGCTTTACAAATAGAGAAGAGAGCAAGAATTTCAGAAATATTGAAGGATAAAAATTAATGGGACTTGGTGACAGATGGTATGTGAAGATAAAAACAGAGAGAAGTTAAAGATGCAAAATGACTTGTGAAAGAAAGGTGCCATTAACTGTTGTAAGAGAGCAAAGAGTAGGAGCTGATTTCTTGTTGGGACAGATAATGAGTCCTCTTTTGGATATAGTGATTTTGAGGTAACAGTGGGCCATACTGAGATGCTTAAATAAGTAGTTAATAAGAAATTAGAACTTGAAAGAGGTCAAGAAAGGACATAGGAATCAGTGAACCATTCACATACTAATGACAGTTGAAGTGCTTTAGTGGGAGAGATTGTGATAGAGAATTTAGAGAAGCATGATGGAATCTTGTAGAGAAGCTAATTCTGGCACATTCGGAGGAAGAGTCCAAGAGAATACCTAGTGAAAAAGGAAAACAAGGAAATAATAATTTCAGGAAAGTTAAGATTGAATGTAGTTTTAGGAATGTTGGAGAATGTTGGGGAAGAGGGGCGGGAGTAGCAATGCTTAACAATTTAATATTCTGTAGTGTGGTTGAGAAGTAGGCAGTTACTAATCGGATCAGAAGCCAGACTGCAAGACTACGGACACATAAAGGGACACAATAAGATGGTAAATTATGTGAGTTGCAGAGTTAAGATAATTACGTATGGGGTATTTCCACTTTTACCTAATATGACATATAAACCCATGGAGGATGTTTATATGGATTGTATTGAAATGTATTGTAGAAATATATTTTACAAAACAATTATAGCTGATATCATCTATCATATCTGGGGAGATATAAAGGTTAAGGTAGATTTTTTTAGAGGGTGTCACAATTCCGTATTGAGGATAATCACACAGACAAGCTATGCTGATTTCCATAAGCAAGCTGTGTTTAGAAATGTGTCAAATTTTGGGATATAAGACTCCAAAATTGGTTAAAAAAAAAAATTACAACGAATGGGATGGCTAGTATTTTTAATTTAAGTCTCATTGTGCATATCCATAGACTTGCTGTCTTATAAAACTTTGAGTTGGGTCTCATGTGATTTAAAAATTAAGAAAAGGCCGGGCGCAGTGGCTGACGCCTATAATCCCAGCACTCTGGGAGGCCGAGACGGGCTGATCACGAGGTCAGGAGATCGAGACCATCCTGGCTAACAAGGTGAAACCCCGTCTCTACTAAAAATACACAAAAAAAAAATTTAGCTGGACATGGTGGTGGGTGCCTGTAGTCCCAGCTACTCGGGAGGCTGAGGCAGGAGAATGGCATGAACCCGGGAGGCAGAGCTTGCAGTGAGCCGAGATCGCACCACTGCACTCCAGCCTGGGCAACAGAGTGGGACTCCGTCTCAAAAAAATTAAGAAAGAAAGAAAGAAAAAGAAAAGAATTAAATGTTCCGTAAAGTTTGTTCTACGTGTAATATTTTTAATTTTATTCTATAATTGTAGCATGCATTTCCCAGAAAAAGACTTTCATATTTTAATAGTTGATATGTAAATTCTGAAGGACGTCTGTAAATTCTGAATTGACGTTGTCAATCCTCTTTCTATAGGACTGTTAAGAAACAGTAGTAGTCAAGATGGTGAAGTAGCTAAAATCTCTAGTTTGTTTCCCCTAACTATACAACTTATCAATAAAAGTGTAACTGAAAGCATGAATAAAATTTACATCTGAAGTCAACCGTAGGGTTGGAATCCAAATCCAAGCGCTATTACATTTAATTTATGTAATAGTACTTAACTGAAAAATTAAATAGATTTTAGTATTAATAATGTTAAAAAGTGGAGAAAATCCTAGGAACAATAATACATGCTTTGCTAAAAAGAACATTTTTATATATAAAAGGTGGGAAATCTAATATCCTAATATTTGACTACATTAAGCTACTTTTTAAAATTTTACTCACAAAATGTACGTAAAAGGAAAGGAAATCATTTAGATGGAAATTTGGGCTCACTTCCTTGGTCTTTAGCATGATAGATAATCTACTGGATAAGCCAGGGGTTCACTGTGGTTCAGTTATTACCATCTTTTGATTGCCACCTTTAAAAAACTGCAGGTTTAAATGGGTTTGGAAGATTGAAGGAAGGCCTTATAACTGTCACACTGTTTTCTTATTCCTTGTTCATGTTCTCTTTGGCTCCTTTTCTTTCTCTTCTATTGGTCCCCTTTTTCCTTCACCCTGTCTTCTTATAGACCAATGTTTCATAATTAAAACAGGTCTCCAGTTTTATCTTGGCAAATAAGTCCTATGCACTGGATTTTGCTGTTAATGCTGTCACTAGGCCTGGGTGATGTAAAATTGCCTTAGGAGCCAAGGGACAGACAAGTAACAAGACTTCCTATTCGTAGTATGGCTTCTCATCTGCGTTTTGTGAAAATACATCCGAAGAGGAATGGGCTGCAACAGTATAGTGTTTTCCTTGAGAAGCATCTCTCAAGGTTTGGCCCAGTGCGCTACTACTGGTTGTTTCAAAATAACAGGGAGTGGTTTTCAGTATGTTTGTGTTTTAACAAGTTCTCCAGGTGACCAAATGCTTTTCATTATCTAATTTCCTATTGCAATCCTATAAGGTAGGATTGTCTCAATTTGACAGATAAGCAAACAGGTAAAGGCTATATATATGGTGTTGTTAATGGAATTTCTAATGAGAATAATGGTTTATTTCATGATATACCTTCTTTCGGACCTGTTACTATTGTAAACATAGTTTTCCATGTGAGCAGCTGCAAGGCTCTTTTCCCCCAAATGTAGTACTTTAGAGGAGCATTTAATATGACAGGTGTAAATGGAAATAGAATAAAATTTTCTGTTCCTCATCTATATTAACAGTTTAGTGGTGTAGCTGCTTAGCCCATTTCTATACCAAAGTTGTTTTTTTTTTAAATTTTAAAGAGTGATACCTAAACGTTGTATCATTCATGTCCCAATTTTGAAATATTACCGTCTCTCACTAGTCATCATCATGTACGTTTTAAGCATCCTTTGCACACTGTGTTCATTCCTTTGGTTCATCTATCTGACAGTGTTTCATTCATATGCTAGCAAATATGTATGGAGTTAGTGTGTTTGGGTATTGGGTTAACATAATTTTGTGCAAACCTTATCAGGGTTTCCTATCAGAATTAAGAAAGTATCACTATACCCTCCATTATTCTCATTGACATTTTGTTAATTTATTTTTGTGTGTGTTCCAACAAAACTTTACTTATAGACACAAATGTAAATTTTATATCGTTTTCACATATTGTAAAATATTCTTCTTTTTTTCAACCATTTAAAAATGTTGAAACTGTTTTCATAGCTGGTAGAATTTGGCCCATGGGCTGTGTTTGACTGACTCCTGGACTAGCATCTCAACCATGAGCACTCAATGACATTTTAGATATCACTCTAAGAATATTCCGGCTGTCTTTCAAGTACACTGTTATTTGAGCCAATGACATATTTTATTTAAACATTTACATTTAGCTCAATATCTTTGGAAGATTGGCATTGAACTTACATTATTGAAAATTAATCTAGGTTATTACCTGTTGTGAAATGCATTATGTCTAACTCTAAATCTTCACAGATAAAATAAATAAGTTGTTAAAATTTCATATAGTTGTTTCAAGCAGAAAAGAGCATAGGTCTGTAATATGGTATGCTTAATCTTGCCTCTAGGACACTGTCTGTAATTTTATTTTGGATAAATTTTGTTAGTATTAATAATACTGAAAATATTTTCTTTATTGTGTACTTTATGGAGGCAAAAAAGTATTAGTTGAGGAGGACCAAACTTATTGTGAAATAAGCATTTTAGTATGGACATTAACATGAATTTTTCTAGTATAAATTTCTCTTGGAGAAATCCTCCCTATGTAGAATGTTTTCACTTCGGATATTGGTTGCTTTATCATACTTTAACCCTAGCTGAAACTGCTGAGGGTTTCACTGTTTACCCATTTTATAGTCACTATGGGTAGGGTGTGCCTACAATATTTTTGTCCCGAAACACATCAAGCATCTTAGAATGATTTGGCTACATTGTTAGGGAGAAAGGATATAGTGTTTACTTCAGAAACTCATTATCATTTTAAGATAATTCACATCACATCATATGAATTAATGGGCATTAGAAGGAAGGTGCTGACTCTAATGTTCAAACAGATTTTGTTATTACCCTGTTATTACAGCATCATTGTTAGTATCAGCACTACCAAATCCATGAACAAGAATAAGTTAGAATGCTTATACATTCTTAACCTTTGTTCTTTAAACCTTTATCTACTGGAAGAAAACAATATAAAATGGCTGATATCACCAAAATACTCCCTTATTTTCTGTGTGTGGGGAAGAGGAGAGTGGAACCCCCAAAAAGCTCTTAAAGAGATAGGACCTTTTGTAAGTATTACTATGTTGAGCAGGAGGGAAGAAGTCTTCCAATTATAGTACGATGACAATTTTCATGAACCAATCTTGGTTTTTAAATTAATAATGTTGATGTTTCTATTTTGGCTAAACAGTACCATCATACCTCATTGTATACAATAGGGTTGTTATGAAAATGTACATGTATATTTGCTTTTTACAGATCAAATTTTCTTTACAAATAATTTTAGTATGTTTCTAATATGAGTCTCAATAATTTACTTGCTTTAACAGAGTTCTATATTACTTTAGTAATCTCAAATTTATCAAGTTTTTTTAAAATACAGTTTTATGTTTTGTTATGTCCTGAGAGTAGAAATAGTTATAGACCATTGAGTGACAAGAATGACTGGTCACAGCTTTAAATTTAAACTTAAATGTGTGTGTGTGTGTGTTGTAAGAGAGAACTGGTTTTTTTTTTTTTTTTTGGTTCTTTTGCCATTTTAGGAATAAAAATGGGATATTGCTATTATATATGTGTGTGTAAATGTAAACCTATATTTGCTATATGCATGAGTATACATGTGTAACTCTGTATGCATCTATAAAGTTATATGCAGTGAGATTAACCAAAGAATGAAGGATACCCAAACTTAAGACTTGCCATGTAAGTCTCTGCCTCTAAAACTACTAAAAGAGTATGTGCCCTTAATTTGCAGTGTTTCAAATGGCAATCATAGGAAAGAGAAAAATAAGAATTTTGTATTTTTTTCAGGCAGCACAAATTATTAGGTCCTTAGATACAATTCAATTCAGTGAATGTTTGTTGAATGCCAAGTCAGTGTTCTAGGTACAGAAGATACAGCAGTGGACAAGATAGAAACGCCTATGTTTTTGTATCTCCAGTGGGAGTAATCAGATTAAAAATATAATGAATAGGTAAAATATATAGTTTGCCATATAACAATAAGCAATATAGGAAAAATAAAGCAGGAGATGGGGAATGAGAATGATAGGAAAAGATAAATGTAAAAATCCATCCTGAGAAAATGACATTTGAACAAAAGACTTGAAGGAGTTGAGGGAATGAATCATGCAGATATTTGGGGGACGATCATTCCAGTTAAGAGAACAAAAAACAAAACCAAACAAAACAAAAAAACAAAGGACCTGACAGTTTTGAAGCACAGCAAGGAGGCCAGTATAGCTAGAATGAAATAACCTGAGGCGAGGTTAGGAGGTAGTAAGTTGAGAGAGGTAAAGAGAGGCTACATTGTACAGTATCGAAGGCTAGCGCATAGCTTTATCTTTTACGGAAAGAAGTGAAAGCTATTGGAAGCTTTCAAACACAGCAGAGAAATGAAATGTCTTTACAGCCCAGCATAAAATATTTCTTATAATTTCAGACTTCTTTAGAACAGTCCCAAACTTTTAGGGGCTTCAGGAATTATCCCAGAATTTTTAATCCAAAATCATATAGGTACGTGGCATTTGCTCTCACTCCTGGAGCTCTTTTCCTGGGATCCATTAGGACCTACTCTAAGGATATGGATTTTTTTCTTTTTTGTGGAAGGGCGAGAGGGGTGCAAATGCCGAAGAGTTATCACTTTGAAGTCTGTCTTTCAGGATTATTTATAGCCAAAAACTCAAGTAGAGGGTGACTCAGTGGTCTCATCATTGCTTCATAACTTAGGAAATTGTTCAACCGACCCACATAGCCTGGTGGAGTTAATAAAAGCATATTATATGGCCAAGATACATCTGTGTATATCCTCATACATTTAAAGCAGGTATTTGAACCACTGCCCAAAAATTATTAAAGAGAAACCCTGCAGGTTTAAGTATCTCTGTTAATCTGATTGTACCAATACCTAGTCTGAAATAAATGATACTCTTATTTTTCAAGAGTTCAACTAGTTAAGGTACCAAAAGAAGAGGAGGGTGTCAGGAATCCATTCTAGTTATATGATTTGAATTGATAAAGTGTATTAGTGTTAATTAAGGCTACTTTGAAGCTGTGTTTTTTTCAGATTTTACGTTGGAGATGGACTCGTGTTTTGATTTTCAACATATAAAAATAGTTACTAATTTCCCCCTTAAATGTTTAAATAAAAATACCTACTGTGCAGTAGCGTGGAGCAGAGCATCAAACTTAGCTCTGCTGAGTATATATATATATAAATATATATATAAATATTTATATATATTTATATATAAATTTATAAATATATTTTGTCTTAAGGCTTTGCAATGTGAAAAAATGTTTAAATATACACACATATATACGCACCACTATATAAGAATGAGTAAATACACTATATTAGAATGGAAATCACTATATTGGTGATCTGTTTAGGTAGTTTCAGTTAGTTTTTTTCATGCATTAGAATTGTAAAACCCTATAATTTTGCAGTTAGGAACAATTGGTCTTCATTTAGGAGACACAGTTTAGAAGCTAAACACAGTTTGAGAATTTAATCCAGACTTAATTCCTCCTACCTAGTTCCTAGTAAGGCCCAGTAGAATATGAAAATTCCACCACCAGTGATACTTATATTTGGTGCCTGCTTGTTCTACAGCTTTCAGTGTCATTAAACTCCTTGATATGATTTTTAAGCATTAGCTATGCAACTCAGCTATGAATATGTGACCTTTGACTGCTGTTAACTTATGAAATTCAAACTACTCATTCAAATGTACTTCTCTTTTACCCTTTTCCTGAAATTTATCCTCCAGGGATACTTACAGGTCTTTAGAATAATGATACATTTACTTTCCCTGCTTTTCTCCATTGACCATCACCATCTTATTGGATTCTGCAGGGCTTTGTTCAATGTTACATTGCAATGTTTACTATTAAGTAAGAAAGAATTCAGCTGCCAGGCAAGATTTTAGGCAAAAGGACTTTGAATGAAGTGGCACTGTGTAATTAGAGTCCTAAACACCATGGATTCATTATAATTTAAAAGTGTTCATCATAACTGAGTTGTAGTTAAAAGGATTTTTTAAAAGATTGGGTATCAATAAGTAACAGTTAGAGGTTTTCTAGACTCCCCTTTATGTGGCTGAATGACAGCTGCACATCAGGCAGGTTTCAGACTCTTAAATTACACCCGTTTTCTTGACCTTGTCGCCCAGACTTCAGAATATTTTTTGTTTATTAGTTAAATACTATTCAGTAATTTAAATACCAGAAAGGTTCATTCTTTGAAGATTGTTTCCAGGAAGAGAAAATGGTAATCAATAGAGATGTTACAATAATTTTATATTTCATATACATACATATGTGTGCACACAAACACACATTCTCCTGAGGGTGGCTGTCTGTAAACTGTAGCTTCATTGTATAGCAGCAACCTTTGGAAATTCACTAACTGATACACAGCAAAGGCTCTGTTGCCTGGCTAGTCCTACCCACAAAACTCCCATTCAGCATTTTTTCTGTTTTCCCGGATTATTTGAACAGTTAATAGGCACATACACATGAGCACACACTCTCACACACTCACATACGTGCTTATCCCACATCACAAAAACCACCCTCACATTTGGCTCGATCTGATGCTCAATTTAGCCACAAGGCAAGACTTAAAGGAGCTTCTGTCAACTCTGTTAAAAGGAAATCCAAAGGTAGTCTAAAAAGGTAAAATTTGAGGAACATAGTTGAGGTACAGAAAAGGGGAAAATGTATTTAAAGTCGTAATATAACTTTTCTGTGATAAACAGAATGAGTCTCTAGAGCATCTGTTGCCAGAATTTTTTATGAGCTGTGTTCTTTGAAAAATCTTATACAAGTCCATCCATCAAAAAAAAAAAAGTCAATGGTAAAAGATTCCATTTTGAATCTACCGTTTTTAAAAATGCACTACTCTTATTTTCAGTGCCACCTACACTGATTCCTCCCATTTTCCAGAAAATTCAAAGGGCTACTCTGTTCTAGGAAGAGGTGAAATCCTAACTATGTTAGGTGTCATGTAACCTATCCCTTTTAAGATACTGCAACATGAATCCTCATGGTCAAATCTGCCAGTAAAACTTTAAATTCAAGAGCCGTAGCCACTGGATGTTATTCCAGTTTACTGTGGAGAATTTCTTATTGTGTTTTTGTTAGAAATAAATTTATTAAATTTTTAATATATTAGCGGAATTGTTAAAAAAAATTCTAATCTAAAATAGTACACTTTAAAAATCATTGAGATGCTTAACATCTGTAGGAAAATCTAAATGTGACTTATTTGACTAAGAAATGATACTATTTTAATGCCAGTACTATAAAAATGAAATTTTCTTTTGTAGACCTAAACTAGTCCTAAGGTAATCAGCTGTTGTATCAGCAGAATATATGAACATATGTAGCTCACAGCTATACTTTTATGAAAAGGATGAAATAAAAAATTATTTGTATATTTTTACAGAAATAGTTTTTAAACGTTCTTCTTACAAGGAACATGAAGTATCATCTGTAAACATTGCGTTTTTGTTTTTGCTACGTTGATTAAATGACTACTATATGATAGACATATCTTTTGGAGGGAATGCTAAAATAAGTAAGGCTCTACCTCTAACCCTGCTGGAGGTAAAAAATAAAGAATAGTACTATCATTTTTGGCAGTTACCTTATGTCATTTCATTTAACCCAGTAGTTTACAATCTACTGGGAGACAATGGTACATATAGTAGCTGCTAGACTACAAGATCTGTGAAAAAATATGTTGACATCAACTCTAAGATTATATTCTTGAAAACTCTAAAGAGAATTTGCCAAATAAGACTTTATGGGGAGTAAGATTTATAAGTGAACCTATATAAACGTTTATTTAAGTAAATAAGTATTAGGTAAATATGCGTATAAATACTTATTTTTCTGTTCACTAAAATAAACCAGTAAACAGCACACCAATTAAAGAGAAAATCAATAAAACTCTTCATATCATATAGGAGTATATTAAAATAGAGGATTATCTAGATAAAACTTTTAAAATATTTTTCCTCTCTGGTTTCAATGAAATTCTTGTTAATTCATATTACATTAAACATTTCAATGATGGATTATAAAGAAAAACTGTATACATCTTTGTAGGTTTATCTGTAACAAAACAAATATGCCATAGTCACCATACCCTGTGATGGTAACAGACCTGGAGAACCATTCTGTCTCTTGGGAAAGTTAGTGTAAATTGCTAGTACCTAGGTGACAAAATTTAAGAAGGAATGCATTCTCAGTGTCTTGAAAATACAGAAGAGTTGACAGTGTGCTACCTCAAGAGTGAATGCCTGCTTAAATTTTGCACCTTGGTGCTTTTCTTACTTCACCATTGTCTGGTCCAGCTCTGAAGACAGAGATCCGGTTTATGTTGCTTCTGGCTGTACCCTGTAGTTATGATATATGGACATTTAATTTTTGTGTTAAGTTCGGAACCTGGCTTCTTAGAGCTTCCCCACTATTTTGCTTAATCTTCACACAACATGATCTTGCTTACCCTAAATTTGCGTCAAGCAATTCAGCAAATTCTGCAGAAAGGCACTTTTTAGAATTCCCCACCTATACCCCATAAAATACAGAATAGTTTTATTTGTTTTTCCTTCAGTCCAGTATAGTTCTTCTTAAATATTCATGTGCTGAAAAGTTACTCTTTAGGGTTGGGTACTACAAAATACATATTGTACCTTCTGGGTAAATAAAGCTATTTTCAAGGGTTATTTTCTTTATAAGCTACTTTTGGCTAATGTACTGATTTTAGTGTCTGCCCCTCACCCTAAAGGCCTAGCAGAGTGTATGTCACCGAGTAGGCACTTAATAAATGCATGTTAAATAAATGGCTTACACTGTAACTACCAATTTTTTTACTTTAAAATTTGTAGTCATTCATGATTCGCATATATTTTATCAAGAATTCTTGCAGTGATGAAAAATATACAAATGTATATCTACTTATTTTCATATGAGGAGAATTTATAGTTACAGGAAGATTACTGTAATTTCAGAGGAAGTTCGAAAATCCTTAGGTGAAAGTCTTACATGAAAAACGTTTTAGGTCTCTCCTCTATTTTCCAGGTTTTATCCTTGAAATTTTTTGTCTTGACTATCAAGTCCAAATTTCGAAAACCTTAATTAAGGTCTCAGTAGATTTCTTTATAATATTAGCCAGTTTTACCTTTAAGACTACTTAGTGACAGAGAACAGAAGGAAGAGGTGAGTTGTCTTCAACTAGTCACTGATTTCTTTCTGTTCATCCAGGACAGTAAAATATTTTTTGAAAAGAAAGCAAAAGTAAGAGCAAGACTTCTCAGCTCGAAAGACAGATACCACAACAGATGATGAGGTCAAAGCAGTTTAAATCATCACATACAGACAATACAGTTGTTTTCCAAGGAATTCTTTGGCAGCATCTGAAACTGCTCCATATCGCAGTGCTTTGTCCAAGTTTTTTTTTTTTTTTTTTTTTTTTTTTTTTTTTTTTTTTTGAGACAGAGCCTCACTCTATTGCCCAGGCTGCAGTGCAATGGTAAGATCTCGGCTCACTGCAACCTCTGCCTCCTGGGTTCAAGCAATCCTCCTGCCTCAGCCTCCTGCATAGCTGGGATTACAGGCATGCACCACCACACCCAGCTAATTTTTGTATTTTTAGTAGAGATGGTGTTTCACCATGTTGGCCACGCTGGTCTCGAACTTCTGACCTCATGATCCACCCACCTCGGTCTCCCAAAGTTCTGGGATTACAGTCATGAGCCACTGTGCCTGGCCTGTCCGAGATTTTTATCGCCTTAGTTATGTGTATCCCCATGTGTGAAATGATGGGTCATTACTATTTTTCCTCAGTTGACTGTGGGGTTTTCGTATCTCTATTCTATATTCCCATTGTAGACACTCTCTCAATCTCTTCCCTATACTTAACATTCTAAGCTTTCCTTCTGGTCTTTCATCAGCACTTTACAATAAAGTTTTTCTATATAGTTGTGTACACGTTTGACACCTGCAAATAACTTTCTATATTATAATTTTCACATATAAAAATGAAAACTTAGATACTATTTAAAAATCTTCCCTGATTAATAAATTTGATTTTAAAATTAAAGAATAAATCTTAGAAAGAGATAATTTAATATTTTTACTCTATATCCCCTACTAATTTTTGCTAGAGTCAGTCTTGTCTATAGGTATTCTATATACAAGTAAAATTAAAAAGTGATACCTATTTCAAAAAAGTGATACCTATTTCAAATACTTTATTTGAAATAGGTATCACTTTTTAATTTCACTATTTGTCAAACCTTGGGAGTTTCAGTATTTCACTTATTATAAACTATGTTTAAAGAACCACATCAACCACAATTTAGAAGTTACTGAGTCTCAGTAATTCATATAAACAAAGTAAGTGGGTGATCAAATTTATAAGATCTCATCTTCTCTGATTTTTTTTATTGGTTAAAGTGGTAGTCTAATTGGTCTGAACTTTAGTATGTGATATACCTTCACAACAATGCAGGTTGTGGATAAGGAACTTGGCAATGAAATTTCCATAGTACATTATGGCCTTTATGTCTGCAGGATACCTGTCAGCCCATTGAACACTGCAGCTGAAATGCTCTGAAACACAATTATCTCATTCCACTATAAACAACTAAAGCCCGTGCAGTGGCACATGCTTATGCAGCTACTCCGGGTGCTGAGGCAGGAGGATCCCTTGAGCCCTACAATTTGAGGCTGTAGTATGCTATGATTGCACCTGCAAATAGCCACTGCATTCCAGCCTGGGCAACATAGTGAGACTCTGTTTCTAAAAACAAAAACAACTGGAAATTCAAGCACACTTGCATAGTTCAGGAAAACAATATCTGAGACAATAGAAGCCGAATATGTAATTATGATTACTCCATAGTCAGGAGTTGGACCCAAGAAAGTGTTTTGTGTAGCTTGAGTCCTGTCATCTTCTACACCTGTGGTAATAACCATTCTTAAGAAAAGCTGCCTCTGTGTAATTAACAAGTCTTCATTACTGGTAGATAGGTTGGAAAAAATAGAAATTTCCTCTGAAATTTTGATCCTCAGCAGTTGTTAGACTGGTAACGTTATTTACTGAGATGAGGGACATTGGAAGAATGGAAGAATTAGGGTTTTCCCAAGTTGAAATGCCAATTTGCCAATTACTTGCTGCAAGAATGTAGGCAACATTTTCTCAGTTTTAATGGAATATTAATTGTCTACCTTATAGAGCGGGGTGTAAATATTAAATGAGATTGCATGCATAGAAAAAGCCTATTACTGTGCTTGGCCCTTTGTCTGTACTCAATAACTAGACACTAACTTTTATTAGTAGGGTACAGTCTGGATAGGCCGGCTTGTAACTGAAAGACAATCACAGGTATTTAGGAGACAGTTGAAAACATGAGTCTGGTCATAAGTAGAATGATTCTGGATTAATTTACATAGAAGTGATAATAGAAATAGTTAAGATCAATAGTGGAAAATGTATCAATTGAAAAGAAAGGAGTGTTCACAGAACTTTCGTGTGTGTGTGTGTGTGTGTGTGTGTGTGTGAGAGATTGAGAGAGAGAGAGAGAGAGAGAGTTGTGAGAGGTACCAGGGAGGGCAGGCGCTGCAAGAAGGGACAATGAGGTTGTGAAAGAAATAACAGAATTAAGAGTGTGACATCATAAAGTCACTATTATTTATTGAATGTATGGTATCGAGTTCTTGACAGAATTTTTATTTTCTAAAACAATGCCTTTCTTGAAAACTTTATTCATATTTAATACATGCGTATGTATATTTTGCAAATCATGACACTTAAGATATGATTATGAAATAATAAAATTCACATAAACACAGAAAATTATGTAAATGAAGAGAAATAATAATGTCTTCTGGCAATTAAGTAGAACACATAAACTGGAAAAATTAAAGCAAATGTTGTTCTATTTCATACATTTGTTTTTCAGTTTTATAGTTATTATCATAGTGATTATCATATTGAGCCCAAATTGTTAGGTACATTCTATATGAACATATTTTCTGAATTTGATGCTCTTTAGGCAGAGTGTAAGGATTTGTTACAGGTTTGCTTTACATAGTTCTCTTAATAGTGCTTATAAAAAGCATTCTGTGATATTTACCATACAAATTATTCTAAGAATGGACTTGCGGGGTTGAGCTTGAAAAAGCTGGAGTGTTACATTTTCCTGAGGCACAGATTTGTTGTTTTTCAAAAGTATGAAATGTATCAGTGTTTCTATGTACATGGTTATTTTTCTTATTTTCTTTCTCACATATATCTGGTAATATCCAGATCAAGATCTGATTTTATTAGTTGCATTTCAACTGCAGTAAAAGTAATTTTGTGTTCTATTACCTTTTTCTGTGATCTCCTTATAAAACTTGAAATTGAGGTTGGCATATTTGTAAATATGATTTTCTTTCCTAGATATTTTCAAAGTGTATTTACTTGACAGATAAATTATCCTGAGAATTTTAATGGTAGCATTGGCTATATTAATACAATAAGAAATTAGCCTTTCAAGATCTAGGTTAATATTTTCCGTGAGACCTTGCCCCTAAACACGTGATACTTCAATTGAAAGAATATCCTAAAAAGAAACATATTCTCCTTTAAGAATAGGCCAGAGGCAGATAGAATAAAACTGGTTCACACTCTCCTTCGGATCACATTTATTAGAAAAGGAAGATTTCCATTCTCTCACTTAAAAGGTTAATACTGCTAAGAATGGGAAAAAAACGCATGTTCCTTGGATATTGTTGGCAGTCACCATTGTTACCCTCAGAATTAAAATATATGTTAAGCACACGGCAAGATGGCCTTTGAAAATGGTAACATAATTTAATGTTTTTTTTTTTTATTTCAAAGAAAGGATCAGAATTAAAGGAGGAAAATGGATAATCTTTGATTGCATTATGATCTAGTCACTCGTTCAGTTTTCTTTCTTTCTTTTCTCTGCCCTCCTTTTCTTTTCTGTGTGCTCTTGCCCATACATATTTCTTATATCAGTTCTGGAGATTTATGATTTATACTTATGTTTTGACAACATTTTTATTTAAATGTGGCAGCTCTGCTCTCTGAAGAAAAGATTCATTGGCAGACCTTAGGAATAGGTTACAAATATTCTCTATGGCCCTTAATAAATTTATTTTTATCTTGTATTAGGTTTCTTCAGCTATAATAAACACAGAAACAGTATAATTTTTTGGTACTTAATCTGTTTTGTTGTTTAAATTCAATACTATTCATTTCTAGTGAATGCTGTGTGGCACATGGTATGTGCTTAATTGATATATATTAAAATATTGATTAATATGAAATTACTTATTTCATCAGTTTATTCAACAATATAGAATTTCTGCTGTGTTCTTGTCAAATTGTATAAAATCTGAACTCTCTGCCGTTAAATTCTTATCAAAAGCTCACTTACAAAATAGAATATTCATATCTGATTACCCCAAGTCCAAGCATACCTAAAGGTTTCTAAATTTTATCCCTGGATGAAACAGAACTTTATCATGTTTCATTCCCAGGCCATTATACAATTGCTTTTATTAAACCGTGCTTTGACATTACCTCGTAAGTCCACCCAGAAGAATTTTAAAAGAAATGTTCATTAAAAAAAAATGCTATTACAAGCACGTAGTTTACTAAATCAAATCAAGTGTTCCATTAATGAGGACCCATGGGAAAATTTTCACTCAGGTTTGTGTGTTAAGAAAGCTTGTTTCTGTGCGACTGATTTGTTTTTATCTGATGGACATCATAAAACTGTAAACTGTTTCTCTTACAGCTCTGGACAATAGGATGCCCTAGCAATTGTACTAAACCTTAGGTTTACATTTGCTACTCTCTGACCTGAATCCTTCTACTCATTTTATTTCCAAGTCCTTCTTTTTCTGCCTTTTAAAATTTATTTTTATTTTTGAACTTTGTCTTTCTGTAACTCCAATTTTGTTTTTTTAAATGATAAACCATAATAAAAATGAATACTACAACTTTTTAATAACACTTTCACACCTGTGTTTAGCTAGTATTTAGTCTTTTTGTTATATCTAGTATAATATATATTCAAATTCCAATATCAAATAAATAGATGAGCAGTATCTTTCTCATTGTCTTCATTTCATAAGACTCTTTGCTCAGATCCTGTTACTTCTGCTGCAGCATCTCGGGTCTAAGCAGGAGCACTTTCTCACTTTCCTATGTATTATCTCTGCTAAAGTTGATGTGTAATGGTTATGAGCATTGAGCCTGTAACTACAGTGTCATGAATTTTATAACCCTTATTTTACTTTACAACTAACATCAATAATGTTTCTAGTTTTTTAATCAACCTATACTAAGTTGAAGTCTCTTTGATTGATTAGACGACAACAATCACTGTGGTTTGTTTCCAGAATAGACTAGTATGTCACACTATGTTCCTAGTCTGTTTTAGTTGAGTATATTCTCTTACTGAAGACTTTAAATTTCTATGTTAGCAATGGGTGTTACTTGAAAGGAATGTAATTTTGATTCTAATGAAGTTGCTATTGATATATTTCAGATGACTGTGTTCATCGTGTATGCAAATTTTGGATCGAAGAAAATGTGTAATTTTCTTTTAACCAATGATATGGAAAAGAAAGGTTTCTAACTGCCCTTTAATATAAAATTAGTCGGTTTAAATCTTTTGTTTTAAGTAGTCACAAAGGAATTGAAAATGGAAAAAAGTGAGACCAAAATTCTTTCATACTGTTTTAAATAGTTTGTTCACAGAGCAGACGACTTTGGTACTTCAGAATGTCAGATCTCTTCCGATTGGTGTATTTAAAATCTTAAGTTCCTTTATCATACCAGTTACTTTCATATATCCTAAATGCTTGTTTTATCAGTTGTTTGTGCAGAGATAAACCTACAGTTAAGTTTTAATGAGTATCTAATGCTTCTAAATTACAATTTGAAGATGTATAGAAATTATGTGGTTCTAATGCATACTCTACTCCTTCCTCCATCTAAGATCAAAAGAAGTTCTGTGAATTATCTAAAGCTGTTTATTGTTGGCAGAGTGCTTATGGAAGAAAATAATCTCCTCTGACCTTTTTTGTTCTGGCTTACAGCAACTATGTGGGTAATATCAATAGTTCTCCAACTGTGATCACAGTAAACTTTTCATTTCACTCACTACAAAACTCGAAACAGGAACCTTAACTAATTCAGAAAAAGAAAAAAACATGTTAATAGATATTATTTGCATAATTTTAAGTTTTTGTTTTATAACTTTTCTCCAAAATCAGTGATGCTGGTCATTGCCTAGCTGATACAAGTCAAATCAAGAATGGGTCAGGCAAATATTAATAAAAATTCAGAGACAGTAAATGTTATAATACTTGGCTTTCAAATGTATCTCATTTGTGGATTTGTCATACTTTGATGTTATAGTTGCATACCTACGCTATTGTTACAATTTCTTCTAGAAAAATAATACGTGATTGATACAGTAGGAACACTGATCTCCTACAAAAGCACTATGATTTCTAGGTCTCTTTTTTCTTTTTTTTTTTTTTGAGATGGAGTCTCACTCTGTCCACCAATGGAAAAGTGGGTGTTTATTAAATGTTTTAGAACAGAAACAAAATAGTCCTTTCCAGATTTGATTTTCTTCCATTTACATGATTATTTTCCCAGGATTTTCTTAAAATCCTTGGTTACCAAGGAATATCTAAGCAGTAATTATCATTCCTGAAAAGAAAAATGTATGTTTAAAACAAGGACTTTTTATAATTTAAATAGCTACATACAATAGTTTGAACTTACTGCCTAAAATCTATTACCAAGAATATAAAATTTGTTTTTTAATATTTGTAAGTGGAAGTATGTCTTTCTGGTATGATTGAAACACTAGCTGTTGTGGGATAAACCAATAATTTCTTAAGATTCATATCCTATTATAACAAAACTTCACTATCCTTAGGAAAAGAATTGGATGAGCAATGGAAAAAGAATGGTTTCATGGTTCTTTTTAAAAATAAAAGCACTGAATTGATAACTAGAAAAGAAAACTTTTCATTTTAAATTTAAAGAAGCTTAGGTAACTTGTTTTCCCACTATTTAAAAAATCTTCACAGTTCTACTTTCCTGTTTGTAAATTCTGGCCCAAACAAGGAAAGAAAATGCCAACAAAAATGAGAGGAAAAAAATTTTTAATTTAACAACACCATGAAAAAAATCTAAAAAAACTATAATTCTTCTATTGCTTACTTTGAGAGACTAAATAGATTTGGATGGACTTACTAAAATTAAGGAGTCTTATGTTTTCTCGACATCAAGAAGCATCCCCAATGCATTTTAGTAGTGTTTGTGTGTTTGTGTCTGGGCATATGTATATTCCAACTATAAGTCCCTTTAATGCCTTACGAACATTTTTTTAAATGCATAGCATTATTCAACATTATTGTCCATCTAACTGATTTATTTGTGCATTCCTAGTGAGTGAGTTTAGAATTGATAAAAACAAAACAATAAACTACCACTTTATATTTTGTTCATGCATTCTTTCTTAGGAAGGCAGGTGATTACATAAAAAGTAAACTTTTGGAATAAATTATCAAAATTTACTATTTGAAATGATTTAGGCTTTTCATTAAAATTTTTTTATTTAATTTTGCAACATTCCACCGCTTGTTTCTTTTCCCCACAAATAAATCAATGTTTGGTTTAAACACAAATGACACCAATTCAGCATTTATACTAATCCTATAACAACAAACCAAAGGAAATGGAAAAATTAGGTATTTAAGGTAGTAGGTTTTTGATTTACAACTTCTCAAGACTAATTTTAAAGTAATGTCTAAATTCTCAATAAAAGCTCTCAGGTTGGGGAACAGTCACCTCTTATAAAATTTACTTTGTAGAATTCATGTCATTAATGGTAAATAAATTGCATCAAGAACACTTGTCAGTTGTGATCTTTCTCAAAGAAGATGCGCAAAGTGTTGATTAAATAGATGATTTTTAAATTTAATTTTTGAGACAGAATCTCCCTGTGTCACCCAGGCTAGAGTGCAGTGGCACAATCATGGCTCCCTGTAGCCTAGATCTCCCAGGCTCAAGTGGCCCTCCCACCTCAGCTTATCAAGTAGCTGGAACTACATGCATGTGCCATCACACTCAGCTGATTTCTTTTAATTTTGGCAGGCAGAGAAAAGATCTTGCTATGTTGCCCAGGCTGACCTTGAACTCCCGAGCTCAAGCATTCCTCCCACCTTACCCTCTCAAAGTGCTGGGATTACAGGTGTGAGCCACTGCGTGTGGCCAATGATTTTTTTTCTGATGCCATGAAGAAAGAGTTGCAATGCTTCTTCAAAACTGAAGAATCAGTAGAGCCTTGGAGAAGTCTGTGTACTCACACAACACCATTCTTTATTGCATATTCCCATTTTATTTTGGTTTTTATGTAAATTTGATGTGTAAATAAAATATATCGGCCAGGCATGTTGGCTCACGCCTCTAATCCCAGCACTTTGGGAGGCCAAGGCAGGCGGATCACGAGGTCAAGAGATCGAGACCATCCTGGCTAACACGGTGAGACCCTGTCTCTACTAAAAATACAAAAAATTAGCCGGGCGTGGTGGCGGGTGCCTGTAGTGCCAGCTACTCGGGAGGCTGAGGCGGGAAAATGGCGTGAACCCGGGAGGCGGAACCTGCAGTGAGCAGAGATCATGCCACTGCGCTCCAGCCTGGGTGACAGAGTGAGACTCTGTCTCAAAAATAAAAAAATAAAATGAATAAAATAAAATAAAAATAATCAAAGAACCATCCATAGGTCTAGATGGCATTTTCAAGATTTTATTATCCAGTTCCTCATTTTGCTAAGGAGAAGCCTATGAGATTTCATGATTTGCCCAGAGCTATTCAGTGATTGATAAAAGAGCCAGCTCAATGAGCCAAGTCTTCCCACCCTGAGGCCTGTGCATGGTTACTTTTTTTTTCCTTTCTCGTCATCATAATATTGCATTAAATATACTCAATTTGTTAGCTTATTTTAAATATCTTTTTGGAAATTTTAGATGTTAATTATTCAGCAGTTACATTCTGATTGAGTTTTGTTAAGAAGAGTAGAATAACGGTGTCACAAATGTTTAGTTGTTGTTTTTATAACAATCCTCCAGGTGATAAACTCCATGAAGGCAGGTAGGAGAGCCCAACTTGTTTATTGCCAGATTCCCAGACACTTGTCCAATGTCTGGGAATCTACGTGGTAAATTATCTGTATTTGTTGCATGTGGAGGAAATGCGCTTTAGTGGTGGCCTCTTTGGAGCCTGTCAGTTCCATGTCAATTAAACATTATCAAAATATCTGTTTTTTTCCTAAAATTTGGGTAAAGTTACTGTGAAGTAAAGACAAAAAGAAAAGAAAAATTTCTAAGATCTTGTGCTATATGGTTTTCATATGAATTAACACCTTCCTTTTTGCTTCTTTATTTGCAACAGTTTTATTATTTTCTGTTTGCTAGAACAAAAAATAAAGGCTTCTAGACAAGAGTTTTTCATATTGAATTCATGTTTTGCTATATAACTTGATTCTCTATTTCAACTTAATTCCTCAGCACATGGTCAAATTTACTATATTTCTAAATTGTAATACGCTAAAACTACTTTTAAATCTTTGCTTAGTTCTTTCTGGTCAAACAAAATTATCATTTGATTATCTGTTCTTCCCCCAGAATCAGTACATCTTTCAACACAATGAAATGGCTAAGGTACTATCCTTCTCATTAAATTACTGTTATACGAACTAGACATACTTCCTTTAGCTTACTTTCATTCCACATTAAATTACATTTATAAGGGGAACATAAAAAATATTGTTCTAGGCATTGGAGATACATTGAATAGCAAGATAGACAATGTCCTTACTCTTTAGAACTTATATACTAGTGGATGAAGACAGATTATAAGAAAATAAGAAAATATTATTTCAGACAGTATATGCCTTGAAGAAAGTGAATCAACATGATATAAGAGACAATGACTATGATGAGCTAATTTAGATACCTACAATGGTCAGAAAAAGTGTCTAAGAAAGGAGCATTTGAACTGAGAACTCACAGGTACGGCAGTGTGCTTTCTTCAGAGGAAAGGCTCTCAAAGGGCCTTACAGAATATTTATTAAATTTGATGATCAGAGAGCTTATAACCTTGTAAATCTGATTTTACCACCGCACACACACACACAAAAATTCATGTCTCTGTTGTAGATTTGCTTCATCCAAGTTCAGGAGACTAAACTATTTAACTGGAATCCAAAACTATAGTTTTAAAAAGCATAATTTTTCCTAAGTTCGGAATACTGAAGCACTTTATGACAAACATTTCTCTTCCTGTAGAAAGAGATAAATCTTTGTGGAAAGACAAATAGTTTTCTTAAAGATCATGATAAGCGTGTTAGTAGAACAAACTAGTTTTAAGAATTTGTTATTTGTAGTAAATGCACCTTCAACAATAGGGATGGCCTTGCCATTGTGCCAGATCTTTGATCATTTTCATTAAATCTGCTGTTCTTCCTCTTTCCTCTGTTCATCAAACCTTCACTCTCCTTACATCCGAAAGTTTTAGATACTTGGAACTTTCTCCCTGACTTTTTGGATACGTTAACACTTTCAAACAAGGTTACGTTAAATTCTTAAGGTTTCCACAGTCATTCTGCTTCTGCATATCTCTGATTTGTCTATTATGTCTTGATCCTGAGATTTATTATCTCTTTATTAGGTAATTGTATTTTTTACTACCGAATTCTTGGAGAAAACACAGATCACACGTATTCTCATTGTCCACATGTTTACCTAGTTGAAAATGACACAAGGTAAAAGCTTATCTAGAAGAATGTGATTATAAACTATTGATGAAGAAATATCAATATGACATAAATACTTATAGCTCTATAGTTTGTTTATTCTACATCTTTCCCTAGAGTTGGAAACTGAAATTATACCACTACTTAATATACTAGTGGATATTAGAATGAAGTTGACATTTCACATTTGTTGCATGCTTCTATATGCTGAGTGTAATGCTATGGAATTTTCTAGTCAATAAAAAAAAAGTGTATATCCAGTCTTACCAAGAAATCCAAGTCTTTTTAACTTGAGTTTCCATTCATTTCTTTTAACCTTAGAAAGTTATTATATTCTGTTAGTTTAACAATATCATGACTCATTGTTTCTATATAACTTCACCTAAATAAAAGTAGTTTCTGTATTTGGCCTTTAATTTAGCTTCAGTTTTCCAAATTCTCCTTGATCCTGCGTTGATTTAGGAATAAAGAAAAAGCATTATTTCCAAAGAAAGACTGATTGTGTTCTAAAGAACAGACAAGGAAGAAATGCATATACACATATAAACCCCAGAAAGGGGGTAAAAGCGGGGGAGAGAGAGAGAGAGAGTACAACACATTATAATGTGCTTGAAGTTTTACTTAAAGTGTTAAATTTTCTTTGGCTAATATATTTTGTTATTTATTTTAATAGTCTACCTGAAACCATTTCCTTTCTTTTACTTTCATCATTTTAAAGTAGTTTTTGAATTACTCTAAATGTAGAAGGATAGTAAGTAGTAAAATTAAACTGTTTTGTTTTCCTTTTTATGTTAGAAAAGGCAATCACAGCTGTTTTTAACAGGTAGACCTTGTAAGCATGCATGTTTTCTTTATTTTCATGTTGTTTTCAGTTATCTATTAGTAACAGTCATCTGTTAGCAGTATCATAACACATAGATTAGAAAGGGAGGCAGCTTTTAGTCCTGTGGTTAGTTGGCCAGAGCAGAGATGGAAGATTAAAAAAAAAAAAAATTCCTCCATGGTAACAGCAGAGGTTTCCATTAAAAGCATGAAAGAAAGGAAGTACAGAAAAGTTGAGCTGTTTTTGCTTCCTTAGGTAAGAAACCTTACCTTTGATACCGTGCCCTGTTTCCAAAATATGGGGACTGTTGTCTCTTCATAGAACATTTAACCGTCTGGGATGAGACAAGGGAATTACATGGGCAATATGACTGCCAAAATCAGTAAATGTATTAAGAGTGGTTAATAATCTTTTATAAAAATGAGCTTTTCTAGTTCATAAGTGGTGCATACCTCTAGAATCTTCCCTGATTCTTCCTCCCTTTCAGAAATTTCCTTCACTTTCTGCCCAGCTCCTCATGTCTAGAGTAGAGCCTCTACATTTCCCTGCCATTACTGCCACTCCCTACCAGCATACTCTATCTTATAATGCCAGACTCAGATTTTTAAATACCATTCTTAGTATTTTACATCTTATTAAAATACTTTCTTGGCTCTATAGTATATGCTTCATGAAATGCAAATTCTTAGCCCCTTTTTAAGACTTCCAAAATGTGATCAAATTAATTGCTCCATATTCATCAAATAGTCTACCTACCAGGATTGCCACACAAAACTTTTCACTTACTCTGTGTGCTTGCTCACAGCCCATTTTTGTACTCTTGTTCTAAATCTACTGGTTTAAAATAAATTCTCCCTCATTCAAGAGATTTTGACTAATTTTAGCCCTGATACGTTTCTTTCTTCTCTAATTTTTTATTACACTCAAAATCAGTATCACCCAGTTAGCACTTATTATTCCTTTTTGCTTCATGCATATCAGCTAAAAAAAAAAACAAAAAACCTCTCACTACATTGTAAGATCCTTGAAAGTAGATGCCAATCTTTTATAATTGAAGAAAAAAATCTATAAAATACCTAACAAAGTGTTGAGCATATAACTTAGCCTTTTGACTTACCGGTTCTCCTTTTTTTAAAAAATGATGTGTATAAATCTGTAGTCTTGTAATAGAAAATTTATAAAATTAAGAAAAAAATAGCACTCTTTCTGCTGACACGAGAATTAACCAGCTTTTTATTAAAGAATGTAGTTTATTAGACATTTTACCTCTAGTACATAAAATGTCCAGTATTCAGATTGCACAGATAATCCTAAAATGACAATATCAATCTTTATTAGAATAAAAACTTAAAAATTCTTGTCAAGACAACATTGATTAGGGAAAGGTGCTTGTATCATCACAGTACTTGTTAATGGTCAGTATAGAACCTTAGACTCAAATACACACACACACACACACACACACACACACACACAGTCTCGCTGTGTCTCATGCACACACATAAACACATGTCTTTTTCTAATTGGAGCACACATTGTATCATTAGGTTATTAGTCATGTATGCACATATATTTATGTGTATGTATGCATATGTGTGTGTGTGTGTGTGTGTGTGTATATATATATATATATATATATATATTTTAATCTGTGAAATTGAAGATTCAAGAAATAGTAAAGCTTTTGGGAAATTTCCCAAAGCCATATGTTTGAGATCAAAAGAAGTTGCCAGAAAACAGAAATAAGAAGTTCCCATGAAATTGGATTTAGGCTAATGTTTCTTCCTTATGATGCACTTTAGGTCAAACCATGAACAATTTAGTTTTGTCATATGGACTAGGAACAGTTTTTAAACAGAATATGACTGTATTATAGGTGTGCATATTAAAATCACAGATATCTTCGCATTAGCTTCTGAATTTGGTAAAAAACTAACCATGATTGGTTATTTTTGAATATGTGTATTAACATTTATTAGCATTTTCCTGCTGCTTGTTCATTTATTTTGTCATTTGGATGTGCTTGATGGCACATACTAGATAGCACATTTCAAAAGTTTGAGAAGGGCCTGAGTTAGTCTATTCAGTGGAAGTAAAATCACATGATTTTACTGGGTTCAGATGATTTTGTAATAAGTGTAATCTCCCCTTTTTTGCAATAATTGCTCTTGAATTTGCTATTGTGCCTGAAGTGTCATAAAAAAATAAACATTTCTCAAAATAGCATTTTTAAGGCCTACATTAGGTGAGTATTGCTAAATGACAATTTATGAAAGTTTCCATTTTGTATTTAGGGACATAATACTTAAACATTAGAATCCACCATGGAAAAGTTTTACTATGAAAGTATCTTATGCTGGAAGCAGTGAAGCCACACATATTGGTCATAAGCTTAGAATAGTTTCTCTGCTACAGTGATCTGCCTTTCCAGTAAAATGACTTAACAGTCTTTATTGCATTCACTGAGATTGTGCTGTCATCTAACCATTTTGATCTGAGGTGCTTTGTTCTAATTTTTCTGACTTTTCAGTTTCTACCTTCAGTACTCTAGCTTCTGAGGCCTACTGCAGATCCTTCTTGCCTTCACAAGCCATTTAAACACTTTTTGGCCTTGAGTCTCACCACTCTCTTATGAAGAAGAAGACATGATAATTTTCCTCTCATTTTTTCTCTTCAAGTATCCAGAGCTCTAGGTAAAAGGGCCTGCAACACAAGATCATTGGCACAGGACCACGTCATCCAGTTTGGCTCTCCCAGCCCTTCCTGTTAAAGGAGGGGAATTTACCAATCTGCTTATATACATTTCCTGATTAAATTCATTAAATTCCTTGCTGTTTCCTTATTATGCTATTCAAGATCCTTCGTGGTATGACTTCTCTCTACCTTTATAGCTTTAGCTCTCTCTACTTAAGATACCCATTTTATGCCCTACACATATCAAACTTCTTTTGGCTTTTGAAACATGCTAGGCTTTCTCTCTCATGCCTTTTTCCTTATTTCTTCACCTGCTTAGGATGATATTGTCCCGTTCATTCATATGGAAACTCCTTTTAGCTTATAAAACTTGGTTCACTTAACCTCGTTTTCCTCTGTAGACCTTCCACATTCATGTCTTTCCTTTGTGTCTAAATGTTTTTTAGAAAATAATAGCAACTATTCTTTTAGTTGAATAGAACTAGTTGAATAGAAAACTATTCTTGCCTAGATGTGCATATTAAAGTCATGATTCAATATTTAATCAATTTTTATTTGCAAGAAATACAACGGAGTCACATTTAAACTGGGTTACAGTTGTAAAGTTAGGAAGGACAATTACATTTGGAAATACCTCAGGAAGTTTCCATGATGAAGACTATCATGCCCTTGTCATTTGATCAGTCCATCAAACCACTGCAACATGTTGCCATTTCTTTGGTGGAGCCTCAGATGAAGTTGTTGATTTGTGTTTCATATTTTATGAAAAGTATGTATCTTTAAACACAAACCCACTCTTGGCACAGTGAGATGCTCAAACCATGAGAGCCATGCTAGAACTGAGACCAACTAAGGGAATAGCAATCTCATCTCTTATGTATCATGTGTCAGCTTACTCAGTGCAAGTACGTTGAAGGTGATGGAAGATAAAATTATTTCCCCTGCTTAATTTGTTTTATTTTATGTTTTCTTTCAATTTTTTTTTTCAAATGAGCATAGTTGAATTTAGATTAGTTAAATGTTTGTATAGTGTGACTCTGCAGTAAAGGAATGAAAGGGATCTTTTTGCTTAATTTACCCAAATAATTGTCAGTTTTATATATGCTTCAGAAAATATATGCATGCATATATAAGTTAGACTGTGCAAAGAAAGGTATGTATTGTGTGTGTATGTGTTTACTGAAATTTGAGAATAGAGGCAGACGTTATGGTCATTGCTCTCTGACATAATCAGTGTACCCAAAAAGAGTCTGAATTCATTAAAAATTGGAAAAATGTGAGCTCAGAATTGTTTAAGAGGACAAGGAAATTATATCACTCCTAGTTCCCTGTAACTTTTGATATTCTGATTACTGTCTGTCTTAATATATTTAATTAGATCTAACAAGAGTATCCCTGCCTGTATCCACAGTATAACTCCTTTGATGTATAGCATACATGGGAGATAATTAAGAAACTTAGATAATGCAAATTTATCATTTCTTTTACTGTAATTATGAGTAATCCAAATCATGGTCTTTGCTCACATCAAGAATGATCTCCAAATCCTATGTAATCTTGAGCTGCCTTAAAGCAAAGAGGATCTCTAAGAGTGTAGCAGAATATTCATATACTCATTTATTCATTCAACCAATGTTTGTTGTGTGTCTGACATATGCCAAGACAGATAACTTCCAGTTCTCCTAGAACTTGTGTTCTAGTGGGGAGGAAGAGAAAATAAATAAATGAATAATAAAATTACTTCTATTAGTGACAAGTGCTATAAAAATAAAGGAAAATGGATAGAAATTGAAAATAGGAAGTGACAATAAGGCTATATTGCTTTAGATCAGGGGTCCCCAACCCCTGGACCGCTGACCAGTACTGGTCCGTGGCCTGTTAGGAACCGGGCTGCACAGCAGGAGGTGAGTGGCGGGCGAGCATGACTGCCTGAGCTCCTCCTTCTGTCAGATCATCAGCAGCATTAGATTCTTATAGGCACACGAATCCTATTGTGAACTGCACATGCTAGGGATCTAGGTTGTGCACTCTGTATGAGAATCTAATGCCTGATGATCTGAGGTGGAACCATTTAATCCCAAAATTATCCTCCCTTCCACCATCCCCCTGTTAAAAAAAAATGTCTTCCACGAGACTGGTCCGTGGTGCTAAAAAGGTTGGGGACCACTGCTCTAAGGGAACCTCAAATACTCCTTCCTTGTCAATGGCATGGTCTTGCCTAAGTCTTCAACATCTCAAGGAATGTGACTTCTAAGGTCCCTTTCAACTCTAAAGTTCTGTTTCTATAGTTTCTTCTCTGATAAATTAATTTGTTTCAAAAATAAAATTTCTTGCCTTCCTCAGTCATATCCTTCTTTAAAAGTTTGAAGACTGTTACTTGCAGTTGATAGTTTATTTTTGTCCTTTTTAACTGTGTCATAATTCTACATTCCTATAGCAATATAAGACAGTGAGGAAAATAAATTGTTACTAATTAAACTAATTTTATATAAGTTCATTTAAGTTACAATGACCAGGAGAACTTAATTGGTCAAAAAAAGATAATGTTTTCAATGGAAATGTTATCACTAAGTTCATCGATTTGTAATTCTGAAAGTTTTTTGTGCTTGAATTTTCAACTTATAAATTTCATTTTCTCTGAGTACGATTATATTTATTAGCATTACTTAATTCAGTGAAAGAATTATAAGCAGTTTAATTCCTTATGAGAGTCTAATTAATGCCTAGTGATCTGAGGTAAAGCAGTTTCGTCTCGAAACCATCGTTCCCCACTCCCCTCCCCCTGCCCACAGTCCTTGGAAAAAACTGCCTTGCATGAAACTGGTTCCTCGTGCCAAAAAGGTTGGAGACCGTGGCGTTAGATGGTATGTCAAAGAAGGCCTTTCTCAAAAAGTGAAATATGAGTTAAGATATGAATAAGAGACAGAGTCAATCAGGTGAGGTTTTTGGACAAGAGTGCCCTAAAAGTGCAAATAGATAGTGGAAACACACAGAAGTGACAATGAACTCAGCTAATTGGCAAAGCATGTAGATGGCCACAGTGGCTAGTGGATGATCAGTTGAACAGTACAAAATAACTGTGGAGAAATAAATGAAGGCCAAATCTTGTAGAACTCTGTAGACCTTGGTAAGAAGTTTGGATAACATTCTAAGTTCAAATAATAAGGATTACCCTGGAAAACTCAGAAATCATCACCAACAGGAGCTCAGAATGGTATTGCATTATATGCACTCAGTTCTTTTTGTGTTATGCCACCTATTCTTGTTAGTGGGCTTGGTGGGTCAGTACTGTTACTGATTAAGAGAGCAGTCTTTGAAATTCAACAGACAGTTGTTTGAATCCTGGCTTATTTCCTCGCTAGGTATATGTCCTTGAGAAATGACTCAACCTTTCTAAGTTTCAGTTTCCTCTGAGGAGATGATGTTAATGTTACCTACCTATTAAGGATTTTTTGAAAATTAAATAATTATATAAACCACAGCACCATGCAAGGCGCATTTTAAACAGTCAATAAGTATTAATGATTTTCATATTATTATGTACAAGATAGGGAAAAGGAAACAATGCCTAATATAGCTCCAAAATATACAATATGCATGCTATTTAGAGCATTTGTTTAATGACTTAGTGTGACAAAGTTGTCTCTTTATTATTACAAAGTTGTCTTGTAATTTTTATCATTTGTTAAACTATGTAGGTTTGTCATAGCCGTTACAAATGCAGAGTCTGCTTTAAGGCAAATTCTATTTTGCATACATACAAAAGGAGATAAGTAGTTGAATTTTGAATATTTTAAAAGAGCATCACTGGAAAAAAATCTTTCTTTAAAGTCATGGATTCAGATTAAAGATGTATATCACAAAAATCTTTTTAAAACTTAAATATCTGTGTAAATTGTTTAATACTACTTTCTTCATATTTTCCCAATTAGCTTGACTAATATTCCAGTACTATTTTTTTTTCTTCAGAGAAAATGACTACAAGAATGAGACAGGGTAAAAATAGAGGACTTCTCAGTGCACAATTGCTCTTTTGCTTAGGGTGATAGAATGTGAAGAATTTCTCATTTGCCTTTACTTTCTCTCTTTGCTATGCTGATGCTGTTGGAGTATAATTATAAGCATAGTGAAGACATTAACAATTTACTATAACTTTATAATTGAATCAATTATTACTATTTTATACATGTATTTTAAGTAACTTCTTAAAATTTAGTACAAAAAATTTGACTCAGCAGAATATCATTGAAGTTAGAATTTTGGGTGCAAAGGAAGAAAAATAAAAATATTATTTTTCAATGGCAGTCTTTTATATCATTCCGAAATTTGAATGAAACTTATTAGATAAATATTCTGGCTAGTGCCACTTACAATTATAACCAAAATATGTAAAAGAATTGGGTTTATTTTTCTTAGCTTTTATTCTTTATTTCCCTGTCATTTTCTAGTAATAGGTCCCAGATCAAAACATCAGTTTGGTTTAGAAAACATATTTAAACCCATAAATAATTATTTCAGTTATTTGTTCTAGAGTAATGTTTCTATAGGTATATTTATAACGGCAGTAAAAGGTAACATGATGATATTGATGAAGATGATAGCAGCTATCCCCTATTAAGCACTTAATGTGTAGACACCGTTTTTGTCTCTGTCTCTCTTTTTGTCTTCCTTTTTCTCTCTGTAAGGCGAGTGGGCATCATAATTTTACTTTTTAAAATGAGCAAAGACAGACCCTGGCTAAATACCTTGCCTACATCTGCTTGTCAATAAAGAACAGAACCAAAATTCAAACCTGGTTTTGACTGACTCTGAAGTTTTCTTCTCCCTCTACTATTATACCTTTGATAAAGTAATGAAACTGATTTATTTAGCAACCTGCAAATGTCAGCCTTAGTACACTTGATTTCCATTAACATTTTAATACTTTGCATTGCATTTTAGGTTTTATATTGATTTTTTTGACTGGTGTCTTTGTATCTCCAAAACCTGCAAATATGTAAAACTCAATTTTTTTTTTTCCTTTTTAGAAATCAGCGACAAGTTTTAACTTAAAAAATGCCCTGGTAGGCCAGGCACAGTGGCTCACGCCTGTAATCCCAGTACTGTGGGAGGCTGAGGCGGGCGGATCACTTGAGGCCAGGAGTTTGAGACCAGCCTGGCCAACATGGTAAAACCCTGTCTCTACTAAAAATACAAAAATTAGTCAGACGTGGTGGCACGTGCCTGTAGTCCTAGCTACTCGGAAGGCTGAGGCAGGAGATTCCCTTGAGCCTGAGAGGCAGAAGTTGCAGCGAGCCGAGATTGTGCCACTGCACTCCAGCCTGGGTGACAGAGTGAGACTCTGTCTCAATAAATAAATAAGTAAAGCCCTGGTAACAATGAGAAGGCTGCACAGAGGTTTTATATTTACAGTTTTACAGTTTGGTTTTTCAGAATAGATTGTATTTTGCCAACTCTACCACCACTGGATTTGGTGAACAAATTATTTAGTCACAGATAAGGGCCAAGAAATTAGAAGTATTTATTATTTTATATACTCATATCTATATATATAAAATAACAAAAATAGTCATGCTTAAAACTTTTAGCTAGAATTAACAATGATTTAAAAGATGATGGAATTCAGAATGTTAAGTATTTATATCAAACTCAAGAGTTGCAGAAATAAGATTTGACTCCTTTATTAGAATAATGTTTCTCCTACACTTTGGCATTGCAAATAACTAAGCATAGTAGATGCTCAGTAAATGAAGACTGATATTATTAGTAAGGAAATGCTTGCAGATACCGATTTGCTTGAAAAAGCAAAATGTTGTCATGTGCCCTGCCACTCACTGAGCTGCTTGAGATTCGATTACTTGGTCAATAAATTACTTTTTAATATGGTCATGATGCTGATGACAATGATGTTGATGGTGACAAACACCTAAACGTATTTAGTATATTGAGGTACCTCACTTAGAGAAAGTCATTTAATACCTTAAATTGCCCTATATGTTAGGTATATTAGGTATATACTAATTATATGGATGAGTAAACCAGATGTCAGAGCTTGTAAATGAAAGAGGAAGGCTAGCTATAAAGTTCTTGTTCTTCACAACTACAAATAGCATTTTGTAAGAATTAAAAATAAACATATGTAAAGCACTTAAAGGTTAATTATCATTTAGCTCTCAATTAGTAGCTGCTATATAAAAGGTTTTCATTGCGCATTTGAGAGAACTTTTTCTTTTATTTTAATTACAGATAAACAAAAGACATACACGTATTTCAAATATTTACAGAAGATGTAAGTGATTTTCCATAATGTTGGTCATTCTCATTTTTAGCCAGCTTTGTTATTTAATGTTGGTGTACTTTTCATATAATCCATTGGATATCATGTTTCTAAAAGGAATCTGTATTATTGATTTTAAAGATAAATAGCGTCAGTGGAGAAGATAAGTTATGTGTAAAACACCTGTTAACACAAAGCATGGAATAAAAATAAAGGGCCAAAGATGAAGACATCAAAAAATTGCCAACGTCTTCACAGCTACCTGATATTTCTACCATTTCTCTTATGCTTTATTGAATTGGAAGGTGTTCATTCAAGAATTTCACATTTGTAGATATTTAGGAAAAGTACTTGAAAATTTATTTTTTTAATTCCATGGTAACCACTTAGTATAAGAGCAGGCATGCAAATATGCTGGGAGAAATTTCATGTCTTCTTGAACTTTGAGAGAGACGTCCATTTTGGCAGAGGAAGAAGGCACATATTTCTATGAATTTATATGAGCACCTCAAATTTGGGTGCTAGTCTGAACTGCCAAACTTCAGAGTTTTCACATTTTTTATATACCAAGGTGGGTTAAAGCAGCCTCTTTGTATAAGGAATATTTTTGAAACTGTTGACATTTGGCTACTGGTCTTTCAGGCACTGTTTTGTAGTCTTGACAGAAACTTGGTTTAACTTGCAGAGAGAAAGTGAAAGACAGAGAAAGGTGTCTATATGAAATGCCCCGAGAGAAGCAGAACTCCTGTAAGGCAACATTTAGGCATTGAGTGTGACACTGTATTAACCTTTTTAATGGATGTATGTAATAAAGTGACATGTAAATGGAGCACAAGGGGAGATATGACACTATATCTGGAAAAGGATAAAACAGTTGGTTGAATACTGGGCTATTATAGCAGTTTGCAAACCTTGGATAAACTCAGTCAGCGGTTGTATAATTGGTTATTCAATCCCGACCCTTGTTCACAGCTCAAAGCCAGGAACACTGAGACCTGTTGCCAATTTGAGTGAATATAGTGACTGTACTCGGCCGGGGCCTAACATTGGAGCCAGGCCTTTTCCTGTGGGCTGGTTTCCACCATGTCTGGGACTGGCTCAGTGACAGTAGGTCTTTTGTTGTGAAAGGCTGGCTGGTACTCCCCTCCTTTGCAAAATGTCTAACAGCTACACAAATATAAGAAAATAGGAAAAGGGGCTTACTGTAGCTTTTCTCTTAGTAATTTAATGTGGAGTTATTAGTTTTTCTTTCTTTCTTTTTTTTTTTTTTTTTGCTCCATTTTTGGGAAAGTATGTGTTAAGTAAACTTAAAAATTGATATAAAAGCTCCTTCTAGATAAGAATTGAAACTTGGTAGTCCCTGATTAGAATACGATATGTATGAAGAAATTTATAATAATCTGATTCACAAAAATGGATTTTTGAGTAAGAGATTTTACTTTTTCTCGTTTCTCCTATGAAAGTTCATGTACTGAGAAGACTGTTTTTATTGAATATCTCCACTGTGACAGAAAGATATAGCATGTTTATAAACCTGTTATGTATTTAGCTTTATAAAACAAGCACCCCACCTTCTCTGCCCAAACCAACTGAATAGAGGCCAACAAACTGACCACTTACTGTTTGTAGTCTAGTAAAATTTGAGAAATAAGTCAGTGAAGATTTTGATTTAACTGCATGGGATAAAGAATGCCCAGTCTTCTTACAGTGCCCAGTTCATAAAGGAATCTTTAACAAGCTTGTAGTATTTGTCAGTTAGGTGCTGCTTACTGATGGGATGACAGTTCCCAGCTGCAATCAATTATGCTTCCATTATTTCTGTTGTTTAAACATGCCTAGGAATACCGTTCAGAGAATTTCACAAAATGTGTATAAGTTCCATAACAAAGTAAAGAGCATGTTGAAAAAAAAATCTGAAAAAAGAATTTTTTTCTGAGATTTTTAAAATAATTTTTTTGTCGCTCTCTCCCCTCCTTGATTCCACCTTACACACCCAGCATTTATGAAATCACACACACAGTGTTTGAATTAATGCAGGGTTGCAATTCAATCAAGAAATTGCTGAGGTCATATAAAATAAATGGCTACAGTCCTTTTTGGCTCAGTTATGGCCTTGATAATTCAGGGTTTTCTTTTTGTTAATTGAGTAGTAGTCCTCTGCGTTGGGTGGGTGGGGTAATGGGGGTGAGCCTAAATATCTTTGACTATACATCATTAGAAACAATTTGGGGGCTAGAAAGTGGTGGTCTGGCAGGAGGGAAGAGGTGAGTTTCTGCCACGGATAGGGGAGGAAGAAAGAGCTGGTTCTGAAAACATGACAGGACAAAGGAAAATGAAGCAAATTGTTCTTTGATAGAAAATTAATCATTGAAAAGTGACTGGTTATTGTGAGGCAAAAAAAAAAAAAAAAAACAGAGGGAGCATTTAACTTGAAATATATGAAAAAAGGCACTATAGAAACTCCAACAGAGGCCTTTAATGGAAAATACACCCGGCCATCTCATTATAAATACATCCCTGGGAGCCAAGTGTTATGAGCATTAGTAAGAAGGTGGTATTATAAAAAATTGATTATAATCAAGCTTAATGTATTTAGGCTTAATAAAATATTGTATGGAGGTAGTGAGTATCATGGCATAATAGAGACCTCTTAGCATTGGATTGTTCATAAGTATTGTATTTCATAATGTTGATCTTCAGAGACCTTTACTTCCTGATGGGAAAATAGGAATTTGTATTGGCAAAGAGAAGATCACAGAGTTGTAGACCGGCCCCTATTAACCCCAGAAGATACAATTCAACATATATCTTATCATCTTAATCTCTCAGATATTCTTCTAGTTTATTTTATATTACAATGTTGTATATGACAAACAGATGTCTCCCTTAGGTCACTGTTTGTAATTTAGTAAATTGTAGGTGTCCAACTGGAGAGCCTAGAGCTGCTGGTGAAGAATGAATGCTTGAGATGCCTCATTAATTTAATGTAGGTAAGAGCTGGTGGGCTTAAAGGATTTGGTAGTAGCCCCATAGAGAACTACCTACAGGTAATTCAAATAGTGTGAAATAAACTTTTTCCCCTCTTATTTTTTTTTTTTCCTTCCATGCTGTGAAACTTCACTGATCATTATTTTTTAAGTACTTTATATGTCACGTCAACAACAGAAAGGCCAAAATATGTATGGAAACAAGAGATTCAATTAAGCTCAAATCAGGTACTTTTTAAAGGTGCTAGGTTTAGTTTTTAAACACCTTCATTTGGCACAGAACTCTTCACATGTTTGGAGATTTGGCTTTGCTGCTTCATAATTTCTGAGGGTGCTACTCTATAAGCTGAATAGTTTGCTAAGGAAAAAACAAGAGAGAAAAATAACCCAAGTTTTATGTCTAGAATTATGGACTAAAATAATACATTGATACCTACTGTATGATAGGAAAGCTTGTTAGATTATGTATCTAATGTAATTTAAACATTTTGGAAATTTTCTGATGAAGAATTTAATACCCTCATTATACGAAGTAATTTATCTTTTGTTCTTTGGTAGCTACCAGGGAACAATAGCGTTTTTGTTTCTTTCTTTAGAAATGAAACACTTTATTTTTAATCTCATAAATGTATGTTTTAGGTAGATAATACAGCTTTCAGTGTTGAACCCTGTCAAGCAATAAAGATCAATTTTAATGATTACAAATTTATTGCAATGACTTACCTGTTTCACTTCCCAGATTTCTTACGTGAAAATATTTGCCTTGTAAAAAAAAATTGCAACTAGATTATGAGCAGCTACTGTAGTTGGAATTTCAAGTTGGAATGCTTGTAATTTAATTGATGATCTCAACTCTTATTATTGGAACACTTTATAAGAGTGATTCAAATATATGTTCCTAATTTATCCTAATTACTAGCAATGTTTCATTTAAATCATCTCCTTTGAAGAATTGGGAGAATTCTTCCAATTAGTTGAGGCCAGTGAAGTTTTTTTGAAGCTTTCATATTCATCCTGGTGTTCATCTTAGGTGAGAGATGTAATTGTTCTGTAAAAGAGACCCTGTTGGGCTGAGACAAAACTGCCATAGCAGGTTCCTGGGTGTTTTTTTATACCTTAGAGAAGATTCCCAGCGGTATAAACACCTTTGAGTTTCTGACATGTGGAACACAGACCTTCATGGCTTTAAAAAAGACCATTTCCAAGTTTGTAAAAGCTTGCTCTCTGACCCCTAGGTCAGAAAATTGGGTGGTCTCTTATTTTATTGGACGCATCCATCCCTTTGAGATGAAATACTGATCTATACCTTAATTTTTTAACTGCTTATGTTTCATTGCACTTCACAAAAACCCCTAGACTGTTGTAAATAAGCATTTTTCTACCTTTGAAAATGTCATTCTTTTAAATGGGTGACTCATTAGGAAAGCATGGAATCCATGGCATAGTATGATGAGCATCCTTGGAGCCCTCCCTACCCCCACCTGCTATTGTTCCTCAGATACATTCGTAATGAGGGGTTGAGTTCAAATTATATGTAAATATCATACATTAACTATACTAAATACACATGTGTGTGAAAGAGAAAGATTTAGGTGATATAAATCTACAGATCTGTATCTTTATCATTTATTATATATATATATATATATATGAGTGAAGATATTCAACATTTATTTCTGAAAAGATCAGTGCAGGAGAAAGAATATTCAACAATACTCTTTCTCTTGCCTTCCCCATATTTCATTATCCTTTCGAATATTTATAGATCATGTTTTCCTCTCAGTTACTAGATATGAGACATGATTTTATGGATATTACTCACCGATGGTTTTAAGAATATAGAAAGAATAACCATTCAAAATGTTGTCCTGTAGAAATCCCTGTTAGTTATATTCAAGGTACATAGACTATTTTGTTTTCTACCATACCACCCTTTCCAGGATTTGTAATTTCTGGTCCTGCCATTCCCTTAAAGAGTTCACATAGGGAATTTTCTGAATAAAGAGGACTTTATCTCCTTTGTTCTTCTCTGATTCATTAAATTGCTTGTAACGTGATTCTCCCATTCTTCTCTGAGGCTGCTTCACCTCAGTTCTCAACAATTCAGAGATGATGTTCTGGTCATTTGGCTGACACCTCAGGAGTTTCTCTTTTCTGTTTGCAACTTACATAAACATATGTATGCTTCTTATGTGTATAGTACATTATGTTGATGAATATATATATGTGTGTGTGTGTGTGTGTGTGTGTGTGTGTGTTTCTGTTTTTTTGAGACAAGGTCCATTCTTGCCCAGGCTGGAGTGCAGTGGCACAATCATGGCTCACTGCAGCCTCTACCTCCCAGGCTCAAAGGCTCCTCCCACCTCAGCCTCCCAAGTAGCAGAGACTACAGGCACTCACAACCATGCCCGGCTAGTTTTGATTGTGATAGAGACAAGGTCTCTCAATTTTGCCCAGGCTATTAACTTCTGGGTTCAAGAGAGTCTCTCGCCTTGGCTTCCCAAAGTGCTGGGATTACAAGTGTGTTTCTAATATGTGGTTACATGATTTATAATCCCTTATTTAAGAGTTATGCAAAATCTTTGATCAAAATACATCAGTAAATAATTTTCTTCATTTTCCCCGATATAATAAATTATATACAATATTATCCCCTTAGCAGTTTTTACTGCATTTTACTTTGACTTTTTTTCTTGCATTAAAAATGTTACATTTCATGGAGTTGTAAAACAGCAAAGTATTGGAATATATTTGGATTTTTTGTTGATAATATTTAATATTTAATTATTATTCATGATAGTGTGGTGTTAGTAAAATTCTTTTAACTTTCTAAGAAGAATTCAGTAGATTTTACTCTTTCACATCTTAGTCATTTTAATTCAAAATTTTGGATATTTGTTATGATGCTTTTATCCATATTTTAATAACCCGTCAGTGTTTTCATCAAGGAATTACCTTAAGTCTTAGAAAAGTTCAGATTCCTGGGATTCAAACAAAATATAATGAACCATACTCTCTGATTGCCCTGGAATTTTGCATTTTAAGAAAGCCTCCTATGATTTTGACCTTTAGGTGGGTAGGGTTCAATTCTATTATGCTCTTGATAATATCCTTCATGGCTGGAAAAATATGTAGTATATACTGTATGTTGAACTAATTGATTCTACTATTCTTATCCATGTAGTTTAAATTTAACTTTATATTGCTTATGTGATTCAATTATTTTCCTCATTATAGACAAGATGAGAAACTGCTCCCGTTTTTGGTTGTCTAGTAGAAATTTTTATAGCAGGTTTAACTGATGACCAGAAGATTACTTTAGAACTTTTACTTTATGGGAATACTGCTATAGTAGCATTTAGAAAAGTCTGTCTGCACATTTATTTACTATTCACTAATTTAATAATTCAAGTAAGGCATCGTTAGTTCTAATTTTGCGTCAATAAATGAAACATTTGGAAAACAACTCAGTGACACTATAACAATTTGAATAAATGGTTTTAGTGATGGTCACAATTGGTGTATCTTCCTCAGGAGATGATGAGTTTCCTAAGGTACAGAGGCCATGTCTTTGTTCTTATCACAGTGCCATAGGAGGGGTTTACCCAATGACTGTTAGATAAATGAATGAATACACAAATAGGATATGATGCCTCTTGATCATTTGTGTCTGTGTATGTGAGCATGCATGTTTGTGTGAACTGTGCAAAATAAAGAAGATGGCAGTATCCATAAATAAAGTGTATTTTAATTTTTGAAAGTAGTCTAATAGTTCTAATGGTACTTTATGCCATTAAAAGCAAAGATAATACCTTTCATATAGTTCAGAAATTAAATAAATATTTCAAAAGATTATACATAACTAATTTTATAACCACTGCCTTTATCATTAAGAATGAGAAGTCTCTGGTGATGCAGGAAAAGTAAAACTCCATACTCTGCTTTTCTCTTTTTCTGTGTATCCAGGCTTCCTTTAATTATTTATTGTTGCTGATTGTTTGCTTCTTTTTTAACTTATTTCACTTATTCCCTCTAATATGAAAATACTTCCAAGGAAAACTCTTTTTTTTTTTTTTTTTTTTTTTTTTGCTGTTTTACACTTTTGACTTCACAGCAACATCATAGCTAACACATGACTGCAGGTTTCCTTGTTGATTAGATCGTATCGAAGTTTGTGAACATTAAACGCCCTTTTGCAAATAAAACTGTTGTATTTTCTTACCTAAAATTGCTCTGAGAATGACAAAAATACAAAATACATGAAAGGTTATAAGAGACCAAATAATAAACAAGTTGTTAAGGCAGATGGACTACTTTGGTTGAGAAAGATATGTATGTATATACAAATTTTAATATACGATTATAAGCAAATCAGAGGGTTTTTTAAATTTTAAAATCTGATTCTATGTATTAGAACATAAAAATATAACTTGAATTATAACTAGCTTTTCAGCTCAACTAGTCGACTACCTGCATATCACAATCTTTGATTTATCATATGAATCATGTCAGCTTTTATTGTTCATATCTTTTCAGGCATCTGGCAGGCTGAGATTGTGATTTGTTTTCACATATGTTGTGATGGAGAAGATTCAGGATGTGTAGTGCTTTATCAGGCTGTATGTGCTTTAATTCTCACTTCCAGTGGTAAAACATTCTGTCATAATTTTAAAGTATTGAAATTCTTATTCTAATGTATGTTAAATGGTTTTCTATTTCTATACATTTTGCATCTTCTTTATCTCTACCACCCACTTTCACAATTTTGAATAACAATAACAAAATTCTGCAAATATTAATTTTTGTTTTCAACATGGCCTAGACATCCAATTACACAAAGTGATTATGTGAATTCACTTTTTATAGTAGGATAATTGCTCCATTTATAATTCAAATACATATTTAGGTAGTTTTTTCTTAAATATATCAGTAGGCATATATAAGTTGCTCAGAACTACGCACTCTCATCTTTACTAAGCTGCAATATGTTTAAGATATCTTAAGTTTTTCCTCAGTTTGTTTATAAATTTGCCTTGTGAATTTAACTGTTTTTAAATGCCTGATTCTTGTATACTTTATGACATAATGTATAGCTTATAGTTCTTGCAGTATTCTTTTCTATTATTTTGTTCTATCTCACATATATACAGTTGAGAAAATACTATTTCAAATGGAATATATGGAAAATAACAGAGTTATTACAACTGGTCTGTAAGAAAGTTGGTTATTTGATGGATGGACAACAAAAATAGTCATGAAAATCTTTTGTTGGAAATATTTTAATTTTTATAAGTTGACTGTTATGGATGCATCATAAATATTTTTCCTCTCAATATTTTATTAAGTTGCTTTTGCTTTTTCATTCTACTCCTCTCGCCTTAGTAACCCTCCTGTTCTCCACTTTCACCCTTCTCATTGTAACTAATAGCTAGAATTTGATTCACATCTCCCCACCCACATGCTGCTGACATCATAAATTATTTGAATCCAAATGGACAATATTCATTAGCTGTGCACTTTACTGAAAGAGCCTTACACAAGAGTGCTGCACTCTCCCATTTTTATTAAAAGTTAAAATGTTTTTGCTGTCAGGAGGGTTGGATGAGTTAGCCATGATAAAGGACAGGGCTCAGTGCTAATATATAAAAATAATAACTATTACCATTGGTTGAATGACCCTGGGAAAAGAGCACTACAAAGCTATTTGTTGTTCTCTTTCACTTGTCAACAGCACTGGCTTAAAAGCTTTAGATATTGTTGAGGACCTAATAGAACCTTTGGGAAGTTAGAAAGACAACTGTCAAACAAAGAAAAAAAAAAGGCAAAGATTAATTGAGCAATTTTGTATTTGTGCTGTTTACGGGCGTTTTATACATTAACTTAATAGAAGTGGCACCTCCCCAGTCCTTCATACTTACTACATTCCTTTATCATCTTTATTGATAAGATCAAACTGAAGAAGTCATAGGAATGGTAGATAACCAAATACATTAATAGTAGGTGGTTATTTCATAAAAATGGGTACAAGTAGCCCTATTACTCTTTGATGAAACTTTTGATTTTGGGGTAGTTTTCATGACAGGCAAGGTGAAGCATATTTTACTTGATTTTTTGAAATTATTTTCCTAGGTTGTTTTATAGTAAGTTGTAGTTGTAATGTTAGTCAACATTTTTGGGTGTCACTATGTGCCTGGCACTGTTTTAATGGCGTTACATAAATTATCTCATTTACTTCTCACAACAAGCATATGAAGTAAGTGCAGTTATTAGCCTCTTTTGCAGGTAAGTGAATGGAAGCATAGAGAGGTTACATTACTTGCCAAAGGGCACAAAACTTAATAAGTGATGGAGTCAGGTTATATGTGACATTATATTATCATTGTAAATATTTGGTAGTAAAATATAAAGGAGATTTTGTGCATGAGGACTAGCTCTTCAATTTCTTGTTGAAATGCTGGGATTTAATATTTGAAATAAGAACAAAACAAAGAGTTGTAGTCTATATAAGAAAATGCAGTTACTTTGTGAGTGATAGAGTGGATGAAAGAATGATTTTCTATCACATATGAATAATGCCTATCTTTTAGTGGAGATTTTTGTATAGAAAATATGTCTTGTGAGGAGTAAACCTAAGGTTATTGATATGTAGTAATGATACCATATTGATTATGGCATAATCATGTGATAAAAGATATTCTTCTAAAATGTGATATAAAACCAATTATAATTGAGCAGGTTCAGCTGATGCAACAAGAAAATTTAAGCCTATGACTAATGATTTAAGTATTACATTACATTTTTCTAAAAACTTCACATTAAAAATTGTAAAACTTGAGTCAGCCAAAGACTTTTTTTTTTTTCTTTTTGTATTAACAGGCTCTCATTAACTTTCAAGTGGAAACAAACAAGTATTTTGGCAATACTAAACGTAAAGTATTTCCAGTGTTTAATTCACTTCAGGACAATCACATATAAAAATAAAGCTTATCTAAATCTTAATGCTATGGAGTTTCTTGTGTGTTTCTATTGTTTGTTGTGGTATGTGTTATATTACGAATTTTTTAGAGGGGGGAATCTTGCTACATTGCCCAGGCAGGAGTGTGGTGGCTATTCACAGGTGCAAACAAAGTACGCTACAGCCTCAAGCTCTTGGCCTGAAGCAGTATTCTCGCCTCAGCCTCCTGAGTAGCTGGGACTATAGGCCCACCACTGTGCCCAGGTTATTTTTTGATATTTCCTAGAAGAACTTGGTATGTCCAGTGGCCGACTAGCTGTAATACTTGACTAAGGGGACTGTTAAGGGGCCTTCTGGTTTTTAGTGTACAAATAGCTTTCCAGATATGTAAAGGTCAATATTACTTAAACTGTGCTGTTTAATATTTGCTCCCTAATATTGTGTAGATATGCAGCTATTGTCAACATGAATTGAACTCTTACTGATATATGATTTCCAGATTTAGCTCAATCTTCCCCTCAAAAATAATTTTATTATACATAACTTAATAAATAGCAACATATTAAAGTGTAATTAGCCTTTTGAAGAAAAATAAATTCGGTTAAATAAATGCACTAACTTGTATTTATTCTTCAGTTTCATGGTGCTACCAGATGAAAGCTTCCAAGAGTAGAACATCAAGTTAACAGTACCTAATTTAAACAGATTATCGAGTTAATAATACTTAGTTCTAAAACAGACTAGCCCACAGTACCACCTATCAAATAATTACTAATTTAAGCTAGACAAAGTGAATAAAATAGAACTACAATTTCATTTTTCAAGAGTTTGGCCGTCTATTTAAAAAACTTTGTGGTAGTATGTGATATACTGTTAAGAACACTGAACTGGAAATTGGACTGCAAGTTCTGCCTTTATATAGGTTTGTGATATTAGGCAAGTTATTTAGCATCTCTAATTGGTACTTTTTTAGTCTGTAAAATGAAAAGTTTGGTCTAAACCAGTTATTACCCAAATCGTATTGAGCCATACACACGGTCATCTCCCAACACTAATTTCCTTGGTCAAATATTTTAAAAATACTACATAATCTGTAACTAGTTTAAAAATTACCAACCTGTTAGTACCTAAAATGATCTAAATCTTGTAGAGAGGAAATATAAATTTGTTTAGTGTTAATTAGATTTGCATGACAATCGAATGCGTGTGTTGTTTTAGTTTTAAGTAGCCAAACCATTTATGTTCCATTTATGTCAGATATATGTTTTCCTCAATTGCTTTTATGAAGTGCTTATCTAAATGATATATAAAGACCTTTTCAGCTCTATAATTCTTATTTTATGGCATGAATAGTCTACATGTGCTTTTACTTTCTTACTTTGAAGGAGATATTGGTATATTTTGAAATCTAGTTACCTCCAGAAGACAACTTCCATTCCTCAATGTGTACACTATCACATGTCAAGAATAAAACAGCTTAGTTTAAGCTGCAAAATTAAAGTATCAACAGTGATAGGTTTGGTATAACCTAACTCCTGTGACTTTGTTTAAAAGTCAAATATCATACATAGCGTACTTTTTGTTTGTTCGATTTTTCAATGAGCTCTGCCACAGCAGCTGAAGGGAGATTAAGGAAAAAAACCTACATAAACACAAAGCAAATACCTGAGCTTGTGTGTAAAGCTACTGCACTGGAGCAAATGTGGTTTAATTCTTGGCACTGGCAGCTTGTTGGAGAATTACAATATGTTGGCATGAGTCTCTAGGTCTCATTGTTCCAGATGAGGGAGTCGGTCTTAAGAGTGTTTGGCACTGAAGGGAAAAAGGAGTGAGAGTTATAGGGAATGAGCAGGCCCTAAAGAGGCAGGATGCTGTTGTAACAATGGCTGGCACAGTTGGGGGGGGCCATTCACTGGTGGGGATTGCCATAGGCATTGATGTGAAGAAGCATATGTGAGCAAAAGAGGCAAGAGTGAGAAGGGAAAAGCAAGCAAATGTATCAGAAGGGTCCTGTTGGCAGAAAGAAACAATAGCGAGCCAATTAGACTCATCTTAATATTAGTGTGTTGATGATGAAGGGTATATTTTATTTTGAATTTGTCTTATATCCGTCCTATTTCCTAACTTTATGTTCTTTTTTAAAATATAAGCATTTACCTTTCCCCTAAAGAGACAGATCCTGAAATTAAGAGAACCTGGTTTTGTATTCCATCTGTTCTACTTACTGATGAGCTGATGTTGGGCAAAGCATCTTTCTGAGCCTTAGTTTCCTCATCTGCAAAATGGATATAACAATTATATATGCCACTGACAAAATTGTATCTGGCAGCATTCTGTAAATGGAAATGCTATGCAAATAATGATTATTAACTCACACTTATTTTTAATCTAGGGAGCCCTAGTTCTTACTTTGAAGGTAATCATGATATTCCAGTACTTGGGAGAATGAACTCTCAGGAGGAGGAATTTTCAGGAGACTCTTTTAGAGTTAAGTGAAAAACATGACACATCTTAAAATGAAAATAGAAGAAACTCATAAATACATACATCTACTGGGTACGCACAAAAATTTAAAAAAAATTAAAGGAAACTCCAGAATTTGAACATTTGCAAATAACTGGGCACCCCACATACCATATTCATAGTACAAAATACGATTCTATGCTTGTGCATTTTTAAAATCTTATTTTAGAAAATTAAATATTTAATAGATAATTACTGTATTCACTTCATAAGCAGTGAAGCAGCACTTACACTTACATAATTGTGTCAAATTTCACTTTACTCATATTCACACGTTAACAAACAGGTGTATTGTAAATATTGGGCTTCTGCCATTTGGTCCTTTACATTTTGAAACATGCATTTTCTACCATATCTTTACCATTTTCAGAGAAATTTAATCACTGCTACATGTCCATTCATTGTGCTCATTATTATGAGATTATTTCTTACTGTTATTTCAAGAACTACCAGTGGAAACTAGCAGTTAGTAGAGTATTGAATGTGGATTTTTTTGAAGCTCTTTGCTTTACATAAATTCAGAGAGAGGGGTGAAGTGGGTGAAATGATGTCTTATGATCCCCTTCCCTCGTCACCCCCACAGGCCAATCTAGCCAGTGTCACTGTCTTGGAGAGAACCCAGGTTGTTTGAATTATAGCCCAATATTCCTTCTACTATATAAGTAAAATTAATTTCATTGTATATCTCTGCTATATACTTATAGGTTGTCACTAAATTATCCAGAATCCTAGAGTGCAAGGCATATAATTGGACCACACCCTGAAAACAAAAACTGTAAAAAAGCCTACCTTTTAATTCCACAGTTGCTGCTCATACATATGTGTTACCCTAGAACATTTATCAAGTTTTTACTTCATCTATCCAAGGGAGTTAGTAAGAATCATTTTTCCTACGATCCAGAACTGTTTTGTAGATTAAATGAGGGACAGTGTGTGTGTGTGTGTGTGTGTGTGTGTGTGTGTGTCTGTGTGTGTGTGTGTGTGTTTTGTGTTGCCATAACAGAATAACACAGACTGAATGATTTATAAAGAAAATAAATTTATTTCTCACAGTTCTGGAGACTGAGAAGTCCAACCTCAAGGTGCTAGCATCTGGTGAGGGCCTTCTTGCTGCATCGTCCCATGGTGGAAAGCAGAAGAATAAGGGAGTGCACACACGAGAGACAGATGGAACTTGTACCCTGAAGCCTTTCTATAATCAGCCTTAATCCATTCATGTGGGTGGAGCCCTTATGACCTAAATACCTTCCATTAGGCCTCACCTCCCAACACTTTTGGATTAGGGGTTAAATTTTCAACACATGCTTTTGGGCGGACCCATTCAAACCACAGCAATGTATGTGCTGCAAAGAACAAAGATTTTGGGATCCAATAGGTAGAATTTAGCTCCACATTGGGCAAGTCATGATAACTTCCTAAGTTTTGGTTTCTTAAATGGTAAAACAGATGTACCAATATCTAATTCAGCAGATTACTGTGAGCAGTCTGAGATACCACATGTGAAGGACCTGGTACCTTGCTTAGCCCTTAGCCCTCTAAATAGTAGCTATTATTATCATTTTGTTGTTGATAAGAGAGTTAGGAATGTGTAGGAAAAAAAAAAAAAACTTAGTTCAAGACCTCAATTCTGCCCATTACATTTTGTGGAACCTCAGAGCAATTCTCTTTTTTCTTTTTGCTGGTGCTGCTTCATCTCTTTAAACCCGTAACATGGATGTTACATGATCTAAGTCTTCATTTGGTTATTACCATTAAATGAGAGAATACAGATAAAAACCTCTAGCATAGTTTCTGGCACATAGGCTGCTAAATAAATGTATTTGAATCTGAATTTAAAGTATATACCTCATCTAAGTTGTAAGTATGAGTGTCTTTATTCATCCACAGACATGACAACCGTGATTTAGATATGTTTCTGATTTTACATTTTCAAAATAACTTAGTCTTAAAGAAGTTATTCTTTTTTTTTTTTTTTTTTTTTTTTTTTGTAGTGTGTGCTTAAAAGTCAAGTACTTGAACAAACTGGCTCTGTTTACCAGCCTTATATCTTTATGCTAGTTAATAAAGAGGCCTGGAATGTTCTGCAGGTTTCAGAAATCTGGCTGCTGTTTCTTTAACTCTGCAACTTAGACAGAAGACTTCTGTTTCTTTATGAGCACACTACAGTGAATATTTTGTCTAGCTGCAGGGGAAAAGCTTTGTCATGGACTTTGCAGACAATAGCCTTAAAAGTAAAATGGTCTGCTTTTGGTGCCTGGAGGTTCAGGGGCCTATTGTTAGTGCACAATGGATTTCTATTGCTGCATTCCTGCTTTGCAAAGGTTTGTTAGCTTTTAATGACTGACAGTACTCTATTGCAAATACCGTATTGGCTGTGCCCTGTTTACATGCTACTCAAGAATTTTTGTAGAGTGCTGGAAAAAAGAGACAGTGGTGTTTGTTTGACCTACTCTGATAAGGTTTAAGAAATAATTTTACTCTCAAACTGTTTACTGGGAATGTAGAAATGTTGGAAGTCCTTGTGGAAGTATTTCAAAGTTACTTTTAAAGCGTCAATGAAGAGAAATGCTGGTTATAATATGAAGATATTTACTCTGTTTTATGACTCCTAGAGTTGCTGTTAATATTCTGAACCAATACCATATAGAAATTGGGATATTTTAAGAAAACTTAAAAGTAAATTTTTCGGTATTAGTTCCTTAAATGTGAAAAATAGAGCTATGTATTTTGTTCTGAGGGAAAAAATCCATTTTTCATTCATTCATTTCAACTGCATTCATTCATTTCAAATTCATTCCGTAGGTAAATGTGCATTTATGAAGTTGTTGTAAGGGCATATACATATTTGCATATATGTATATATGTATACATATAGACTATGTAAAAGAGTAATCATTCAGAGCTTTTCACCATTTTATTTTCCACAAGTTTCTGACATGTGAGACAGAAGTGTTCCATATTGTTACTTTTTTTTTCCAAGGAAAATTGCACCTCTGCTTTGTTGAAAACTCCACACAGGCTTTTTGACTCTGCTAGCTGATCGCTGTAAAGATGGGGCCCTGGAAAAAGTAGACAGCATTAACTAAACGTGATGATGAAAACTCTCTAAAATGCATCTTACTGTGGGGAAAATTAACCAGTTTCTAATAATATTACGGTCTCTAGGCCAGACGGTCCCTTTGATAAGTTAACATGTACTCCCTTTATGCTCCTAGTAGGGAGTAAACAAATGCCTGAACAAACACACATACACATAAACACCAATGTGGAGAATGGCAGTGTATGTCCTTGATCTATATAATAAGTGTGGGTATTGTTATTTAGATGGAGCATACTGGGACACTTATCTTTTAGTACATTCCATCTTCTAAGTGAATGCTGCGCTAATCACGGGATTGAAAGCCATTGTAATTGTGTATCCATCTAAGTGCTGACAAGAATATACAATTATATTGTTTGAAACTGAGTTTAATGTTTGGGAGTTTTTATTGGCATTTATATTTACTTATACATTAAAGTTCAACACAAAAGGAAAGGTCAAAACCTATGTTATATGTAGAAACAAATACCAGACTAAAGCAGCACCTTGCTTTCTAAAATGTGTGTGCCCTGTCTGAATACAGGGCATTTTAAAAGAGTGTGATACAAATCTGAAATAAGCAAATAATAGGTTTCCATTATAGGCAGCATTCCTCACTTCTCTAGATTTTCCAATCTTTTTAAGGCTTCTTTTATACCAATTTTTTTTTTGTTTTTTTTTATGTTCGCAGTACTGGCAAATCTTACCACAGTGTGCTTACCGCCACACGATGTTAAACACATATTATAAAGTGGATGTAATTGTAAACACACAGAGGGATATAATTACATGTAGCAGATTTAAGAGCTAATTCTTTGCCTTTTTTTACTCCGCATTTTATCAACATAATTATTTTTTGACTGCAGACTAACACCCTGAAATTGACAAGCATCCATTATAGCAAGAATTTGTTCACTAAATTGAAAAACAATGAACCGCAAGGTTTATGTGTACCCATTGTCATAAAGAATCAGTATGGCTTTGTTCCGCAAGAGGAAAAAGCTAATGATTTTGAAACAGCAGGTGACAGGACACATTCTTTTTTTCCACCCCTGTTATCAGTTTTTTGATGAAGCCATTATGAAGTGGGGCTGGGATAGGGATGGCCTTATTTTTAGCAGATAGACTTTTAATGAGCTCCATTGTAAGGAGAGTCATGTTGATTTGCTCACTTCTTTTTTTCTTTACTTAGAAACCCCCAGTATTGAAAAACTACTCTCAAAGGACTGGAAAGACAAGCTTCTTGCAATGGGATCGGGGAACTTTGGCGAAATAAAAGGTAATATGGTGTGATTGTTTTTATCCAAAATGTACCAAAATGAAGTTGATATTCAGAAATAGTAATGGTGATAAAGTATTTCTGCCCTCACCTCTTCTGCTTCTTGCATTCTCTGTGTTTAGGGTTTCTTCTTTCTATCTTGAAGGAGGATGTAGCAGGGTTCTTATATTCTTTCTTTGTTTGTGCCTTATGGAATAAATGATATGTTGTTTTCAACAGAATCACCCCACTATACCTCTAACAGGCTCTGATTTTCATCATTAAAATTAAATTAAATTATTTTCAAAAATTAAATTATTTTATAAGTAAGAATGTACCTATAGCAAGGTTAAAAACTGTATTTTATAAGATTTTGTACATTGTACATATAAGAAATATGGGTGTGTAGAACCTAAATTTAAAACCAGAAATGATGAAAGGGGAGAGCATAATAAAAGGTTGTTTTGTACCAGTCAAGGTAACAATTTGTTTTGGTTTTATTTGAATCAGCAATTACATCCAGCTAAGAAAAGTTCTATAAAACTATTCATATCTTAATAAACTCCTACTAATAACAAGGGGAGAAGATTTAATTTCCTCATATAAGATAAAAGCAAATTATCCTTTCAATTAATTTAAAAGTATGTTTTCTCAAAACACAGTAGGCAATCTATGATAGTTTTCTATTTGTTGCTAGTAGGACACTTAAGATTCTGAGTTCTACAGTAGGATTTTAAGAAAATCAAGATACTTAGTCATCCGTATAAAATATTTAGTTATATATTACTGTGTACATTTTTGGTAGAGGCTGAATATACATTTAAGACATCACTAGATTTATATTATTATACATGTAGAAATAGGTGTATAAATAACTTTTTTGCATATGTGTGTCCGTGCAAGTGTTTTCCCAATGACAGAAGCAATTTTCTCTCTTAAGGCTTTACTCCATCAGTGTATCCTGGAGAAAGGCAAAGCATCAGTCTTAAATGTTTGGCCTACATGACATGAACATCTGGATATCTAAAAACTTCCGGAAAATGTTTGGCTGAATATTTCACTTTCCATGCAGATCATTTGGAATTACATGTATTTAGGCTATGATTACTTGTGAAAGGGTGATGAGAAAATGAATTGGTGCTAATCAACAAATTCAGTAACCAAAATCTACAATGGAATCAAATTCAAATGAATGAGAATCAATATGCCTTAAAGAGCTTGAAGAGAAAGTTTAAGGAGAACTGAGAAGTTTTCATCTTCAGAGGCGGCAGGTCCTTGATATTATTTTGATGGATTTTAACCCATTTACCCCTGAGGCATAAGATGCATTCTCCAAGGTTTTTTATTCTCCTCTGACCTAGGTAATAACTCAGAGTAGAGCAGCGAAGACTGCCTTTTCCAAGCCTTCTGATCTCATTCCAATGGAGGACAAACGTTTTTTCCCCTCCCTCGTTTTCCTTCACAAGTCAAACTTAAAAGCAGCAACAGCAGTGATGACAAGCTTAGAGGAAAGCTCAGCTGTCCCTTTCAGGCTTGCCTTGGGGGTTAGTTTAGGAAGCTACAGTACAATCACAAAAGAAGTTTCTGTCTTTAATTTTGAGTTTTTTAAGCTTCACATTCAGAGTATAAGTTAGGTTATTGTCCTCTGGTTCTGTTCAAAACACTGTTTTCTGATGCATTTTAAAAGCAACTGTAGGTCTTTCTTCTGTTCAGGGCATGGTTATTAGGTGTTCAACTCAGGTTTGGCAGTAAACCTAGAAAACAGCACTGGGTTACTTTTCCTACTGACTGCCCATGACAGTTGCAATTACTATCCATTGTTCATAGGTGGCTAGAAAGTGGAGAGGATACAATAGTGTGTTGCCCTCTGGGGGTAAGTGAATTTGATTTAAAGGTTCTTGTTGGGGTCAGGCACAAAGATTATGTAGGGCCCAGGAATGTAGTTTTCCTGCCGCTTCAGAAGTTAGACAAGAACAGTGGCGTAGTTGTTTGGGAAGTTATTTTTTGAGGCAAATAAAGATGTAAGTCTTATGCTCTCGTATACTTGTTTAGTTGAGGGAGGGAACAATAAGTAATCTTTTTTTTAAAATCTGAAAATATGAATGTATTGAATTGTTATTTATGAAGGTTAATTTAAAATAATGTATTTAAATAGAACCTTTGCATATGTTAGGATGTTTCCAGCCTTTACAGTATTCACAGAGTCTTGGTGTGCATGGAAACTTTTCTCCTCCATTTATATTAGCCAGTTTGCATTTAATTTTTAATTAGTTCCAGGAGATGTGTGAGTGAATAAGTGTGTGCGTGTGTGTGTGCCCTTTTCCCTTTTCTGAATATTTCATACTATAGCCAAGTGAGAAGTGAGCTCTGTTTTTAAGTGCTGTTTTAAATTCCTATCAGTGAATTAGTTTCAGAGCATTTGGACAAATATTACAATCATAGCTTGGAAGGGTTTAGAGAAGTGTTTCTTACTATTAATATTCAAAAAGTAAAAAATGATAGACTTTTTAAAATAGGAAAAATGAATAGCATTTGATTTGGAGAGTTTAGCTATCAATTAATGGTTGTCATGCCCACTTAAAGTCAATCTCATTTTTCAAGAAACAATGTGAGTTAGTAAAGGTCACCTACTTCTAAGAGCATAAAGTTATTTTTCATGTTGGATTATTTTACCTGTTAGAATTCATGCCATTTTATGCTCTGGTACTTTGGAAATGTGAATTAGGTTTTAAAGTTACATTAGAAACAATCCTCTAGCAAACATGTAAAAAGGACACTCGATCTGGTTTTGCAGAACAAAACAGTTTGACTGAAAAGTTCTGCCAACAACAGTCAATATATGCTATAAACTGATTAGCTGCCCAAAAGAAGTATTTGTTTCTTCTTTACTTATAAGCGATGTAGTATAACTGGTCAGTTTACAGATTCTTTTGCCCTTATCTATAGCAGAAGCACTGAGTAACAATAATGTGAAAGGTGAAGAAATACCTTTTAGAGTCTCATAGTTATTGAGTGCGGAGGGAGAAACAATGCCTTTACTCCGGCTGGCAACCAATAGTCACACACAATTTCAGCTAGCATGAAATTCCATTACACCGAAGGTCATTCATTGCATTGGTACCTCACCTGAGGATAGTATCTGGGGATCCATGTCGGCTTTAACTAATCTAAGCAGATCATTTGTTTTTCAACAAAGTAATTGCAAAATTTGTATTTTGCTGACTTAATGTTTATTTGTAGAATTATAACACAAATATCTGCATGCAAAATACTCTCAATTGTTTTTATCTTGATAAAAGCAGAGCTGTGTACGGGAGGTTCTCTGGCCAAGTCACTTTAAAAAATTCTAGACCAGTTTCTCTACCTGCCTTATTTCAAGAGTTTTTTTAGAGCCTGGTTTATTTCCCCTCAGAATCTCTGATGCATTCTTCTGACCCTGGTCACGGTGCATTAATTCAGGCCCACAAACTGTTGAATCTGTTTTTAACAAAAGTGCTAGAATTTAACAAAAATTCTAGACCAGTTTCTCTACCTGCCTTATTTCAAGAGTTTTTTAGAGCCTGGTTTGTTTCCCCTCAGAATCTGTGATGGATTCTTCTGACCCTGGTCACGGTGCATTAATTCAGGCCCACAAACTGTTGAATCTGTTTTTAACAAAAGTGCCAGAATTTAACAAAAATTCTAGACCAGTTTCTCTACCTGCCTTATTTCAAGAGTTTTTTAGAGCCTGGTTTGTTTCCCCTTAGAATCTCTGATGGATTCTTCTGACCCTGGTCACGGTGCATTAATTCAGGCCCACAAACTGTTGAATCTGTTTTTAGCAAAAGTGCCAGGGGCATTTGATGTAATTCAACAACTGGTTCTTTTGCAAGGCTATAATTTTGTGTATTCTAGAAGAAGGGCTATAAAGGCAAACACCAAACACTTCTAGAACTGCCAATAAGGGATTCAAGGAGATAATCCATTCAGCAATACTATAGCCTTTCAGAGCTCATGAATTAAAGACATGGGCAATGTAGATTCTGTAGATTCAGTGTGTGGATGAAAGTAGATAATCTTTTAGGTGGCATGTAAATGTTTGAGATAGAAGATGTATAGAGTCAGTCAGTGGCTTGAAAGGGATAATTACGTCTAAATAACATTAGATGATTTGAAAAAAGCAGGCTTAGAATAGGAATCAGATCCCAGGTAAAAAATCTAGTAAGGGATCCTATAAGTTTTATAAATTTAAAACATGGAAACTAATATTCAGCATTTCAATATGTAAGGGTTTATATCACTTCAAAAGTTGTTTCAAACATGTTCTTTTAAAATCCAGTAAAGATTTAAGAATCATGTGGTTTACGAATAGTAATCTTGTTATTATTACATTTGTACATTAACCTAAAACATGCATATCTGCACATTTTTACAAAGGGGTTGGAAATGTTTATTATTTTCTGAGAGAACTGTTGGATCTGGAATTTGTTCAATACAAGAGTCAGCCACAAGGAAGGTACACAACATGTAGTCATTTACTTCTAAATAAAGTAAATGTTTAATGTTTTTAATCTAACTAAGCTTGTTTTATAGTTCCTCTGTAGTTGCTTATGAGTAATGTTTTCACTTTTTGTAAAAACTATTTCACAAGAACTAAAGAAAGACTGCTGGCGCGTAGAATATAAGTTTTCAAAATAAGTTTGACAATGTCTATAAAAGCAAAGAGTGAGTACATTTTCTATAAACCAGTGATTTGCTCCGTCTCATGACGCCGGTGTCCTCATGCCAGTGTGTAAATACAGCTAGTGATCAGAAGAAAAGGATAGGTCACTGTATCTCAATTGAGCTGTATATTGACAGTCCAGTTGACAATTAGGAAATTTTATATACTTTGTACTTTTTAAGGTACTTAATAATGTGTGTTTTAAACATAAGGTTAATCAAATACTAAACTCTTACATATTTAATCTGGGCTTTATATTGGAAAAAATACTCTCCTCAACATGTTTCTCATTTAAAAATGCATTCATTCATTTAAAAAAATTGCTTGTTTGAGAAGCATAAAGATTCTAAAATTAAAATAATTATAAACACATTATTTGTTTTCTTGTAGATATGAATTCCAAAGCTTGTTTAAATACTCTCCAGACTATTGGGTAATGCAATTAACCTAAAACCTTTTCCTGTTTTGTACTAAAATTTACTAGGAAAGCATGGTGTAGCCACAGTGATTTGATGTTATGTGGACTGATTCTTCCAAGTACTTGTGGAAATTGGGCTACCACTTTTGGTTTATTTCCTCATCTACTCATTTTTAAAAAGTTGCCGATTATGATTTATTGCCTGCCACTTAGTGAACATCTTCTTACAGGCACTGCGTAAACATCTTTCTTACAAAATTATTGTGACAACATTATTTAATTCTGATTTTACATATGAAAAAATTGAGACTCAGAAATTAATTATCAGACACCACATACTCTAGTTGTGGCAGAGTCAAAATTTGAACTTAACTTCTCACTGCCTTTAAGGCCTGTGTTTTTTTATGTAATGCTTAGCAGCCTGTCTTCAACAGAGTTTGACTGGGTGATCTCTAGAATCTAGAATTAAAACTGGAGAACATTTCTAGACCTACCAAACCTGGATGAAGAACTTCTATAATTTGCATCCAAGATACTCCGTCCTTAGATCTGTCCCTAGCACACACACACACACTCAGTTTTGTATTTTTCCCTGTTTACATATTGACCAGCCCCTTGTAGACTACCTAATATTCTGTTGGCTCAAAGTTTGGAATGTAGTGCATATTTGAGGAAGGAATGACAAGTGAAAAATGCCATGTTTTGGGATAACTATTATTGACTACATTCCAAATGCAGCAGATTTAATGTGATATTTTAAAATAATGGTTTTTATATTTCAAGTACAATAAGTAAGTAGATGGAATAGTTTTGGAAAAAGTTCCTAAAATTACAGTCTCCATTAAAAGGTAACATTTTTTAATAATATGTTTTATAGAGCAATACTTTTTTAAAAAGGTAACAAGAATAACCCTTTCACTCACTATAGAAATTATAATGCGTACATCTCTTTCATAATGTCCCAGAAACAAAACATCTACCGTGGGGCAACAGTGGTGAAGACTATAGCTACTTGTTCATTATTTTATTCACTCTAATGGTGTCACCCTTAACATGGAAAGTTTTCCACATTAGATATATTTAAATCTAAGCCAAGGCCCACCTTTTAAGATACTGAAGCAAAAACAACAACATTATCATGTCAAAAGAAATCATAAACATATTTAAAAAGGTAAGAATACTTATAGTATTAGGGTACAAGAAGATGTCAATTAATTTATACTCAGTCATGTAATGAACTATAGTATTCCTTACATAATTTTAATTGATTCCAACTTCTGACGGGTATCTATATTGCAGTAAAGAATATGTAGCTAAATTTTGTCAAAGTCTGATTAAATTCTTTCTTAATGTAAAGAACTAATTAATAGATGTTTGCATGTAGGATAACCTAACAAATACTCCTTTTATGAGCTGTAATAGTGCCATTTTTATTTAGCCTTTTTGATGAGGGGAGGTCTACCTTTTCTCTTTTTGTTGGATAAGAGTGCTGCTGAAAGAAGCTTCCATTATAAATTTAGACTAACTTAGTTTTTATTCATGTTATTTTCAGTTTATTCAACAAAGGCTGTTATCTGTCTTGCCATGTGGTAGCTCTGGAGATATAATGGTAGCAAATACCATTAGTATTTAGTAGACAGATTCCTGCCCTCCTAGAGCTTATAGCCTAGTAGTAGTTCTTCATTAGGCGGAATATTAAAAGGCAATACAATGAATGATTTTTAGATGTTTCAAGTGGAATACCAGTTGAAAGTGACATTTCCATAAAAAAATTAAACTAAGTAAAGTCTTGTTCAAATTGTAACACTAGTAGTCTGACAAACACAAATAGTAAAACAAACAAACCACCCTGGCACAGATTTTCACTTTGAAACAAATAATTAAATTTTTGGTAAGTTTTTTGAGGGAAGAAACGTAATTAGTTTATTTTTAGCTCTAAACTTCTAGGACATTTTTTTCTAAAGTGAGTTTACTTGTACTTTTTCTTTATTTGGACAATAGTTCCCAATGGTTTACTTTGATTTTGATGATTTGATTTCAAGCCATTTATCTATTTCATTTGTGTGGAGTAAAACAATATTGGGGAAATAGCAATTTTCATGTATTTTTTCTTATTATTTCGATGTTTTTGAGATCATCTTTAATTCAACCCTGATGAGGGTCATTCCTGTGCATAAAATTGTACATTATCAGCTAATCAAGGACTTTTCTTTGTTCTTAAGTTTATTTATTTTATTCACTCAACAAATGGTCATATATCTGTATAAAGGTATCCACTATGTTGTTAGGTATTATTCTATAGATACTGGAAATACAGTGTTGAACAAAACAAATTATAATAGTGTCCTATTACCATAAAGCTTATACTCTACTGGGAGATACAATAAATAAATAACTATATCAATAAGAATATAACATATAATGCTAACTACTATAGTATAAAAATTGGGTGATGTGATAGAAAGTGAGATGTGATTGCTTTTATAATTCCAGTGGTCAGCGAAGGCCCTCCGAGGAGCTGGACTTTTAAGTTATTACCTTGGATAGATTTGATTGTATTCGTTTTTTTTTTTTTTTAATCTCTTTCATTTAAATTTAAGCTATCTGAAGGCATGCATTCTTTTCTGGCTTGTTCTCTTAGTATCCTCAACACTTAAAAACAGTATGAGGCACATGGGAGCTGCCCTGTGAACACATGCTGAATGAATTAAAGAAAAAAGCCAGTCATTTCAAGAGGAAGATTTTGCTCCACCAGGAGGAATTTGACAATGTCTGGAGGCATTTCGGGGCATTATAACTAGGAGTGAGGGTCCCACCTGCATCTAGAAGATGGAGGCAAGACCACTCCCCATGAAAATTGTCTGGCCTAAATGTCAACTGCGCTGAGGTTGAGAAACCTGGGTCTGGGCGAAGAGTCTTCTGAGGGTAAAAGTTAACATTCAAAGGTCCTGTGGTGGGAGCAAGTTTGCATATTGGTATTAGAGGAACTCATAGAAGCATATTGACAAAAGAGAAAACGGGAAGAGATAATGTCAGGGAAGAAGGCAAGGGCCACACCATTCAGGGCTTTGTAAGGGTAGGAGTTTGCATTTTATTCCATGTGCAGAATAAAGCTTTGAAACAGTTTTATACAGCCATATGGCATGACTTGATTTACCTTTCTAAGCAGATAACTATGAACGTTTGTTTGGAGAATGGATTTTAGTAAGGAAACAAGTAGAAATAGAGACAATGACTAGAAAGCAATTGTTGTAGTAAAGGCAAGAGATGATAGTGGCCTGGATTAAGGAGTAATAGTGGAAATGAGATACAGAGACTGATTTATAATATGTTCTAGGGTTGATCAATTTCCAATGAATTATATAGGGAAGATGAGGTAGACAAAAAATGAACACCTGGATTTTGACTAAGCAATGTATGGATGGTGTATTAGTCTGTTTTCACGCTGCTGATAAAGACATACCCGAGACTGGGCAATTTACAAAAGAAAGAGATTTAATGAACTTACAGTTCCACATGGCTGTGGAGGCCTCACAGTCATGGAGGAAAGTGAAAGGCACTAAACATGGCGGCAGACAAGAGAAGAGAACTAGTGCAGGGAAACTCCCCTTTATAAAATCATCAAATCTTGTGAGAATTATTCACTATCACGAGAATAGCACGGGAAAGACCCACCCCCATGATTAAATTACCTCCCACCGGCTCCCACCCACAGCACATGGGAATTGTGGGAGCTAAATTCAAGATGAGATTTGGGTGGGGACACAGCCAAACCATATGAGATCATGATGTCTTTTGCTGAGCTGGAGATGACTGAAGCTGGTTCCCTTCCCTCATGACTTTGTCTCATTATATTAAGGCATCTGACATGTGCTGCTTTTATGGAATACAGAAGTATAAATGACTGCTATGCCTGCAGTTTTTAGGCAGGAAGAAGACTGAAACAATATTTTTGTGTCTTACTTCAGTTATCTTTCATTCTAAGGGGACTGGAACAGGACTAGCATAGATTAAAAACATACAAGAATGCAAATAACTGAAACATGAAAATAAATTACTATCAGTCACACACAAGTGAACTCATGACATTAGCTATCTGACTCAGATGGAGCAAGTTCATATATACATGACTGTGTCTCCATAGGGTTATACACTATATAGACACACACATATATAAGTTATGACTCTTAAAAACCTGAATCTAGGTGAATAAAGAGTAGCTCCTTTTTGCTGGGAGGCCTCTGGAGTACTCCAAGGATCTAGTTAATATTCCTTCCACTTTTTTAAAGTCAAGGATGTCTTGTGACTCTTGCTACTTTCTCCGCTGTTCACAGACCACTTATTAAGTTCTCTCTAAGCACTTGGGGATGATCATGAAGAATGTGATAATTTAGAGATGAAGCCGTGGGATGGACTTCTTCATCTCAGTTTAGTACTTTTGTAAAAATGGTGAAGATTTCTTTTGCAAAAGCTTATTTTTTTGGCTCAACTCTCTTAAGCCAAAACTAGAATTCCTATGCATGCTTAAACTTGAGAATGGTTTAAAGGGAAGCGGCTGTATTCTTTATGTCATTCATTAAACGGTGTTAGATGATTTTCTATATGCAATACATATGCTATTTACCGTTACCTGTAGTAGATAATGAGGATAGAAAAGTCCATCATTTACAGTTGCTGCTATTGCAGCTACCTCTCCTGACTTTGGGAGAAAAATGTGAACATAAGATAATACAATGCAATGATTCAATACTATAATAAAGATCTACACATATGCTGTGTAGATTCCCAAAGAAGAGAACAAATGTTATCCGTGGAAATCAGGAAAAGAGCCACAAAAAACAAGATGCATGAGCTGGAGCATGAAGAATGAATGTTTAGGGAGAGACTGGCCCAGGCAAGGCACTTGTTAAGGATGGCATTTGCAAGTGCTCAGAGTGGTGGTGGTGGTGGGATAATGTTAGAACATTCAGTGTGGCTAGAATTTAGGATGCACAGAGGAAGTGGGACAAGTAGGTGATATTTTGAAGGACCTCGTTAATTCGCAATAATGACTTGACAGTTTTTTCTGAAGCCAATGGGGAGCAATTGGAGGTCTTTAAACAGGGGAAATGACAGGACTAGACTCTGACATGATATGACTTTGTTATCTAGGAAAGTAATTTTGGTACCAGTTTTAGAGGATAGATTTGTACAGAGATCAATTGATGACAGGAAGTTCTATTTTAAAAGTTCTATTTTAAAAATTTGTTACAAAAATTCATGAAAAAAGATGACAAAAATGGCAGTGAAGATAGAGAAGGCAGGATGGAAAAAGTGCTCTCTCTAAGTCAGTACAACAGTATTTATGTTATGTTATCATTTGCGTAAAAGGCATTCTTATGGGTTGAACTACGCACTTTCCCCTACCCACCAACCCTAATTCATATGCTGAAGTCCTAATGCCTAGAACCTCAGAATATGAACGTATTTGGAGACAGGATCTTTACAAAGGGAATTAAATTAAAATGAGTTTATTATGGTGGGTCCTAATCCAAGATGACTGGTATCTTTATAAGAAGAGGAAATTTGGACATGGGTATGTACAGACCGAGACGATGTGAACACATATGGAGAAGACAGACATCTGCAAGCCAAGGAAAGAGGCCTGGAACAGATCAACCCTGTTGACAACTTAATCTTAGACTTCTAGCATCCAGAACTGTAAGGCAATTTCTGTCTTTTAAACCACCCAGTCTGTGGTACTTTGTTATGGCAGCCCTGGCAAACTAATACTGAAATATTATTGTATATGCTTAAATCTGTGTTATCAAGGATAAGACACACAAAAAAATAATAATAGTGGTTACCTTTGAAGGGACAGTGTTGGGAGGAGATCTTTTACTATACACTTTTATCATTATTTACTAATATGAACATAATAATATTGAAAAATATAATTTTCATTAAAATTAAAGGAAAAACAAACCTATTTTGAGGAAAAATTACTGTGATTGATTAATATCAATGCAGGGATGGGTAGTTGAGAAGGAAATTGAAGAAGTTAATATTTTAGAATGCTGATTGGTAATAATGCTTTAAAATTACAGGAAAGTGGTGAGTTTCACTTTATCCATGTTGAATTTTATGACTGAGATACACCCTCAGAGATACCCCATTCTGCATCTAAAAATAGGTTAATAGGGCTGGGGGACAATCTTAGGGTTGGCACGTACCTTATTATTTCATTGAATGTGAAACTATGTATTTTAGAACTCAGGAGGTTAAAATCTGTAAAGCATTGTTGAAATATAGTTCTTAGAGTTTGAAGCATGTTAGTTCAAGGACGGAAAAGGTAAAGAATGGGACTGGGGAGAATATGGGCATTCATGGGTGGCAGAAGAGGAGTCAGTGAAAAAGATTGAGAAGAAAAGGTTAGCTAAGTAGGAGTTGAAATAGAATGAAATCATGTCTAGGAAGTCATGTGAGAATGCTGAAGATGCAGCAAGATGGGCTGAAGGTTCAAAAAGTTTGAACTGAGTATGGACTATAAAATTAGAAATTTTGTTTTAAATTTGAAATCTTATTTATGTCTTTATGACTAAGTGAAAACAAATAATTTTGTTAATCTTTCATATACTTAATGACAAAATGATATTTGTTAATTCTCATCACCAAATATATACAGTTGACCCTTGAACAGCACAGGCTAGAATGCCACAGGTCCACTTATATGCAGACTTTTTTTCCCAGCCAAACACAGATCCAAAATACAGTATTCACGGAATGTGAAACCCACCTATGCAGAGGGCTAACTTAAGTGGGTTTTGCAGGACCAACTGTAGGTGTTGAGTATGTGCTGATTTGCTTAAGCTTTTAACTTATACTTCCGCATGTTGAGGTGAAATAAGTTTTTTCTGAGTGTGGAAGTAATGTAATAATAACCATTGTGGAAAAATTTTCTAAATACAAAAATATGAATCCTAGCACTTTGAGAGGCTGAGGCGGGAGGATCACGAGGACAGGAGTTCGAGACCGGCCTGGCCAGCATGGTGAAATCCCGTCTCTACTAAAAATATAAAAAAATTAGCCAGGCATGGTGGCATGCGCCTGTAATCCCAGCTACTCAGGAGGCTGAGGTAGGAGAATCGCTTGACCCCAGGAGGCGGAGTTTGCAGTGAGGTGAGATCGTGCCACTGTACTCCAGCCTGGGTGACAGAACAAGACTCTATCTCAAAAAAAAGAAAAAAGAAAAAAATTAAAATGACCTATAATTCCACCACTTAGAAATAGCTACTATTAATATGTAGCTAAATTTGCTTTCAGTCTTTATTCCTATAAACATAGACATGTGCATGCATTGAGGTGAGTATACAAATGTTTCATTTCTCTCCAACTGCTTTTAAACCTAGCTTTATATCATAAACTAGATCCCATGTCATTAAATTTTCTTCAAAAATAATTTTTTATGGTTACAAAATACCATGGATGACCCATAATTATTTGGTTATTCTTATTTGACATTTAGGTTGTTTCTAGAATTTCATTTAAAACAATTAGTAATTAACCCACATTTCTTATGATATTTTTGGACTAGATTTTTTTTTTTTTAGGCAGTGTATCTCACTGCAACCTCAAATTCCTGGACTCAAGTGATCCTTCCACCTCAGCCTACCAAGTAGCTGGGATTACAGCTGCATACCACCATGCTCAGCTAATTTTTAAAATAATTTTGTAGAAATGGAGTCTTGCTATGTTGTCCAGTCTGGTCTCGAACTCTTGGCCTCAAGTGATCCTCCTTTCTGGGCCTCCCAAAACATTGGAATTACAGGCATGAGCCCCTGCACCCAGCCTTGGGCTAGGTTTCTAAAAGCAGAATTATCCTTCGTAGGTTATGCGCATTCTAAGACATGATGTGTATTGGTATTCCTAGTGTGTATTCCTTGAAATGTGGTAGAAATTTACTTCTCTATTAACAATGTAGGAAGATGTTTATCTTGCTAGCATATGAATATTTTCATTAAGAAAATCTTCCCAAGATATATTTATATTATTTAATATTAGGATATAATAGTCATGTGGCTATTATTCATGGAGTTAGTGTTCATTCATTCTGATGGAATCCAAATATCTGAGATATAATAAATTATTAGCAACACATTATTGACTACCTGCCTTGAATAAGGATAGGCATTGATAATAAGAAAGAGCATAAGAAATGGTTACTGCCTTATTCACACATTTTCTTTTCTGAATATTTCTTCTCTATGCTATATGTAAAATATGTTAGAACCCTTCTTTCTATTCCAAATGGTCATATAAAAATTATAAGCTACTAACTATAGCTGCTACTTCCTAAAATAGAACAAACTGTTTCAGCCTAAATTGGTAGGAGAAATGCACTGGGGTTAAGAAGGGTGATTGAGTTATAACAGATCCTTCTATCTAATTATGTATACAGGTGGCAAATGCAGTAGTAAAACAGTGCTTAGTGTCTTATGTTTGAAGTGAAAATTGTAATTAAAGAGGGTGTTCTCTCCTACTGGTAGTACTTTATCATAGGGGCCTTGTCTATCTTGTGAGTTCTAAAAGAACAATTAAAAGAGATACTGTTTCCTTTTCAGTGAACAGCACATACTTCTCTTATATTAAATATAAATTTTAACTTAATAAGATTCATTGGCATGTTTTAAATATCTTGAGTGTAATATGTGTTTTAAATGATTACCATGACTTCTCCAAATTTTGGATTTATGTATTAGCTTACGTGACCATAATGTGATGCTAATTTGCCAACCACATTATCTCACAATTGCTATATTTGTGTTCTCAAACTTGAATATTTGCTCAGTTAACTGTATTTTATTTTCGAAGATAGACTCTGAATTGGCATATGGGGAATACGCTCTAAAACTTGATTGGCTAGATAGATGTTTGCTCTCTTTTAACATAGAATTCTGAATCTTCAACTTTTTTTTTAAGAAAGGGAGAATCATATCACTAATACTAATGCCTTGACCTCTTAATAACTCTGGCTATTAGTTTTTTGTGTCTTTGTCTTGCCTCCTTAATTAGATGAAAAACTGTAGTACTTAAGGCCAAGAACTGTACTTGGGACATCTTTTTATTTCCAGCTGGCCCTAGCATAGAATATTAAAAACAGTAGATGTTCAGCCAACATTATTTTTAAAATTTACTTATAAAGTAAAAGTTAAAAAAAACTATAGATTATTACTGGTCATAAGTGTAAAAACATTCAAAATGTTTGGTCATTATGGAATTTCATTTGAAGTCCAATGTACTATCTATTGTGCCAGAGAGCCAAGTTCATTGTGGTATTTTGTAATAGGTAAATTGCCATCACTTTTTACTGTTGCGTGAAAATGTAAAAGAAGGTAGGTAATGCTTTTGTGTTTATTGAACTTTATATTTGGACTGGCTCTGTATACAACAGAGCCATTTTCATTGAAATAATTACTTTTTTTCATTTATTTTGTCTGTTTTATTGCTATATGATTTGTAGGGACTCCCGAGAGCTTAGCTGAGAAAGAAAGGCAACTCATGGGTATGATCAACCAGCTGACCAGCCTCCGAGAGCAGCTGTTGGCTGCCCACGATGAGCAGAAGAAACTAGCTGCCTCTCAGATTGAGAAACAGCGTCAGCAAATGGAGCTGGCCAAGCAGCAACAAGAACAAGTGAGTAAGAACTAGCGATGCAGTCATATTCCTCAGACATTACTTTGCCTGCTACTTATAGGTCACTGTCCTAGGCACACAACAATGAATAAGAGTCCCTTCCACCTCCCCAGTTAAATAAATTCAAAGGCCAAAAAAGCAAAACAAAACAAAAACCCACCCACAGACAAAACCCGGATTTTAAGATGCTTATTAACTACTTTGGTGGTAAGTAGTGTAGAAGTGATTATAATCAAGGTTAATTCTGATAAATCATGAGAAAAATACCAAAAAAGAACCATGGAGAGTCAAGAGAACATTTTCAACAAGAAGCATTTTGAAAGAATTCATTAGAGAGCTGACATTTGAGATATGCTTTGAAGAAATTGTGGGCTTCAACAAGTAAAGTGAGTTTCCAGCTGGGGGCAGGAAGTTCAGTTACAAGGCCATTATAATACTTTAAATTAAAAAGAGTGAGAATCTAAATTAGTCAGGGTAATGACCGTGGACAAAGAGATGAAAGGAATAAACAGGTGGAAGAGTTATGGTTAGTAGAATTCTTTGAGTAGGCAAAAGGGAAAGGAAAAGAGTTGAGCCTAGTAATAGGGAGATTGAGAATGCCATCACCAGAAACAGAGAAAGTCAGAAGAGCAAGTTTGGAAAAGAAAGTAGTTTTATGATGTTGAATTACAGTTCCTGTCAAGTTGTCCAGTTGGAGGTATGTGAGAGACAGCTGGAAACACCAGTCAGCATTTTGGAAGAGAGCTCAGGTGTTTCTTAGGTTATTTACAGAGAAATGGTGGTTTAAACTCTACTGGAGGAGATAACATTCATTCATTTATTTGACTAATAGTAATCTAGTGCTTCTTATGTGCCGGGCACTGTACTAACTAATTATTGAGGCTATCTCAATTAACCAGAGAGACAAAGCCCTTAAATATTAGTGGAAAGAAAGAGACAGATAAAGGAGCAGATAACAAAATGATATTATATAGTGATAAATAATTTGAAAAAATATAAACAGGATAATAAGATAAATGTTGATTGCTATGACAAGGCAATGCTCCTTAGATTGGGCAGCTAGATCTTTCTAAAGCTTTGGCAGTTGAGCTGGGATCTAAATGACATACAAAAGGCAGCCATGTTAATATCGGGGATAGGAGTGTTTTATGCAGAGATGTGGCAGGCTTATAGGCCTTAATTTACAGTGGTAATATTACAAGAAAGCAGAAAGGAACTAAGGGTAGATCTTTGGGAGATACTGGCTTATATAGCTGGCAGAGAAAGGAAAATGAACATATGCAGAAAGAATCAGATATGGAAGTGGGGCCAGGAGTGCAATGTCATAGGAAACAAAACGGAGATTTTAAGAGGTCTTGGGGAACAGTGTTAAATGCTATAGAAAAGTAATCGTTCTAATATCAAATTGAAACTACTAGATTTTTCATTTAGATTCTCATTGTTGGCCTTGAAGAGTAAGGCTTCTATGGTGTTTTAGTAGCCGAAATCAGACAATAAAAACTGGAATATACATAGTAGGAAAATGGAGGCAATGCCTATGAACTATTAGTTAAAAAAAATTGGTAGTAAATACAACGTAAGATAGAGGGGAGGTGATATAGTTTCAGCTTACAGATAAGTATGGCCCTCTTTTTCATGGCTAAGTCCTTTTCCTCTTCCATGTTCTGGGCATAGTCCATTCACCATCCCAGGTGGAGGATGGCCACTATTTAATATTCGTGTGTCTACACATCCCTGTAAAACCTTCTAAACATCTTTCAAAGTGTAAGCTAGCAGGGTTGAATGGCATGAAGAAATACTCAGTTTATGTTTGAGGAGCTCCTTTTTTCCACCCCCTTATTTCCATTGTACTCTTCTCTACTTGGTGGTTGATGTCTGCTTAAAAGATGTTCGTTTTATTTTTAATGAAATGCCTAATCACTTTCATTAAAGATATATTTGGCTTTTTTTTGGGTATGGCCCATATGCCTCTTGCTTTATCCCCATGATAAAAGAGTTCAGAATGCTTGCCTGTAACAGTATAAAACAACACCACTCTTTTCTTGTCCTTAACTCTCAATCTTTCAGTCAACTGAATTCTGGAGAATCCTAGGAGCTTCAGAAAATGTAGCTTGGCTGGGGATATTTTTTGTAGATAACCCCTATTTGCTTTGGTGGGTCTGAGGGCACACATGTCCTGAAAGATCTAAGCAATGACTGATGGAGAGGAAGCTTCTTTCTTATCTCTTTCACATTCTAGCCCATCCCTGAATATTATAAAAGGATTCTAGAATCCTTTGATTCTAATACTTTCCCAAGACCTCTGACATTCTCCTTGGAACTTTACAAACCCCTAAGTTCTTCAAGAATTTCTCTCCTGTATTGGAGAGATGTCCTGCAGTGCTGCCTCCACAGCCTGAGAGAAGATCCCTGGTGATAGCTACAGGTCATGTTTCTAGAGCCCATTCAGCTCTCCCAGCGCTTCTCTACCATACATGGCAGGCATGCACAGTTACCACTCTGTGGTGGCAGATCTTTTCATGAAAGACATTTAATACTTATTATTTAAGGGTCAGGGCAGGTTCGTCTTCTCCTGTAGTCTTTTTCTGACACTCCTCCCAGCACTCCCTACTGAGTGTAGAATGTCCCCATTCTATGTATTCTAATACTTCTGGTATAGCTGTTACAAAAGCTAAAGGACCTGTTTACTGATGAGCCTTTCCCCCAGATTCTGAGCTCCATTCCACATTCATCTATTAGATAAATATTCATTGACCACCAATTTGATGCCAGGTTTTGTTCTAGTTAGTGGGAGCAGAGTGGGGAAATAAAACAGACAAAAATCCCTTGTGTACTGAAATCTAGTTGGGAAGGATAGACAATAAGTAAACCAGTAAACTGTACGTTGCTAAGTATTATGTTGAAAACTTATGCAGGGCATTGGAGATGAGGGTATTATCTATGGGAATATGTTCTTTTAAAATGGGTGCTCAGGGAAGACATTTTTGACTGAGAACATTTGAGCAGAAACCTGTAGGAAGTGTAGGAGTGAGCCATGGGGCTGTCTAGGCAGAGTATTCCAGAAAGAGGGAAAAGTAAGTGCAAAGGCCCAGAAGCAGGAATATCCTTGGGAGGCAGGAGCATCCTTGGTGTGTACAAGAGGCAGTTAGGAATGCAGTGTGGCAGGCATGAGGTGATAGGGGATGAGATGAAATCAGAGAGGTAGCAGGAGACCAAATCATATAGGGCCTTGCAGGCATTATATGTACACCGGCTTTTTGCTGAGTGAGAGAGAAGTGTTTTGAAAAGATGACTAGCATGACTATACATATATATATGTATATGTTTGAGATGGAGTCTCGCATTGTCACCTGGGCTGGAGTGCAATGGCGTGATCTTGGCTCACTGCAACCTCCACCTCCCAGATTCAAGAGATTCTCCTGCCTCAGCCTCCCAAGTAGCTGGGATTACAGGTGCCCACCACCATGCCTGGCTAATTTTTTGTATTTTTAGTAGAGACGGGGTTTCACTATGTTGGCCAGGCTGGTCTCGAACTCCTGACCTTGCGATCTGCCCACCTCAGTCTCTGAAAGTGGACTCATATTTTAAAAAGTACTCTCAGGGTGCTGGTCTGTGATCAACTATAGGGAGCAGGAGCAAAATGGAGCAAATGGAGGCCATTACAACAATCCAGATGAGAGACACGGTGAACGGGAGAAAGTACGTGGGAGGTTGAAGTGGTCAGGTTCTGAAGTATTCTTAAAGTTCTGTTAAAAGGATTTAAATAGCATTTGAAATATTGCTATGTGGGAGGAAGGAACTAGACTTAATGAAAAAGGTAATCTTCCTTCTACTCTCTCTTTTACCACTTTCTTCAGAAAAAAAAAAAATCGTAGGTCGGGCACTGTGGCTCACGCCTGTAATCCCAGCACTTTAGGAGGCTGAGGCAAGTGGATCACCCGAGGTCAGGAGTTCAAGACCAGCCTAGCCAACATGGTGAAACCGTGTCTCTAGTAAAAATATAAAAAAATTAATCAGGCATGGTGGTGCATGCCTGTAATCTCAGCTACTCGGGAGGCTGAGGCAGATGAATCATTTGAACTCAGGAGGCGGTGGTTGCAGTAAGCTGAGATCGCGCCATTGCACTGCAGCCTGGGCAACAAAGAGCAAAACTCTGTCTCAAAAAAAAAAAAAAAAAGAGAAAGAACAAAATGTGTTTTTTTTTTACCATATTCCAAAGATAAAATTAAAGCATTAAAATAATTATAATTAAACCATCATCCATAGGGAAATAAATTTTTTTGCGCAGCCAGGTACATCCATCCTCATCACATGGGTTCTTTTGTTTATGGTGATGTGTGAATTTTTTCCTGAATTTTTGACTTTCAGGTATAGAGGTTAAGAGATTTTTTTTTTTATTATTTCTGAGACGGAGTCTCGCTCTGTCACCCAGGCTGGAGTGCAGTGGAGCGATCTTGGCTCACTGCAAGCTCCACTTCCCAGGTTCACGACATTCTCCTGCCTCAGCCTCCCAAGTAGCTGGGACTACAGGCGCCCGCCACCACGCCTGGCTAATTTTTTTGTATTTTTAGTAGAGATGGGGTTTCACCCTGTTAGCCAGGATGGTCTTGATCTCCTGACCTCGTGATCCACCCACCTCAGCCTCCCGAAATGCTGAGATTACAGGCGTGAGCCACCACACCCGGCCAAGAGATTTTTTTTTTTTTTTAATAAAAATGTTAGTGACTATTACTTGATGAGAATGAGATCTAGAACTTATTTATAAGAGAGTGATAAGTTTCAGGATGTTAGAAGTTATATCCTATCCCATGTGATGAAATGTTTACAGTTTTCATCTCATCTATTCATGCACTCTTATTAGATATCCATTCAGCATTGCTTTTGTAACGGACTTCCTGAGAACAGTGAGTAAAATATACATGGCCTCCACCCTCACTGAATTTATGGACTTCTCCCTAGGAGACAGAAAGATGTTACTAGCAAATAAATAAACAAATATAAAGTCACAGCATGGGCATAATATTAAGTAAATGTAGAAGGTAAATGTAGAAGTAAATGTAGAAGTAAACACAAATAACAGTGAGAGTGGTAAGTGATTGTGCTGTTTCCTAAGTTAGGAAATACTTAAGATGACTATATGGGAGGCTAAATCTCAAATTTAGTTTGGGACTTGTTGAACTTGAGGTTCCTTTGAATAAGTTTCTCAATAAATGGACCTGATGCTTAAAACAAAGTTCTAGGCTAGAGAAGCACATTTAGAAGCACTTGGCTTACATATGGAAGTAAGTATGAAGGAAAAGAACAAAGTCTAAAATTGAGCCTCAGAGAATTACAACATTTAATGGCTGGAAAGAGCCATTAAAGGTGACTAAGAAGGAGAAGAACATGAGAGGCAGAAATGAAACCAGGGAAGTATGATGATGTCACAGAAGCCAACAGAGAAAGTTCATGATCGGGGAAAACATTTGAGTGTTGAATTCTGATGAGAGGTCAAAAGACGACAACTGAAAAACACTTCAGAATTTTAAAATAATGCATGTGATTGGCAACCTTCTTAAGAATCATTTTGGTAAAAAAAAATGGAAACAGAAACCACAATAGCATGCACTGAGTTGGTGGTAAGGGGCTTGTGAGAGGCAGTAATGAGAAAATTACTTACCTAAAAACAAAAAAAATACCAAAAACTTTACTAATAAATACAGTGTCTTGCAATACTTTGTGCTACTCTGAACTCCTCAGTCTTAAACCTCCCCTTCTCCATTTGTGAAACACTCTGTTATAGAAAAGGGCTGAAAATGTCAGAAGCAGCGCCTTCTTAATATATCACTAGGAAGAGGGATGTTCGAAAAACAGACATTTCTTTCTGGGATTGATCACTGCCGTGGTATCTTAGGCTTCATTTGTTTTAGGCCAAAAGAAACATAACTGTTCCTAAAGACTAAATATCTTCCTTGATCTTATTTAGGATGAATTGCTGATAATTTAGGAGCACAGACACGTCTATTTTCATCATCTTAATCAGTGTCAAATCAAACTTTGAGAAACAGAACATTAGTAACTTCCCTCCGGGACTACAATATACTTGTAAATTTCTCATGTGCAATTTCTTCACAGATTGCAAGACAGCAGCAGCAGCTTCTACAGCAACAACACAAAATCAATTTGCTCCAGCAACAGATCCAGGTCAGAAATCATAATTTCAATATACTTACAATTTAAAAAATATATATTCTGTTTCTTATCCTTAAATACCTAACTGAAATGACCTCCAAAATAAAAATGACTTTCAAGCTAATTCATGACATAGCACCTCCTCTGCCATGGAAATCTTGCAAATGGTGTCTGGTCAGTCTACAGGCCCTACTGTGTCAGGGAGCTTCAATCTAAGCAAGCTAACAGTTATTTTCATCTTATGCTGAGAAGAAATTATTGTAGACAAAGGTTTCATTTTATCTACATTTTAATGTTAAAACGTGTCTATAAGTGTTCTTAACTGGATAGGTGCAGGGAACCAAAGCAGAAAGGTACCTGGGTTTTCAGTTAGAGAAGTAGTACCAGATAGAACTTTTTTATTGCATGCCCGAGAGCCATGTGTGATAAAGATGGAACATAGGGATGGTAATAATTTGGTGTTCAAGTCGATTTACCTGTGGTTTTGCCTGGAGAAAACAAGCCTGAAGGCTGTGGGACCTCCATATTTTTGTTATTTGGAAATTTGCAATAATAAGGAGCATCAATACAGGAGGAAGCAGCTGTATTGGTAACAAAAAGAAAAAAAGTTTCCAGTGATGTCTTGTTTCCACAACTTGCTAGTGTCATAAACTTTGACAAAAGTTCAGCTTTGTTTCCCTTCTGACAATTTACTTTCTGAACAGCACTTACTTCATAGAGAGATTTTTGAGGGTTAAAAGAAATCATGGATAAAGAGCCTTAGCATAGTGTCAGGGCTCAATACTCACTTGCTATGACTATCAAGGAACCTAATTCATGGAGCTATGAATCCAACCCCATGTGACATCATCCATCTGGAGGCCACTGTTAGCTTTGCAGTATGCTAATCTGGAGAGAAATTCATGATTCTCTTGAAGTTATATCTTGAGATCCAACATATTTTATTAAGTGTAAATATCATAAATGACAGGAAGCAAATGTGTCAAAATTATTTCACTCTTGTATTAATCATGTTTTAACTTCTTTGCCATCCAGATTTCTCCTATTGTATCTAATTGAGTCAGGCGCACCTAATTTTGATGGATTTAGCAGACCTATCACTGTTCCTTCTTTCTTATTCTACCTGGGATTTTAATGACCCGTAGATAGCTTCAGTGAGACAGTGGAAGTTCAGTGAGATGTTCCAGCCGAGGACATTTCCCCTCCTTAACTGCAATTAGGATCAGCACATTTCCAACATGTTATAATCCACTCATATCTGAAGTGTGGTTATTCATTTCAGTGGTTTAAAACTGTTCATTGAACTTCATATTGTTCAAAGTACACTGACTTTTTAGTCGATGGTACCTGGTTATCTGCATTTAAAATGTTATTAATTATCAAAGCATAGGTATTAATATTGTTATGGCACTTTCTTATTCTAAGTAAGGTAATTCCATAATCAGCAATGTGGTAGTCACTTGATTTTACTGCAATTTGACAAGTGTGCCAATAGTTTTAGATTTTTATAATTTTTGTAATACTGAAATAAGTCCTTTGTTAAACAGAATGGCAAAAATAGATTTCAACTCATATTGTAAATGGGTGTAAGGCTCAATAAACTGTTCCGACCAATTAGATTAGCCAACACCTTCAGTGCTTTCTTAGGAATTATTCCACAATTATGACCACTACATTCACAATGTGGATTTTAAGCCCTGTCATAATGACAAAAAGTTGAAATGGATGGATTCTTGCTTCAGAGCATGAAGCACTGTAATTTATAAGTCAGAACATTTTTTAATGAAAAGCACTTAAAAATTATATGTTCTAGAAATTCTAAGACTATAGGAACTGTATTTCAGAGAGCAAAGGCCAAGTTTAACAACATGCCCAAGACCACACAATTAGAAACTGGTAGAGCTAGGATAAGAAGCAAAGTTTTCTGACTATAATAGAACTTTTGTGGAGTATGAGAATTTTAAAAGCTTAGAATTTTTATTTGATCAAAGTGTTAGGTGGCCAGCCTAACTATTTCAGAGTGGGAAAAGAAAAAGTCCCTAAAGGAAATAAAGTCACACTGAAAGTAATTTGAGGGAAACATTGAGATATTGAGTTATATATGTGTGTTTGTCTTCTTTCTAGAGTTAGTGCAGATAAATGAAACTGACAGAGTCAAAACCCTTTCAGGCAACAAATAAGTACTGAGCAAGACTGATAACCTGAAAGAAATTCATTTTCACAGCTTCCAGTATATTCATTAACGAAAAGCATAGTTCTGAAATATATTTTGTCAATTGTTAATTTGGAGAAGTCTTATAAACACTTAATAGTTATGAAAGTAACAATATATTTGAATTGTTTAGTCTACTGCGAGATTGTTCAAACAATTATGGGAAGCTCTGATGTGGTGACATATGTAGAAATAGGACATTAAAAATGTAGAACAGACTAATTTTCCCGCCACATAAATCTTTGCCATATTTCATTTTAGAATGTTTTTTCTTCCCTTTTCTCCTTCTTCCTACTGCCTCCTTTTTCTTGGAAGCATAGGGCAAGGATGAAGACTAGTAAATATACAATCTGCTATCATGAAAGGCAATTGGAATGTATAGCAAATATTATAAGATTTATTTTAATTAAAAATGGATATATAATTGAATGCTCACAAAATAATTTACCATAGATTATCTTATTTGATATTTGAAAATACTCATCTAGAATTTCCATCTACTTTTTTCTTTTTTAAATACAGTGCCTTGATACCTTGTAGAAATAAACATACTAACTTAAATTATTCATCCTGATTGTACTTTCTTAGATGTTTTATACCATTGTTGTTGTTCCAGACCTTAGAAAACAACGCGTATATTGATGGAGTAGTAGACTGTAGCGTTTTATAGTCCACAATTAAGAATGCCTTTAAAATGTTTGTTTCATATATGAATACAAAAGACATTATCTTGGTCCAGTTTTAGCAAAGGAATCCAATACATCAAGTGGGGTAGACAGATCTGCTGTGTGAATTCGATTGATAAGAGTTAGAGCTGGGCAATTTTTTTCATTTGATGGATATGTTACATGACAGGAAAGATAATATTTTCCTACATTTTGCTCATTGTTGTTGTGAGATCTTGCTAAAGGAGAAGTCAATTTAGATGTCTTTATTCCATTTGAAATATATATCATTTGATTAAAAAAGCATGAACAAGTTTGTATGTTTATGTGTATGCACAAACATTTACATACTCTAATACCCCAGTATATTACTCAGGGCTCCCCAAAATGACAGAATCAATAGAAGATATAGATATGGATGATATAGATAGATATAAATATAGATGTAGGTATAGATAAATATATGAGAGGGGACTTACTGGGTGATTGGCTCACACAATTATGGAGGCTAAGTTCTGCAACAGGCCTTCTGCAAGCTGGAGACCCTGGGAGGCTGGCGGCATGGTTCTCAGTCCAAGTGCAAAGGCCTCAGAACCAGGGAAGCTGTTGATACAACTTTCACTCCAAGGCCAATGGCCTCAGAAGCCGGGAAGCTGCAAGTGTGAGTCCTGGAGTACAAAGATGAGGGGCCTGAAGTTGATGTCTAAGGACAGAAGAAGAGTGTATCCCAGTCCCACCAGATAGATCCACGCATTCACCTTTCCTCTGTTTTTGTTCTTTCTGGATCCTCAGCAGATTAGAAGGTGCCTGCCCACATTGAGAGGGTGAATGTTCCCCACCTAGGCCACTTAGACTCACGTGCTAATCTCCTCAGAAAGCAACCTCACAACACACCCCGGCATAATGTTTTACCAGGTATCTAGGTAATCCTCAATCCAGACAACTGGACACGTATAATTAATCATCACATCCAGGTTATTTCAAGTTTCTCTTGGCCTTTTTAATTCTTTCTCAACCTCTGATGAAAAGAGTGGTGGTAGGTTTAGCTGTATGGTAAACCTACTCTAGAGAAAATGCCATAAGAATCTGCAAGTGAACGGGTTTTATTTAATTGCTTAGGATCAGTTCTTTATGAACTATTTTTATTTCTTTAAAAAGCAACCTTAGCTCTAAAACTGCATAATTCTAACTGGATTAAAAACTCAATCTACATTTCTTCCTTATAAAGACTTTGTAGGGTTACAGTCTTCTGCCAGGTTGACCCACCTAATTCATTAAGGATTAAGAATGTTTTCTATTATTGTTTGCAATATCATAAATCAGTTTACTCTACAAATACCAGAAATATCCATCTTCCCTCAAGAACATGTCCACTTTTCTATGAGACTCTTAATTTTAGAAGCACTAAGAAGTTTGTCTTATTTTTCTACTGTTCAGGAATATTTCCCTCTAATATTTGTGTTTATTGACTTAAAAGATACTTTTTTAAATTTCAATTTACTGTATCAAGCTAACTTTAATGCATATTAATAGATGAAATTTGTAAATATTTTAGAATAAGATATCTTTCTAGAATTTTTGGAAGGGAAGCTCTTTTTTTTCCCTCTTACTCTGTTGCCTATTCTACAGTCCCCATCTTTTAGCAATTTTATTTCCTATTTTCTTTTTTACATTAAATCAACCTGTTTCTAATATTGATAGTTAGTTGCTTTATGTTTCCAGTAAAGATCCTGGACCAGTGGTTCATCTTGACCTGATTCACTGTTTCACAGGAAGTGACTGAGTGACTTCTACTCAGCTTTCATTATGACAACAAATTGAGTGTTCCTGGAGACCTAAGTTTCCTGTCATCTTGAAGCTTCTGGTGGGACAGGGTTTCTATAGTTTTGGGCATGTGTGTGAGAAGCGTGTCCTAGTTATAAGTTTCTTACTCCTTTTCAATAATACTTAGTGGAATTTAAGGTTCTTTACAGCAACTAATAGGGCTAATCCGACAATGCGTTCTAGCATGAAATCTACTTAAGATACTTTTTAATTGCAAGTTTAAAGATACTGTACTTCTTTTCAACTGCATATTTTATGATTCCCATACCAGGGCATCAGTGTTTGAACTTTTATAAAAGATTCCAAAAATTTACCCCATTTCCCCATCTGATTAACTTTTCCAACTATTGTTCATTGTGTTCTCTTGCAAGCAAAGAATTAGTATTTAATAATCTCCTGTCATTGTTTCTGATTCATAAGTTAAGCATGTGCAGGACTAGTCATACCTTTGGGTCACTGATTCTGTCAGGACCTAAGGGTAGAGCAAAGAAAATATTTCCATTCTCTTGTATTCTTAGTTTGGCAGTGTGCATTGCATAGTATGTAGGAAGGAACTTGGTTGCTTCAGGTGGTGTAGGATTATATTTACCTGTATGAAATGCAATTTTAATTATGTTGAATAGTTTTTTAAAAGATGATTGAGAACAGTGATCTGGAATAAGATGAACCTGAACTCAGTCTGTGCATCTTCACATCTGATATCTGCCGTGTGATCTTGAGAAGATGGTTTACTCCCTTTGAGTTTTATTATTGCAATCTATAAAAAAGGAAATATAATACCTAACTAACACCTGGTTCTCTGAAGATTAAATGGGACTGTGACTGGTATTTAGCAAGTACATGGGCTAAACATTTTTGCCAAAGTCATTAGAGAGAAAAATGTGTGCTTTCTGTATTTCCAATGATGGGCAATTCATGAATGTTTCCAGCAAGAGGAGAACTTCTAGGAAAAAAAAAAAAAGAATATACTTTACATGGCAGTAGTCACTAAAAACTGTGAGTTCAGTGTTCCATATTCATATGATTTTAGAACTACAAGAGGTTTTTAGAAAGGCTTTATTTAGACCTATCTCTCATTTTGACATTTGTAAACTAAAACTAAGTAAGGTTAGAAATTTTTCCCAGTGTCACATAAGTTGTTTCTTGTGGAACAATGGCTCAATTCCAAGTTACCCGAGTTTTGGCTCAGTTCATTTTTATTTTACCAATATTCTACCATTTAAGGCTTAATGGCCCTAAGTTTTAAAATGAGTTTTCTTTCCCTGGGAACTTATTCCTACACGGTAAAAATACAACTTGACTTATATACAATTGAATGATTAAGTTGCAGTCATGGGCTCAACCAATTTGTGATAAAGGTTTCATTTTATTGGCACCAAAGTTCTCTGAGCTCATTAAAGTTTTGGTAATTCTTGAAAAATTATTACGCAGAAGGAAATCCATTGAAATATTGTATTGAAACATAATAATGTTACAGGTGAAATAATAGTATGTACCTAACTGACCTGCTGATGTATGATTTCTTTCCCTGAGTGTGGTAAGCATTTTACCCCCCTCAACAAGACCCTGCACACATACAAGAGCACAAAGAGATTACAAAGTAACCTTGTCTCTTTTGGAGACTGCAAATGCCAAGAATAAACACTGTGTAGTTAAGGTAGCATTTCAACCTGAGAAAGACACGCATTAACTCCTTCAGCTCCAACTAATGTTTTGCTATGTGAAATAAAATACATCATAACTGGACAGGATACAATTTCCTGGCATTCAGATAGATTATTAGAGGAGGAAATATGGAGATATAAAGAAGTAGCTTTAAGGATGACTTTCTTCTTTGTATTTTCTGGATGCATAACTTCCATTTGAGAAGACAAGTGGCCTGCCCTGAAGGGTTCGTAAGGATAACTGCCTGCAGCCCTGTCCTTTCACTCAGAGGGAGCCACTTTAAAATTCCTTAAGTATTCTTTTTTTAATATGTCTCCTGGCAATTACCTAATGGTAGAAATCCACTCATTCTTCTTATTTCTCTGTCTAGGCAAACCTGTCTCTGTAGACAGACATACGGATTGACAGGTGTATATATTTTCATCTTCATTGATACAACACGTGCTACATGGCTAAGAAAGTACCAAAAAGAAATGAAAGCAACCATCTCAAGCTCAGTTCTCTATACTTTACTCTTCTTTTACTCAGAAGGAGCCACTTTAAAATCTTCCTCCTAGTATTTACTTCTCTATCAAAAAATTTAATTATAGTGCTATTTCTGACTTATCAACTTTAAATACCATGATCCTGGAAACATGAAGATTTACTAGCTCCCTATTGCCACTCTCCTTTCCCCTTCCTCAAGATGCAGTTATATATTATTTAAATTTATTGAGTAGGTGCTATTAAACTTCATTTTACTTACAACCCCTTTTCTTGTTCAATCAAGTATAAAGTGTTCCTTGACACTTGCCTTGTCAAATGAGGATGGTGTATCTCCTCTTCTGTTACTCCCAACTGCCAATTTCTGTTATTTTTTCTCCTTATGTTATTGGTCTTATTATTTCCATAAATTGCTCCAAACTCTTATGATTAAATAAAACCTCCAGAATCCTCTTTTCCTGGATATGTGCTTTCTAGCCCTCTGACCTCTGTTTTGGATGAATTTATCAAACATGAGAGGTTATATTTATATAGGATTTTTAACTACTCTATGTCCTTGATATTTTGAACTTTTTAATATTTTTATTGAGACGCTATTTGAAATAACAAAGTCTGTGTTGCTCTAAGCTGATTACTATATTGACGTGATGTTGATAACAATGTTTAGAAGTTGTAATCCTGGTTTTATAACTCATCCTGACTTGAGCTGCTCAGAAAAATCACTAAAAAATGCATTTAATGGAAGGACATTTTTTCTTTTGCTTTTTATCTGGAATCTCAAATTTCTTTATTATTTTTATTTTCCTGTTTTCCCATTTCTGTGTTTCTTTCTTCTACAATCTTTGCAGTATGATTTCTGAAGTGAATCCTGGGTTCATTTAATCTATTTAGATAATTGTTTAAACTTTGGTTAGCGTTGCTGTGGTCTAAAGAAGAGAGATCTGCATGTAAACTGAAATATCAGAGGCACAGAACCAGCGGGCTTCAGCATTGGGAACATTTTATCCAAATCTGCCATGTGTCTGGAGCAGCTGCTTTTTCACAAGTTGTAAATATGGCCATTCTGGAATCACTGAGATTGGCCCAGAAAGCAGACTGACAGTCATTTTTCCCATGACTTTTCAACCTCTTCCCAAACAAAATTACCTGTGGACAAACTTGAACTGTTTCTCACTGAGGCTCTGTAGTCCATATCCTCTTAACAAAATAGGGACTATCATTGCTTATATACGCCCCTGGGAATGTAATTTTCAAGTAGTAGAAACAAAACAAAGCAAGTCAACAACAACAGAAAGATTTGGGAATGTTGGCCGAAGTCAGTATGTTGGTCCAAAATGAACCACTTTTTATTTTACTTTAATTTACACAATAGTGTGGTAAAATAAATGCTATAGCTGGGGGTACTCACAAAGTCTTTAGAATGAATTTCTACCTCCTGTCTTTGAAAAGAGTTAACAAATAGAAAAATAAATGCCATTGAAATTAACAGAATGTTAACAAAATGAATTACTCTATGAAGAGCACAGTTACGTCATGATTCAAGACATACATTCCAGACATCTCTAACATATGGCAAATTTGCTTCAGCTCCCTAGACAGAGTACTAACTTCTACTCTTTTGAGCTTTTGCTAGTAAATTTTCATGTAACTTACAAACAGTGAGAAACTGACCTCTCTCTCTCTCTCTCTCTCTCTCTCTCTCTCTCTCTCTCTCTCTCTCTCTCTCTCGGGGATGTATGTATTTAACACCATTATTCTTCAGAAAAGAGAGCCAAACAGGTGAATAAATTGGGAAAGAAAAGATGAGTAGGGAATTAAGGACACCTGTGTGCCACTAGGCTTATCCCTAGTTTTCCCTTGAAGGAAAAGCAAAAGGGAAAACTGGGATAGCTTCTTCTACAAAGAGAGTATTCTAGAAGTGGAAAATTCTCAGTCTTTATCATACTTGAGCTTACAGCAGCATTTGAAAATTTTGATCACTCCCATATTTTTGTAATACTTTTCAGTCCAGCACAGTTTGCTTTTCTCTTTAAGTTTCTATTTCTTATTCCCAGTCTTATTTGGTAGATTGTCTGCCCATCTTTAAAAGGCTGAATTGTGATAATGCTCCATCATCTGACTTCCGTATCTACACTTACTGTCTAAATGGTCTCAGTTGGTCAGTGGTTTTATGTCACCCTGAAAATAATATTCCAAAATTTGTCTCTCCAGCCTAAATTTCTCTCCTGATCTTCAGAGTCAGAAACCCCAGTTCCATTTAAATGGTGATATGGTTTGTCTGTGTCCCCACCCAAATCTCATTTTGAATTGTAGCTCCCATAATTCCCACATGTCATAGGAGGGACCCAGTGGGAGGTCATTGAATCATGGGGGTGGATCTTTCCCATGCTGTTCTCATGATAGTGAATAAGTCTCATGAGATCTGATGGTTTTATAAAGGGGAGTTCCCCTGCACAAGCTCTCTGTTGCCTGCTGCCATGTAAGACGTCCCATTGCTCTTCCTTCATCTCCGCCATGATTGTGTGACCTCCCCAGCCATGTGGAACTGTGAGTTTATTAAACTTCTTTCCTTTATAAATTACTCAGTCTTGGATATGTCTTTATTAGCAGTGTGAGAACAGACTAATACAAATGGATACCTAACAGGCACTTCAAAGTTCACATTTTAAAAACATATCCTTTAATTATCTTCCCCAAACTCATTCTTTCCCAGTTTCTCCTCCTCTGAATATGATACCATTTGCCTGTTTTCTGTGGCGAATACCTAGGAGACATCCTGGAATCCTCATTCTTTCACATCTCACAACTAATCCATCTACATTGGTTTTCTGTCCAACATCTGTCAAATTGACCAACACCATTCTGGTCTAATTCACCATCATTTCTCAGACTACTGCAGTAAGCTCCTAACCATGTTGGTCACCCTACTTCCTTTGTTTACCCCACCAAGTAGATTTTTCACATAGCTGCTAGAGTGATCTTTTAAATGTGATTGAACTGTCCTTCTTGGTTGCTGGGAACGTGCTGAGTGTTCTACCATCAGGGCATTTGCACTGGTTATTCTCATGGCCTGGAATACTCTTTTAATCATATAATTTAGACCTTTACTTCATTCAAATCTCTTCAAATGCCATGCTTGTCAGGGAGGCCACCTCTGACAGCCCAATCCAAAATAATCCCAAAACTTTCTAGGGATATCTAGGATTTGTAACCCTATCAAACAGTTTAAGGTACATAAATCTCCTGTCTTAAAGATTAGTAGTTACAGTAGCAAATAAGGTTAAATTAGTAATCTTAGGATTTGTAAACCATGAACTATTTAGTATACTACCTTTGAAATGTCATTCTATTTCAATAAATTTTTGACTTGATATTATAAACAGGGAAAAAATATGATCTCTTTGTACTGTACTGGTAAGAAGAAGGAGCAGCCTATTGCTTATTAAGTATTTGGCATTTTACAGAGGTCATCTTACATTATTAGCACAAGAATTCAGACAGTTTGTGTTATTATATCCATTTTATAGATGATAGAACTGAGGCCTGTGTGTATGTGTGTGTGTATGCGTGTGTGTTATTCTGAAACCCTGACAGTTGAGTACTTTGTAAACTGAAGGGGTGTCTTCCTCCCTCTTCTTACTAGAAGAGTAATGAGTGATTTAATTCAGATGATCTCTAGAAAATAAGACTAATTGGTCTTTTCAAACTGAGTTAAATCTATCAGGTTGGCAAATGTGGCAGGATATTTTTTTAAAAGTAATTTATTTCCGCTTTCTGCAGTAAAACAAGATAAGAGATTGTCCTTTTATAAATGGTGAAAATAAATATTTATAAATCAGGAAAAGACATTTTCCACATATGCAAATATTGCATACAACTAAACTTTCACTGATAAATGCTAAGAAAATAGGATGCTATGCTTATAATAGATAAATATCATCTCTTTAAAAAGAATTATCTTATGTTGAGACTTATATCTACATAGTAGATTAGAAAAGGTGAACTAACTTTATAATGTACATAAATGTTTAACTAAAATAACTAATGAGAAGGTTTTAATGTCATATACATATATTTAATTACAGATTATATTAATTTCTGTGTATACATTGTATATGAATTGTATGTGTATTCATACATACATACCTAGGTTTCTATATATCTTTTTTTGATCATTTACTTTTCTTTTATCTTCTCTGTTTATTGCATATATGTGTGTGTATGTGTGTTTGTGTGTGTGTGAGTGCGTGTGTGTGTGTGTGTGTATATATATATATATAATTTTTCTCCTCTAATTACCACCGTTTAGTTCTGAATACCTTTTTAATTCTCTTTCTACTTCTGTATTCCTTTCCATGGCTTGGCGAATACCTACATCCATACCTGCTGCTGGATTGTCTGACATAGCCACTCGTGATTTCTTTTACTCTTTTTATTTTTCCCTCCCATACATAGTTCCTTTCTCTGGCTAACTTTTTTTCTTTTTCTTTTCATTATCCAATTGGATTTTATGTTTTCGTTGAATAAAAACTTGATCAGTAATAAACAGAGTAAGTTGGAAAGATTGAGTTTGTTTTCATTTTAAAAGTCAATTATTTGATTTTCTGTGGGGCAATTTGAGAGAGAGAGAGAGGGAGAAAGAGAGAGAGAGAGCAAGAAAACATAAACAAGCCCAAAGAAAGGTTTCCCAGATTGTTAGTATAATATATTATGGCAATCTTTTCATGATAGAGGGTACGTTGTCATGAGCACCCGTGTCATGCAGCCAGAAAAAGAGGAGGGATAGGGCTGCCGTAAGGTAAATCAAGAGATAACAATAAAATTTTTCTGTTGCCTGCTGGAGGTATTTAGGATGTGTTTTCTTTATATCTTCATCCGCCCCTAATTGAGGATGCTTTAAAATTGAATGACTAGCAGTCAAAACGTGTTTGCTTCAAGCTGAGAAGAAAAATGCTGGTGTCTCCGCTTCCAAACTGATTGCGCTTTGTACACAACTGACAGCTACAGTCACTTTGAGTGACTGATAAGTGGGAAGCTTTGCCACTTATCAAGGAATGCAGGCTGAAAAGAAAAGACCAGAGCCGTTTAGATGCTTTGGCATGTTCAAAATAACATCTTACATCAGTCAGACTCAGGAGCACTAAAAGACGTTTAAAATGAAGTGATGTATATAGAATTGTGGTATATGTGTATGTATATATAGGAGAGACAAAAATCATTTCGCAAGCAAACAGCTTCAAAGGGTGAAAGAAAGAGCATTGTTGTTAAGGTCACAATTTGTGAAATGAATCCAAGGTTAATCATTTATATACATTTGTGATGAAATTTCCAAATTAAAAAATATGTAACTATAGACTTCCAACATTATTTATATGAACAGCTAGCTTTGACCAAATGGATGCCTCAGAACACCTGAATAATAAGAATGTCATCCACTAACATAGATAGTAATTTTTACCCTGAGGGAGAATCTCAATTCACCTCCCCCTCTTCCCTTCTTGTGTAAATATTTAATATTTAGCATGTATGTTTAAAATATTCCATCATCTCTAACTGAAATATCATAGTTATATAATAAAATCAGGTAAGGGTATATTTCTTCTTTCTATTTTAAACATAGTTTTGAGACTGTTCTAATGAAAGTATATTCAGCTTTACTGAGCTGTAAGTTCCACAAATAGAAACTTCTGAAAATAACAATTTTTTATGCTCAGTGATTAGGCTTATGTGTATAGAACGTGCATCATCCTTTACATTTTCTAGGACATTTATGTTTCAAAATATTTTGTCTGTGTATTCACACAATTTTGTATTTTTTGGACCCCTAACAAGGTAGATGCAGTATTTCTCAATGATATTTACCCTCCTGTGAACACCATGCTCTCTATTTAAATAACTGGTTTCAGTTCGATAACCCATACATAAACCTGTTTCTGTCCATTCATATATCCTCGTTTTTAAATTTGGAGATATGGTAATAATAACCATATTCATGGATAATTTTTCAAGCTTCCTTGGCTTGTGCCTGTGCACGTAGGCTAAACTTCATGTATAATCTCTTAACTATTTAATGAACAGCCAACTCCATGCTTTGTGGGTGCAATTCTTGATCCTGCAAATTATTTCACTCCTCTCATGCCATAGAATTGACTACTAATGTTTATATTGCTGTAAAAACTGGGGTATACTCAAAGATAGTCATTTGAGTGAGCAGGAAGAATGTGTTAGGACAGTGTGGAACTCAGGCCATTCTGCGAACTGTTACAGGTCCTCAGTTAAGATAAGGAGCTTGCCGGATGCACTTTAATTTAGCTGACATTCTTTTTTACTGTAAGTTTTTTTTTTTGATGAGGGTAACAGTTTGGTAGTTTACGCTCTCGGATAAGCTACTGACCTCATCACAGACCAACACTGTGAGTACTACTGAATTAGAACTTTTTGATCAATAAAATAATTAATATAGGCCAGGCACGGTGGCTCATGCCTGTAATCCCAGCGCTTTGGGAGGCTGAGGCTGGTGGATCACCTAAGGTCGGGAGTTCGAGACCAGCCTGACCAATATGGAGAAACCCCATCTCTACTAAAAATACAAAATTAGCTGGGCATGGTGGCGCATGCCTGTAATCCCAGCTACTCTGGAGGCTGAGGCAGGAGAATCGCTTGAACCTGGGAGGTGGAGGTTGCAGTCAGCCAAGATCGTGCCATTGCACTCCAGCCTGGGCAACAAGAGTGAAACTCCGTCTCAAAAATAAATAAATAAATAAATAAATAAAATAATTAATATAGAAAAACAGACTTTAGAGATAATTCGGTCCAGCTTTTTCTTCTTTTGTAGATGAAGATATGGTCCAGAAATGAAAAGGGCCATCCCCAAGTCCTATAACTAATTAGGCATAGACCCTGTTCTTCTGGGTCTTACCTTAGTTCTGGTTAATCATATTAAATAGATCAAGATCGTAGGTACGGATGAACACAAAATAAGAGCAATTGTGCCGAGCCCATCATGTTGACTTTATCTGGAATTTGAAACAAATATTAAGTCTAATGCTGAAGACATTTGGAACAATATTTGAATGTTTTTATAAAAATTGTAAATGACACGTTTTTAAGAGAACAATTAGGAAATCTTAAATTTTGATTCACTGAAATTAGTAATTTATTTTGGAAGGTACATATAAAAAACTTTAACAACATATATTTCATTGGTTCATAATAGTCTCTGTATTTTTTTTTAAAGATCATTTTTACAGTGAGTTAGTATCTCTCTTTGACCCATTTTGGATCAAAATGTTTAACAACATATCATTGGGATTTGTGAACTAACCAAATAAATGAAAAAATAATGTTCTAGTATAAAAGTACAGATGAATGTATTTCTCCAAGAAAAGTGCTCTTTTGACAAAAGGTAGTTGAGACTCTTTTAAAGTAAAACTCAAATATTTTAGAGGGCCTCTTTGATACCTTGTTATGTTTTAAAAACCTAAATGAGGAAATTAATATTCTGGCTAAGAAAAATATTTTCCCATTATACAATTGATTTTACTTTTTCTCCCACCGTAAAATACTGCTCATTCACAGTTCTCCACATGTAGGGTATTTATTAGGCTTCTTTCTATTCTACCATTTATTGAAGGCTTTTTTCTTAGTTTCCTATTGTTTTAAAAAATTCTTTCTGTTTTGTGCTGTAACAGGTGCTTCATTCACATAAGAGAACAGGAAAGCAAGACTTTCTCTGTATCTTGATCCCTTGAAACATGGAATGAGTCTTTTTTGTGATTAACAAAGGCTACTGCTCTTAAATGCATTACAAGCATGATCTTGAGGTGTATAAATACTTCCATCAACACATCGTTACTTAAACCTGTCTTCTACTGGCTCATATCATTTTTGTTCCTCTCTTTTACACTGTCTCTTACCTGATTGCTTTGTACCCAGTCATTCCCATGCTTGTGATACAAAATCACTCTTGAACAGCAGATCATCTCTCTGAGAATTTAGGAGAAATGAACATAATGCAGAAATAACTATCCATCAGTTTTTTTTTTTTTTTTTTTTTTTGGTAAATAGCTGGGGTTTTTTTTGAAAGCAGGGTCTCACTCTGTTGCCCAGGCTCATGCAGTGGCACAATCGTAACTCATTGCAGCCTCAAACTGGGCAGGGGCTCAGGGCTCAAGCAATTGTCCCACCTCAGCCTCCTGAGTGGCTAGGACCACAGGTGCATGCCACCATCCATGCCCAGCTAATTAAAAATATATGTTTTGTAGAGATGGGGGGACCCTCCCTATGTTGCCCAGGCTGGTCTCAAACTTCTGGCCTTAAGGGTTCCTCATGCCTCGGCTTCCCAAAGTGCTGGGATTACAGGTGTGAGTCACCATGCTTGGCAAATAGCTCCTTTTTATAAAGAAACATTAGTACCCTGGTAGCATGGAAATGCTAATAATCTTTATAGTTATGAGGAGAGCTTAGAAACCTTGTGAATCTCACTTCTCACAATACTATCATTATTAAATGGTATTTATTTATCTCTCATGTAGCCAACATAAGATAAAATGTTAATACATGTAAACAAAACCTGCTTTGAGTAATAAGTAATTAGATTCTGATTCATCCAATAAATCTGTGCTCATCCATGTCATGACGCATGGTATCCGATAATTTTATTTTTGCATATAATCATAATCACAGAAATAACATGAGAAGTCAATAGCAGAAAAAATTAAAAAATATTGAAGCCAATCCATGGACATTCTTGAGTTACTTTCATACTAAAGAGTATCAAATAACAATATTCATGCAACTAACAAAAACTCTCAAAACCATGTATGCTATAACTTTACCCACTCTGAGATTTTTAATGGCTTCTGATGCTTAGGTATAATGTCTTCCCCCATTTCTCCTTCTCTCTCTGATCAAATCCCTAGAATTTTATATTTTATCTAAAATTGCAAAGAGGTACCTTTTTGCTAAGCTTTTTACTGCCCTATTGAGAACCGTTTGGAATTGATGTTCTCCTATTGCCCGTCTCCTCCATGTAGCTGCATTAGCAGCCATTTGTTTTCAGTCTTTTCCTTTTCCTTTCTCTCACTTTGGTTGCTTTCATTTTGAAACTTGATCAGAGAAAATGGAAAGGAAATATGAAATAACAAAACTTTTCAAATTAAAACTCAATTTGTTGTTTTATAAGGTTTTTGATGCAGGATAATAAACAGTGAAATAATAATAGGAAAACAGACACAAAGGGGCTTTAGAAAAATCAAAATCATCTGCATTTTTAGAGGTAAAGATGAGAGATTAAACATGGTTTATAAAAACATTGTATTTTGCAATCATCCTAGTTCAACTTAGGTTAACCTACTGTGGTCTAATTCTGCCAAGTCCCTGAAATTATGAACCTTAAGATGTTGATTCCATTTTTCCAATCTCTCTTTCTGTATGCAAAGATTAAGATAGGAAGTGTGGTCCTTATCTTTAAGAGTTTTGCAGCCTCAAAATGAAATGGAAATGTCTTCATGAAGGAATAATTCTTGGATATTTAAATTTATTTTCACTGAGAATATTTTAGAAAGCACAAGCAATGTGTGTATACCAGAATAATTACACCATTTTATTTATTTTTTTCATTTCATCTAACTGGTGTCTTCCAGTAGCATTAAGAAGTGCTAATATACTAAACTTTGATGTTCTTTTCTATTTGAAATATCTACCACATACACACATATTTATGGCTTGATTTTTTAAAAAATATACTCCTTTGCAGAAAGGTTTTTAAAAATTATCATGAACTTGGAGTATGTCTTTAATTTTAAAATATTTTAAGGATGCTAATAACCTGTTTAAGAATTTTTTTACTTTAATAACTATCATCTAGGCAATAAGGCAAACATTATAGTTTTTCTCTATTAAAATCAAAAAGGAAAAATCTCATCAAGAAAATACATGAAAAGTTTGGTAGACATTTTCCCCCAGTGCCAATAACTGTTCAGATAGCTGGAATATAGTTATAAAACTTTTCTCTTTGCAGTACAGTGTTAACTTAAAGGAGAAGCAGAAAATAACCTCAGGATGTGCTGTATTTACTTTATTAGTACTCATCCCTTCTCTCCACCTTGACCACAGTTAAGTTTTATTCCGTTCTGGCTGTGTTAAGCCGTACTAAATATCAGTGGGATGTCTGCCCACATCATCTGTTATAATGATCTGCTCCTACTCATAGGGACTCTTTCACTGAGGCTCTCTTTTTACAATCTTACATACCCACCTGCTTACATAGGAAATATAATTCTCCCCTTATGTGATCCTGAGCTGCTCTTAATAAACATGATGGTGAGAAATGCTCCAGGCCTGTTTTCTGCTCACTATTTAATAGCTTCCCAAAAGTGAAAGAGCAGTAATTAGGTAAGAATACATTTTTTTGTCATTGATGGGTAAAAGAAAAAAAATTATGGTTGAGGGCTGACAGAAAGTTGTGAAATACAGACTATATTTGCTACATCTCTTAATGAATAAAGTCACAATTCATTGCAATGTGTGTAACCAACACAACTGGAATATTTTTGGCCTTTTAAAGTTCAGTAATGGTGTTAATATTTATGCAAGATATATGAAGGACCCCCAAGTTGATATCAATAAGGTAGAGATCAAACATCCAAATATTTTTTCTACTGTCAGGAAAATATTTTTTGAAACAGTGCTTACACATGACTCCAATTGTCGGAATCCTGTGGGAGAAAGTCAATGATATAACTTTATTAAAAAGTAAACTGAGTCTGTAATGGTAGCTACCTCAAATCTTGAAGGGCCAAAGTAAGCAAGGGATAAGGAGCATCAGCTAAAAGGCCACAAAAAGGGCATAGGACTTGGAAGAGCCAAGCACAGGAGCACAGAGGCATTCCTTTGTGTGTGGATGGTGGCTGTATCTTTAAGGGTACCTTGAGAGAGGGCACATGGGAAGAATGATGGTATTTTCCTTTAAAAGCTTTTTGGGTTGTACACAGATTGTGGGATTTAGAAACAGCAGACTTTACTATTTTTTAATTATATAACTTTGTACAAGTCACTTAATGTCATTGATTCTCAGCCTCTTCAGAAATAGACTAGACATTTTAGTATCTCTCACGTAGCTGTTAAGATAAAAAATTAAATACAGTGATATAAGAGGGCCTTATAAGAGAACCAGAACATACGAATGATGTTTTTGCAAATCTATTTTTTCCTCTTGTGCTTCCTCTTAGCACTCTGAACTTGAAATTTTAGTGATCAACATCCCAGAAAGGCTTTTTTAAAAATTTCTTGTTGGTGTTTCTTTTTCCCCAAGAAGAAAGAGCCAGAGAGAAAATAGCTAAAGAATTATGAATTTACTTCATAGCTTTAATTAGTGGCATACATATTAGTGTAGTGTCTAAAAGAGTTTGCTTGATCATAATCGACTGTCCCAGTATTATGCCTTACAACACATTTCATTATCATACATATGAAATAAGACATGTGTTTATAAGAACAATGGATAAGCCTGTTTTCTGACAAAATCATTAACTATGCCAAAGTTCTCTTTTTTTCTTTTCCTCTGTTAATAATGAATGCTAGCTTTCAGTATCTTTACCGACTTCATCTCTGAATTAATTTTGACCTTAGTCAAATTGAATTTTGGTATTAGCCTACTTTATAAACCTTTACATTAATTAAGTTGCATATAAGCACACTAAGTTACACGATTTACCAAAAATTTCTTTTCATCATGCATCACAACACTTCCCGTGTGTTGCATAACTTAAGGTGCCTCCATATCTTTGGAATCAAATTTTTGGTAAGCTTCAAGAAAACCCTAGAATCATCCACACAACAAACTTAAATCAGTTTTTACTTATGGAAATTTTAGCTAGAGACCAGGAAATATTTAATCTGAGCCCAAATTTAATAAGATTTATTACTAATGATAGTCATGTTTGGATAATAGATAGTGAGATTAAGGTTGTTTAATTGTTAACTGATTTGTTAGCTATCCTTTGAGGCCAAGTTTTTTTTTTTTTTTTTTTTTTTTGGGAAATTACTACTCTTTCCTTAGAACATCATTTATTGACCTCTCTGCTAAGTTGCTGCATGTGTTACCACTCATATTTCTGTATGGAATTCATGCTTTAAAGGAGCATATGGGAGCCGTTGATTGCTTCGCCACAACTGGCGTCTTGCCTCCAGCTGCTTCCAATAATCTGGCATAGCTGTATTTAGTGGATAACTACTAATGTTGTTATTGGTCATAAAAGTTGTTAAGGTACTTAGAGTAATAATGGGCTCTCTGAGGAGTAGAAGTAAGTATATAATTTCTGTATGAACTTTTAAATGTTACTGATCTATCATACAAATTAAAATCTGTGCAAGTTTTAACTATTTTCATTTTAAACATTAAGTTTCTCTATTTGTTAGCATTTACTGCATACTGAGTCATTAATAAGGTGGTGTGAAATGATGAAACTCATACTTAGGTATAATAACAAAGAAAGTGAGTCTACCAGTACCATCATAGAATGCATTTATTTTATTTTATTTTATTTTATTTTGAGATGGAGTCTTTCCCCCAGGCTGGACTGCAGTGGCACTATCTCGGCTCACTGCAAGCTTCGCCTCCTGGGTTCACGCCATTCTCCTACCTCAGCCTCCCTAGTAGCTGGGACTACAGGCGCCCGCCATCGCACCCGGCTAATTTTTTGCATTTTTAGTAGAGACGGGGTTTCACAGTGTTAGCCAGGATGGTCTTGATCTCCTGACCTCGTGATCCGCCCGCCTCGGCCTCCCAAAAGGATGCATTTTTTTAAAACATAGGAAACTCTATGCTTCTCAAAGATAGTTATTAACTGTAACCAATACCATGCAATTTCACTATCTATTAATTACTTATGTAAAATTAATATAGATTTCTTCTTACTGGTGTACCTTACTATATGCATAGGTGTACCTTACTATATGCATAGAAATTTGATCAAACTTTATAAATAAATTTTACAAAGTATGACTAAAATTCAAGCAGCACATTTCTAAGAATCTTGCATTGATTTATTCATTTGAAAAGCAAGTATTTGTTTTCATCTATAGATAATAGCTTACTTTTTTTTACATTGGCTTTTTATGTATATTAAATCAAGTTATCTCAAAGCATGGCATACTTAACATAGAAAATGATTACAAGTGTAGACATACTGTTGTGGGTTTTTTTTGTTGTTTGCTTGTTTTTTGAGACACACTTTCACTCTGTCACCCGCACTGGAGTACAGTGGCGCGATCTCGGCTCACCGCAACCTCCGCCTCCCGGGTTCAAGCGATTCTGTTCCTCAGCTTCCCTAATAGCTGGGATTACAGGCGCACACCACCATGCCTGGAGAAGTTTTGTATTTTTAATAGAGACAGGGTTTCGCCATGTTGGCCACGCTGGTCTTAAACTCCTGACCTCAAGTTATCCACCTGCCTCGGCCTCCCAAAGTGCTAGAATTATAGGCCTAGACACTGCGCCCAGCCTACAAGTGTAGACATACTGTTAAAAATGACTTTAAATATTTATAACTGTAGTTCTAAAATTAGTCTATTGCCATTGCCTTTATATCATTTACATTAGTATTTAGAAGATAAATTTTAGATAACTATTTAGAAGAAAAATTATTCTGTACATTCATACCATGGAATATCATACAGATACCAAACAGTTAAGAAAGAGCAAATGTACCAACAAGGAAACATGACCAATAATCTTTTCTTTTTTTTTTTTTTTGAGGCGGAGTCTTGCTTTGTCACCTAGTCTGGGTGCAGTTTCATGATCTCGGCTCACTGCAACCTCTGCCCCCTAGGTTCAAGCAATTATCCTGCCTCAGCTTTGCGAGTAGCTGGGATTGCAGGTGTGCACCGCCACACCCAACTAATTTTTGAATTTTTAGTAAAGAAGGGGTTTCGCCATGTTGGCCAGGCTGGTCTTGAACTCCTGACTTCAAGTGATCCACCCGCTTTGGCCTCTCAAAGTGCTGGGATTACAGTGTGAGCCACCATGCCCAGCCAATAATAATCTACATATATTATTAAATAATGCTAGTCATAGATTATATATATACACACACGCATATATATGTATATTATATATATAAAAGATATATATATATATTTATATATATTCCAGATAATTTCAATACACACATTCACACATACACACACACACACACAGAGACACTGGAGAATATATATTTCCCTTATATTAATAGTGGAACATGAAAGAACTAAATAATGCCACAGTATTAATGATTCAGATAATTCTAACAGAATCAACATCCCACAAATTCCCTAGGGCTGAATTAATGATGTAGATTATCTGTATCATCCAGAACTGCAGGAAATTCTACACACTTCACTACCATATATTGGGAGAGTAAAGTTTTCATGTGCTAGTTTTAGAACTGTTATGTTATTAGTGCTGTAGGCCTGCTGTAATAAATTACCCACAAACTTGGTGGCTTACAACAAGTGAAATTTATTCCCTCACAATTATGGAGGTCAGAGTCTGAAATCAAGTTGTTGATAGGGTTTATTCCTTCTGGAGGCTCTGAGGAAGCATCTGTAGCATGCCTCTCCCTAGCTTCTGGTGGCCAGCCAGCCGCCTGGCCATCCTTGGGATGCTTGGCTTGTAGATGCGTGACTCTAGTCTCTGCCTCTGTCCCTACACTGTTTTCTCCCCTATGTCTGTGTGTCTTAAATATGCTTCTCCATTCTCTTATAAGGAAACTACTCTTTGATTTAGGGCCCAATCCAAATCCAAGATTATCTCATTCTTTCATACATCCACAAAGACTCTATTTTCAAATAAGATCATGTTCACAAGTACCAAGAGTTGGGACTTGGACATATCTTTTGGGGGAACACAGTTCAACCTACTACAGCTATTAAAATTATTTATACCTTATATGGCAATTATTTATTGGGTATCTTGTGTCTGTGAGAAAGTATTGCTACTAAAAAAGAATGAGTAGAGAGAAGGATGAGTGTATGGCTTTCAGGAACACTGTGAATGTACAAAGTTGCTTTATTATTTTAGATATAATTTCATTTTAACTTTTAGTCACATTTCATAGTTGTTTTTCAGTGTAGCTGTGGTTTATAAAGACACAGTATTATTATTGAATGATATAGTCTATAGCACTCTGAACTTAGTGTCAAAGGACTTTGTTTAAATCTTGGCCCATCACACTTAGTTGCATACACTTAGATGTTACTTAATCTTTCTGAGGTCTACTTTCTTCATTTGTAAATTCTAGCTAATAATACTAACATGTGAAAAGTTCATTAAGATGGTGACTATAACCATATGTTTTCTCCAGATAAACCTGGCTGCTGGGTTTGTCCTGAAGTTACAATCAATAGAAGTCTCTTAACAGCTCTATTGCTGAGTGTGTGGACCTAGCCTAAGACTCGTTTGTACCTAATCCATATCAGTTCAGTGGAGGAAATCTGTACAAATTGCCTTCATCACTAAGAAATTTTAATATACCAGGTTTACATGTTTTCCATTACTCTTACTACCACCATACTCTAGACTCCTGACCATGTGAATGGGAAATTACGTATCCCTCTTGGGTAGGGTCTAATATGATACCAAAATATTTGATGAATTCAGTCAAATTTTTAAACAAGTGATCATGATCGACTGGTTTTTATTGATTTAAGAGTTGTGGCTGATGTATTGGCATTGTTCTCACATGGTTCTCATGTGAGAGGTGCAGTGAAAATAGCACGATTCTCACCAGTCAGACAAAACAAAGTTTAAATGGCTGCTCAGCTACTCACTACCTGTATGACCTGAGCAATTTACTCATTCTCCTCATTTCTAAGATACAGATAATATATCTTTGTTTCAAGTTTGTTATAGTCATTAGAAATAAATTAGAGCACCAAGATGGTGCCCAGCTAAAAGAGGGTACTTGGTAAATGGTGGTTAAAAAGAAAATATTAATAGCATCTTTGTGGTGATGATCATGATTCAGAAATAGAATTTACAATGAAATGATTTGTTTCATTTCTTTTTGAGGTAAGTGCCAGGACTTGTTATATTGTGTTAGGATAATTACTTTATCAATATAATATTTTTAAGCTTTCTAGTTCCATTTTCCAATTGTAATTACTTCAGATTCTTTCTGTTAACGTTTTCTGTTTAGTTTTGCTTACGTATAACAAATATTTCATCATGTGTTTTATAAGCTATATCAAGTTTATCAGCATATCTTTTCATAAGACACATTGAAACAGAAAAAAATAATGTATTAGAAGATACTAGAAACAGGCTATTAATCTCAAATGTTATTAATAATACATTTTTGCTTCAAAGATATACAGCATGTGTGTAGCAACATTGTTGATTTGGCATAAATATATATTTAAATGCACAATTATTTCCTATGCATATAGACACATACACTGCTTTGCCTGTATTTTATAGCTTTGACAAAAATTATGCCAAAAATAAAACCACAGGGTATATTTGATAAATGTTAATTGACGGTGCTAAGTTTAAAAATTAAGAAGTGAAGACTATCCAACCCTATGGTGTAATGTGAATTATTTTCTTAGTTTTATTTCACATGGGAGATAATAAGGCTTCATCAAGTAACAGAGCTTTCTTAAAGTGACAAACTAATATGCCACATTGCCGATGTAAACAGAAAAAAAGGCAACATAGAAATAGACTCTTTTTGAAAATAAGGTACCTCTTTTGTTTTTATTATGAGATGAGTATATTTGTAATTAAGGGTAAATGGAACAATACATTTTTTTCATTTCTAATTTCAAGGCACTCCTTGAACTGATGGATCTATATTGAAGGTGATGTTTTTAAAGTCATATATAGCACTAAATCAAAACCACAATTAGATACCATCTCACACCAGTTAGAATGGTGATCATTAAAAAGTCAGGAAACAACAGGTGCTGGAGAGGATGTTGAGAAATAGGAACACTTTAACCCTGTTGGTGGGACTGTAAACTAGTTCAACCATTGTGGAAGACAGTGTGGCGATTCCTCAAGGATCTAGAACTAGAAATACCATTTGACCCAGCCATCCCATTACTGGGTATATACCCAAACGATTATAAATCATGCTGCTATAAAGGCACATGCACACGTTTGTTTATTGTGGCACTATTCACAATAGCAAAGACTTGGAACCAACCCAAATGTCCAACAATGATAGACTGGATTAAGAAAATGTGGCACATATACACCATGGAATACTATGCAGCCATAAAAAAGGATGAGTTCATGTCCTTTGTGGGGACATGGATGAAGCTGGAAACCATCATTCTCAGCCAACTATCACAAGAACAAAAAACCAGACACCACATGTTCTCACTCATAGGTGGGAAGTGAACAACAAGAATACTTGGACACAGGAAGGGGAACATCACACACCGGGGCCTGTTGTGGGGTAGGGGAAGCGGGGAGGGAAAGCATTAGGAGATATACCTAATGTAAATGACAAGTTAATGGGTGCAGCACACCAACATGGCACATGTATACATATGTAACAAACCTGCACGTTGTGCACATGTACCCTAGAACTTAAAGTATAATAAAAAAAATATATATCATATATTGCACTGAAAATATTCCAGGCCAAATTATGTACCACATATAACAAGCTGTCTGTTTAATCCAACAAAGAACTTTCTCTTTCTTACCGTGTGTGTCTTTGAGTGTGTGCGTGTGGTGTGTGTCTGTATGTAACCTATTATCCCATAATAAAGCCATATGTTTTTCTAATATGTGACTTTTTCCGTTGGAATAGCATACAAATAATACTTTTCAGTAAAAATAGGTCTTGATGTGATAAGAGGAAAATGCCAAAACAGTCCATTCCTTTTCACTTCAAGCTGCTGAAATATTGGACTGGGCAGAAGTTCCATTTAAAATTATTTAGTACTAATAACACTAGAATTAATATGCTGTAATTAAATGTTCAAAATTCATCCAGTTTCATATGTCAACCTTAAAGCTAAAATATTACTTCAAAGTTACGTTGATACTAGTATGATTTAACATTTCCTATCCTGATGTAGTATTTTCAGTATGTAAGTCAAACAGACATGAACAGAAACACAAACACATACCATACACAACCTCCTAACCAGTAGGAGAACTGTCATTACATTAAAAATACTGTTTAAATTGGTGACATAACAATTATTACTATAATAAAACCCTTATTCTTTAATCCCTGTACTTTCTATATTTGCTCCTATTGGAGTAGAATTAAAGCGGCTCTCGTAGGATTTTGGTTTCTCTGAGGGTACTTGTTAATACATCTGAATTGTGAGAATATTGCCCTTTGAGTACATTTTTTCATTTCCTTTTTTATAAAACCCCAAGGGTCTGGGTATACTAGAGGATGCTTCTGTATTTAGGCTTTCTAAAGGAGCCCTTGTCTGGGCATTGTAGCTCACGCCTGTAATCCCAACACACTGGGAGGGTGAGGTTGGAGGATTGCTTGAGCCCAGGAGTGTGAGACCAGTCTGGGCAGCACAGGGAGATCCCCATCTCCACAAAAAAATTAAAAATATTAGCTGGGGATGATGGCACTCACCCATAATCCCAACTACTCTGGAGGCTGAGGTGGGAGGTTCCCTTGAGCTGAGGAGTTAGAGGCTGAAGTGAGCTCTGATCACGTCACTGCACTCCAGCCTGGGCACCAGAGCAAGACCCTATCTCAAAATAAATAAATAAAATTTAAAAATAAAAGATTCCCTGAACCCATTTTGTTTGTCCCTAACCTTCTACTCTGTGGCAAATAGTTCTGAGCAGTGAGGAAATGATTCTTAGTCAATACAACAATTTTCCAGCTCTATGAAATGGTTTTCATGATGATCTTGTATGTTTAAATGTAATGTGAAGTGTAGTATAGAGGTACCTTGTATTAACATTCAGTCGCTGAAATACCAGCCACGTATTCTATGAGGAAGTCCTAATCTTGTGAATTTGTGGGCTACAAATGACTAATGATATTATCACCAGTCTCCCAATCATCTAACTTCAAAACTTTGAGTTCATTTTTGATGCCTTCCACCGCACATTTTGTTTTCTATAACGTTGTGCGTGTATTGATTTTGCCTTTATGATATTCCTTATGTCTTTTTCTGTTTCCACTTTCCTGCCACATGTTCAAATTCTCATTATCACTCATCTCTGCAACAGCTACCTAACTGTTCTGATGCCAGTAGCTTCGCTCTCCTGTCAGCTCTGTGCATTGCTGTCAGATCAATGTTCTGAAAGAAAAACTCTCCTAATGTTTATCGTTGACTCAAAAATCTTTGACAGCTACTGACTCTCTACAAAATTAAATGTTTGGTTTTTGCCTGTCACTGAAGACCCTCTTCAATTTGGTGCTAGTTGACTTTTCTGAATTTATTTTCTATTATTTCCTTTTACAAATTGATGATTCAGCCAAACTTAATCGTTCTTCTGTTCTCCACACTTTTCAGACTTTCTAGCCTCTGTGTTTGTTTTTTTTTTTATATGGATTCCTTTTCCTGGAATAGTATTCTCTACTACCTCTCTCCATGTCAAATGTAGTCACATTCAGTAAGGCCAAACTGGCCTGATTTCTTATCTATAAATAGTTCCCAAATTTTCCAAGAAAAAAAAAAAATAGTTCCCAGATTTTCCTAGAACAAAAAAATTCTTCTGAACCTCTATAGTATTTACCATTCTATGCTTCTTTTATGGTCCTACTACTTTGTACCTTGTATTACACTTACTTAAGCCATTTTCTATCTTCTCTCATTGAGAGGAGAATCTAGATAGTATTTATTTTTTTGTTTTCGCACCATATATTTGAGTCTCTTACGAGAAGTGTGTTAATTGCTCCATAAAGGCATCAGTTGAAAAGAATTAAAAATCCTCAGCTTTCCGACCTAGAAAAGGTTAATATAGAGAACAAATCCACCCTCTGAAAATAATGTTTTAATCAAATCAGGAGTCTTTACAATCAGCCACATTTTCAGATTGTTTTAATGAAAATGTGTGGAAGTGCAAATTAACTTCTTAGTTCTTTATGAAAGAGGTGCCTATTTTGAAACCCTAGTCACATTATGTTAAAAAATAAAAAGTTCCTGAAAGGAAAATGTAACCTTAAAATGAATGAATAAACGCTTTATTACTTTAATTTTAGGTTTATAAAAGAAGTCCAAAACTAAAATCGAGACCATGAAAGTGAAATGATCCTATAAATTATGATATTTTTAAATACATAGTTAAATTGTAGCACATAATCGTTGCTCTCTGTATATTCTACTCTTATCTCTAATGTAGTACGCCCTGGCCTATATCAGAATGCAGAGTTTCCTGGGACTGTATCCTTTTTGAAGCCAAGTGAATGCCATACACATTCAGTCTGACTCATGTTCCCTGAAACTCAGACTAATTCACTCAGGATGGCCAAGACTAAGGGGCTCGACAGATAGGAATTTCTGTAGTTTGCTTTGATTTAGAAGTACTCTTAAAAATCCAATCCTATGCCAGGCCTCTCTTGATGTTGCTACCTGCTAACGATTGGATGACCTAAAGAACCAGCCTAAAAACAAAAGAAATCTCCCAATCAGCCATGAATGGCAATGCAATGAATAGGCTTTTCATTAGGATGGAGCAGAAGGCACATGCAAGGTGACTACAGCCATACCTTCAATAGAATAAAACTTAAACCTGGTCCTGTAACTCTATATAAGTTAATTATTTAATACTTTATTTCATAACTGCACTAATAGGAAATCTAGTTTATTATTATTGATCATTTGGACATCATAGAGAATTGTCTTAAGCCATGAGTTAAAGTGTCTTAAAATATATGTATTTTGAGAATGTATATATAGTCTGAAGTGAGGTTTATAAACATATTAGTTGTAGACTGCCTAGATATAGATAGATATAGGTATATCCTCTATCTCATTCTGCAACAATTCCAAATTTGTTTATAATAACGTTGGATTAGCACTAAAATATAACATCCACAGAGAAATAAGTAGTTTATAGTGACATGAAAATGCCACTATAACACTTTATGTCAAAGTTCTCTATGGTTAATATTTTAAGGTTTTAAAATAGAGAATTTTTAACAAGCAGGATACATTAAAATACTATTTATTTGAATCTCTTTATATTGACTTATGTGTTTTAACTTAAAATTTTAGCCCTATTTTGAATAAATGTACTTTTCTGTACTAAAAATATTCACCATGATTTTTCATTCCATATTTTAATGTTTTTTTACCTAGCTGGAGTTATTATAAAATGTGGTATATTTTGTCCCTCTATAGTTCTAGACTTTCCAACTTTTAATTACAGCTAGGAGTTTTGTTGTAAACTTCATGAGACCATGTATTTGACATGCTTTCATTTAGGTTAGTTTATGCTACCCAATCCTGTAAGAATTTATCTGCATAACTAGATAGAATTTATCCAGCAATTGACTGAATATCTTATTTGTTGGATTTATGTGCATTCTAATAACATTTGGTTCTTAGTTCCAATAGTGTGTATAAATACTAAATATAATATTTCATACCAGGACCAGTTATTAGAGAATATCATCAGATAACTATAATTTGTACTCTTTTATCTACTTTTATGGCTGACTCATATTGTTTTCTCCCCCCTCTTTGCCATTTGTTTACTATATTCCAAATTGTTTTTAAACAGTTACACAAGGGATTATGTCCCTTGGGAATGGTCCGTTACATTTTGAATATCAGTGCTATTCCAAGTTATTTCAACCATGTCATTAATCTCACTTAAAGCAATAAAAAGCAAATAGTGGTGAGAAGCAAGATGCATAAAGCATTACTTTAAACAGTTAAAAAAAAAAAAGATGTTAAATGTTCCCTCTCTAGGAGCTCCTGCAGCTCTCAATACATTTGTGTGCAACTGAGCAAGAGAAAAGTAGCAGTGGGATTGTTAGTGGAGAGAGAAGCTTACAAGGAACATCAAAAGGGGACCGCTTCACATTCTGGCTCCTTTCTTCCTGCATGCAGTTAAAAAGAGAGAATCATTTAAACGAGCTCCTGTAGAACCCCCTTTTATTGGTTTCTTTTCTTACGTAAAGTTACCAACAGGTTCATTCATAAGGTGATCTTGAAGGTTGTTTCACTGTCACTGAGCCACAGTTAAGGTGGTTTGTAAAGGGTACCACCCAAGTATAAAGATGCCTGGTAGGAAAATAAGGCCTTTATACAAAAAGAGCAGCAGCCCATCAGATCTTTCCTTTTCAAACCAGGCAGGTCCCTCCTCAGAAAGATTAATTACAGTCAGGTTGAGAAGACAGCCTTACTGTGTATGTGTGTGTGTGTATGTGTGTGTTTTCCCCCTCAACATTAGAAAGATAAAGGGTGTGATTAGTGTGCACAAAGCCTCTGATCAAACCAGCTCAGAGGTTTGTGACAGGAGGTTCAAACACTTTATGGATCACTAGTGCTGACAGGTAGATCACACAGACCTTAAACAGATGTTTAGTGAGAAGATGAATGTGTGAGATCTCAAACATGCAGCGCTCTTTTACTTGGCCACTTTAGTCTGTGAAGTATTAAACGTTGCTAAAGAAACCTACTCCTTTAAAAGGGGTGAAAAAGTTACTAACAAGCTTCCATTAAATCTCAGCCTTTCTTTTATTATCAAGATTTAGCACAGCTGAGATTTGAAAGTTACCAAACTTTCTGCAGGAATTGGTGAACATGACCATACTTTATCTTATAGTGTATGAAATGCTTGTTAATTAGTTTATGAGTGTTTCTGCCTCATATTTGAAAAGTTTAGTTAACATAGATAGAACGTTTAAGGTAAATTAAATGTAGCTAAAACCCAGAAATATTCAAGTAACATCTGTCTTTTATATTTGTAATATACAATTTTAGAATAATATTGGATGAAATAATTCATGATTATGAAAATACAAAAAAAAATTTAACAGAATTTCCATAGTGAATTGTATTATCACTATTAATTCTTTACAAGTGTGTATAACGAATAAATGTTATGAATGTCTTCTATTACTTTCTTTGACAAGAAATAAAATGTATACAGTAGGTATCTGTCTGCATGTATGTGTGTATGTGTGTGTGTGTGTGTATATATATATATATATATATATATATATGCATGCATATATATGCCCAGAACTAAATACTTGGTGTCATCAATTATGTTTTTATTTCATTATATCACAGGGGAATGCAGACCTGAGATTTCTGTCAGTTGGATTAATATGTCTTACTGGTGGTAACAACTTTCCTAGGTGTCGTTATACGTCACCCTCACCTTATTGTTTGTAGAGTCATACAAGGTAGTAGAAAGAAATATTCTACAGGGCTTGGCATTTTAATGCCATAAGGCTATGGCTTTATAATAATTTCCTTGTAAATTCTTAGAAAAACATTTATACATAATTGACAAAATAAGGGAGAAGAATTGATTTTGCATATTTTGCACTTTATAATGGTGATTTTTCAATTCTTTTAATTTTAAATTCGGGTTAAACAAGATATGGCTGTCAGTCTTATCACCACTAATAGAAAGATGATTATTAAAGAACTTGTGAGCATAGATAATAATTATGAAATAATGTAAATGAAAGCATCTTTAAGATAATAAAAACTTTACACACACACACAAGCGTTAGAAGATGGGGAGGAGTCATTGGAGGAAGTAGAAGAGGAAAACAGGAATCAGAAAAGGAAGGGTAATGATAATTAATTATGTTATGGAAAAAACCATGTAGTTCTGTCTACTGCTGTTATAGTATTATCTAAGACTGACTTTTAGAAATCGTATTATATTAATCATCTCACCCATGTGCCCAATCTATTTCTAACTGCATTGCCAAAGTCACTGAGAATGCAGGAGTATCTATACATTAAACTAATACTTACTGAACATAGTATGTGCAGTTTGCTCTTAACATTCACAGACAATAAAAAGATGAGTAAGATGGAGTCATCGTTCCTGAGAAGCTTAGATTTATGGGCAATAGGTGCTTAAGAGTATTGGAACTGAAACTTTTTTGATGTATTTCTCAAACTATATCATGGTGTTTGTGTGTGTGTGTGTGTGTGTGTGTCCCCTGAGAAATGAAGAGGAAGCTTTTGATATGTAGCTTGAAAATTTCATACAAGAAATATTTTGTCTATCCCTAATTTATTCTGTCCAAATATGTACTGAATTTCAGTCACCTTGAAGGATCCATTCCACTGCAGTTGACTTCTTAGTGTCTGGGATGTCAGATGGGAAACAATTTTACCTTATTTCATTCTCTGTCCTTCAGCTTTTTCACTCGCTGATTTTTTTCCTTTAAAAAAAGATGTAAGAGTTGTTTGTAAGCAACTTTCACAATTATTTCTTACCCAGAGTGTGGGCCTGCCTGTTTGAATGTTTCCAAGAAAGTATTGTTCTTATGTGACAACAGGTCAGAAAGACTCTGCATTAATTACACTAACATATGGTTATTAACAGATTCTAGCTCAGGGAGCAATACTTTACAATGTTATCTTCCACATAGTCAGATGTTAGCCATATTGTCAGTGCTGGCAGCTATTGTTTCACTCATTTACTTCACAGAGCTAATTACTCCCTAATAATAACTTTACCTTGGAGTTTTTCACTTGCTTGTGCCAGCAAACCTGTTCACACTACATATGCTAATTATTGGCACTTATTCATTATGTTAAGATAGCTTTAAGTTCAAGCTGTGCAGCCTGGCTTTCGGTATGGAGCCAGCTGGCTGCAAAGTTCCACCTTTTTTTACTAAAGTCATTAAAAGTTTTAATATGGGCCCATCTTGTTCTCTTTACAAGATTCAGTCTTTCAGGAATTCAAATGAATGTGCAGTTACCCATGGACAATTGCAGATTATAATAAGAAGGTTTTGGTTTCTGTGAGAAATTCTATAAGCTTGCACTCATTGTGGCCTTTTCTGTTAGATAAGAAAAGATGAGTGAATCCTTTTCCATCTAAACTATATGGCCACTTTATCTATTTGATTATTCTATACACATATATACATGCATGTGTACGTGCACACACACACACACACACACTCTCTGTTTCTCTTTTTGGTTCATTTCTCTTCAGCATAAGATTAGCTCACTGGTGGTATTTAATTTATTCATACCAAAGTGATACAGAATCTGGAATTTTACTGTTTGTGTAACATCCTTTCTAAAGTTTTTTCTTTTTCTTATCATTTCAAGAAACAGAATCAATGCCAGGGCCAGAGACTGTGCTTGAACTCTATTCAGGATTCCCATTGATATCAGCAGGAGTTAATATTTAAGTGTTGTTTTCAGTCAAAGTAAAATATGGTTTCTCTAGTTTTAATGAACAAATAGCTTCATTTGGTTCACGTCCAAATATAATTAGTAACTACTACCACTCAGTTAAATACCCAACTTTGATGAGTATGAATCAAAATGGATTTGACCTTTTAGCTGATAATTTTGGGGGAAATTTGGAGACCTAGAAATGAATATATACTTAGGCATAAACTGTTTAAAATTAGTTTTTATCTTAAACAGATGACTTCTGCAAGAGTCAACCTTCTCATCTTCACCTTAGTTGTAATTAGTCCTTTAAATTATTTAATATTGCAGTGTAGATATTAAACATGGGAATCTTGAGACATATAGGTATTTAATAAAAAATGGTTAGAGACATATATTATTACGCTTAAAACAGCGTATAAGAGATATGAATCTGTTTCAACCACAGGCAAAATAAGAGACTTGAGTTAGACTTTCAGCTCTGTATTCTATGAGGTAAATCTTTCTTCATATTTTAGCCCTAGCATCGACATTTTGCTACTAGAATACTCATGGGTAGTGTTCATTTTAGCCTATGGAATGCCAAATAACAACTTCTAGTGTTTTTAAGGATTGGCATAATTTGGTATATCTTTGGAGGTAAAGAAAGGGTATGTGATAACAAAGAGAAATAGAAGAGAAATGGAGGAGAATGTAAAAATCTTTTGGTTTCTACCTACCAGGAGCTCCCCTTGATCCGTGACAATGTTTGGTGGGATCTGGCACAAACTACCAGGATGTTGAGGGAGGGGTCTTATGTCACTACAAATCTATTCTTGCTGGGGGACCAAAAAATGTTACCACTGAAAAATCACCTCTAGTAACGATCCTGTTTACATTTTAAGTAACTATACAATAATATGACTCTCTGATGAGAAACAGATAGCAAATGTTGAGGGAATTCATAATTAATTATAGTTCTAAATACTTACTCAAGTTGGGAAATAAAGACTGTCTTTGACCTTAATGATATGTTTATAAAGATTCATGTGTTAAAGTTTTTGATATGTGAGTTATCCATTATTATGTTTATGGTGAAGAGAGAAAAGGATTTTGCAGAGAGGGATAAACAATTTCTAAAAATAACAAAATCTAGCTGCAACTTAAGAAAAGGATCCTTTTTATTAAAAAAAAAATTTCAAGAAACCTCAGAATTCCAATTTCTCTTAAGAAAAGCTTGTGTATGATTTCTTGATAAACTAGTTCTGTTGGAGATAACAAAATGTGGTTGCTGTGCCATAGATATTGGCACACACTGAGCACTACCACAGTTTTCTTCAGAGTGGTTGGAAAGTTAAACCAAAATAAAATAAAATTAATAATTGCAGTAATTAAGGGTTATAACTAAGAAGTCGAAATAAGCCAACTCAAATTTCCTGAGGTAATTCAAAAATCTATTGGTTCAGGATGAAATTACAGATTAAAACAAGTGAAAACAGTACAAAGACAATAGTAAATTTTAATTTGTAAGCTTTTAAATACTCCATATGAAATTAAGACTGAGATATATGTGTGTGTTTGTATATATATACACACATATATATTTATACATGTATATATGTATATGTGTATATATATACACATACATATATTTCTATTTGAGGCTTTTAGAACTTTTATTAGCTATCAATATAATAAAAATATTTAATGACACCAAAATACAGTACACTAAGGAAGAACTCATTTGGGCTGTTCTCTGTCTTCTGAGTAATCTAGTTTCATACTTTTTTATTTGGCTTGAATAATTTCTGTCACCTTAATTCTTCTCTACATATTTATGAAAACTATTAACCCATTCTCTACTTTATAAAGGGAAAGTTTTCATTATTCCTACCCTCTCTGCCATACTTTGACATTTAAAATTGTAGTGGCCACCATTCAAGGGAAAGAGTTTTTGAGAGTCACGACCAGGAGAGTATGGTCAGCTTTTGCTTCCCATACCCCAAATTGTGAGGCCTTTACTTGTGGCATTGTGAAGGAACAAGTGCTCAAAGGCACTTTGAGCTTGTTGAATCAACTAGTTTTTGGTTAAAAGTGCTTTATAATATATTTCTGCTCTTACGAGAATTAAATGAAAAGTCTCAAGAGAGAAAAATGAGAAGTTTAAGATGGGTCTAGAACACAGACTACGACACTGTAAGCTAACACAAAAGCTGGGCTACCCTGCAGTCAAATTCTTACAGCAACATTAGGATCAGAGAATAAGCTTTGGATAATCCAAAAGATGGTGGAGCTTAACCTGAGACTGTCTCATTAAGCTTAGACTAAGTTAAAAAACAGAAGAAAAAAAAAAGTTAGAGATATAAATTCCACTCGTATTAAATTTGTTGTGTGTCAGCAGCAGCTTTGCTCTACATTCTTTTCAATCCAAGATCAAGGCTTACAGAGCAGTTCTGGTCTGGGACATGATAATTTGACAGCAGAGAGAGAACAGGTATAGCGGAAATATGCAATGACTCTTAAAATTTTTTCTCAGAAATTGCACCCATCATTTCTTCCCATGTTTTTTTATAAAACAGAGCAAGTCACATGGCCAAGTCTGGCATCAGTAGTGTGGGAAGAAAAATCCTTCTAGAGGGACCCTGTAAAGTAGGGCATCAACTATTTTAAAAGTAAACTCTCTTAACCACTAGGCTACACTGCTTCCCCTTATTTTAAAAGTAAACTCTATCACAATAGGTGTTCAAGTTCAGTAGAGCTCCTGAAAACCTGGTAGCATCCAAACCAACCCTCTCTGAAAGAAAGTATCTCTAATTTCATTTCCCAAGACTTCCACTTAAGGAAACATATACTCAAAATTAAAAATTGCAAAACACACAAAGGAGCAGTGCATAAAAAATAAGAGTACACATAAATACTGAAGTATTTAGCACTACCACTCTAAGATCTTCAACTATTAGAAGTATCATATAGACAATATAAAATAAATATGCATAGAATGCTAAGGAAACAATGAAACCACACAAAAAATAAACATAAAAAACTTTCAAAAATAAACAAATATTTGAAAGATAACTAAATGGAAAGAAAAACTATAGTAGCTGCAATCACAAATTCAGTCAATGGATGTTTTCTGTCTTCTTCTTCCAACTAGGTTAGAGATATAGGAACCAGATTAACCATGCCTCATAAACAACTAGAAAGCCAGAGAAAATATATGAGACAAAGGTGTTCAAACATTGGACAAATGAGGAGAGCCCACAGTGACTGTCCACAGCTCACTATCTGGTGAGACAAAGAACTCAGGCAGAACTTGGCAGTCTCTCTGAGTTAAAGAAACAAACATCAAGGTTCAGGGATGCCAAGGCAGGTAAATATATTTGCAGCACTGGAAAGAATAGCTTTTCAGAGGGAGAGACAGACAGACAGAGAGAAAAACTAACTCTTTTTCACTAGAAATCTGCAGATTGTGTTCATCAGGTCTTTTCTGAATACTAATCAGTGCATATGTATGTAAACTACCAAAGCCAGGTAAGGAACCTTTGGAAAAGAGCTAACAGGAACAATAATCCTCAGTTCTCACCTGTGCTAGAAATACTTTCTGTTTTCACAAGGCAGAATGGAGGAACTCGTAACATGTAGAGGGTAGGGTTGTATCTTCAGGAAGAGTATTGCTTCAGTTGTGGAACCAAGTTAATTTTAGTCTAATAGCTATTCCAGACCAGACCTTAAAAACAGGTATAAAGTAAGACTTGAAAGGATGAAATTGTTTCCAGATAAATTCAGTGAACCCCAGAACAACCCCCCAAATAGATTACAAAAAGTAAGATGAAATTCAAAATGTTTTATCACTCGATCAAAAAATAGCATGCATAGAAAGAAGCAAGAAATCACACAATCAGAAGAAAAAATAATCAAAAGTGGCATAGATGTTAGAATAAGTAGACAAAGATGTTGAAACAGCTATTAAAAATATATTCACTATGTTCAAGAGCATGATAAGGAGATGATTGGAAGCTATAACAGTGTCCTAGATTGAGCTTTCAGAGGTAAAATGTACAATATCAGAGATCTGAAAATACTGGATGGGATCAGAAATTGCAAAAGATAAGATGTGCATTTGAAGATATAGCAATTAAAACTATTCAGAAATAAAAACAGAAAAAAGACCAATGAAACCAGAATGTCAGTGAAGTGGGGTGAAGGAAGAAGGAGACAGACAAAATTCATTAAGGAAATTGTGTCCCAGAATTTTCAAAATATTTCATTAACTATAAATTCATATATCTAAGAACCTCAAAGAACCCTAAACAGAAGAAACATGGTCAGATTGTGAAAAGAAGCAATGAACAGAAAGCTTAAAAGCTGCCAGAGATTAAAAAAACCATCTATACAGAGAAAGTAAATTGTTGTAAGGTTCTTCTTAGACTCTACATGAAAAGTTATAACATCATTTGCAGTAGACTGTGATAAGTTTAACAGTTGTACTGTAAATCATGGAGTATCCAATAAAATAAAACAAAAATAAATACCTAAGAAGTCAATAATGGAAATAAAATGTTACTATAAAATACTTAATACAAAAAAGGAGTGAAGAGATTAAAAGAGAACAAATAACAAAAGAGATAAATAGAAAACAAATAGCAAGATTGTAGATTGATTCCTGATTGTGTCATTAATTTTATTAAATGTAAATTATCAGGTGGATACAGTGACTCACCCCTGTAATCCCAGCACTTTGGGAGGCCAAGGCAGGCAGATCTCTTGAGGTCAGGAGTTCAAGGCCAGCCTGGGCAATGTGATGAAACCCCCTCTCTACTAAAACTATAAAAATTAGCCAAACATGGTGCCGAATGCTGGTAATCCCAGCTGCTCGTGAGGCTGAGGCATGAGAATCTCTTGAATCTGGGAGGCAGAGGTTGCTGTGAGCTGCCATAGCACCACAGCACTCCAGCCTGGGTGGCGGAGTGAGAACCTGCCTTTAAAAAAATAAATAATCATGATAAATAAATGTAAATTATCTAAACAAACTAATTAAAATCAGAGATTGTCAAGTTAACAAAAAAGAAGGAAGACACACCTGTATGTTGTCTGCAGGAAACCACTTTCAGTATAAAGAAACAGGTTAATGCAAAAAGATATACCAAGTTAACACTAATCAAAAGAAAACTGGAATAGCTATAAAAGTGTCAAATAGATTTCAGAGCTAGGAATATTATCAAGGATACCAAGAGTCATTTTACAATTTTAACTTGGGCAGTTCATCAAGAGACCTTAAAAATGCTGAATGCATATGTAACTAATAGTAGAGCTTCAAATTACAGAAAATAAAAATTAATAAAATTAACATGAGAAGTCTACAATTACAGTTGGATATTTCAATAATCCTCTTTCAATTATTGATTGAACAAGAAGTTAGAAAATTACTAAGAATTGAATGACACTATTCATTACTCTGACCTTATTTACATTTATAGAACCCAACAACAGAAGAATAATTCTTTTAAAGTGCACACAGAATATTTAGCAAGCAGATTACACTCTGGGCCATTAAAGGTCTTAATACATTTTAAAGGACTGAAATAATTTAAACCATGTTTTGTGATCAAAATGGAATTAAATTAAAAATTAGTAAGCAAACAATATCTGGAAAATTTCAGTTTATTTGGAAACTAAATAAAATACCTCTAAAATAACTCATGGGTCAAAGAAGAAGCCATAAGGAAAATGAGAAAATATTTTGAACTGAATGAAAATTGACAACGTAACATATTCCAAATTTGTGATACGGAACTAAAGCAGTATTTAGAAGGGAATGTATAGCATTAAGTATATATATTGGAAAAGTGGAAAGGTTTAAAATTAATTACCTAAGCTTTCCCCTTGAAAAACTAGAAAGAGAGCAGCATAGAAGGTTAAACCCAAAGGTAAAAATTAAGAGTAGTAAAAATAGAAATGTAAAATAAGAGAAAAAAGTGTATTGAAAAGTTTATTCTCTGGTATTAATAAAATCGATAAACCTCTAGCTAGACAATTCAGGAAATAAAACAGAGTAGACACAAATTTGAAATTGTAGAAATGAGAAAAAGGACATCACTGAAGATTTTACAGACCATAAAACCAGGGGCTGTTATGAAAAACTTTATACCCATAAATTTGGCAACTTATATATAACAGATAACCCTCTGAAAGGCAGACTACCAAAGCTCGCTCAAGGAGAAATGCATGCCCTGAATACCTCTACACTACTAAAGAAATACAATTTTCAGTTAAAAATCATCCCACAATAAGATTCCAGGCCCAGATGGTTTCATTGGTGAATTGTAAAAATATTTAAGAAAAAAAAATGCCAATTTTATACAAACTTTCAGAATGTAGAAGAAGAATGAATACTAATGAATACTTCCCAAAACCACATGAAGGTATGTCAAGGAAATAAATTTATAGGCCAGTATTCTTCACAAAGATAGGTGCAAAATTTTTTACAATGTTAGCAAACTAAGTCCAGCAATATATAAGAAGGATAATATATTATGAATATGTCATATTTTTTGTTTTTTTGTTTTGTTTTTTGTTGTGTTCTTTTTTTTTTTTTTTTTTTTTTTTTTTTGAGACAGAGTCTCGCTCTGTCACCCAAGCTGGAGTGCAGTGGCGCAATCTCGGCTCACTGCAAGCTCTGCCTCCCAGGTTCACGCCATTCTCCTGCCTCAGCCTCTCGAGTAGCTGGAACTATAGGCGCCCGCCACCGGGCCCAGCTAATTTTTTGTATTTTTAGTAGAGACGGGGTTTCACCGTGTTAGCCAGGATGGTCTCGATCTCCTGACCTCGTGATCCACTCGCCTTGGCCTCCCAAAGTGCTGGGATTACAGGCGTGAGCCACTGCGCCCGGCCCATATTTTTATTGTGTATGCATGGTTGCTGTATCATCCAAAAGTAAGTATAGCTAATTGACTAGATTAATAAAATAATTTTCTACTACAAATTCATTATCAATAGAATCATTATCCTAATAGAAGCAGAAAAAGCATTTGACAAAACTCAATACTTATTTAAGATAAAATCATCTCAGCAAACTAGGATTAGAAACTTTTCTCAATAAAGAATTTCTACACAGAACTTAGAACTATCCTCCTGTTTAATGTTGAATTGAACATATTCCTCATAAGGTTGCTCATACTCTTAAAATTTTTATTCATCATTGTACTTTGTAATTGACAAGCCAATTCCAAAATTTTTATGGAATTTCAAAGCATTTTTGAAAATGATGAGCAAGTTGGAGAATTTACACTTTCTGATTTTGGCTTATTTCAAGCTATGCTAATCAGTACAGTGTGGTTTTGGCATAATGACAAATGTACAGATCAGTGGAACAGAACAGAGTTCAGAAATATACACACACAAATGTATGTTCAATTGATTTTTTTTTTTTTTTGAGACAAGGTTTCCCTTGTCACCCAAGCTGGAGTAGAGTGACACAGTCACGGCTCACTGCAGCCCCGACTTCCCAGGCTCTGGTGATTCTCCCACCTCAGCCTTGCAAGTAGCTAGGACTACAGGTATGCACCACCATGCCCAGCTAATTTTTAAAATTTTTTGTAGAGATAGGGTTTCACCATGTTGCCCAGCCTGGTTTGAAACTCCTGAGCTCAGGTGATCTTTCTGCCTTGGCCTCCCAAAGTGCTGGGATTACAGGCATGAGCCACTGTGCCTGGTATGAGTGCATCTCAAAAGCATTATACAAAGTGAAATAAGCCAGAGAAAAAATATCATATACGATATTTTTCCATTTGCCTTTATAAAATGCAAAACTATAGTGATAAAAAGCTTATTCATTGTTGTTGTGGAATAAGTAGAAGGGAATTACTTCAAAATGAGTACAGGGTGTTTGTGGTGATAGAATTATTCTATGTTGTGATTGTGTTGTTGGTGGTTTTCTGCATTTTTCACATAAATTACATTATTGTATTTATTGTATGTAAATTATACCTCTGTAAAGCTGACTCCAAAAAATTTTATTTTGATTAATGGGTTAAGCCCCTGATTAGACACAGGTAAAGAGAGAATTCATCAACTAGATGAGAAATGTGAAGAAATTCACTAGGTTGCAGAGAGACACAGATGAGAAATATGAAAATGAGGTTAAAAGAGGCAGAAGATAGACAAGTTCTAACATATATATAATTGGAGCCCTAGAATGCAAGAATAGAGACAATAAATGAGTTAATATTTAAAGGGAAGTAGCTGAGACTGTTCCATAATTGATAAAAGACATGAGTCTAGATATGTGAAGCAAAGTATTATCAAGGAGTATACATAAAAAGAAATTCATTCATAGACAGGTTGTTTAAAGATGCAGAATACCAAAGGACATGATCTTAAAAACAGTCATGAAAAGGCAAATCATTTATAAAATCTCACAAGTAGACTAAAAATAGACGTCTCAAACATAATCATGGGAGCAAAAGTCTGTAAAATAAGAAAAAGTAACTATTAGCCTAAAATTGCATACCTCAGTGAATTTATCTTTCAGAGCAAAGCAGTATGTTTTTGTAAAGGCTAAAATAACTAGCTTACTGCCAAAATAACAACTTTACGGATATCTTTACTTAAATAATTGTCTAAAAGATATACTTCAGAAGAAGGAAAGGGAAAGTAGAGGTTGAAGTTTGAATGGAAAGCAAAGAAATTAAAAACGTTTTAATAATTCTAAGTCTCTGTGAAAAATAAGCATAGTTTATAATTTTATGATTGAAAATAAAAGAGAATAAAAACTATATGAGGCAAGAATAAATGATTAGAACAGAAGTAACATGTCCTTGTATTTGGTTGAGAGTAATACAAGCTATTCAGATTTTTTAAGCTAACTTTATGTTAAATCATCAAGGTTAACTGCTAAAACAAAACCTCTAAAGCACTGGCAGGAGAGAAAACAAAACACAGCAACTCCAAAACTTCATAATAATGTTAATAAATATCAAGACAGAGTAAGAAAAAAGCATTTTAAATATCTGGGAAAATGAATAACACAAAGTAAGTGGGTAGAAACAAGTTCAAAATATGTAAGTACTTGATGTAACTATTTATAGCTTGAAACAGTTTTATCAAATTTAATTAAAAATAAAACCAGGGCTGGGTGCAGTGGCTCACCCCTGTAATCCCAGCACTTTGGGAGGCTGAGGCAGGTGGATCACTTGAGGGAAGGAGTTCAAGACCAGCCTGACCAACATGGTGAAAACCCACCTCTACTACAAATCCATAAATTAGCCAGGTATGGTAGGACACACTTGTAATCCCAGCTACTTGAGAGGCTGAGGCACGAAAATTGCTTGAACTCAGGAGGTAGAGACTGCAGTGAGCCGAGATCGTGCCACTTGCACTCCAGCCTGGGCAACACAGTGAGACTCTGTCTCAACAACAACAACAACAATAATAAAATAATTAAAAATACAACTGTATGCTATTGTTGAGGGAAATATAAAATACAAGGAAGCACAAGGAAATAGAAAGCTTGAAGATCAAAGAATGACAAAAAGACATAATAGTCAAATACCAATCTAAACAAAGCTAAGGAGTTATATTGATATTTGGAAAAAATAGACTTTAAGCCAAAATGCATTACTAGGGATAAATAGGGCTTCTACGTAATGCTAAACTATTTAATTTCCCAGGAAGATATTACTGTTCTAAACAAGAATACAATAAAATATCCTCAGATTATATGTCAGCTTGAGAGAACCTCAGAGAGATAGTGACATAACCACAGCGAGAAATTGTGAAACAGCCACTGTTGTGGAAAAATTTACCGTGCCCCTCTCAATTGTAAGGTCAAGTAGGTAGAAGGTTATTAAAAATACCGAATATTTGAAAAGAATTGTGAAAAGCTCTACCTAACTCTGCACTGAGTATTTAGAAGATAAGTATTTAGAAACGAAATATTCTTTTCACACACACATACAGAATATAATTTTAAAATACTGGTTATATTTTAAGTCATAAACCATGTCTCAGGAACTGTTGTAGAATGTGGTACTATACAGTGCTTACTGCAAATAATGTAATTAGTAGTTAATCAAAATATATTTGGAAAATATAAATCTTTTTTTTTTTTTTTCCTGAGGCGTAGTCTCACTCTGTCGCCCAGGCTGAAGTGCAGTGGTGCAATCTCAGCTCAATGCAACCTCCACCTCCTGGGATCAAGTGATTCTCCTGCCTCAGCCTCCCGAGTAGCTGGGATTACAGGCGCCGGCTGCCATGCCTGTCTAATTTTTTTTTTAATTTTTATTAGAGATGGAGTCTCACTATGTTGGCCGTGCTGGTCTCTAACTCCTGACCTCAGGTGATCCGCCTGTCTCGGCCTCCCAAGGTGCTGAGATTACAGGCGTGAGCCACCGTGCCCAGCCATAAATCATTTTTAAATAATCAGTAGACAAAGCAAGAATTTTAGGAGGCAGGAAATTTATAAAAGGAAGTTTAAGAGTTCTTAGAACTTCTTATTAAGAACTAATGTGAAAAATTTTGGTATATTGCTGAAATAGTACTTTCTATTAATATCAAATTCTTATATCTCAGTAAATAAAGAAAATTAATGAGTCACTGTCCACTCAAGAAATTAAGGAAATAATAATAGATGAGGTGAACGACAACAACAACAAAAAACTAGGAAGAAGGTATAATAAGCACTAGAGGAATTAATGAACTAAGAGGCAAATATATAGTACACAAGCTTATTGGAGCCAAAGGATATTTTTTAATTTGAAAAGACTCATTTAAAATAGACAGATCTTTTGTGAGATTTGCCACTAATAAAGACACACATAATACAAAGAATAAAAAAGAAGACATAAATTCAGCTATAGCAAACATTTAAAATATGATAGAACTGAAAATACCTTTTGCTACTAATTTAAAAAAATAAGTAGACAAATTATTAGGAAAAAATTAAATTCATAGAAACTGTTCAATTAGAAAAGTGGAAGACTTAATAGTCTTATAATCATTAAATAAATTGACTTAGTGGTTTAAAATCTTCCCACAAAGAAACACTAGGTCCAGGAAATTTTAGTTTCTAAAGATCAGTTGTACTAGATATTTGAAGAATAGATTGTTCTGATCACATACTCTTCCAGATAGTAGGAAAAGAGAGAATAACTTCTAATTTATTCTGTGAATTAACATAGTCTTAACTAAAGCTAGTTGAGGTTTCAAGAAAAATACATATATTCTGCATATCAATTTAAAGGCTAGAATTGTGATAATCTAAAGAAGACAGAAAATAATAGTGTGACGTAAGAAATAATTTAGGAATCTTGTGGTACTCATTGCTGCTGCCTTGTTTCACACCCATATTCTCCCTCACATAGTCATTTCAGTACCCTTCTATCTGGCCTCCTTGCCTTTGGCCTGGCTGCCACTCTAAATTTCCCTTCTCACTGCTTCCAATTTTGGTCTTTCTAGAAGGAAGAGCCTCTACCATGCTTAAAACCTTTCACCAACTCTCTCTTGTGAGAGCTCTGCCCTCAAGATAGTCCAGCTTGAAGACTGAGAAAATGAGTAATTATCATTCAGGGTGAAGGTGTGCTCCCTTCCCAGTCTGGAAAGTCAGGGAGGAAGACAAGAATCAGGATTCAGGAGCTAAGGAAGGCTTACTGGAACAAGTCAACCAGAGCTGAATGTTAAAAGATAAGTGGAGTGAGCTAATTAAGTGGGAAAAGGTAAATTGCAGGTACAGTGACTAAAATGAGAAAGCCATTGAGATCCTGTCAAGCTGGTGTGTGTAAGGAAATGTGAATCTTCAGTTGTTAGAAAGGCACAAAAGTGGCCAGGCCAGGAGATAAGGTCAGAGGGAGTTAGGTCAAGGCCATTCGACAGGTTGAGAAATCAGTGCTACATACTCTGGATAGGATGTTGCTGAGAAGTTTTAAGATAGATTTGCATTTTAGATACACCTGGTGGCTGAGTGAAAAAAGTTATAAATTTTATGAATAGTGAGAGGAAAAGATAAAGAGGATACTCATTTCCATTTACAACATTGGAAATAAGTAGGCATGAAGAGTAGAGGATTTATTCAATAAATATTTATCAACTTGTTAATTGATTAGACCATGTCTTTGTAATGTGTGTCTAACAATGTCTGGCGTGTAAGAGTCCACAAAATAAATCATTGGTTGTACTATTGTGTGAATAAATGAATATGTCTTTCTATGTGTTACATGGAAAGGTGAAGGAATAGAATTTCACTGCCACTTATGGCCGTTTCTGGCATATAGCCAAAGATGAGTTTATTCTATATTCTGTGATATGACATGTCTTGTAACCAGATCTTTTAATTATAATTTAATGTGATGAATGAAATAATGCCAATATACTTCCCCCTCCCAATTGGGAAGAGACAAGGGGCATGAATAAGGACTCAGGGACCGCTTGCTGGAGAAAGTGAGGCCTGAACTGAATGTTGAATAGGAATTAGTGAAATTACTCTATTGATGAAGTGACTGACCCAACTTGAGGTAGTGATTATATGCATTAGAAGCAGATTCCATATGGAAAAGGGCTCAGTTTTATTCATGTTGAATGTAAAGTCATTGTGAAATAAACAATATCAACAAGAAATTGGATGTATATATGCGAATCTGAAAAAGCATTTCCTCCAGGTAGCCTCAGTGCCAGCAATGCGTCTTAAATGTATTTTTTCTGAATTAAACATATCTCTCACTGTGAGAATTTATTTATTCACCGGACTCTAGGACATACTTCCAAATCCTTCATTCCTTATTCTCTTCTCTCATGTTTCTTTCTCCTTGTATCTTTCCTTAACAATGTATTTTTATTTTTCTACATTTTCCTCATCTTCGTATCATGACAAAGCTCAAACAGCAGATGAGGTGATGTATATGGCATGTATTTTTGGGAGATAGGAAAAAGACTTACAACTGGAATGACATGATAGAGAATGCACTAATTAAGTTTAATCTGACAATAAAAGCATAAAAATAGATGAGAAGAGGTGATCAGAACTCCAGAGATTAATTAGAATTAACAATGACTTAAGTAAATTGAAGAAGCATAGTCAATAATAAAAGTAGTATATGGCAGTGCACATACAGGGGAAAAAGTAAATAAACAGTATTTGAATATTGGGCTATGAATGAGGACAGAAGCAGCAGCCCTGAGTCACAGAAGATTAAAAGCTCAGCAGCGGGCAGCTATCACATTTGCCAAGCTTTTAAAAAGTTGGTTTTGACAGCATATGCAACAACAACAACAAAAAAATCTAATTAAGAATATACAATTTGGATATCAGAAAGTAGCTCCTAAGTAAGAATTTAACTATACCCGTAGGATAATGCTGTAGCCAAATGGTTGGGGAGGAGAAAACAAAGACGACTTAAGCATTAAGAAGGGCTAAACAGATTAGCTCTAAATGGCCTAAAAAAATTGATATTGACTTAGTAGTGACCGTTAGATATGTGAAAGAGCTATTTCAGTATACCTGGAAGGTAAAACAAAAACAAATGAGCTTACACTAGCTTGGGGATTTCTGTCAGATAATAATTTTCTGAAAGAGATGCTTGTGAAATATTGGAATTGATGGGAAAAGTTGTACAAAAATTCCTGATCTTTTTTTAGAAAGGATATACTCTCATCTATTTGGTTGTTCATTCAGCAGACATTTATTGAACACGCCTACACTTTCAGATACTTTTTGAAATGGAAAAGATAATACTGCACACAAGAAAGAATTCCTGACCTCATAAATCTCAAGGTCTAGTACATGTATGTGATATTTACATTATTGTGGACATATTAAGATCCATTTTTCTAGTTAATGATAGAATGATTCCTACAAAAATGGCAAAATTGAGGCCCAATTCGTAGCAATTACTTGGGCAGTGTGTCCTTAGCAAAGGATCTCTGATAATTTGCTAAACTATTGGAAAATAAATAAGGGATAGAGAGAGGTATAGAATGTAAGTGAGGCATAGGAAACCACTAGTTGCAGATACTGGTTAGGCCACTCATATAACTTTACAACCATTCCTATTTTGCCATTAATTTTTATTATTGCTATGCAGTCAGGTGAATCTAATGAAATTATTTTACACTGGAAGAACAAGTTACTATTCTCACTGCTCACTGTAATTGCTTGAGTAAAACGTAAAATTTCAGTGTTTCCAATACTGAGAGTGTATCAGAACCATTTGATTAAGTGAAGATGTTACTTCCTGATTATTTAATAATACAGTGTAGTTGGAAACTTGTCATTAATGTTGTCACATGTCTAAAAAATAATTTTCCAAGTGCAGCTCGGTATTAGAGGTGACTAAATATCACATTATAATTGAGATGAGAACTATATCATTGTATTGCTGAATTGGTGATGTCAGGCCATTCTATTTCACAGCCCCAAGGGACCATATAAAAGGCATTTGCAAGCAAGATGTAAGTACAGCATCAGCATAATTGTAGCCAAATAGATCTACAGAAAGAGTTTGTGTTTGGGACCCAAAGGTCCAGCTGTTTCTTAAAGGATTATCAGGATTTAATGGGAAGCACAGATGGAACCAATACTATTGTCTAGAGTATTCTAGGGGAGAGGCTAATATGTGAAAGGTGATCAGTGGCAGGCTGATTGAAACACCAAACAAAACCTTTTTGTTAAAATGAAAAAAAAAAAGTGAACTGGCACTACCCAATAACACACTGATTCAGAGAAAATAGTCCCCAGTGCTTCGTTGCAGCCATTGTAGAGATGGTCATATGTGGTATGCAGCTGTAAATGGTTCTTTTTCAATTATTATAGATTGAGCTCATTATTCAGTGTGTTTAGGTAGTTTTACTGGATATGGACCATTGCAATCATATAAGCTCTCCATTGTGTAGCTACTAATTTAGAGTGCTACCATCAGCCAACCATAGGACCCAGGATTTCTGGGAATGAATGACTCATGTTGAAAACCAGATTCTGAAAATATAGGTTCAGATTTATTATTTAAGGGTTTAGATATATTTAAAATTCTGTGAGTCCCTTGCTTATTGAAAGTGCTGTAGGGTTTATTAAGTCATTGAAAACATTGTTTTCTTTTAGGATCAGCTTATCCGAAAAGTGCTTTTTAAAAAACGCAATGCTGTTGTTTCTTTTCTTTATTTAGTATAATATCGTGCGTGTGTATCATACTATATGACACCGTATACACATATATTTATATATATGCTTTCATGCCTGTATATATACACAAACTTCCAAAGGTTGGACATCAGCGTGCATTTCAGGAGCTCCAGTAATTTTAATCATAAATTATTTTGCTTTATGTTCACAAAATTCTGCCTTGAAAATACAAGTTTTGCTCCTTAGTGACGACACATGTAGGCCCATTCAATTTTTTTGATGTTAAGTGGTATTACTGTGACTAGTGCATATTTATAATACGTAGGAAGCCATTTAGATGGCATAGTGCTGTATCATTGAATCTCAGTACAAAATATACAGAATCTCTTAACATAAACCCTATGCCAAATAGTAAAATAAATCTTTAGTAGCAAACTGAGTTTACAATAATCCATGTATAACTTGACACTACACCACACCAGAGGCTGTTTTTCTTAAATAAAGACTGCCTGTCAACAGAAACCTTTTTTAAATTATCCCTGGAATTTGTTCTATTGGAAACGTACCTGGACGTAGTGAACCATGTTTTATTTACTGTTGTTGTCTCCTCCAGTTTTCAATGGAAAATATATCTATTTTCACATATTTTACATCCTATATCAATAATAACTTTCAAGAGGCATAGTCTTGATGATTGCTATCAGAATTTCCAAAAAAGGAAAAAGAATTTCCTTTTTTGCTATGGCCCTGTTCATAAACAACTGAACAGGTAATTACTGCAATGTAATAGGATATAGAAAGGATATGTCATATGCTTTTCTTAAAAGAGAATTTGTATTTCTGTGAAAGCAATTGATATTTGAACCATTTCCTAGTTTTCTTTTGAATAATTAAAATCAGTTTGAGAGCCCAGTATTTGTGAAGTTTGAATGGCATTAGAGAGTCGCCAATTGGCATTGCTTGGTAGTTCTACTATTTGTTTCAGTTTTTAGTTGGGGAATATTTTTGTATTCTGGGAGAAGCTGTTCTAAAATATGTCATCCATTTCACATTTCCCTTCTTAAGCTGATATTTTTATGCAATACAAAAATAAATAAATAAAACACTTACTGGGGCTACAGGATGGTCATAACATTGGAAAATTGGCCCTCAGCCAAATTAACCAGGAAGTGGCAAGGATATAGACAATTTTTTTTCATTCTGAATTTAATATCTGGCTCATTCTTTAGCATAAATTTTGCAGTAAATTGAGTTATATTCATTCAAAAGAACCTGATACTATTTCAGCATTCTCTTTTTATAGACTGCTCTGTTCTACAAATGTTTGCTCTCTAATTATAGCTCACTTCATTACCTGGATTAAAGAATTAGAAATTATACCAGGGACTTATACAATATGGTAAATGAATTTCATGCTTAAAGGGAAATTAATTCTGTGCCTGTTGTATGGAAGATTGTTGTGTTTTATTGAATTTTTATTTAGGAGACATGAAGACTCTAAGTTGGAATAGGCTCGTGCATTACTGCAGCTGATAGTCAATAAGTGAATACTTGATTGTGTTAATTAGACACAATATCTCCTACTTTATCAACTATATCAGATGTTGGTATTGAATAATTACAATGAAGTCACATGGTAAATCAGTAGTTTCAAATTATTTTGATAATACCTCATGGGGTCCATGGAGTCCCTCCAGGGGGCTGCTGGGATGGGATCATGGTATTGAGAAGGAGAACCAGGTCATTGTGGATGACCTGAGCTTCCCGTGCTAAGCTTTCATAATTAGGGTTCTGTATTAGATTTTTGGGGGGGGGGACAAAAAGGATTTTTAGAGCTAGAAAAAATATGAGAAACCATGTAAGGTTCTTACTAGACTAACATACTTTAAGAAGTGAATAATCTGGGCATTTAGAACCTTTGGATAATGTATTTCACTACATTATTTTTACTTGCTTATTCAAATGTATAGAGACACACAATTAAAATTTTAAGTTGCCAGAATTCTCAGGTCCTATTTTGTCTTCACCTGTTGATTTAAGGGGTTATCTTTATGTTTGAGCTCTTTTCTGGTTTTCAGAGAGTATCTTTATGTGGAAAAACCAGAACTTTGCTGTTTACTATACTTAGGATTTCTCTAACCGTGAGATTATAATTTCTCTACCCTTTTCTCTGTCTTCTAAAGTTAAAGCAGGAGAATAGAAAGAAGAAACAGAAGAAAACAAAGAAAGGGAGTAGAAGAAAAAAACAGCAGGAGAGAAAAGAAGGCCTTCTTTTAGGGTTGCCTATTTTCTGTCACTACAACCTTTGACTACTCACTGACTCAGTTCACTATAGACAACTTTGAGTAGCTTCAAGACCTATGAAGTGTGACATGATGCTAAGTTAATGGTTGTCTTTACTATGAGAAATAGTCAAGGAAGATGATAATTTCAATACATATTTTACACAAGTACATAAATTATTTGATACTGCATCTCTAAGTATTTTTATAGCAATATGCTCAGCCCACACTTTTCCATTCTGATAAATTAATATTAAAATAACAATGCAAAAAGAACATTTAGCAGCCATGCTTATGGTAAATGCTTTCATTTCTATTTTCAAAATTAAAAATATAGAATGAAGGTTGACATTAAGCCAGTTGCACAGTTAGGAAGTCATGTAATTTAAATGACAGATGAGATCACCCGCAGTTGGGAAGCCTTTACCATCACTTTAAGCACTACAGGATAGCTGTAAGGAAGAGTTTTGAACTTACACTTTTGAATTTGCAGTTCTTTGTATCAGGATCATTTATTAAATGTTTTTAAAGTACATTTTTCTATAGGCCTATATTTCCAGACACACCAAAACCTCATGTTCTTTAAAAAGTATGGAAATGTGTAATTAAAAGAACTGAACAAATAGCAAGTCCTTAAAGGAAAACCTGCAGTTTGTCATTTTTTTGTAGGACAGATATGTGAGAGATCCTAAAGAGAAGTGAGCAAAGCAATACTAGGAAGTTCCAGCAGATCTAGTAGCTGCCTTTATGTAAGACAATAGATCTTGTGAATATTTCTCTTTCTCTCCAGGCAGCTAGCTAGTCTGGTTAACCAAAATTGTTGAGAAATTGTTCTGTGGTTGAGAACAAAATGCTGAATTAAACTGTTCCCAGCACAATAATTGTGTGATTATAGCATTTATGTTGCTGGCCAAAGGAACCGTCATTAGGTTTGGAAGACTTACCAAAACCACAAGTACAAAAAAATATGCAAATCACATGTAAATTGCTGTTTAATACCTATAGTGGCTTAGAAATGGAACTAAGAGTAGAGCACATTTCTAGTTAAAAGAGAGAAACCTGGAAATCTTTATTGTATATTTAATGTGATACTGAAATGAGGAAGATGCTAAAATGCATTATCTTTAGGTTTTTCCCTTCTCTACCCTACTCATAGTCTCAATCATGTATGTGTCTCTCGACATCTGTCTTTCCCCTTTCTCCCATCCCCAGTCTCATCTTTTCTAACTTCCTTTGTTAACTTCAATATTTTTAACTCTATGGGCTTGTCTGAAAACTTTTTCTTTATTTATTTTTTTCCATTCTACTCAAAATTATGTGGTGAAAAGATTTTATCAACCAATGGGGTGTTAGGGTTAGTGCAGAGGATGATTGATTAAGAAAACTGTCAGCAGATGCATACAAAATGTCAAGTAAACACTATTTGCTAATAAAATTAAAATACTATTATTTCCTCACATTTTGAAATAGCTTTCTATTGCTGATCAATGTGTAAATTGAAACGTTGAGTTTTTTCTCCTGTTAAATCTTTGCAGGTGAACCATTTACATACTAAAGGTTTCCTGTGATGAGGATCAGGTCTTCCTAAATTCATGTGTGGTATTGAGAACCACATGTGACCTTTAGGAGTAGTAGCTATGTATGCAATATTAATCATGTTTTAGATTAATAAATGAAAAACAGTAGTTTTAAAAGATGAATGATCCAGTAAGAATGAGTGATACACTGACATTTTTCCAGATCAGTTATGAACTATGAGATAGCATTAATTCAAGAACATGAACCGAAGTTTTCACCAGTTTTCTTTTTGAAATTCTGATGCATTCCATTTCATTTTTTAAAAAATATAAAATGGAATGTACTGAAGAATAATCCCACTGGCAGTGTGGACAATCAGACACAAGCAGAATAACTAAAAAGCTAAGAAATCTCTATTATGTATTTCCTTCTTCTGGATTTAGAAATATGTTTAACACTCAGATTTACACCATCATTAGGGCTTAGTTACTTGCTTATCACATTAATTACTTGCATATCACATTGGAGATCTTACTCCCTTTATAAATTTGTGTAAATGCTATCACAATAATTGTAAAAAAGCTAGTCATTACAAACTATTTTGTGTTGATATAAATGTGGTTTTAATATACATTAAAATATGCAATAATTTTTGCCTTTATGATACATATTTACATTCCTTTCAAAAGTGCTCAAGAAGTCAGGTGACAAATGGGAACTGAAAACGTTAGAGATGTTGGTTTTATCAAAATTATATTCAACTACTTAAGTAGCTTTTTCTTTATTTTACAAGATGGAGTCAGCTTTCATCTTATTTCCTGCTAATATCAATTTCATTGCTGTTTTATTTTCAATTTTTGAAAAACATTTTTATACATGTATGTATTTTTTCAAACATGTAATATTTTGAATTCTTTTCTTTGTTATTTCAATGAAGAAGATATTATACAAAGAGCTTAAGATTTATGTTGAGAATTTAAAAGCTTTGTGTGTGATGTTAATTTTTTTAAAAAACATAGTGGCTTCAAATTTATTCTTGATTGTTTTTCCCAATAGTGCAATCTTCAAACTGTACAGGTTTTGAATTGCTAACCACTACATGATATTAAATAACCTCTAATTCCTGCCAACCACCCACACATTAATGAGAACAAACACAGCAATTTTAATGATCCCACTTGTCAATGGTAAAGCATATTTAGAAACAAAGGATCATATTTCAATAATCAAATTGTATTTTTAATGGAAACTTAGACTCAATTCACAAGTAAATGTTTCAGCCTCTTCTAAAATATACCTCATAAACCTAAAGTTAAAGGCAAAACCACTTATTCAGAAAATGAAATTGTTCATTTTGGTTCATTTTAAAATATGAAGATTTCCCTTTTCATCTAAGACTAAATACTATCATCATATTTTTGTACAGCACTAAATCTCTGAAATCTGTTCGATCTTGCTTTATGGCTTAGTGTGTGAACAATTTTTATAAATGTTCTGTGGGTTTTGAAAAGAATTTGTATTCTGTAATTATTGGATGCAGAATTCTACATATATCCATTAGAGTAAGCTTGCTAATTATGTTGTAGAAATTGCCTATATCACCTAAATTTTTTTTTTTTGAGCTATCAGTAATTAAGAAAGTTGTGCTAAAATGTTCCATTATAATGGGGGATTGCTAATTTCTCCTTGTAGTTCTCTAAATTTTTCATCATAAATTGTGAGGCTATTTTACTGGATGGATATAACAAAAATTATTATGTCTTCCTGTTAATTGAAACTTTAGTGTTAGTTCATTATAAACTATTTCATGTTCATATAAATGTTTTAAAATACATTAAAATATACAATTATAATTTTTGCCTTTGTTATGCATATTTGGATTCTTTTGAAAAGTGCTGAAGCAGTAATAACTTTATATTATTTCTATAACACTAAAGTTTGAATTAACAGAAAGACATAATAATTCTTAAGTTATAACTTATAATAGAAGCTCCGTATCCACAATTATGCTTTGTGTGTTAAAGTCTATTTTGTCTAATTCTAATATACATACTTTAGACTTGTTTACTTTTTTGGTTAATATTTGCCTGATAGATGTTTTTTCATCTTTTTCAACCTTTTTTGTTATTATGATTTAAGTATATCTCTTGTAAACTATAGCTGGATTTTTAAAAATATTCAATCTCTTGGTCTCTGTTTTTTAACTGATGAGCTTACTCCACTTATATTTATTGTAATTAAACTTAGGTCTGTCATTTAATTCATACTTTCTGTGTGTATCACCTTTTGTGTCTATTTTCTTTTATTTTTATGTATTAATTTTTAGCATTCTTTATATTTTCTATTTATCAGTTTGGGTATTATCTACTATCTTTCTATTTTTTATGGGTTTTCTTTGAAAATTTAACATTTCTACTTATGCTCAGAGAGTCTAAAATTAATGAATACTGTATTGCTCCTCCTGAGTTTTAAAATAACCATAGCACTCCCTAGCTATGGCTACTCCTCTCTTGTTTTACATGCTAATATTGTTGAATTGAGCTCATTTTTTCTTCAAATATTAGACACTAGCTAATACAAAGTATATTTGTATTTAGTCACATGTTCACCAGTTTTTTCACTCACTATTCTATTTGCATCTTACCTATTTCTTCTAGGTTCCCTTTTCTTGTTTCTGAAACACATCCTTTAGAAATTTCTTTAGTGAAAGAATTTGTGATAGACTATTTTTTATGGAAAATCACTGGCCTTTCTTTTGGATTTATTCTTGAAAGTGTTTACTGGAAACATATTTTTGTCAGTTTATTTTTTTCCATTGACGTCTAATACTACTGTTGTGATATTTATTGTTAAACTAATTATCACACCTAGGTTGATGACTTCTAGCTGACTGCTTTTAAGGTTTATCTTTGCCTTTCATAGTCTTTAGTTTTATAACAGAGTATTGACTGACCTTTTCCTCTCATTTGTCCTGCTTGTGTAAATTTTACCCATTACATTTATGGGCCTATATCTTTCAAATTCAGAAAAGTTATCAGTCATTAATTTTTAGAATATTGCCTTCCTCCATTTAAAAAAATTTTTTTTCTCCTAAAATTTTTGACCAAGCATTTGTTAAACCATCTTATTTTAGACTCTATGACACTTAACCTCTCTTTTATATTTTCCATCTTTCTGTCTCTGTGGACTGAAATCTAGTTCATTTCTTTGGATTTCTTTTATGGTTAGTGACATTTCTCATCACGTCTAACTTGCTGTCTATTTGATGAGTTTTAAATTTCTGTTATTATATTTTTCTTTTTTTTTTTTTTTTTTTTTTGAGACAAGGTCTCACTCTGTCACCCAGGCTGAAGTGCAGTGGCATGATCTCAGCTTACTGCAGCCTCCACCTCCTGGGTTCAAGGTATTCTCATGCCTCAGCCTCCCAAGTAGCTGGGATTACAGACATATGCCACCACACCTGGCTAATTTTTGTATCTTTAGTAGAGACAGGTTGTCGCTGTGTTGCCCAGGCTGCTCTAGAACTCCTGAGCTCAAGCGATGTGCCCACCTCAGCCTCCCAAAGTGATGGGATTACAGGCATGAGCCACCATGCCCGGCCTGTTATTATATTTTTCATTTCTCAAAGTTCTTTTCAATTATTTTTCAAATCTTCCTGAACTTCTTTCAAGTTTTTTTTTACTTGTTACTAATTTTTATTGCAACCTTTTTGTAAGCAAATATTTTAAGCATATTATTTTATTTTTTTATCTGATTATCCACTACCTTGATATCTTTGGGTATCTAAATCTGCTGTTTTCCTTATTTTGCTTTACACAAGCTGAATCATTCCTCATGTATTAAATATTTGTTAAATTTAAATTGTGTATTAATGTTTGGCTGAACTTCATCTGTGGGAATCAGAGTATCTAAATTGATGCTCCTTAAATACTGAACTGGGTTATTCTACAAGTTTCTAGTAGGCAGTACAAACTAGGAAACACTTATTTCTAATTTTGGAGATTGAGTTTTTACTGACCATTTAGGAAGTTTTGGTTTGAACTCCAGACCTAAGTTAGGTAAAGTCTGTGTGATTGAGTTATAGTAGTACATTATTTTTATTAGCATTTTATTGCAATGGAAGGTAGCCTTCATGAAATCAAGGCTTTTATTGTTTTATTCACTATAGTATTTCAAGTAGTTAGAACTATATCTGATACATCATAGGCAATTAATAAATATTTGTCAAAGAATCATCATCATCAGCAGCAGCAGCAGCGTCAGTGGTATTCCACCAAAAGCATTGTAGAAATGTCCTGGTATCCTCACCTTAATTGCCAGATTTTCTTTTTAAACTAATCTTTCACCAAAGGAATATCCCCTTTGATTGTCCTGGGTTAGTGTGAGAGACTGAGGTTTGGAGGGACCCAAGGCATCATCTTAGGTTCTAAGTGCTGTCTACATTTACCCCATTCTTCCAAACTACTTTCGATTTACTAGATTTCTCTTTCTCCTACCTCCAACTTTCTTGGAGGCTCTGCATAGAAAAAGTTTATTGGTTATTATGCATCCAGGATCTACTTGTATTATAGCAGAAAAGATTCCTAGGATATCTAATGTTTAATAGTTTTGTTGTAATCATTATCCATACTTTAGAAGAATTTACATGCTGAAATAATTATTTTCATGCTGTGTCAAGGTTTTTGTCATTTAAAATTTTTTATACAAGTTATAATTTATTTTGATACTTAGGATTAATTTATAATTATAATTTATTTTGATACGTAAGATTTATTTATAAGTATTTTATCCTTTGCTTGAGTCAAAGTATAGTGATTAAAAGCCTAGTTTGTAGGTAGGCTGGCCTGGATTTGAATTCTAGCTCTTTTATTTGCTATCTGTTTGACTTTAGGCTTCCCTGTTTCTTTATCTGTAAAATAGGGGTGATGAAAATATTTATCTTATAGGGTTTTTGTGAGTTTCAAAGAGTAAAGATAGAATTGTGCAAAGGTCAACATAGAAAAAATGCATTATAAAAGAAGCTGAGGGAAACAGAATAGGTATTAACATTAACAACTGCCCATCAAAGTGCCTTTGGTAGAGGGCAAGTGGATGGAAAGAATTCATGTTGTCCGTCTATGTTCTCTTTTCATCCCATAAAATGTCTATATAAAATTAGAATTGCCACAATTTTGATGACAAAGAAAAATTATTTCTAATCAAGAAAGCAGTCTATAGATTTAGTAAGGTACCCATGGTATTACATAATTCATCTTTATTTAAATATTGTCATTATGTGTAGGCAGGTTACAGTGCTTTGTGCTGGAAAGTATAAAGTAAATTTAGCAAAGTAGTAAAATTAGCCATACTTTGCTCAGATTTTTGCAAGTAATGTGCTATTCTTTATTATTGGGTATATTTACAATGGTAGATTGTATAATATTTCTTCTTGACTAGAAGATTAAAAAACTCATGATTACATAAATGACACTATGTTCAATGGGTTGTCCAATTACAAAAATATTTCACATTTTCAGCTCAAGAAACATCTACCATGGCCTTTTTGGTAATTTCACACATGTTTTATTTTCAGTGACAAGTGTTCTAGTGAGTGGCAAACTGCTAGTGTGTCCTTAGCTATGGTATAGTTAGACAAGCATCTCATTGCTGTGTTCCATCAGATACTGTGAGACAGCATCCATTATTACTCAAAGAGCATGATTTTTCACATCTTAAGGAATGGAACTAGTCATTAACTTGGCCCTAATATAGTTGAATTGGGGGAGCTGTATTGAAATATTATCTTTGTTTTTGTTTGCGGGAACGCTTCTTACCACTAATGTAACATTTTGCATTACTGACTCAGTATACTCTGCATGCTACAAACAAATAAATATCCAATCACTAGCCATTCACACCAATCTAGCACCTGCTAGCTAAAAAATAGAAATTACTCACTGGGAAATTTGAACAAAAGAAATATAAGCAGGATAATCACATTTACCTTCTGTAACAAAATAAGAATAATGCACAGAGTTTAAGGATGCAGCTATTGATTTGAATTTTTAATAAAAAGGTTTTGTTTTGCTTTAGTTTTGTGGGGTTGTTTCCACATATACGGATCATGTCTGCAGCTAAAGCTTCATATTTCATGTATTGCTATATGTTCCAGTTATGTTACTTTATATTGTCCTGGTAACTGAGGTAGCAAAAAGTTGAAATGTGTTTAATGGCACACAGTGTCTCAATTTGAACTTATTTTCTAATTATTTCTGATTTGCTAATAAGCTTACATTCATTTCATATGAGTAATCAACGTTTGTTTTTTATCTTAAAGAACACGTAAATGCAGTTCTTGGGTTATTTCATTAAGGACACATAAGTTTTTATTTCTCTGCATCTAATGAAACACACAAAACCTAACTGTGGGCATCGTCAAGGCTGAAACTAGGATCTGAGGAGCAGAATGGAAAGGGTGGGGGGAAATTGAATCAATTATTTTCCATAGTTTAAGGCATTGCTCTGAGGAAAAGTCATGAATCCTGAATGAAAATGGAATAAAGCCTAAGATCCATTGTATAATATGAATGTTGTAATAAGCTAGTTGCTACTATAAGAAGAAATTAAAGCTAAAACATAAGACTTTTATAATAGTGAATATCTTTTTAAATAATCACTTCAGTGAAGAAATAATGAGCATTTATTATGTTTGAGGCATTAAGCTAGGTATTGTGGATACCAATATGAGTTAGCTATGCCCTTACTCTTCAGGCAGCTTAGCCATGGAGACAGACACAAATAATGTCAACCTAATGGTATAGTTGTATGGAGGACACACAGGAGAGGGAAACATTGTTGAACACAGTAAGAACACTGTTAACTTAGGTTTTTCCGCATCTCCTCTCCCAAATAACGGAGAGAAAAGTGCCATAATTCAAGGCATTACTTTACATAGTTCATTACACTACATAGTTCAGAGGTTTATTGTCTGACTTCCTCCATGTCTTCAAATGTCACTGTGTCGTGGATTCCACATTGAAACTTGCAGTCTCTGCCCCGGTATTCCTTTTCTTCTGCCCTAGCTTCGCTGTTTCACAGCACTTGCCTTATTCGTTGCAACAGCCCTAGAGACTATAACAATACCTGGCACCAAGTGAGCGCTCAATGAATGAGTGTATTTTGCTTGAAGAGTTTGGATAGTCTTCATAAAGACAGCGACACTTAAGCCGGGTTTTGAGGAAAAACTTGTTCTTGAGTATAAAGTGTAGCTTTTTTAGGGGTTCATGGATAAAAAATATTCAGTTATTCATTTGCCTGTTTTTATTTGTGTATATTTAGGGTATACAACATGATATTTTGATGTACGTATACGTAGTGAAATGATTATTGCAGTCAAGTAAATTAACATGTCCATCACCTCACATAATTACTTTTTTTTGTATTAAGAGCACCTAGAATCTACTCTTTAAGCAAATTTTCAGTATATAATTTTATTAATTATCGCTCTCATGCTGTACATTAGATCTCTAGATTTGTTCATCCTATATAACTGCAATTTAGTCCCCTTTGACCTACATCTCCCCATTTTCACCATCCCTGCATTAATGGCTGTGCTAATTTACATTCCTGCCAATAGCATACAGGGTTCCCTTTTCTCTATACGCTTGCCAACATTTATCTCCTGTCTTTTTGATAATAGCCATCCTAATAGATATGACGTGGTATTTCATTGTAGCTTTGATTTGCATTTCCCAGATGATTGATAGGTATTACCATACCTATTGGCCATTTTTATGTTTTCTTTGGGAAAATGTCTGTTCAGGTCCTTTGTTGATTTTTGTAGTTGGGTTCCTTATATGGTTTGGACATTAACCCCATAGTTCACAAATATTTTCTCCCAATACATAGGCTATCTTTTCATTTTGTTGATTATTTCCTTTGCTGTGCAGAACTTTTTAGTTTGAAGTAGTCCACTTGTTTATTTTTGCTTTTGCTGCCTGAGCTTTTGGTATGATATTAAAAAAATCATTGCCAAGGCCAGTCTCAAGAAGCTATTTTCCTCTAGGATTTTTATTGTTTCAGGTCTTACATTTAAGTATTTAATCCATTTTCAGTTGACTTTCTCTGTGTGTTTTGTATGGCTTGGGGTCACATTGTAGTCTTTTGCATGTAGTTATCCAGTTTTCCCAGCACCATTTATTGAAGAGACTATCCTTTCCACATTGTGTGATCTTGGTGCCTTTGTTGAAAATTAGTTGACCTTGTAGGCTTGGGGTTATTTCTGGGCTAAGTCAGGTGAAGTTTTCAGCTACACTGTGCAGTCTGCACTCTGAGGACGGATAGAAGAATAAAAGGTCTCTTGGCCAGAAAAAAATTGTAAGTCTTTTGGGGAAGAGCAAACCAACATAGGCAAGATATTAAAAATGTTAAAGATATAATAATCAAAAGCTCATTGCACAGAATACATAGTAGTGATGTGGGAAATATCAGCAAGAAACAAGTCAACGTCAAGATATTTGGGAATGATTTCAAGAGACTTTGAAGTAAATGTGAATATCACATACTTTTTATGAAAATTAGCCTGTTGGAGTGAAACATTTACATTTTATGATAAATCTTTCTTCAGTCAAATATCAAAAAAATTTTTCTGTTTTCTACCAAAATAGGCAAAGCCGACTAACAATTTAAGATCTTCAGGATAGGGTGTATTAAGAAATTAACACCAAATGGCAATTACTATGTTAAATATCCTTTTATTTTATGCCAGGTACTATGTCGTTCTATTGCATCTCTATTTTTCTGCTCAATTTTCAGATGGTTAAAGTAATATATAGTAGTATATATATTACATAGTAGTATATATAGTAGTATATATAGAGAAATTTTGAAAAATATTTTGTGCAGAAAACAAAAAGCAAAATAAGACACAATATAAAGATGAAAATTAAAATCAGTAAAAATGCGACCCTTGGTATAAAAATCTCTTAAGACATAATAGAATTTTAGCTTTCAAAAATTATTCCTTTTTGGCTGGGTGCGGTGGCTCATGCCTGTAATCCCAGCACTTTGGGAGGCCAAGGAGGGTGGATCATCTGAGGTAAAGAGTTCGAGATCAGCTTGGCCAACATGGTGAAACCCCGTCTCTACTAAAAATACAAAACTTAGCCGGAAGCGGTGGTGTGTGCCTGTGATCCCAGCTACTCTGGAGGCTGAGGAAGGAGAATTGCTTGAACCCGGGAGGCGGAGGTTGCAGAGAGCCGAGATCGTGCTGATGCACTCCAGCCTGGGTGACAACAGCGAAACTCCGTCTCAAAAAAAAAAAAAAAAAATTCCTTTTTATGGTAAGAAAATATTTAGGAATTAATTTCGTTAGTGTTTCTGTGCTCTTTATCTGAATCAGCATTTTTATATCAGGAAATTACTGTATTTTGATTTATACTTTGCTCAGAATAATCAAAGAATTTGTGGCTATGTGATCATGTGTAAGTTCCCAAAACTATTTGTTTTCTTATCAGTTTTCCTCATTCATAAAATTGGAAATAACACCTGACCTACTGATTTCTAGGAGGCTGGATAAAGTATACATAAACTAGTGTATGTGACAGCCCTTTATAAAAATGCAAAACATTATTCCAAAACATGCCTATTTCAAAGTACACTCAATCCTGCTTCAGGTATTAGTGAAGTTATATATTTTTGTAAGTTGTTTTTTACTTGCTATGGTTTTTTTTTAAATTGAGATGTAATTCAGATGCCATAAAACTTACCCTTTTAAAGTATATAATTCAGTGCTTTTTGGTATATTCACAATGGTTTGCAACCATCACTACTAATTCCAGAACATTTTCATCACTCCCAAAAGAAACCTTATACCCATTACCTGTGTCCCCAGTTCATCCCTCCCGACATTTGGTAATTTTTGAGATTTTTTTCAAAGAACTTATGTTGAACTGAAATTCAACATAAGAATACTGCCATTTTTATTAATTTTATATTACATGGGGAAAAATAACTGATAATCTAATAGAAACCATTGGGCAAAGCATCACAAATTAGAAAGTAATAGGGAATTTTATTGTTTTCTAATCATGGATACCTAAGAAATATAATTGAAAACTATATTATATTTCATGTTGGTCACTATATTTTATGTTCTCATTCATTTTCTTGTAAATGACCATTAATGTAGTAATGCATGATATAAAGTAAGATTGTACTAGCAGTATTTGCAAATCTTGATTCTGTTCACATTAACAGACAAGCACATTCAAATGACCATGCTGTATTGTGGTCAAGAACTACAATAAGTAATACAAATAGTCACACACGCTTTAGGAAACAAGTAGAATTGTATAATAAAGATTTTGATTTGATCAAGCACCAGCTGTGTAAAATAATACTTTAAGAAATAGCTATATATTAGAATAATAACCCAATTTTAAATAATGAATTATCTAAGATATTTTAATAATTACCATTTGAATTCATTTATTCAGCTCAAAACAATTTTTAGCAAATGAAATAGCTGTGTTTCTCCCATATCTTTTCACCATTTTCTTATTTTACACCATGTTTTTGCAACCCTTAAGTTTCTATGATTAGCAACTTTTAATATGGAGATTATACCTGAAGTCAACAAATATATTTTGTTTAAGCATGTATTGTATTTATAATACATGTCATCATTTTTTGAAATTTGATATGAATTTAATGTATATTAATAAGAACTAATGCTTTGTAAGAACATGATGCTTCAGATTTGAAAATAAAGTTTACTATAAAACAACAAGAATTTTTAAGATAAACCTGCATAGCATTAAGAATGAAATTTTATTGTGTTAAAGTAACAGAGGTCTTAATTCTATATCCTTTGAAAGTGGTTGTATCCTAGTAATATTGCCAACAATAAACACATCATGCAAAAGTAAAAATGCAGTAGTGAAATGAGCCATTGAAAGAAAGAGTCAGTGACCATATAATATTTCAGTTTCTATTATATCTAGTAGCAATCTGGTTAAAAAGAAATGACAGTTGCCCTGAAGGAAATAAAGTGGAGGTATTATTGTAGTAGTAGTTTGGAGAGAAAATTGCACTGTGTCTTGACTGGATTATTTCTCTATCCTTGCAAACTATCTTCACCTCTCTGTGGTGCTGCTTCTTGCCTTCTTTATACAAATTGAGTTTGTATCATATAAACTCATAGGGCCCAGGGGCCCTTTGGTGACAGGGAGGAGGAGGAAGAGGGGAATTAGAAAAAGAAAATGTGACAGGCAGTTTTGAAAAGAAAAGCAATTTTCCTTGTAGGTCTGTTCCTAAATAGGAGTTCTTCAATGCAATATTTTGCTTCTGCAGAGCAGTCAGTCAGAATCAAGTGCATGCTTGTGCTGTTTTCTGGGGCTTGGCACTGACAGGTTTCATTTAGGAGGGGTAGGAATACAGGGGGATTGGATGTGGGGAAGTTAGTATTTTGGCTATATCAGCCCTGGAGGCAGAGTTAGCACTTGCAATGGGACAAAAGTATTTGTAGTCATCGGATAACTTTGCAGTCAGCTTCAATAGCATCACTCCTTTTTTTTTTGTTTTGTTTTTTACTTTTTTTTTCCACTTTGGCAGCCAAGCTCTTAGTAGAACCATCTGTCTTTCTATTAGTATTTTTGAGGCCTGTTTTGAAGCCACTTTGCTTGGCAAAGTCACTTTCATCCTTGGAAACGATTTTTAAAAAAAGTTCTGTGGCTTTTTGCCGAAGAAGAGTACTATGTAAAAAATCCACATGGCTGTTCATTTTTGTTCTAAAAGAATATGGCTACTTTGTCTTTGTCTTGAATCAAATGAAATTAGAGGTGATACAACTCCAATGTGACTGTTGGGAAGTTAGAGGCAGGGATTGCAATTTTAGCAATGTTTTTATGTGCCTATATTCCTCAATGAGATGTTCTTTAGTCTTCCTAGTAGATTAATTGGAAGATAAATTGACTCCTTTATTTTTAATTTTTCCTAAAGACCATTGCATTGAGTAGGATAAACTGACAAATTGACTTTCTTTTATATGAAATGAAAAATCAGACTATTAGCGGTCATTGAAGATCCCATGTCTCTTTTTGCTAATGGTGGAAAGTTACTTTGTTATCCTGGTTACTCCAGTTTGGGTAATTATATTCTGCCTACCTAAACCCCTCTTGTAATCTCATTTGGATATTTTATTCTTCATTTGCTCAGAAACTGCTGTGTATTGTTGCTGTGTGCTTCTAAACAGCTGCTATGCTCCCCACTGAAGGTGACTGAATTTCAGCTGTAGGTGAACTGATCCCTAAGGATGATGTGTATTTGAACACTGTAGCACTCATCAGACTAAACTCTTGAGGAACATTTGAAAAAGTTTTAGATGTTACAGTTTATTTGTAATTGTGCTGATATAAACCATAGAGCTGCCTTTCATTTTAACATTTGTGTATGTAATTTAAACAAATATCCTACCATAAGTTTGTGCTGTTTGAGATTTCATACAAACTCACTCTCATAAGACCTGTTCCTTTAGATCATGGAGTTCTTCCAGTTCTTTGATTCCTGTGTTTTTCCCAGTCTGGTGATGCCATCCAGGCCTCTCACCCTGTTTTTAAGCCCAAAGCCTATTGTTCATCAAAAGCAATTTTTATTTCCTCATAACTTGTCTTTGCTGAAGTCCTCCAGTCTGCTTCTCTTCCCCTGAATGCTGGAGTTCATCTTCTCTGATGCTCAGTCACAGTGATTAGGCACGTTTTGAGAAAAATCACAGAAAAGGGAGATCTGATAATATTACAATTCATGTGGTCTCACCTAAGGTCTTGGCATCTTCTATCACTCTTTTTAATGTCTGTGGTTTTGCTTGCTCTTTCATTTCTCACAATAACCATCGAGAACTTCCTGGAACCTTGTTCCAGTTTTCTTCCTCAATTCCAATCTCTCTAATTTTCTGGATATGAGCTTGCCTTATCATTGAGAAAATTTCTTCTGTCAGGCCTGATTTTCCTTACCTTCCCCTTTCCCTACCCATAAAGCACATCTGCCTTCATCCATTTATATAGCTCCATTCCTCAGGGCCCAGAGGATGAGATGCCACTCTCATTCTAAACTGATTGCTCCACCTCTGCCTTGTCTTCTAGCCTCCTCCGGAATTTTGGTTAGTTTCTCTCTTTCCTACATTTGAAACTCTCCATTTCTATTTGCCCCTTTCAGCCAATAAATGTGCTCAGAACCCTGCTACCTGAAAAAAAGCCTTTGCTTCACTTTACATCTTTCTACAGCTGCTATTAATGTCTCTCCTCACCTCTCATCAACTTCCTCTGAAGAATAGTCTACATTTGCTTTCTCCTTTTCGTTGCCTGTCATTCAGTCCTCACCCTTTTGCAATATGATTTCTACCCTCTGTTCTAATGGAAGTGGTGTTATTATAAATTCAGCTTCTAATCATTCCCAGAGATGTTATTTTTGTCTCTAGAATACTTTCTGCTTTTTGTTTTGTTTGTTTTTCACAATTAGTTTACTCCCTCAATCTTGAAATTCCCTTGGCTTTTGTTATACCATACTCTTCATGATTTTATTAATTTTTGTCTAACTTTAATTTTATCTGCCGATAGGCACCTTTCCTCCACGTTTTGTTGAACTGTTGTTGGAACCCAGATGGTGTTAAGCTGTTCCCCTTTTTCCTTCAGATCTTTTCTAGATTGTCTAGGCCATTCTCATTAACTTCTGGCTTCCCATAGCGTGGCCTCTGAAGATCTCCTCCCTCAGCTTCGGACTGGAGTGTCCATCTGCTGGAAAAATAACTGCAATGCAACATCATTCAGCCACCTCAGCCACGTCATATCCAAAACCGTAGCCATCACTTTTGCATGAAAATTATCACTTCTACTCTGAATTTTTAGTTGTTTGATGCCACTATAAGTAGAGTGACATCAAGTAAACATTATCTTTGATTTTATCATTTTTTCATCTATGAGTACTGCAATTTTTTTTCTTAAATATTTCTTTTCTTTTTTTTTTCTCCTCATCCATTACTCTTCTGCTGATCTAGCCCTCATAATCTGTTCCCTTATATTAACTTCCCACTTGGTCTCTACGCTGGGTCTCTCCAGTCTTTTTCCATATCCACCAGAGTATTCCACTGACCCTAATTTAATCCCTCCGTGATTCCCCAGAGCCTACAGGGGAAATCTCTAGTTTCTTACCCTGATGCATAGACTGATTCAGGCAGACCTCTCACCACTGCTTTCTTCATATTTTTTGCCATTCCTAGCTGCTGGTAGTGTCTCCCTCACATGATGTTTTTTTCTTGCCCCTGTTCCTTTTCTTATGTCTCTGTCTCTGCTCCTTACCTATTCAGGCCCTATACCTGCCACTCCTGCTTTCACAGGGCCTTTAGTGACTTCTCCTGGCTGTGTTAGGAGCCTCTCTTCTGTACTTCCATAGTATCCTATACAAGTCTGTATTATTGAATTAACAGTAGTACATTATAATTATCTGTCTGTTTGCCCCACCAGATTCAGAGCTCCTAGAGAGCATCCATGTATGTGAATTCATCTTTTAATCCCTAGTTACCACAGACTGCATATTCTACTTAGCAGATGTTGATTGAATAAATAGGGACATGTAATGAAATTCCGATTAAATAATCTTAAGAATCTACTTAATACATTAATTTCTTGAAGCCATTGAATGTTTCAACAATAGAACATTTACATAAAATATAAAATATTTAACTATGAGTAATTGATAGGTATTTACTTGTTCTTCATAAATGGGATAATATAAGTGATTTGTGTTGGATTCATAACATCTTAGAGACTATGTAGTATCTTGAGGTAGACACATAAAAAGCATTAAGACGGGGCTTCTTAAAAGTTTTTAAAATATAGGAAGTAGCCTCTTATGTGTATTATGAATTATTTAACCTGCGAATAACATGCCCCCTAGCTTTTAAAAATTTATGACAGAAGTATTTTGTTGAAACTTAATAAATGTCACACATTTTCAACTTTAATGAGTGGTTTAAAGGGAATTTCATACATTCAGTGAAAAAGAAAGAAATTAATAGTGATCAGGATTTGGAAATATTCAAAACTAGAAAATATATAGAATGAATTACTAACCCTATACCAAGTTAGTTTTAGAATCTACCCAGAAAACATATCGTTTTGATATTGTGTGTCCTTTTCTCCCAAATGTTGGCTAAATTTCAGCATCAGTGCAGTGAAAATCCATCAAGATATAGGAATAATACAGTCACTGCTCATTGTTTATATGTGTTATGGTCTATAAAGTTGCTATGAACACTGAATTAGTGAATGCTGAACAATTGCTCTTAAAGGAAGTATGGTTAGATTCTTGCGAGCTTCCGGTCACAACTTTTTCTTCAGCTAATCAATATATAACTTTGTTTTGTGTGTGTTTTTGTTTAAAAATACCTTGTTTAATATTTATTACTGATTCATTAACATTGAATTCGCAGCCAACAGCAGGATATCTCATGCCTGAGCAAAGCTTATCTAATACATAGTCTTCTGCGTAAGTCACACCACAGCCCTCTTGCCTCATAAACACTAGACAGCACTTAAGCATTATGCTTGGGAGCTTTTTAAACAAAAAATTACCAACAAAATTGTTACCTGCTTTGTGCACGTCTGCAAATGACCAGGAAAGTGGCATTATTAAAATTGGGTACGAGTAAATTTCAGCCAATAGGCAAATTTGCAAATACAGAATCCACGAATAATCAGGATCAACGATATTTTGAGATGTGTTTTTAGTCGCTCACATAGATTAACCACACATTTTGGATTACATTTATTTTACTGTTTACTGTATTCTTTTTATTAATAGTACAGTACTCTACAGTCTGTTCTATGATGGTCTAATAAAAACCAATCACTGGGACTGTGAAATTAGGTTTATTTTTCATTTAGCTCCCTTTTTTCCACCTTGTAGTTCCTCTTTCAGTTCCTTTATCTCCTACTTCCCCTCACTAGATTGAGACAGGAGATGCAGTTCCAGCGTAAGTTTGGTTTTAGCTAAATATGGGATCTTGAACAATTTATTGGGCCAAGCTAGGTCTTATTTCCTCATTAGCATGTTGGCTATGTTGTTGCTGATAATCTCTAGGGTCTTTCTCAGCTTTAAATTTCGATGTCACTCTTTACAAGTGGATCTTGAAAAATTTAGACACTAAAACAAATTATAATACTAAAACAAAATGCATTTTCATAATCTGATCTATAAAAGACCGAAGTTTAGAATGCACAGATTTAATAAAAGCTCCAGAATTCATTGCAATTTATTCCTTAAAATACTAAAACTTTTATCTGAAAGAATATTATAAACGATTAAAGTATAAATTATCTAGATAAAAACCACCATAACAAGAATGCTTTATATACAAATAATAACCAATTAACAATATAGCCAATAAAACTTTCCCTATATAATGCTTTGTAATTTGGTGTCATTGCTGAAAACAGATCTACCATTCACATATTGCTTTTCTCTCTCCCTCTCTCTGCCGCCCCCACCACCACACACACATTGCCTTCTCTTTCACCCTCCCTCTCCTCCCCTTCTCCCTCTCTCAGTCCTCGCTGCCCCCCACACTCACCAACCAAAATCTCAGAAACAGCTCAGAGGTTTACTGTGGAAGATTAAATAAAGGAGAAATTGAAGGTGGTGGGCTTTTAAAGTGAGAAATGATGAGAACTGTAAGAATCGTAAGAACGCTAGGAATGTGTAATGCGACTGGGAAAACAAGAAAACAGATCTGAAAGACAATTCAGAGGTGCTGTTAGGATTAGTGACTGAATAAATATGTAATTATCTTTGTGTATTTGTTTCTTTTACTTTTTTCACCGCCATCATCCCTACTATAATCAAGGCTTCATAGATGTGGGATTTTAGTTTTCTTGTTCACTATTGCATCTCTACTGCCTAGCTCAGTTTCTTGCACATAGTAGATATTTATTAAATATTTTACAAATAACTGTTCAATGTGTGGGAAGACTAGTGGAGGAGAATAAACTGTCAGAAAGGTAATTTTAAACATGATCCCAAATTACCATCCATATATCCATCCATCAATAAACACTAACCAATAATCATTTTCACCAGCGAGATCTTGCTTAAATATTTGTTCAAAAAAAGTATTTTAGTTAGTGACAAATCTCTAGTTAATAATGTGACAAGGCTGCAGAAATGGCCACATTAGGTTGTATTTCTAAAAATTCCTTTTCGGCTCAAACAAGATAGTGATTCTATTGTGCTGGATTATTTATTAACTAATGTGAACCCCATACTCTGAGAGTGGGACCAGCAAATTAGAGTATATTCCAAAGATGACAACCAAAATGGAGACCCTGTGGTCTAAGGAGTCCTTCAGTTGCTTCAAAAGGGATAGATGCAGGCAAAAATGTTGTACAGGGAATCTGTAGCAGGATTCAAGAGACTGAATTCTAGACCCAGTTCTAACTAATTCTGTGGCTAGTCAGTTATCTTTTGGCACTACTTACCTCTTCTATTAAAAAAAAAAAAAGAGTAAAGTTTTAGCTATTCTGTAATCTTTCTTCCAGGTCGATTACTGTATTCAATAATTTAAAAATTCAATATTATGTGTGAACATGAGAATTTGTCCTCAAATAATGAAGAGCTATTTACATATAAAATGATACAGGTTTAGTTAGTTTTGTTTTAGATGGTAGAATTAGTCCCAACAAGTAGGATTTGCAGAGGGCGATTTCAGTTCCTTCTATGGGATAATTTTTTAGCCATTTCATTAGTGCAATAAGAAAAAGGCTTATCATGCAAAGTAGTGATATTTTCGTCACTGCCAAGGATATCATTTCGGGAAACTATTCGTCGTGTTAGAGAGTCGACTTAATAATACCTTTCAGCTCTAGGATTTTCTAGTTCTGCTGTTTAAGGTAGTCCCAAAGCATATCCTCAAGCCCAGTATCCCAGCAAGCTTCTATGCCAGTCTTTTGAATTGAATAAATGATTTTCTTTTATCATGAAATAAGGAGGGTGGGAAGAAGCATGGAGCATCGAAACTTCTTCTCTTTGATTCGCTCTATCACGTTCAGCAGGTTCAAGGTCAGCTGCCGCCATTAATGATTCCCGTATTCCCTCCTGATCAACGGACACTGGCTGCAGCTGCCCAGCAAGGATTCCTCCTCCCTCCAGGCTTCAGCTATAAGGCTGGATGTAGTAAGTACTGTTGATTTTTCATCTGGGAGTGGGTGGAGGGCAAAGCTTTAAATTAGGCAATTTAATATTCCTGCCACACCAAGAAATGAGATCACCCATATAGCATTTTTATTTTAAAGAGGAAACACACAGAATGTGTGGAGAAGTGTGTTAGTACTTAAAGGACTTAGATTAAATCTGTGCTTCTGAAGCCAATATTCTTTATAATTCAATTTCATGACTTCGATTTACAGTGTATTGTTAATGTATGAATGTAATTTGTGGGTTCATTTTATTTTTTGCATAGATGACATAGGAGTATGCTTTTTACCACCTTTTTAACAGTGAGATAAACCCAAATTCCCTAACATGAATGAGTTGGCCTTCTGTTATTTGTCTCTTCCAAATATTTACAGCCTAAATTCTCACCAGTCTTTTTAGTTCTTAGACCGAACCATTCTTTTTCTTGACTCTGGACTCGCATCATCAGTATTCACTCTCCTTCATATTGTGAAGTGCTTCTAGCTCAGATTAGGGAGCGCTTGCCTGACTTGACTTAAGTTAGGTCCCTTTCTCCGGCTTCCTTTGGATTCTGTATATTTTCTTTTTATTTGTAAACTTTCTGAAGGCAGTTGCTGATTCTGTCATACTCATTGTTGTATCTCAACTTTTAATACACCATTCAACGTTTTTGAATGAATGAATTAATGAATGAATACATAAGCAATATAGAAGACATTTTTGGAGCTACGTGATATACTAGGATAACTGTTTATATTGCTTATTAACTTTAGATGCCTGTGATTTCATGCCTTTTTCTCTTTCTTACCCAAATATAAATTGCACATTGTTAGTCTTAGGAAAAAATACATCATTTGAAAAAATTATAGTCAAAATGCCAACTGTATTCTGTAAGATAAAAATAATAACACATTCTAAAGAGGGGCTAGATTGCTAAGCTAGATATCTTCCAGAACATCTTTACCATGGCCAGAAGGAAAATAGTAAAAGCAAGTTCATTGAAATATTTTCATTGATAAAAGTGAACACCACTGAAAAAAAATAGTGAAATATTATTTTAGATAATTACACAGAATATTGTTTTTAAATTCCAGTGCATTTTGGCTTATATATATATATATGTTAATGAATTGTGCCATTAACATCTTGTTATGCTTTAGTATTTAATTTATTTGAGAAACTCTAGTATTCTAACATTACTACACATCAGTTCTACATTTTCTTTTAGGTGATGTTTTAAATTCTCACATTGGGGATTTCAACATTTATTTCTCGTCTTTAAATCTTTCTCTATATCGTATTGAAGAAATGGGTTGTAATTTCTTAAATATGCAAAGCAATTTGAGATTAGAAGATTGCAACTCTGGAGTTAAGATAAAAGTGGTCTGCATTCAAGACTATACAAATTCACATATGTGTGGTGCTTTGCTCTTTGAGATTTTCATACTGCTTTTGCAAATCTTTCCCTTTACTTTGGTGTCCTGCGTTTTAAATGGAATTCTCACTCTGGACTCTTAATTTATTCATCTAATATTATTTTCCGCATCGTCCTACCTTTGTAGGTTATCAACTCATCCAGACACACCAACTTTTTTTAATAATTAAATACTATATTCATTCTAAATATTTTACATTCTAAGAATAAATTCTATGAATAGAATTTTAATTTTTATTGCTACACTAAATTCTGATTTTTTTAAATTCTGATTTTTAAATCATGAAGGTTTTTTGTTTTGTTTCTACTTTCTCAAGAATTACTGTTCACATTAAATACATGCCACAGATGTGTTTTTAGTAAAAAACAAAAAAAAGACACTTTCTAAAATCATTAGTTGCCTTTGACTGCATCTGTAATATATACATATAGACTAGTTATATTTTCAATAAAACAAAAAAGTTTTTTAAAGCAACTGCAGAAGTAAGTCCCATTAGCAAATATTGTGTGCTGAAGAGAAAACCACATTTAGTATGAACAATAGCATAACCGTAGGCCTGGAAAAGGTCAAGAACACCTCCACCTCACTCTCATTTGACAGAGTTGGCATACTAAATTTGTTGAGTGTTAATGTAACGTGGCGTGGAGAATTTTTTCCATTTCCAAAATAGTTAGTATATTAACCATTTAATATTCATACTTTTAGTGCTTAAAGTTATAAATGATACCCCTTCTTTTGTAACCTTGGAAATAAAACAGAAAAAAAGCCTTTACAGCTGCTGGCAAGCTTGAAACTGGCATCACACCAAACTCTAGAACTAAGCAGAAGCCAGTAGCAAAAGGAACTGCCACCCTCATTGACCCCTGGCGTTTTGACTCAGTTTGAATGAAGAACTGGGTGGAAGTGAAAAGTAGTCCAGACGATGTCCTCCCTAGTCACATTTCAGGAAAGGAATAGAGGTAGGAGAAGAAATTGTGCCATTACCGCTCTTCAGTGGGATTTCCTGATTTATTCCCCTCAAGGTTGTCAACCATTTGTGACTTTTCCGGTTGCCAATTATTTCACTTTATTACATAGTCTTCAATAAAAGAGACTGACCAACCCATCTTGACTTCAATTTTAAGCAAATATGAAAGATATACTATTTGTTGTTATAAAAAATACAGATACTTTTCATCAATCCATTTATTGAACATACTGATGATAAACGTTTCTGTTTCGACTAGATGTCTTCATAAAATACATAAAATAAATTTTAAAATCTCTGGGACTAAACTAGAGACTTTAAATGTACTCAACAGGAAAAAAAATAGAAACACAGTTTAAGGAACCTAATCATTGTAAATTGAGTTAACATCTCCTGTTTCTGAAAGAGAAGCTTTTAGTTGGACATAAAGATCGTTTTTTCTTTAAGAAATATATAACAGCTGAAATATGGTGTGGAATGGAAACCCACAAAATGTGGTTGCTGAGCCTCTCTTGAGTACTAGAATGTATATCATTTAAACAATATAAGAGTAAATTAGTAGCAGCACAGCCAGACACAGCAGAGAAAATTGACTAGACAGATAGAAAAGATAATCTGAAGAATATTGCTGTCCATTCTTTTCCATGAGTATGTGGATCAGTTCACAGATGTTGATGTAGTATCAGCAGCCTCCCAGATTCTGTTTGGCATTCGGTATGAATGGAATTACACATGAAACCACTGCATGGATCCATATCTAGTTATTGCTTTCCTTACTTATTAAAATCCTAAAAATACTTGAGGATTTCACTTCTGAGGAGGTGAAAATGATGTGTGTTCTTGAATCAAATCCTTTCTCTCTCTCTCTCTATATATATATATGTATATGTGTGTGTGTATATATATAATGTGTGTGTATAAAATAAATATAGAACTTGAAAATAATTACATGAAAACACTGGTTTAATCAGTCAGCTTCATTCAGAGACAAGTTCATTCAGGGAAAGAAAAAAATTAGTTGAATAATCTGTATTTTGAACTTCTCAGTTCTATTAAAACTGTCAACTTAGCTGTTATACGTAAACACACACCAGACTGTATAAGAGATAATTTAAAATATCAATTCTTAATTATATTTGTGGATAATAGCTCATTTTGATCAGAAAATAATTATTGCAGCCCTTTAAGTTTGAACAACTAAGTAACTAAAGTTTCAAGTCTAAATTAATAAAATAACTGGGTATACAAATGAATTGGTTCAAGTACACAGTGGATGGTTGAAGAGTCCAAGAACACAGTCCATTTGCTCCTGCTGGAAAGTCTGAGTAGTATCCTAAACTATTTATCAAAGACTTTAACATGTGAGCTGTGAAGCTTGTGTCAGATACATATTTTTGAAATAAAATATAAATGCCTTTGACACCTGTAGAACAGTTTTATGTTTTTGGAAAGATACTGCTTTTGCTCATCCTAGAGCAAATCCTACTTTACACAAAATTGACTTTAAAGGAAGATAATTTTGAATGTTCATGTTGGTGTCAGCCTAAAATTTTATACTTGAGAGCGACATTTGAGAAAAGGTGGTTGATGGATATAAGGTTAGTCAAAAACACTTTGTCTCACTCACACTCCAGGCCTCTTCCTGCAGCACATGGCTTCTTTGCACCCCATGTTCAGGATCATTGCTATTTCTTTAGAGTACATATTTTAGAGGTAGAAATTAGAGATGATTGTTTTATTACTAGAGACTGCAGTCCTCTGCCCCTGTCTTTTCTGTATGGGTATAAAGTTCCCAGTAATATAATTGTAACCATTAGATGGTTTACAAATTGTAACAGGAAGATATTTTATGTGGAAATTTTAAAAATCCGCATGATTGGCAAAATCCGATAAAATAATCCATTTACTATATGCAGTATAAAACAAACAATTATAAAAGAGCTGGCTTGATCATAAAAGAGTGGCTCAAAGTATCAAACTGAATATGAAATATAGCTACAGATAGAGAATATTTACCAAGAACATTTTGACATGTGCCTAGTGCCATGGTTCTCAAACTGTGTGCCAAGGTTCCCAGGGTGGTGTAGCTAATTCATAGGGGCACAGGATATTTTAAAATTTTAGAGAAAATACAGAGGCATCTATTGGACACTATGTGAACTATCATAGATAAGTTCTTTGGACTTTACTAAATAAAATTGAGCAGTTGGATATTTCCTTTGTTTTTAAGAGTCCCATGAAACAATTATTGAACCATCAATGGTGCCTTAATCAAAGAAAGTTTGGAAACTTTTGTCCTAGAGTTGTTTTAAAAATTACTGTGATTTTTTTTTTTTAACCTGGAAGTTATTGTCTTTCACCTATTACACTGCCAACCACAGAACAGAATATTATAACAAAATTTATTTTCCACTTAACAGTGCTATGTATAGTATGATGAAGATAATCAATTACTTGTTTATACCAATTGATTCCTTTGTCAATATGATTTCAAGCATTCAATATTTGGTTTATTTGTTTTGATTTAATTAATGCAATCTCAAATAGGCAACTGCAAATAGAGAGGTACTTTGAAGGAGAGAGCCTGGACTTGGGATCAGATTTTACCTCATTCTGATGTTTCGATTGTCCTAATGTAAGTTATTAAGCTTCAGTTTCCTTATCTACACAATGGTGTAATAAGATCCATGATCCATTTTACGGAATTGTTACAAAGATCAAACGAGATTATCTAAGAATTGGTGCCTAATATTGTGCCTGTCTTATTATGTTATTTACAAGTGATAAAGACTGAGATAATGTAGTACGAGCAAAATACAGATCTTGTTTTGAAAGGAAAAAAGGATTTTAAAATCACACCTAGCATTTGATGACATTTCATCACTCACTCTCTTTGAGTTAGGATCAAACTCACTCTGCCATACATGAATGAGGCTTCCTCTGACTGAGGAAAACAACTGTTTACAGAAAAGCAGCAAAGTGCTGATGAAAACATTTGCTTGGTTTAATACAACCTTAGCCTTACCTGTTTTTATTATAATCACCAAGTTTTAAACTTTTTCTTTTCTTTTTTTCATTTTTTGGAGGCAGTCTCACTCTGTCACCCAGTGCAGTGGCATGATCTCGGCTCACTGCAACCTCCACCTCCCAGGTTCAAGAGATTCTCCTGCCTCAGCCTCCCAAGTAGCTGGGACTACAGGCATGCACCACCACGCCCAGCTAATTTTTGTATTTTTAGTAGGGATGGCATTTTGCCACGTTGCCTAGGCTGGTTTCAAACTCCTGCCCTCACGTGATCCACCCACCTCCCAAAGTGCTGGGATTACAGGTGTGAGCCACCGTGCCTGGCCAGTTTTAAACTTTTTCTGTTGTTGTTTTTTACTTGTCCTTTTATTAGAGCTCATGTTGAGAAACATCATATGAGTTTTAGAAAATGTAGTTAGTCACTGTTTTGGCTGTATAAAACTAGAAATATATTCACATCCTCATTCTGCATTTTAAAACATTGATTAACTTTTCAGATATGTGCTAAATAGCCATATAAAGTTACTGATTGAAATATTTAATTGCCTCATGAGATTAGCTTAAATAAATAGAAGTCGATGAGCCAAGCTTAATAAACTTAAAATATGCTGTATTTACTCTTCATCGGTTTTCTGAACAGTATTTCCGTTTCCAATAAAAAGGGAAACTCTCAGTTAATTAGTTCCTCATACACCGCAATAAAATTAATGTTTAGGAGTTAAATACCATAAACTTCCTCAGGCGTATTTGCTGATGTGTTCCTGTTTTTAGTTAATGTCACATGTTTCATTGTTTAATGGGAGTATCATGTGGGTTCCATTATATCTCTTATGCAAAGAGTTCACGTGTCTGGCATTTTAGGAGACTGCATACTAATTTCTGATTTAACGGTGTCAGCTATGTCAGCTGACATACAGGTTATTGGTGATGAGTGCTAAAACAATCAAAAATCACAAGCTAAAAACCATCAACATGGTACGCTTTTATCAAACTGACAAAATAGGAAATGTGTTGTCAGGATCCCATACTGTATGTTCTTTGTAAATAAGCAGAGAGAAAAGAGGATATAATCATGTCTTTAGGCTTCTGTTTTTTGTTTGTTTGTTTTTATTTTTTATTTTTTTGAGACGGAGTCTCGCTCTGTTGCCCAGGCTGGAGTGCAATGGCACGATCTCGGCTCACTGCAAGCTCCGCCTCCTGAGTTCAAGCGATTCTCCTGCCCCAGCCTCCTGAGTAGCTGGGATTACAGGCGTCTGCCACCATGCCTTGCTAATTTTTTTGTATTTTTAGCAGACATGGGGTTTCACCATGTTGGCCAGCCTGGTTTCGAACTCCTACCTCAAGTGATCCACCCATCTTGGCCTCCCAAAGTGTTAGGATTAAGGCATGAGCCACCATGCCCAGCTGGTTTCTGTATTTTTTGTGTTAGAATTATTGTGACCAGCTCTTCCCCTCTCCTCTGCCTTCCCAGAAGTTTATAAACCGATGACTTTGGGAGATCCTGATTTAGTTGTAAAGCTTTGTAAATGTTTATATTTGTAAAGAATTGAATTATTTTGGTACCTGAATGGCCAGTCATTTAAGTTCCCTTTTGAGGTAGTTACATTAGTGGTTTAAAAATATGAAATGATTGAAAAATAAAGAGAACTGGGTTCAAAAATGTATACAACATTCCATAATTATGTGGTGACAGTCATCTTCCACTTCTCATGAGAAAAGTGTTTCTAGGTCATTAAAATATATCTTTTGATTGAAAATGGAGTTGACATTATTGTCTTAAGATTATATTACTGAAAAAGGGATATGTCTTTGTTGTGGCAATCACAGTATTATAACTTGACATAAAAATAATAGCTTATACTGTACTTTATTATTTATTAAATATTGTCACATAATTGATTTTAATCATTATAACTGTGAGATGATAACTGATCTATATTAGTAACCAGCATTTAATCCAACTTCCACCCCAACATATGCACACTGCCACCACCAAAATACGTACACACAAGCAAACAAAAAAGCAAAGACTCTTTCTTTGATAAATTTCTCAGATTTTATTAGGCCATAACTAGCTTTTCTTTTAATCCATGTCATTTACTTTTTAACATTTAAGAACATCAGAATGTCATTCATTTTAAACCTAAAGCTCATTCAGCTTAGTATTCTCTTTTCAACATGAGTCTCCTCCTTCACAATGTATAAACATAAGATGGAAAGAGTGATTAATGGCACTCTGTGCTGTCAGCCAAAAGACTTCAAAATATGGAATTACCATATGAGTTTGTCATAGCTGAGCCTAACCCTTAGACTTCTAAGTTTTTATTTTTGTTGCCACGGCAAGAATGGAATTTCATCTCAGTAACAGACTAAGTTCATCAACCTGAAGTGTAAGCCCAGAAGAACAATATATTATTTTATCTGAATAAATGTAACAGTTCATGATACAATACAACGGAAATCTCCAGTAAGCATGTTCTAAGACTCCACTAGAAGGCAAACTTATGTCATAAGATTGATTGGAAAGTATGGAAGAAGAAAAATATTTAGTAAAACAAGCTAAGATAAAACATTTTGCTTCAAACTCTACAATAGATATATATTTTCCGTAAGGACTTAAAAAGTCCTGATTTTGAAATGTCATGTGGAATAGGATGCTGCATTAATTTGGATACAGGTTTAGCTGCTGTAAAAGGCCAAAATAGTACTAGCTTAAACATGATGAAAGAATATTTTTTACTTCCGTAATAATCTAAGCATCGCTTATATGGTAACTCCATGACATCCAGTCTCAGGCTTGCTCTCTTATTGATTTTACGGCTTTCCACAAATTGTAGCTTACATCTTATGGTCTTAGATACCTTATCCAGCTTCCATTTCCACATTCCAACAATGAAAAGAGAAAAGTCAGGCGAGAAAGAACTACAGCAACTTTTCAGACAGTACTATTTCCCTAATAATTGATTTTGGCTCTATTTTCAAAGAGTATACTCAAACATTTCTTAAACCTGTCTCTATAGTCAGCTCATAATACCCTTCATATTTTTTTTCTAATATATTAAAGGTGGCACTTTCTGACTGCAACAACCTCAAACAATGGAGAATTGTAGAAAACAAACTAAAAGTTATCTGCCTTCACTCACATACTCCTATAATCCCACTACCCAGGTGTAACTACCATTAATTTTATACATGTTTTTCCAGAGCTAGGTATACATGTAAATATGAATCCATTATATATATTTATATAAAAATATTTAGATATAGATGTGTAATATGTAGCAAAATAGCCTGTGTATTGTAATATGCATAATATGATACATATACTATGTATATTTACGATATGTACTGTATATCATATACCTGAGGATATATGCTACATAGATGACAAACTACTTACATGTATGAAAAATACATTATGGATATCTTCTTCCTCCATACTTTCAGATGTAAATTATTCTATATTTCCTTATGATGGATACATCGTATTTTATTTGGTTTCCCCACTAATGGACATTTAGGTATTTCTACTGCATTTACAGTTTCAAACCATGCTACAATGAATATTTTTGTATGCGCATATTGCCCCAAATGAATTTTTCATGTAACCAGTTCCATTTCTAGTATGTGATATTTTACTTTAGTTTCTTTCTGAACATTTTGCACCTGAGAGTTTGCATCTAAATTCTAATGCTCTCTGAGTTTGTTAATGGAGAATTTAAAACTTTCAAAATGGAGTGGCCCAAGTTATCTGTGAATTAGCATTCATAAGACTTGAAATCAGAAACTAATTGTCTGGCTTTAATGAATTCTATCAGAAAAAAAAAAATACAATGAAACAAGGGGTCAGAAGACCTTAGTAGTCACAGTCCCGTTTCATATTAATCTGTGCCCTTGGGCAAGTCATCTTGCTCTCCCTGTTTTATCTTTTTCATCTTTCAGGCAGCCACAGTAATGTCTGCTCTACATACTTTATAAGGAGATTGTAAAATGTGGATGGGATGAGTATATGCATTTCTAAAGAAGTCAAATTATTGTATAAATATAAAATATCATTATGATTCATTAAATATATACTCCTGTTGTGAAACTATTAAATATGTCATAATGAAAAGGATGTCAAGAGTTTTTCTATTCTAGGTCACTATGCCTCTGACCATTCAAGACATTTATATTATGTATTTTTTCATATTCATTCATGTTAATGACAACATTTATTAACTTCTAGAGGTTTAACATTTATTATTTTAGTAGGAATCTCTAGGCCAGCAATCATTCTAAATGTGTATCTCATAGGCTTACCATTGTAGTGATTTAGGAAGCTTCCTATTCTCACCTGTGAACCTCAGACCCTGGATACACTCAGGAGGTATACGATGTCTGCCAAAAGCCCAGATAAGAGAGAAAGGTGCAATGGCTAGAAAGGGAGTCAGCAAATTAAATGGTTGCTAAGCCTTAATATTAAAAGTGGGAAATAAAAGAGGAATTGCATTTAATTTGGTCTTAAGTGGCTTATGCGAATGCCCCTCTTCCAAATTCCTACTCTCTAATACTTGAAACATTTTGGATGAATTTTCTCGGGACCATTCATTTCTTCATAAGACACAGAGGCAAAATGTAGACATAGTATTCTAAGATAGAGCTGGATATAGAAGCAGTTCCATAATTCATGATTCTTGTTAAGCAGCTTAAAATGAGTTATTGTGCAATACCTTAAATGATGCCTTAGCAGTCAGGCGGGAATACAGAAGGAAAAGGAGACATATTTGATTCATTGTCACCTTTTCAGGGATACTCAGACTTCTTAGATAATTAATCCAAGAAGTTTTATTGATAATCACATTCTCCAATTTACGGGCAAGGAGATGAAGAACAATGTATTTTTTATATGCAGAAAGGTCTTCCCATTCTGAGAGGTGTTTCTTAAAGAGTTCATAAATTAATCTCTTTCTAAACTAGCCAACTAGGTAACTATTAAATTAAATAGGATAAAGTTTTCATTTGCTATGCTACATTAAGACGTCATAAAAATATATTTTATTTTAAAAAATCTCTTATTGAAAATAGTTAGCTGTGACAAAGCAGTTAAGAACTAACAATTACCTTATATTGTCTTATTTTAAAATATCTATATAGTCAAACAAGAGCTAATTTATTTTACTCTCTCGAATAAAATGTATATGAAATATTCCCATTCATTACTTACCATTCTATGAAATTTAATACAAAATATTAGCATTTCTTATAAAAAGTTTCAAATGTTAAAGTCATATTATACTATTCTAGCAAATCTAAAAAGACTGTACAGATCTTCCACATTTCGAAATTCCTTCACCTTTACTTGTGTATAGCAAATCACTTGTTCTTGGTTGCTCAAGATGCTGTAGGAGAGTTGTTATAAATGTAACTACTTATAATGAGGAAAAAAGTATAGCTGAACTTATTGCCATAAGGAAACAAATTTCATCTTGGTTGGATTTAAGAAAGTATAAAATGATATGAAACAATCACAGTGAAGAATGATTTTGTTTTGATTATATGTTTATATGTAACATCTTATTTTCTAGTGGATACAATGACCAAGTGCAGGTGCTTTAATGAAATCATAATAAAAGATTCTTGTTGATGAACAGAAATCATTTTAAGACTTTGGAAGTGCATATTACTTAATTTTCATACCTAAGAGGATAAGAATTGTTTATAAAATCAAAATTTACAAGAGATAAATTATGGAATATTATAAAAGAATTATTGTTATATGAAAATATGTTAAAAGAGATTATTTTATTCTTTAACTACCTTCTCTGGGTCCTGATTTCCTCCTACCCCTAAATTCTAGGCCTCTCTGTCCCGTTTCATTATCTGTTCTTCCTTTCAACATTTGCAACTCAACAAAGTATTTGTTTGAATTAAACCGTGCACAAAAAACTAATACTTATTTGTATAATTATTGTCTTATAATATGGTTTTTCTACTAAACCTTAGGCTTTTGATATGCCAAGAGTTGTCTCTTGTATTTGATATTTGTTAACTTCTTAAATGAATTCTTCCTTCATTTATTCAGTCAATAAACATTTTAATAGGCTTAAGTGTGTCAGGCATTGTGCTAGGGACTAGGGATTTAAAGATGAGCAAGACATAATTCCTCCCTTTAGGATGCTCTTAGTCTAGTTGGGGAGAATGGGATTGCTATGGTCTGAATGTTTATTTTCCCCCAAAATTCATATGCTGAAATCCTCACCTTCAAGTTAATAGGAGGTGATTAGGTCATGAGGGCAAAGTCCTTATAAGAGTGGCCCCAGAGAGCTGCCTTGCTCCTTCTACAGTGTGAGGACACAGAAAGAATGCACCATTTATTCATCAAAAAATGGGCCTTCATCAGGCCCAGAATTTGCTGGTGCCCTTATTTTGGGCTTCCCGGCCTCCAGAACTGTGAGAAACAAATGTTTGTTCTTTATAAGCCACCCAGTTCATGGTATTTTGTTGTATCAGCCCGAACAGACAGAATAAGGATATAAGCAGTGGTAATATACAGATATGCATCATATTTTAAGAGAAGTCTTTGGAAAAGGAATTACTTTAAATCCAAGAGTGTTGAAGTATCAGGAAAGGATTCTTAGTGTGAGGGGTCTCAAGTCAACCTAAAGGATAAAGGCAGCTATACAATCGAAGAAGTGATTGGGCTGAAGGGATACAGACAGACTATTCCAAGCAGAAAAAAAAAGCCTAAAGACCAGAAAGCAAGAGATAAAATAGGGTGGACATGGACCTATAAACAGCTAAGTGTTAAGAATAATGTATATGGTAGGAAGTGACAAGTGAGTAGTACTTTGAGGACATGAGACCAATTCAGGGAAATATGTTTAGACATATGCTGCAGGAGCCAGAAAACCACGAAAGGTCTGAAGCCTAGGATTGAGATCATACTGGCATCCATCCACCCATCCATCCATCCATCCATCCATCCATCCATCCATCCATCCATCTATCTGTACATTCATCCATCCATCCATCCATATTCATTCATCCATCCATATATCCACATCAAAGCATGCTTCTCTTGTTCCCTGTTACATTTTCAGCCCCTAAAACATAGTATATAATTAATAAATACTTACTATACTTCAAATACAAGGAATGAATACTACAGATTGCCTGTATTGAATGCTACTGGAAACTAGAGAGAGAACGAATTTCGTTAGCAGAGGACTAGAGCCTGGGAGACTGATTGAGAAGCTCTTATAATAGAAAGACATGTAGACCTAGGAGTTTAAAGGAAAAGATCTTCATGATTTATTGGCCGTGGAGGGTGAAAGGGATGGAGAAATCAAGGTTACTTTCATATTTGTAGTCTGGGTGACTGAGTGTCACTAAGTGTTATAAGAACACCAGGAGTAGAAGCAGCTTTTGGAAGAAAGAAGATAAATTACATTTTGTACATGTGAAGGTGGAGCTTATTGTGGGACAGCTAGGGAGAATTGCTCAAAAAAAAAAAAAAACAGTAGAAGAGGTCTAGGCTACAGTCACTGATTTGGAAAATATTAGTTTGTATATGGTTGCTGAACCATGAGATTGGATAAGATCATTCAGATAAAGTGAATAGAAGGAGAAGAACCAAGTGCCAAGGATTAGACGCCAAGGAATACCAATATTTAAGGAAGGGATGGATGAAGGAAGGTGGAACAGCCTATTGCAGAAACAGATAATAAAGTTGGCATGAACAAGATATAAGGAGAACCAGGACAGCTGTTTTAAGAAAAGCCAAGAGAATGTATAGATATAATTAGAGAAGAAGAAAATCATTAACAGAGGCAGCTGTTGCAGATATATGTTCATTAAAATTTGGCAATTCAGAGGTCATTAGTAAATTTATAAAGCATTTCCCCAAAAATATATGGATTGAGAACTAAAGAGTAGGAGAAGGATTTAAGATTATCACTAGTTTTTAACAATTTAGATGAGAGAAAATAGATGATGGTTTCAGAAGGGGTTTTATATTCTAGATAGTTCATTTTTTTTAGGATAGGAGGTAATTGTGCATATATTTAAAGACATAATTATGTACAAATTGCTTATGTTGGTATTTGAGGTCATCGATAGACCATAATCAGCCTTCTAAATAATTTTTGCTACTAGATGAAATGGGTTCAACTACAGGCTAGATCTTGAATTTTGCTTGCTCATTTCTTTGATCCTGTTGTACCTCCTACTTTGGGGCTCATTTTTTTAATTGAGCATCTACTCTATGCCAGGCATTTCAGCTCATAGGCTTCTCGCATCTTTTCTACTTCGTATTTTATATTCAAGGCCTAACTCAATCTCAGCCCCTCCTCTGATTCTTTCCCCAGTGATCCAACTTGTATAAATCCTTTTCTCTGGTAATTACTGCCTATATTCATTTGACTCCAATTGTATAGTTTTGATTCATTTCACTTTCCATATTTATATGTCTTATTTTCATAACTGAAAGTGTTTTGAAGGCAAGGATTGTACCTTTTAGTGCTTTGTGTTCTCCACATAGTAAGAGTTTGATACATGTTAATTGAATGGAAATTAGTTGAATATGTTATGAAAATTGAAGTATACATTTGCATAATGCTTTAAAAGTAGTCTGTGTGTTCTGCAATAATGTTTTCCTTATTAAAATAGTAAGAACTCTAGTAATGATTAACCGTGGGATAATCCTGGCCAGTTTAAAAAATTGTGTAGAATGGGAATAATAATTTCTACCCTAAAGAGTTGTTGTGAAGATTAAAAGCAATTTTATACATTTACATATATGTATATATGTATATATGTGTATATGTATATGTAAGATATTTCAACACAGTGCCAAAAGTCAACAAATAATAGCTTCCCACATTTCAAATCAGTGGGAGAACAAGTAATTATTCAAAAACGATGAGGGAATAATTAAATATTTGGGGAAACAATATTTCTTAAATCATATACCAAAATAAAACTTCAAACACTGAAAAAAAATTCTCACATATTTTCTTTTTTCTTTTACTTCATCAAATCAGTTATCAAGTCTGTCTCCCAAAGCTATTCTCTGCTCTCCTTCATTGATTTATTTGCAATAGTTTTTAACATATCTATCTGCAGTCTCTCCTTCTTCCAATCGTTCTATGCCTTGCCACAAAACTGATATATCTGGAACACAAATACTAACAAAAAATATTATTTTCCTGCTTAAAACCTTTCAGTGACTTAACGTTGTCTTCAAAGGAAAACATAAGGCTCTTCAAGATATGAGCTCTACTTGCTTCTTTAGCTGAATAGTTCCCCATTCATTCCGTTTCTGCATCAGAAACACTGGGGGTAATGAAACTATCCCTGGATGTAGGCATAAATATAGTTGTTCTTATTAGCCCTATAAATGGCAGGGGGCTCCCCCAAGCTTGAAGGCACCCACCAATTTCTCTATCAGCCCATGACATGAAAGAAAGCAACATGAGATGAAAGAAAGCAGTTTTCTTCCAAAGTTCCATCTACAGTGTCCTTACTAACTTCATTTTGTCTTAGAATTCTACAAGGCCTCCTCTACCTGGAAATGAGAGTGGTAAGAACAGGGTGAGAACTCAGTACCAATCTGAGAAGGTTTTTAATAGGAGCAATGCTCGTTGCACTGAAAGGTGCATGCTTACTGTTGACCCTGTAACATTTATAATACATGGGAAGGAGGTGGTAAAATGGTCCCGAAGTATAATTTGGTATTGATAGTGGCCATCTTTTAAGAGACACCTCAGTAAATACAATTCCTTGACTATCGAGTCTCTTTCAGGTTGAGTTCTTTCTTTCAGGTTTCCAGAATAACTTTTACACTCTTCTACTTTGCTTATTGTATATTTGGATTAGTTTACATGGTGAATCCTCCTCACTTGATTAAGACTGGGACAGGGATTGTATGTGTGTATGTCAGAGAGGGGTTGATTTTCATATTTCCCAGCACCTACAGAAGGCAAGCTGGTATTTGTCAAGGAGGCAAAACAAAAACAAACAAAAAAACATGTAAGGCCAATAAAGGAATGAGTCTCCACATTTCAGTGAAGATAATGCCATAAAACTGTCCAAAACTTTTGCATTAGTTCAGTAGATGAAAGAGTGTGTATTGTTGAGTCTTGTTAAAACCACATCTGCATTTCACATTTTCCTTCATCCTAAATAATCTTGTTGGAAAAATTGTTTTTCTTAGGCTGTGTTATACAGTATAGAGATGAATTCTTCATAGTATGACTGGAGATAATTAATATCTAAATATGCACAACTATAATAATGATGCAATTGAATGCTTTTAAAGAGTTAATATAAGCCGTATCATTTGTGTCAGTAGACACTGTAAGCTATGTTGTATTCTGAAAGCAATAGAATAACATGCCTCAGTATACTTTTTAGCTTTTTGAAAAATTTTAGTTTTGAGCTAGAATTTCCATGCTTGGTCTTGAAATAAGAAGCAAATTAATGTTGGAAAGGCTTAGGGAAAAATTTTTCAAATGGTTAAAACCTAGGGAAGAGTAGAAGAAATTACTTTTAACTAGTTGAAAGTCAACTTGAATAACTTACACATGGTTGAACTTTAAAAGTCAAAGTTTTCCATTATCTGATTTTTTTACTAAGTATGAATCTCATGAGGTATTTACAAAATAAATCTGTTGTAATGTTTTTTAGTACAGTTAATTGAGGAATGGCGCAAATAGATGACAGTATTTACTTCAATAAAAACTCTTTTTTTTTTCTTACAGCAGCTTCTGTATTTTTCCTTTGCCATTAAAAATGACCCCTGACCTTGTTTGTGAAGCTTTGTAGATTCTGTGTCCACTGTAGAACACTGACACATCCATGTAATATATTTTGAATTTTTTAAATTGAGAGTTAAATGGCTGCATTGGAAATTTTCACAGGTATTTTATTTGTATTCACTTTGTTGTAACCAGGAGCATACTTCAACCAAAGTAATCTTGGCTTGAAAAAATGGTAACAAGGTAGAGACATGCTTTAAGTTAATTGTGTTTATGTGTTGGGTGAATATCATTGAAATAGCGTAGCGCTATTAGACACAATCCTTTTGAAATTAATTAGTCGACATATTGGATATATTTGTATATTTGAAACTATATATGATTAAAGATATATAATAACTGTAGTAGTCTTTTAAATTCCTGCTGCCAGTCTTTTCTTTTCCCCAATTCACTTAGACACCAAATATATTGACATATGGCTGTATATGGCAAACATATTGCATGAGTTTGTTATGGCTGCTATAACAAAATAGCATAGACTGAGTGGCTTGCACAACAGAAACTTATTTTTTCACAGCTCTGTATGCTGTATAGCTGAGATCAGAGTGTCAGCAGGTTGTTTCTTCTGATACCACTCTTTGCAGCCTGTAGATGACCACCTTCTCTCTGTGTTCACACCTGGTCATACCAGACAGACTCTATTTTGTTTGTGTCCTAATCTGTTCTGCTTATAAGAACACCAGACATATTTGGTTAAGTCACCATGCATATGACTTAATTTTATCTTAAATTAGCTCTTTAAAGGCTCTATTTTTAAATATAGTCACATTCTGGAGTATTAGTAGTAACAACTTGAACATATCAATTTGTAGACAGACATAATTCAATCCATGACACATATAAAAAGTATTTAGCTTATATAAACTTTCACATAAAGGAATACCTCATTTTACTGTGTTTTGCTTTAGTGTGTTTCACGCAGATTGCATTTTTTACAAATTGAAGGTTTATAGCAATTCTGCATAGAGCAAGTCTGTCAGCACCATTTTTCCAACAGCATGTGCTCACTTCATGTCTCTTTGTCATATTTTGATAATTTTTTCAATATTTCAAACTTGATTATTATTATATGTTATGGTGATCTGTGATCAATGATCTTTGGTATTATAGTTATAATTGTTTTGGGATGCCATAAACTGCACCCACATAAGATGGGAAACTTAAAAAATGTGAGCTAGAAATGATTGAGCTTGATGAAGAAGGTGTGTCAAAAGATGGGGCAGGCTAAAAGCTAGGCCTCTTGCACGAGACAGACAAGTTGCGAATGCAAAGGAAAAGTTCTGGAAGGAAATTAAAAGTGCTATGCCAGTGAACACACAAATAATAAGAAAGTGAAACAGCCTTATTGTTGAGTTGCAGGAAGTTTGAGTAGTTGAAATAGAAGATCAAACCAGCCACAACATTCCCTTAAGCCAAAGCCTAATCCAGAGGAAGGACCTATAACTCTCTTCAATTCTACGAAGGCTGAGAGAGATGAGAAAGCTGCAGAAGAAAAGTTTGGTGTTGGGGAGGTTGGTTCAGGAAGCCATCTACCTACATAAAAGTGCAAGATGAAACAGCAAGTGCTGATGTAGAAGCTGCAGCAAGTTATCTAGAAGATTTGTCTAAGGTCATTGATGCAAAAGTGGCTACACTAACCAACAGATTTTCAGTGTAGATAAAACAGCCTTTTACTGGAAGAAGATGCCATCCAGAACTTTCATAGCTAGAGAGGACAAGTCAAGTCAATGTCTGGCTTCAAAGGACAAGCTGACTCTTAGGAGCTACTGCAGCTGGTGAATTAAGTTGAAGCCAAAGCTCATTTACTATTTTGAAAATCTTAGTTTTTTTAAGAATTAAGCTAAATCTACCTTGCCTGTGCTCTATAAATGGAACAGCAAAAGCCTGGATGACAGCACATCTATTGACAGCGTGATTTACTGAATATTTTAAGCCCACTAGTGAGACCCACAGCTCAGAAAAAAGATTTCTTTCAAAACATTACTGCTCATTGACAGTTGCACCCAGTCACCCAAGAACTCTGATGGTGGTGTACAAGGAGATGGATGTTGTTTTCATGCCTGCTAACACAACATTTGTTCTACAGCCAACGAGTCAAGGAGTAATTTTGACTTTCAAGCCCTATTATTTTAGAAATACATTTCATAACCTGTCACTGCCACAGTGATTCCTCTGATGGATCTGGAAAGAAAGTAATTATTGAAAACCTTCTAGAAAAGATTTACAATTATAAATGCTATTAAGAACATTAATGATTGATGGGAGGGAGGAGGTCAAAATACCAACATTAACAGGATTTTGAAAGAATTTGATTTTACCCCCCTTGGATGACTTTGAGGGGTTCAAGACATCAGTAGAGGAAATAATTGCAGATGTGGTGGAAATAGCAGTAGAACTAGAATTAGAAATGGAGCTTGAAGATGTGACTAAATTGCTGCCATCTCATGATAAAACTTGAATGGATGAGGAGTTTCTTCTTATGAATGAGCAAAGAAAATGGTTTCTTGAAATTAATTCTACTTCTGATGAAGATTATGTGAGCATTATTGAAATGACAACAAAGGATTGAGAACATTAAATAAACTTAGTTGATGAAGCAGTGGCAGGGTTTGATGGAACTTCAAAGCTGAAAGAAGTTCTGCTGTAGATAACTGCTATCAATTAGCATCACATGCTACAGAGAGATCTTTTGTGAAAGGAAGAGTCAATCAATGCTGCAAACTTCATTGTTGTCTTATTTGAAGAAATTCCCACCAGGCGCGGTGGCTCATGCCCATAATCCCAGCACTTTGGGAGGCCAAGGCAGGTGGATTGCTTGAGCCCAGGAGTTCAAGTCCAGCCTGGTCAATATTAAAAAACCTTGCCTTTACAAAAAATTAGCTGGTTGGAGTGGTGTGGGCATGTGGTCCCAGCTACCCAAGAGACTGAGGTGAGAGGATTGCCTGAGACCAGGAGGTCAAGGATGCAGTGAGTAATGTTTGCGCCACTGCACTCCACCCTGGGCGACATAGCCAGACCCTGTCTCAAAATAAATAAGTAAATAAGAGAAAAGAAAAGGAAGGTTAGCTACCCTAACCTTCAACAGCCACCATCCTGATCAGTCAGCAGCCATCAACATCAAGGCAAGACCTTTAAGCAGCAAAAAGATTACAACTCACTGAAGGCTCAGATGATAGCATTTTTTAGCAATAAAGTATTTTTTTATTAAGGTATGTATATGTTTTAGACATAATTCTATTGCACACTTAATAGACTATAGTTTTGTCTAAACACGACTTATATGTACTGTGAAACAAAAAAGTGTGCATAACTTGCTTTATTGTGCTACTTGCTTTATTGTGGTAGTTGGATTCAAACTTACAATATCTCCAAGGTATTCCTGTGTATATATACATTTATACACATACAATATGGCATTAGTAAAACATATCAGCTATTTACATATATATGCATATCCAAAGGAAAGATAGTTAATTTCATTAATACACATTCATTAATTTAGGAAATAAAAAGATTATAACATATGCATATTTTTAAATTTTATGGAATAATCTGTATTATAAGTAATGAGCTTTAAATTTACATGAAATTTGATATTAATAATTAGATGCAAGTAATGCAAAAGTGTCCCAAACATCTGCAGGTGTTTTGCTAAATTTAGGAGTTAAACAAATTTAGGAATACGTCTTTGTCTCTAGGATGGAGAACCAGGTGATCTTTAATACTTCCTACTACTTAAGCTCTTTAATGAGGCTTCTTAAAACTTCATTTCTTGTCCATTGCCTTTTCATATCCAGATCTCAAGATTGGAGTATTAAAAGTTTCCCAACTCCTTGTCTTCAATCTCTTTTCCCTCTACTTTATTCTATCACCTGTTATTTAAACTGTTTCTTCTCTACATTCCTTTAGCATGTCATACTCCTGCTTTGATGCATTTCACCCTATCCGAAAGGTCTCTCCTCCCCTCCATCTGCACATTTTCAAGACCAAGCTCACTCTTATTTTCATCTGTAACTATTCCCTTAAGATTGAAGCCTGGATTAGTTCTCCCTTACCTCCTATACTACCTACTGATGATGGTCAACATTATTCAAATAAGCACTTAATTAGAAAAGATAGAAATGCAGTAAATACAGACCAAGTTTTGTTTTGTCTCACAGAGCAGCTAGCAGAATTCTGTTCATGATAAATGTTATAGTGCTTATGAATTGGTTAATTTACAATAGGGAAAATAAATAATAAAAAATGAATTTTCACTGTGAAGAGTACCACAGCCTCTACAATTTTGCTTTTGTTAATTTTAAGATTATGTATCCTAAGTTAAGAATACAAATGAATTAAGTAGTTTTAAGCATTTAAATTGTCAATTCTAATAGTCATACTATAATAGTATTTACAATTTTAACTAGTTTGCATGAATTTAGCTTTTAAATATCTAAATGTCCTATTATAAAATTGGATAGTGTTTGGAAGATTAAATACTAAAAATATGAAATGATAAAGCACCATTATGTAATATTGGTTGTCCCTTCTCTCTCCTGTATCATAGGTTTTTGCTCTATTTACTGAATCTTTCTCATTAGCATACGAGCATGGTATAATTTTTCTACATATGTACCTTCTTATAAAGTTTGCTTGATCACACAACTTTCACTAGCTACTGTAAAACACCTCAGTGTAGTTGTCTGTTCTAGCACTTCTCAAACTCTAATACACATACAAATAATCTGGGGCTCTTGTTAAAATTTAAATTCTGATTCAGATGCCACATGTTTCCTACTTCAATAAATTAGCCTAAAACTGTTGTGCCTTAAGACAACAAACATTTATTTGGACACAGCCATGCTGGGTACCTCTGGCTCCGGATCTTTCCCACTGTAGTCCAGGTATTGGCCTGGATTGCAGTCATCTCTAGGCTTGGCCTGGGTAGAATCTGTTCCAAGCTCCCTTCATTAACTGTTGGCATGCCTCATTTCTTTGCTTGCTATTGGCCAAAAACATCTGTCTTTTGCTATATGAGTCTTTCCACAGAGCAGCTCACAACCTAGCGGCTTGCTCCAACAGAGGGTGTGGGCAACCAAGGCAGCCAAAATACTTTTGTAACTTAATCTCAAATGTAAAATAGCATTACTTTAGCCATATTCTGTGCATTAGAAGGCAATTACCAGACCCAGGACACACTGAAAGGGAGGTGATTACATGGGACATAAATACCAGGGAGTGGGAGTCATTGGAGGTTCTATCTTAGGGGCTGTCTGCACAGTAGCTTTAGGGTGGGTTCTAAAAATGTGCATTTCCAAGAAACTCCAGGTGATGCTAATGCTCCTCATCTGAATCTTGCATTGAAAAGCGAGGGTCTACACTTCCTGCCTCCAATTCCTTTCTTTCGATCATCCTTTGTTGATCACACTCTTTCTGATTAGGCCTTCTCAACCTCCACTCCACTGAAACCGCCATTGTTGCAGTTGCCAGTGACCTCCACATCATTAAATCCAGCACTTAAATGAAAAAAATTATCACTGTCTGGAAGTCTTTCTTTACTTGGCTTCTGGAACACCAAATTTACATTTCTTCTCAGTCTCTTCTGCTAGTTACCTATCTGCCTGAGTATAAATGTTAGTACATCCCACAGTCCAAATTTTTGGACCTCTTTTTAATCTATGGTTAACTCCTAAGTGGTCTTATCAAGGCTTACAGCTTAAATTCCAGATACATGCTAACCACTCTCAAGTATATGTCTCCTATGAGGGCTTTTCCCCTAAAATTTTAACATGTTTATCAAGTGTCTAATAAATACCTCAACCTGGATATCTAATCATAATTTCAAACTTAAAATATCTAAAACAGAACTCTTTGTTCCTTCCCCGCAACAACACCCTTTAGGCCCCACCTGGCAGTCTTGCTTCTAATCTGTGTTTACAAACCCAGTACATACTACCACATGTCAATCAGTTGTTTTAGTGAAAAACCTGGAAGTCATCCTTGAGTCTTCTGTTACTCTCATACGTAACAGTCATTAGGTTTTACCAGTTATACCATTTAAATATCTCTGGAGTCCCTGCCTCACTCTCCATCCCCATGTCACCATCCTAGTCTGACCATAATTACCTTTTTTTTTTTTTTTTTTTTTTGAGACGGAGTCTCGCTCTGTCGCCCAGGCTGGAGTGCAGTGGCGGGATCTCGGCTCACTGCAAGCTCCGCCTCCCGGGTTCATGCCATTCTCCTGCCTCAGCCTCCCAAGTAGCTGGGACTACAGGCGCCCGCCACTACGCCCGGCTAATTTTTTGTATTTTTAGTAGAGACGGGGTTTCACCGTTTTAGCCGGGATGGTCTCGATCTCCTGACCTCGTGATCCGCCCGCCTCGGCCTCCCAAAGTGCTGGGATTACAGGCGTGAGCCACCGCGCCCGGCCCATAATTACCTTTTATACAGATTTCTGCATCTGCTCACTAGTTGATTACAGCTCTCAACCTCCCACCCAAGTGATTTTACTCAACCCATCTGTTTTCCACGTTCATGATTTCCTTTACCGTATAGGATAAAGTTTAGATCATTTAATGTTTACAGAAATCACACATAATCTGGCATCTTACTCCCTCCCCAATCCCATTGATCTCACTTCCCTACATGCTCTCTGTACTTCAGCAATACAGGGACTGGGCTATAACTAACACTTCCATTTGATTCTTCATGAAAATTGTTTCCCTGCCTGGAACAATCTTTCTTCCCTTCTTTGTCTAGCTAACTATAATTTAATTCAAGTTTCAGCTTAAACATCACCTTTTCCTGGAGGCTGTCTTTAACATATTAGACTAGGTTTGGGACAACCACAGTGCAGTCCATAGCATTATGTACTTCGCTGTCTTAACTGCCATTATATATTATACTAATCATTTAATTATCTTTTTCTCCCATTAAACTGTAAGCTTTTGGAAGGCCAGATCCAGAGAGGTAGATCCAGGTATTTTGAAGCCTAAAAAATAACCTGGGAGACTCTCTTTAGAATAAAAATGCAAAAATTTTATATGCTCAGACACGCACACAAACACACACACTTAGGTAGAAAAGTGAATATTCATTTATAACAAATCACAACAAATTACAACAACTGATAAATATAAAAATATATGACAAATATAAAAATACGCAGTGAACATACTGCAAGAGGCCAGTTTCAAAAGCCCAAAGTTTAAGCTTCATTAAATTCCCAGTAAATTCACATCTGCATATTAATCTTTTCCAAAGCTTTATGTCTAGGGCCAAGAGGAATGCTTAATACATAGCAGGTACTCAATAAATGTTTTTGAATGGCGTATTAACTGAGTTATTTTAAGTTATATTTTTCATGCGTGCAATATTCAACACATTTTTTATAAATTAGATTTCTACAAAATGTTTTATGCATTACAAAATTGTTCTATTATTTTTAGTTATTTGCTATGGTCATGTGTCAGATGACAAATAATGTACATTACTTATATTTCTTAGCAATTTATTGGGCCCTATGCAACAGGTCTATTGTACCTCTTTACTAATTAAGAACCCCCTTGATTTTCATAAAAAATAAGCAGAATAACCTTCTCTATGTGCTTCTCTGTATGTTTTTGTGTGTGCCTATATTTTTACAGGTCATATAACAGTAAAACTTCAGGATTAATTTTGAATTAGTGTGCTTTTTTAATAGATAAAAAATGTCGGGGGGAAGGGATCTATTTTCCATTTTCATTACAATATAGTTTTGTAAACATTTATCCCTGGATAATAAAGATGTCAATATTTCATATAACTTGAAAAACACATAAAATGTTTTCTTCGTTGTTAATTTGTCCATATTATTTAAGAGATTAAGATTATTTGAATCAAGACCGTAACATAGCATTTCAAAGATAAGCTACTTTGTTTAAATCTTTGGAGTTTAATTCATTAAAATAAAAGTAAGTTAAGTTCCTTTTATAATAATACTGTAAATTTGCTGAGGAGTTACTGTGCTCATATTAAAATTGTGTGTGTGTGTGTGCACGCGCGTGTGTGTTATCAAGTGCAGCCCTCTGATCAATGCTCACTTTCCCTCCCATTTTCCTAAATACATCATGAAAAAAGGATGAGGTTTCCGCCTTAATTGCTTGTGCCTTTTATTCACATTCCTCTCTCAGCCAGAATTGTGAAAAGAGTGTTAGTAAAAGGCTGCACAATAGAGCTTTTCATTAGGCCTCAGCAAGGCACACAAAAGAAGGCTTTTGGAAAGAGTGAATGCATGAGTTTAATTTGCAGGTGGAGAGTAGATAAAAGGTGCTGACGCCTCTATTATTCTCTTACTTAGGTGACCCTTACCCTGTTCAGCTGATCCCAACTACCATGGCAGCTGCTGCCGCAGCAACACCAGGCTTAGGCCCACTCCAACTGCAGGTAAGTCAGGAAACAATACAGAGGAGACAAAGGTTAAGTAAATATCGAAAACAGCTATTATGGTGTTAAAGCAAAATAAAACTGACTCGTGATATTCGTCTCACACTTTCTGTTTTTAAATTTATTTGTAATGATCCTCAACCACAAGTTGAAATGTTGATTCTCTTAATTTTTAGCCCTGTTTTCTGCACTAAACATAGCTTATCGTATTTCTTTTCTTGCCGGTATTATTAAGAAAGTGAGCTGTAGTTTTGCTTTGATTACTGCGTGCCATAATTTTGTCACAGTATGGTCCTTATCAAGGTAAAAAGAACAAAAAACCCTGCAAAAGATATTCAGACACTTGAGGAGCAAGGCGACTTAACAAAAATGCATTTCAAATTGCTCAGGATGCCCAGTATCATTGAAATGGTCTGTAGGTCTCTTTGTTCTCTTGCTAATACCAGCTGAGTTGGGCAAGCAAGGAAAAGTAGACCAAATAAGCTGAAGACTAAATAAGCACAACTTTATCCCAGTCATCCCAATTAAGACTTTTCTAGCCGTGCGAAATATATATTCCTATAATCCGAGAATGTCAACGATAACTTTACCAGATGTCCAAGTGATTTGAGAAGCTTTGTCTCTGAGGTTGAAAAGAAAATCAATACAATTATAGTAACAGGTAGCTTTGATTAACTGTTGACATTTTTGAATCAGCATCCCACAAAACATTCCTTAGTTTCTATCGGTATGGACCTGTGATTATGCAATTAACGGGAATAGAAAATTATCTAATAATAGGATTACTCTCCTCTTGTGAGAAGTTAACCTGAAAGACACAGTATGCCTATGAATACTGTTAGCCTGAAAGACACAGTATGCCTATGAAGCCAGAGATAAAGCAGTTATACTTAATAATTAATTTTTCTTCGTGAAAAGGTATTGTCATGATAGGTGATCTTAGTCTATAAGGAAAATATAGTTTTATATTGTAGCATCAAGAGACAGATAACATCTGGCCTGCACATGGGTTTGTCAGAAGACCTGGTGGGTTTCTGAAAGGCCAGCTGAGTTTCCCAGGAGGAACTACCAGTGTGAAAGCTGAGACATACTGTGTTCTACAGAGGTTAATAACATTCATTTCTATTCTTCCTTTTCTGTGAACAGCTACACTGTGAGTATCTGTTTTCTTTGAGCTGGAAATGTCTTGGGAAGTGTTGGAGCTGTGGGGACAATAAAAGTAACATAACATTTGTTACCCTTTGAAATGAGATCTGGGGAATAACTATAACATGAAAAAGTGATTGTAATAGGTAAAGCTAAAAAGAGTAGTGGAATTAGCAAGAGGGAATAATATCCAGCAATAGATTTAAATATAGGAATAGGGGTTTTAGAGATTTCAGATGTTGGTTTTCAAAGCAAGTTAGACATTCTCCTTTGACCATTGGATTAGCGATGAGAGGAAGTGAGAGCAAGTTAGAGGCAACTCCTATGTTCATTGCACGACTCTCTTCGAAAGTAGCTATGTTAAGCAACAATCTAATCAACTTTTCCTGTAGAGACAGTGGGAGAATATTTGATGCTAATTTTTATTTTTATACTATATGAGATTTTTATTTTTATAATATATGAGATTATCTCAAGATATTAAATATCTTGAGACATTAAGATATTAAAATATAAACAATTTTGTCACTGAACAAGAGAAACTTTAGACACCAAACATATATGTTCTTACTTTAACTATGATTTGAGATGTAAATGGGATAAAGTTCCTTTCATAGAAGTGGTATTGTACCCATTAAAATGCATGAGTTTTAGAGCCTCAAATAATCCTGTAGTATAACAAGAAAATTAATAATCCAAAATTTTTTCATGGAAAGCCATCAGCTACTATTAAAACACATTTACATAAACATATAAAAAAGTTGTTTTTTTTTTTTTTGCAGTGAGAAAATAACCGTTATTCAGAACAAACACATGCCCAAAGCATGTCGTATCAGAGAACCTGGCTTTTCTTTGAAGTGGACTGACTCTCACTTTTGCTAGGGTGCTTACACCAACTCACTTTTCTACTTGTTCCTAACACAATATTCACAGACCCCTTGACCTTGACTTCAGCCTTCCCCAGAGCTACACAGGATATCTGTTACTCTCCCTCCCTTTGCCTTAAAATAGCATCAAAATTCTTTTTTCTCCACAAACCTGCTGAGATGGGTGAGAGAAAAGCTAACTACAATGCCTAGTCAGATGTTTTATTATAAGCCTTACCTAAAATTCACCCCAATCTTTGAAACCTATTTTTGAGATGTTTCATCTCAGTGGAGTATAATATATGGACTAGTTTTAATTTTCTCCAAACTCTGCTTTTAATTATGCTCTGTTAAATCTCTATTTTCCATATCTTAATATCTTGAGTAGACTGCATCACTTTCCAGTCCTTTCAGTTATTAAAATTCAGTCCTGCTGGAAACTTTAATCTCATATCCATTTCATATCTCACTGCTTCCCCTTCCATCGTTAGTCAAGAATCCCAGCTCTAGAGACCAGAAATAAGAAGGGTGCAGCTTACTCTTTTGCTTCTTCAGCTCCAATTTTGTTCCTGTGCAGATGTGGGTGGGCTTAGGAAGTTATGTCTGCCGTGAGATACCGTGGAAACAGTGTGTGTGTTATTTTCTTGTGTATTGAACAGCTTTTCTTGGTCTGTTAAGAGAGGGGTGGCCAGGTCTGTTGATCTATGCTTCCTACTCTTTTTTTTTTTATTTGGGGTGTCACCACTATTGGCCAGGAGCTACCTGGGTAACATGACACCTGCCTTTGTTCACCCTCTGTGCTGCTCCATGGAGAAACCTGTAGTCTTCTACTGAGGTCCTCTTCTGTGCCCTGTTAGAGCTGTGGTGGTAGTACATCGCAGTCCTCCTCTCAGCCTGCAGCAAACACCGCATTGTTTTCCAGCAACCCACCTCCGGCTTTAGAAAACTTCAGAAGAGAAAACAGGCATTACTGTGTCTTTAGTTACATAATACACCACCAAGCTGTACACTGTCCAGTTCTCCTAAGACCTTTCTCACCACACTAAGGATGGAGGAGTCTTTCGGTTTTTAGCTCAACAAAAAGCCAGTTGAGGAACAACATTCAAGTTTTTGCTTTATTCTGCCTTCTCCAGTTTTTGCTTTATTCTGCTTTTTGGGTAAGCAGGGAAGACCACTAAGAACCAAGCCACCCTGTAAAGCTGTTAACCCAATCTTCTCTCTCCTCAGCTCCCTCACCAGACATCAGCTCATATATATTGTGGGAATGGAAAGATAGGGTGGGAGGAATGAGAGAGAGGTGTGAGACAGTAATGAACATTGACTGAAGTAGGGCCAGGTCAGCAAGGTTTTAATGAGGGGAGTATGGTTGGTGGTATGGGTGCTGTCTAGTACCAATTGCTGATGTCTTTCTTTAGAACCATTGAAGAGTTTGTTGTTGTTGGCTTGTTCTCACTCGTTTTCTGTTTTTGTTTAATCTGTTCGTGTATGTTTTAAGTAGGTAGTGATAAACTCACAGCTATACTCGATAAGGCAGCAGTAAGATGGGTTGAGGTAACAGTAGGAAGACCAGTTGGAGGAACAGCTGAAATAGCCTTGCCAAAGAACTAGTGGTTTTCTGAATTAATCTTTATTCAATGGTAATGAGAATAATGTGGAGGGGATATATATTTTAAACACAAAAGGATCCTGTTTTCTTTTCCTTGGGTGCAAACATAATGATTTTAACTCATGTAAAGTGCCGTAACAACTGATGTCACTAGTTAATATCACCCATGGTTATGGAATATTTTCTTAAGCTAGTTTCTCTGGTAAAGATTTTCCGAGGATTATCTTATTTAATTCATATTACGTTTTGTGTTATGTATTAATATCTCCATTTGACAAAGAAGAAAGCGGGGTCACAGAGTCCAAAATCCATGGCCTTTGAACAATTATATTTGCTTCTTCAAGTACAGGAGACTTTATGTTAAACTTTGGAGGCATTGCCCTTCTTCAGACATTTGGTAACTCATAACCAGCTAATGAAATTATAACAATAATGCTGACTAATTGACATTAATACAAATACTCTGTGTGCTTTGCAATAATGAAAGAAGTAGCAGGATTCATAATGACAGCTGTCTACTTCGGACTCTGAATTTTCTATTTCATGCCTCTTTACATGGATATATGTTAATTCAGGTACTTCTTTTTGAACACCTAGATTAAATAAAGGACATTATAAATCTATTCCTACTTATGGTTGACTTTGTTTACCTACCATATGTGTTTTCATTTGAAATAACCTTTTGCATATAATTGTTCAAACTTGGATAATATTATGATAAGTAAATCCAGAATTTTTATTAAAGAGTGCAGACAAGTACAATTATTTTAAAAGACAAGCAAAATGATATGCTTTAAAGCAAACTACTGTTTATTAACTATTATTTTATGTCCCTGGAGATCCTTATATAATAAAAAATTGTTCATGTAGAAAAATCACCTTACTGTGTACTTTCAGAAGCAGTTAAAATATTCTAAAAATCATCATATATATTTGTTATTTAATGGAGAAAATCAGCTTAATCTAGTTCATGTATATAAATAATACAAATTAGCATGTGCCATAGACACCATTTATTATTTTAATATTAAATCTGTCTTTTTCTTTACACATTTTAAATCTCCCTTGAGCTTCAATTCACATTAGCCAACTGCTTGTTGACTATGAAGAGGAAATATACAGAAATTCACAGACACTGTAAACTGAGTCCAAAATGGAACTCATCAGTAGTTGTATGCCTTGTCCCTAGACTTCCTTATTCTTTGGTCTTAGTGAATGACTCCATTTCATCTATTTCTCAACCCAGAAACATGAGAGCTCTTCTTAGCTTCTCTTCCTCCCTCTTCCCCATAAATTTATTCATTCACTAGCTTTTCATTCCACCTACTAATACACCAAGAATCTATCCACTTCCTTCCATCATAATTGTCACTCATTTGGGTCGAGCTATCCTTATGACTTTCCTAATTCACCACAGCAGCCCCTAAACTGGTCTTTCTATCTTGATCTTGCCCCTTTCAATGCACTCTCCACTATGCATTAGTCAGAATAATCTTCCTTTTTTTATTTTTTTAAATTATTATTATACTTTAAGTTCTAGGGTACATGTGCACAACGTGCAGATTTGTTACATATGTATACATGTGCCATGTTGGTGTGCTGCACCCATTAACTTGTCATTTACATTAGGTATATCTCCTAATGCTCTCCCTCCCCCCTCCTCCCACCCCACGACAGGCCCCGGTGTGGTGTGTGATGTTCCCCTTCCTGTGTCCATGTGTTCTCATTGTTCAGTTCCCACCTGTGAGTGAGAACATGTGGTGTTTGGTTTTCTGTCCTTGCAATAGTTTGCTCAGAATGATGGTTTCTAGCTTCATCCATGTCCCTTTCTGATTTTAGAAAATTTTGTCATGTCCTCTTCCTGCTCAAGGACCTTCAATGACTCTCTGGTGTTTTGAAGTTCTTTCTCCACCCTGGATCTTTACAAGTGGTGTTTTCTCTTCCTGGAATAACCCCAGGAAATAACCCCATTACTCACCATCTTTACTAATCGAATCCCACTTACCCCTCAGGTTTCAGGTTAAAACATCACTTTTTTCAGGGAAGACTTCATTGGTCTTAAGTCTGGCTTAAAGTAGTTCCCGCGTGTTCTGAGAGCATGCTGTATTTCCCTTCTCACATTGCTGGTAGAATGTTTTAAATCATACTTTCTAGCATCTACCAGATGGTAAAGTCTGTAGCATCAATGGTTTACCATCATTTGCACTTAACCAAGTGCTTGAAATATTTTATGGACTCAATAAATATGTGTTAAATAAAGAATGAGGAATGAATCTTAACAATGTATTTTCAATAAATTATTCATCTATTTTGCTCAAATAGCTATCTTGCTTTATAATATTGAAATTAAGCTGAATACTAATAATTAGTTTTCTATATTAATTAATCACCTTTTAAAACGAGACAATAGCAGAATTTCAAATATCAAAGGCATGGTTGGCTGATAGAAGAAAAAAACAGTTTGAATTTGGTTAATTAAGATAATGTTGAAATTTTATAATAAACTATTCTCATTTAATGAAATAAACATATGAAAACACTCTCTGTGCCTGGTAGCATGTTTGGCACTACAATGTTTACAGACATTAATTTTGTAACTGTTTTGCTCCACATCACCTACTCAGTCTATTCCGGATACATTAGGCTGTTTTCTGGCCCTTATCTTACCAAGGCATACTCCCTTCCTAGAGTTTTGTGCTAGCTGTTCTCTCTAGCTCTTTCCTCTGCATGGAAGGCTAATTCTTTCACTTCATTCATGTATTTACTCTAATACCATCTCTCTGAGGCCTACCTTAACCAACCTACTTAAAATCGTAAGGTGGATCCTAAGAGATAGCACACTTCCTAGCTCTTTTATTCTACATTTTTCTCTATAGCACTAGTCATCTTCAAATATACTATAAAATGTATTATGTTTCTTATTTATTGTCTTTCTTTTCCAAATGTACCGCCCCACAAGGACAAGAATTGTTGCTGTTGTTCAATAATGTATCTCAGGTATCCAGAAGAATGCCTAGCAAATAGCAGGTATTCAGTGCATACTTGCAAATGAAAGAGACTATCATGGCTAATGGTCATAAGAATTTTTAATTAAAAAAAGCAGCATATATTGATTTCTGCGTTAAATGATATTAATTTAATGGCCAGGGAACTTGATGTTTTTTCTTGCCCCCATTGGAAGATTCTAAGAGTATGAAAAATCCACAGCTCTCTGTCTCTCCTGCTCTTTCTTCCCTTTATCTTACCATAACAGTGGGTTGCTGCATAAAGAATGTGTTTTAGCACTTATTACAGTTTATGTAATTCTTTTAAAATCATTATAATTCACAATAAAAGACCAAATGTTACAATACTTGAGAATTCCTATATTATGTGATAGTGTGTGTATAGACATATATAAAAATATGAACTACTGGAGGTACTTTTATTTGACTCATGGCTTATTCTGCCAATACAATACTGAAGTAAATTATTTCTAAATAATGGAAGGATGTGTTTATCAAAATAATTACTAGCCAATTAGCAGCTCCATACACTGAGTTTACCTTCTCTCTTCCTCTCCTTCCTTCTTTTTTTCATTCTTCTTCATCCTCAAGTACTCTTTTTTACCTCCAAGAGCCAATGATGATTTAGATATTTACTTATTTATTATACTGATGCTGACTCTTTTTAAAGGCGAGGGGTTCATTTATATAGCTTACTTATCTATGTTCATTTTAATATTAAAAATGAATATCACTATTTACACAAAACGAAGTTACACTTTGAATTTTTGGACATTTGTGACAAGATAAAATCAGCTATGTGAATAATCTGTTTCTAATTAATAAGATCAAATGATGGCAACAATCCATCTAGCATTTATTTCTCATATTCATTTTCGTTATAATTTGCATTTTACTTAATGGGCATCATGAATATTTTTAATAGTAATAATTCTTCTGTAATGTACTGTTTCTGTTTTTTGCTACACTTCTAAGATTTGAAATTGGAAGGAAATATTTATCCACTTACTTCTCACTTTATAAATACTGTATTTGTCTTGGCCAAAAGATGGTTGCCACCTGTTCTACCTATAGGAAGCCAAAAATGTTGACTCCAACCAATGATTGATAGTGATAAGCAGAAGGAAAAAAAGATTGAAATTCTTTTTGGATGATCTTATTTAATTCAAAATAAGCAAGTAGCATCCAATCATCATTTTTATTGACTTAATTAAACTTTTAAAATTATTTTAGTAGGACTATTTTAAAAATTCATAATAATATTTTTGGAATAAAGGCTCAAAATTCCAAGTTGTCATAAATGAAACCTCATGGGCTTACAGCTTCAGTAACTAGTAATATTAGTAGCATGCATTCTCTGGAATAGAGAAAATGATAGATGATGTGTGATCATGTTAGAGAATGAATCATACAAAATATCAACTGAAATCAATCTTTTTTCATAGCAATCATAGGTATACGAAGTAATATTGGAAATGGCTTAAGCTCCTGTCTGATGGAGAGTAACATCAAGGTAGAGGTAGATGAAATACTGAAGCTCATCTTTTTATCAAACTCCTGCCAGTCTCTGAAGAAGGTCAATAATTATGACAGGACACAGATAAAAGAATGCTCCATATTTCCCAGCACTGTGAGTGACTGAGCATGGCTTTATATGCTTGGCCAAGAGAAACTTCCAGAAAATCAATAAGGAAGTAATAACCATATAGAAAAATCTAGATGTGAGGATTTTTATCTTGTTATTGAAGGAATTACTTACAAGGATGTATACTTGTTAAGTGTTCATCTTTACCTACCAAAATACTGTACTACTCAGTTAAACTTTTAGGTCGTATCATTTTCATACAGGGTGAATAATGATCAACTGCTCTTCATTTCAGTCGCAACCCTGGTGTGCTGTTTGCTGTTGGACTTCTGTCTGCATGAGTGAGTTTTCTTGCAGGTTAAAAGACTGAATTCCTTCTTTTCCTCTCCCTTCGACCCTGAGCCTGGAGGGCAGACAGACAGAAGCACACATATGATTAATACAGCACAGCTGCAAGAGTGAGTCATTTGCATATGTATTAATAGAGGCAAAAAAACCCCAACAACAATTAAATTATATACAGAGACATTTTGCATACTAAAGAACATATGCAAATAGGCCTGAAAAAGTGCAGCCAACATTTTCTCTGACTTTTCCAAGCCCATATGGGCTAGAGTCAGAGCCCAGCAGTTTGTCGAGAATCCCCTTTAAGGAAGAACCTATTAGGAACTGCTTCCATAGTTATTACCACCCCTAGAGTTCCTGGGAGGTGTTGACATTTGGACAATGGAGTCAGTACACACAGTGTCTTTTTCATACTATTTCTGTGTTTTCTTGCTTTCAGCAGCTTCATGGTGTCTTATTACATGCTGACAGAAACATCAGTACACGTGTGTTTTTCCAAAGTATTCATTTTTATTGTAATGGTCGATTAAATAAATGGTAAACTTTAAAATTATATTTGAAATTTTGTTATTACCTATACTAAAGCTATATAACTTCAGTCAGTGCCAGGTTTTCTGGTCACAAGTCCATGCCCATTCCTTGATAGTATCCTGTGTTATCTTAATCAAAACATGTTTTAGGTAACTTTAAAATGTTTCTGGGCTAATAAACATACATAAAAGAACTGCTGTCCCAAGACCAGCAGTAGATGTAATTCTATGAGCAATACCAATTTATTGAAATTTTTAAAGTATACTTTTTTAAATTTTATCAAGAAAAACAGAAATATTCAGTTTTCTAGTTTTGGCTGTGGATAAGAAGAGAGGGCAACTAATGTGTTTCAAGTTCACAGATTATGTTTATCTTAGAAATTTGTTCTTCAGCCTAATTGTTGGTTTAGTTTATTTTACTAGTATTCTTTAATTTATTTAAGGAATATTTTATGAAGACAAATTCAATCTTCGGAGTAAAATTTTACCTAAATAAGAGTTATCACCTTAATAGGACCAATGACCCATGTGAAGACAGATGCATCTTAAGAGGAACAAATGCTGGGGTTTTTGTTACTGTTGTTGTTGCTGTTGATACTAGAAAACTATTTAATATTATCCATGGATTTTTATCCATTATTCGTATGGTTTAGTCAAAGCATGCTACTGGGACATACAAATTGCATTACATACAACTTGTAACATAGGGTGGAGTCTTAATTAAATATACACAGAAAAATGTACTTAATTATGTATAGATACACACACACAAATTTAATGTCTTAGGGGATAATTAGAGGAAAGATAAAATGATGAAAGCAATTTTATCTTTTTAAGCTATTGTCTTTAGATTAATCTTTTAAGAAGCACTTTGTTTAGTGAGAGGCAGTATAACATAATGGTTATAAGTGTGGTTCTTGCAGCCATCTCTTCCTTAAATTATCATACTGTTACTTTCAAGCTCTGTGACTCTGGGCAAGTTACCTAACCTCTCCATGCCTCAATTTTCTTGTCTGTAAAGTGGGTATAAATGACCTCTTATTGTTGAGGATTAAATGAAATAATGCATGCAAAGTCTTGGAACAATAAATGTATTATTTCTCAAATACCATGTGCTGGATTTGAGTTAATATTTAATAGTATTAGCTGATTAATAATTGTTATTAGTAGATTTGAGAACTATTTGTTATTGCTTAAAGGAAGTCTTGAAAATTAGGGCATGGCAGACTTTCCTTACGTTTCAGAGCAGCACTAAAGTGTGTTAATAAAACTGAGACAAAATGTCTTATTTTTGAAGAAATAATTTCATTCATCTCTGTGGTATAAAATAAAGGCCCATCGCAAGAATCTATGGGAGGCAATGAGTTTACTTATCCAGAAGACAATCTGGGCAGTTACATGAAGGGTAGTTTTTCATATTTTGCTATGGTTCGTTCCTTGTTACAATATTTATATCTGTAAAATGAGAATAACATCTCCAGTCAATTCCCATTTTTCCATGGAGGTAATGCAAATGAATTGTTTCTATGTGCTGCCTCTAACTATTCTAAATAAATTTCTTACAAAGTCTAAAATAAATTATTTTTACATAGGTGCTTTTAATGTAATATGCAACTTTTTTATAAATCATATAAAAATATTTTCTTGTATAGCCATTCAAAGCTTATTTATTTCCTAGGTAATAGATACATGTCCTTGATACACTAGGATACATGTCCCTTATTCCACCTACATGTTGTCTACAGCAAAATTATTTCTTGAATTGAGAAAATTTTTATTTGACCAAACAGTTTTATTTCAAACTTGAATATGAAAGTGAATTATTTTTATAGACCCATAGTATCCTGGAATCTTTATTTATTCAGCAAATATTTATTCTTTGTAAGCTATTGAGCTAAGCATTATAAGAAATGCAAAGATGAATCAGTCAAGGATCCTTGGTGGATGATAGAGGAGGTTGAAATGAAAGAGAATGAATGAAATATGAAAGTGGAATAGAGTTTGAAGAAAGGCAAACAACCTATCATTCTAACAAGTGTATTTGAAATGAAAAAGACCTCACAGATGGTTGAAAACGTTGTTTCAAACTATTCACCGGACTCCAAGTATGTTCAAGCACCCTCCAGATAGTACCATTGACTTTTATTTGTTTTATATATTAAGTTCCACTGGTTAAAATTGTTTGAGTTAAAGATTTCTGCTGCTAAGCAAAACTTAAAAACCATTCTTCTATTCCAGCTCCTTAATTTTATGGATGAGGCAATTTAGACTCTAAATAGTGACCTGGCTAAAACAGATATTAACAAAAGGGTGCCCGGAATCCTAGCAACTGAAAATTAAATCTACCTTCTTCCCATTTTGCCATGATATTCTTAAAAATAAATGCATATATTTGTATATGTTATTTTTAAGTTGTTTCGTTTAAAAGGATAGGAAGAGAAATTGTTAATTTTGCACTTAGGCCATTAAATTAAGAAAGAATGAATAAAACAATGGTTAGGATTTGCATATTGGTAACAATGGCAACCTTCTGAATTGCTTTCATTTTGCTGAGTTCAGTGATTGTGCTCTGTGAATTAATTCTTTTGTGGAAAGCTATTGAAAGATCAAGGAATTTAGAAAACAAAACAACAGAGAAGCGTGCTGTTTCATATCTATTTGTACATAGAAGGTTCAAAGTGAGATTGTTTACATCACAAGTCTTGTTGACATTTTATTTGCTTCTTAGAAGAAAGATAGTATTCAAAAATGATTATATAATCATGCAGATAAGACGTTGCAGTCATGAATGAACTGTTCTGAGAGAAGGACCAAGAAGAAAAACCACATGACAATTTCGAGCTGGGTTTGGTTGGCAAGTGTCTTCACAAGACTTGAAAATAGAGCCCTATTTGATTCCTACAGAAAAAATAAAAATAAAAAAAAAAAGCTTAAGCCAGCCCTGCACATTTCAAATTTGCTGTTTCCTGTGGAAGTTTCAGTATTTTCCTGCCAAATTGAGGGTACGAAAACAAGAGGAAAGGGAGGGATGAACTCTAGTTTTTCCATTTTTCTTAATCTTGACCTTTCTCTTAATGCCGTACTCCTTTTTCTTATCCAACTGCTCCTTGAATGAAGAAAGTGAACAAGGAGAAACGGAGGAACAGACTCAAAGTATGCTCACAAATTATTTGCTACAGTGAGCTTTGGGGCAGCGTAATTAATGCCTCTAACATGAAAATTACAACAATATTATGTCTTGCTTTCTCTACTACTAGAACTTCTTCAACATATAATTTTAAAAGTAATAGTGTTAGTGAAAGTTACAATTACTTCCTTTATGGAGTGAAGCAGAACTATAGAAAATATTGTCCTTTCATCTGTAACAGTTGCTTAAGGTAACAGAGACAATTCCATCCGAAATTTCACTATACTGTAGCATATGACTCCTACTATTTTAAATATGTGCTCCAAGTATTTTTCATATGGCTAGTTCCCCACCCCCACACCTGGTTTTCATTCTTTGGTTTAAAAGAAATTTTAAATTATTAGGAATAGTATAACTAAAATATTTGATTAACAGAAAGGAGATAAGCAAAGACACTTAACCAAACAACAACAAAAAAAGTTAAACCAAACAATAAAAAAAGTAAACGCCCTTACACATTCTTTATTTTTATTCTTGTTTTGGTTTGATTTATGCTGCTGCTGGTTTTCTTCCAGAGAAATTTTGAATTTTGATGTTTTTGTGTGACCTAAGATACAAGCCTAGCATTAAATACAATATAAAACCATAAAATATCAAGTTTTTGTACATAGAATATTTGCACGGTAACCAGTTAGTAGTATACTAGTATACTGAGAGTGAGTAACCAGTTAGATAACTTTCATGACTTGAGGTGTTTTTTTTTTCCTTTAAAACATGCTCCACTAAATTTTATTTAAACATTTACAAATGTTAAAACTTACAAGTAATAATATTTAAATGGTAGGTTTGATATAATGGGTTATGAGCTTGAGCTCTAGGATAACACAGGCCTTATTTGCATGTATCTTTGATCAAGATATTGAATATCTCATAGTCTCAGTGTCTTCACCTGTGAAATGAGATACTGTTATTCCTACATGATAAAGGTGTTGTGAGGATTAAATGACATGGCACACACGAAATACTCAGCGTAGTGTAAGCATTCAGCCTCATTAGCTGTTATATTCATCATTATCTCCTAGATTCAAGGGTATAAAACTGGCAAAGAGCCTATCCATATTTCAAGTTAGCAAGTAACTTTCTTGGATGCAGAAATTATATTCTGCAGTATAAAGGTTTAAGGCAAATAGAGAAATTCATCTTAATTCAAGTTTCGGTTGAACACCTTTGGAAGCCAAGTCCTCATATTTAATGCAAGCAGAACGTCTTTATGAAAACAAAATATCCCTTAAGTATAAAAATCTTTTCTTCTGAATGTCAGATTACAAAAATGTATGTTTCAATTCTTACTAAAAATACAAATAATCTATGTCTCTCTTTCTTTCCATTCCGTAAAAGTTACTAGAGCTTTGCTTTAATAGCACTGACAATTATTTGTGAAAGGAACAAACATTCCTCTTGGAAGGGCAAGCCATTGTGTTACTGGAAATTTGCAGTATTTGTCATAATAAAGAGAGTTTTACAGCAAGAATGAATAATTAGGGCATTATAAAGGCAACCAAAATAGCTGGCCTACCTATGATGATCCATTCTAACCTCCCATATTGCTCTACAAATACAGCAGTGAATTAACGCATTTATGCCCGGTGTTCCGTTATTGGAATGCTAAGCTTGTGGGAGTTCTTTATATCCTACTGCTTAAGGTCATTGCCAGTGTCTTCTTTTTCACACACAAAAAAACTGCAACCTCTGGCATAAATGGATTAAGGGTTCTAGTCTCAACCTGCCTCAGAAGTGATGTATGAATCTGGTCTCATGTCTTTTAACCTACTTAGCACTCAAGTTTTCTTATTTGTTAAATACCTATAAGTATAGCTATCTACCTATATCTCATGGAGAAAGGGATAAGATAAAAAAAAAAAAAAAAAAAGCACTAATGAAAGCAGCCAAGAGCCCAGAAATCCCCAGAAGGAAACTCTGCACCTTGTGAGTGGACTTTCCTGATTCATGGACACATTTATTCATGTGCTATCAAGGAAAAAATGGGAGAAGAATAATGAGGCAAGCATTGATTTGAGGCATTCGAAAGAAATGCTTTGGAACCTTGAAAATTGTCAAGCCAGCACTGAAGATCCAATTAAGCAGGAAAGTTTTAATTATTCTCATTCCATCTCCATGGAATAAGAAGGAAGATGAGCAGGTCAGACCAGGGCTAGATAACCCAAGAGACAACCTAAGAACATTAAGAACATGATTACACATGAAAAAGAAGGACCATCTAGAAATAAATAAGTAAATGACAAGTTGGACATAAAGTAGTTTCATAGCAGAAATCAGAATGCTGTTTTATTTTGAACTGCATAGCCAACTAGATGGACACCATATACTTTTTGGTCCTTAGGGCTTCTAAAGATTTAAAAATAGGAATTTCCAAATATTTACCTTTCTGTTCCTATTTCTTGACTATCTCTCTCCGTTTCTCTGTCTCTTTCTTTTTCTCTTTCCTTTTTTCTTCATTTTTTCCTCTATTTTTAACTACCTTCCTCTGTTAATTCCTCTTTACCTCTTTCTTCCCCTTAACTATTTTCTTCAATACTTTCCTCCTCTCTTTTTTCTTCAAGTTCTAGCTATGTTTTTATTCTCCCACAATTGTGAAACAATGGAGGGACTGTCTTCTTTAGAAACATTTGCTTGAGGCCGGGCGCGGTGGCTCATGCCTGTAATCCCAACACTTTGGGAGGCCGAGGCAGGCGGATCATGAGGTCAGGAGTTCAAGACCAGCCTGACCAACATGGTGAAACCCCATCTCTATTAAAAATACAAAAATTAGCCGGCGTGGTGGCAGGCGCCTGTAATCCCAGCTACTCAGGAGGCTGAGGCAGGAGAATCATTTGAACCCAGGACGCAGAGGTTGCAGTGAGCCAAGATCACGCCACCGCACACCAGCCTGGGCAACGGAGCGAGACTTAGTCTCAAACAACAAAAAACAAAAACAAATATTTGCCTGTTGGCTGAACAATTCTGTTAGTAATCCATATGTGAGCACATGAGTCAAGAGCTGGAATTGGGGATTTCAAGTGGCAAGGATGGTGGATATCAAAGAAAAAGATATCTGGGATTGTTTTGTCTAAATATAATTGATAACATCATATATATTAGAAGATACAAGCCTTCAAATGTTTTCATCCATATTTCATCTCTTTGTATTAATAAAGCCAAATAACTTTAAAGAGAGAGGATTCCATTTAGACCGTAACACCAGTAACAGCCCCCACTTTCACCCACTCTCCCATTAGAATGAGATGTTTTCAAACTGTGTTTCAGAGATTGGGAAGGAAGTGTGAGTTCTCTTGGCAAGGAAAAACGTAGAGGTGGAAGCACAGCTCATTATTTTTGTACTCAGAAAGTACTACACAATTGGTTTCTTAGCATCAGTTGAAATGGAAAGAATTGCTTTACACTTTGTTTGTTTAAGAGTCTACTATCATTACGTTATATTCTTATTATCTTAAATGGTGTATGGTGAACCCTGACTACCTGCTCTCCTGCACACTTAAAACATTTGCTATTCATTCTTTATACGCATATGGTATATTATACATATATAGGGATCAATCTAAGTTAGCTAGTGTTTTAGAAAACCTTTATAATCTAAAATGGTAGCAAATTCCCACTTTCTAACTCCTTCTTAGGAAGAAAGGCCAAAATGTTTAAGAATTAAAAGTCAAAGTTGTTGAGTGAGATCCTTTTTATCTTGTTGCATTTGTATCTTTTGTTTTGTAATTTCTAAAATTATTATACAGTAAAATTGGCTATATTTTGGATGTACAATTCTGAATTTTCACCACCTCTGTAATCAGGATATGGGACAGTTCCATCAACCCCCAAAATTCTCTTGATCTCCTTGACAACCTCAGAAAGCAATTCTCCAATCTCCTCCTCAGAAAGTCTAAGCCTGGCTGATAAGACAGTGGAGTTTGAGCGTGGGCTGGAACCAGGTGTCTTACATTGTAATAGGTGTTCTTTCGCTCCCTCCATTTTATAACTGCTTTCAGTTCTGTTTAGTGTCTTTCAATCCAGCATTTGCTCTAGAAAGTAAACACTTGGTTTTCTCTCTATATTACTCCTCACCTTATTTTGCTGAGGTAAATTTCTACTTTTAATTTTATTCTTAAAAATTTTAATTGTGCCCTAAAACTTTACTAATTTGTGTGAATCCTCTGTAGGTTTCTTTTTATCATGGTAAAATATGTTTAACATAAAATTTACCATATTAACCATTTTTATGTACACAGTTCAGTGGCATTACATACATTTACACTGTTGTACAACCATCACCACTACCCGTCTCCAGAACGTTTCATCATCCCAAACTGAAACTACATACCCATTTTTCAACAACTCCTCATTCTCCCATCTTCTCATCTCTGGTAGTCAGCATTCTACCTTCACTCTCTATGAATTTAACTGTTCTAGGCACCTCTTGTTACTTAATCATACAGTATTTGGCCTTCCATATCTGATTTTATTCATTTAACATAATGTCTTCAATGTTTATCCATGTTGTAGCATGTGTTAGAATTCCATGCCTTTTTAAGACTGAATAATATTCCATAGTATCTATGTACCACATTTTGTTTATTGATTCCTCCATCTATGGACGTTTGAGTTATTTCTACCTTTGGGCTATTATGACGAATGCTGTTATGAATATTGGATATACACATATCTCTTCTAGATCCTGCTTTCAGTCCATTTTCGGTATATACCCAAAAGTGGAATTGCTGGATCATGTGGTAATTGTATGTTTCTTTTTTTATGATTGTTATCCTAATGGATGTGAGGTGATATCTAATTGTGATTTGGGTTTTCATTTCATTAATTATTAGTGGTTGAGTATATTTTTGTATGTTTATTGGTCAATTTTATACCTTTTTTTGTAGAAATGTGAATAAGATTATTTTTGATAAAACTTCTGAGAATTGATTCCTAGATAATATTTGCTTTGTAATATTTCTCACTTTAGGTAGGTCTTTTATATTTCTTGAATGAAAGAGGGATAAATGAGCAAGTAAATGAATAACACTGTTTCTAAGTACCATCTAGAGCATTTGAGTCTTAGTAACCACTAGATTTGCTACTTGGGGCTGGGCTACATCTTATAATCTAGAAATAAGAATAGTAATATTTCCTGCCCCATGGTATTGGTATGCAGATTAAACAATGTGCAAAACACTCTTAACACAGTAGCATATCAAGATCAAATTAAAATTTGCTAATAAAAATATATCAGTGTTTATAATTATCTAATACATTTGTCTTATAATAATACTTAAATGCTTTATGCTTCTGTCTCTACTGTTCATATGTTAGGAGTACTCTTTTATAATTGAAATATTTTTTAAAAGCATAAACTTCACAGGATCTAACTCAGTACCTTTCAAAAAATGTTTTTGCTGATTGAATAAAAGAATGGATGAATGGCATATGCATGTGTGTGCCAGTCTCCTGCACACACACAAACACAACTTTGTTACATTTGACCTGTATGGTTTAAAAGTTTCACCATGTTGTTTTTCTCATTACTACCCTTGAATCCAAAGTATGCATTTCCTCAAACTCTATTGGATTGATCTTTAAAGAATGTTTAAGTCTTCTGGAAAGGTATCAAGTTAAAAAAGAGGTGGCAAAAGTTTGTTTTTTATTTTTAATGGCTAAAATAATAGACTATAGATGAGTTTATCTGAATTTCGTTTCTGATTTTCTGACTTATTCTGTGGCATTAACAATACCATATCTCTGATTTTCTGTCAATAAAATAATAGTAATAATATTTACCAATTAAATTAATGATGGTATAGCATAGTATTTAAGTAGGATTTTGTGAATCTTTTATTAAAGTTTATGGAAGTGTGATGTACCAGATCAATGGTAAGTTGACGCAGTGTTGATATATTTTAATGGGTAAATTTTCCCAATTATGTGAGATAAAATGCTACTGGAAAAATATTTGTTTCTTGTACTAAAATATTTTCACTTCACATCTGATGGATTTTTCTTCATTTTAAAAAAATCACCCTTTTTATTTTCAAATTCGCTGAGATCTGAGTTTGGAGTTCACATACTGATATCAACCAACCATTGAAGTGTAGGATCAGAAAAGGAATAAGTGATGATCCAAATAAAAAAGAGAAATATTAGATTTTTTTAAAAAAGCTAATTTGTCACTTCACTCATTGGAATATGAACTGAATAGACTTCTAGCCCTTAAAATACTTTTTTTTTTCTCTTTTTATTGCCTGGAATCTTAAGAGCTTTATCATTTGCAGTCATAAAATGAAAATATACACCAAACCCTCAAAGGGCAAGTATGAAATTAAATTATATTTGGGCAGCTGTAACCTTTTAAAACGATCAGATTCCAGTTAATGTATTTCTTCCTGTTCCAAGTGCTGCCATGGTGTTTGATGGTGGGAAGCAGTCCAAAGGGCATTGGGAGATAATAAATTCACTGTAAATTTCACCCCAAGGCATGTCTCGATACACCAAGGCCTCCATTTAGCAAGGCTGACCTAAAACTCTTGTCACATCCAAAGGTCATTTAGGTTGGGGTTGGTGTGTCCCATCTATCTTTCCTTGATGTAAAGAGTGACAGTTGAAACAGGATTGAGCTCATAAACAGTCATCTGAATATGAAAAAGAAGCTAGCTTTGGAGTAGGAAGGGAAAATGAAGAGAGAACTACCTTTTACGGTGTGACTAGCAAATGCCGTGGTTTTTGCAAAGTCAGTGAAGGGTGGGTTGATCTCATAGCTCTTGTTTCAGAGCATTCTTTAACTTGGAAGGCATTACTGGATTTGGTTGATTTAGGATCTGGTACTCTTTCCTCTTCTATTTATATTTGTTTCCAAAGCTGGGTGTATGTTGAGTATTTTTTAAAGAATCTAATATTTCCAACCTTCTTTTACTTTGAAATCACAATATTTCTTCCCCCCTTTGCACCTGTTCTCTTTAGTTCATATACCAACACATGGGAATAAAATAGGAGGAAATTGTTGTAGAGAAATAAAGCCTAATGTGGTCTTGGAAAACAGTGATTTTTTCTAACGCCCTCTTAATCATGCACTTTTTTAATTGTAAAATATAAATAACATAAAACTTACATTTTAACCACGTTTAAGTGTACAGTTCTGTGTAGCATTATATACAATGTTATATAACCATCACCACTGTCTGTGTCCAGTACATTTTCATCATGCAAAATAGAACCTCTGTATTTATCAATTATTTCCTATTTCTTATTTCCTCTTCCCCCATCCCCTGATAAGCTCTATTCTACTTTCTGTCTCTGTGAATTTGCATATCCTAAGTACCTTGTCCTTTTGTGTCTGGTTTATGTCATTTAGCCTAATATTTTCAAGGTTCATCCATGTTGTTGCACGTATCCCTCAAACATATACTTTAAGAATGACTTTAGTTCTCTCAAAAACAACATTTACTTATAAATGTTAAGAATTGTGGATGTATAAGTTCTCAATTATAATAATCATAACTAATATGTAGTGTCAAATAGAGAAATATTAAACAACTATGTGACAAATAATGAAAGATTAAATTCTTGCAAGTCTTCTTGGGAAAAAGTTTAAAAATCCTTTCATGAAAGCAGAGATAATTATTTACTGACATTTTCTAATTATTTAGAGTAGTGCTTGGCACATAATAGGTCCCCAATAAATATTTATTAAATGAATGCATCAATTTAAGGCAGGAGAGCAGAAGTTAAGAGTTGTTTCTCTGTATTGCTTCGTTGGTACGTGAGAAATAGGTCCTGTGCAATTGAAAATGAAGCCTATTGTGATCAAAAAAGTCAATGAAAGTAAAAATGAATTGTAAATGCAAGGTGCTATTGGAGTGTGTTATTGTTATTTTAATTGATTTATGAGTTATATGTGTTGGGGTAGTGAAAAGGACTCATTTTTGCTATACCTTTTTCTTTTTCAAATGGTCTAGAAAAATCGAGGTTGGCCACCATGAATTTACTCAAAGCATAGAGTTTTATATGATTAATTCTTCATATAAATTATACAAGAAAGAGGAAATATTTAAATAAAGATGAGGCTCAGAATGTTGAAAATTATATATATAGATTTATTCTGTAATCGATTTTAAATCTGTAAAAATGTGATTAGGTAGATATTACTTCAATTAAAAGTGGGTTGTAGGTGAAACAAACCCTCCCAATCTATTCTCCATATTATGTCTAGACTAATCTTGTAGAAATAGAAATCTAATTCTGTCATTCCTCTTATTAAATTACTATATATTCCCATCTACCTTTGTAGACATCTCTCCCACTGCACTGCGTCTCACTGGCTTCTTTCTGACACTACAAACTTGTCATGTTTCCTCCCAGCACGTAGTTTTTCTGCCAGTTTTTTTTCCTCCTGTATGTATGTAATTATATCAGCTCATCCTTCTGACCTCCAGGTATTCATAGTTACAGGAAAGTCTTTCCTGATTTGCCTGCCTGTAGTGTAGCTCTCGCTTGCATGCTCTTAGAGCACCATATACTTCTATTTTGTAGTATTTTGCACATTTGGGATTTTACTTTTCATTTGTGTAATTATTTCATTGATGGCTTTCTTGTTCTATGTAAGCTCTATGGAGCTAAAGACCTAGAATGAAACTGGCATTTTATAATTTTTTTCCATGAATAAAAGCATGAATGATAAAAGATAATAAGAAGTATAACAGCTTTCTCCATATTGCATTACCTTGTTTCCTACAATTACTTAAATGGTTAAAATACATATCAAATTGAGAAGAAAACCACACTGAAGCGGTTTTTACTGGCAGTAGCCAAAAGGAAGTAAATGGATGAAAGATGCCAGGAAAAATTTCCTGTTGGACACTTCACATTTCTTTCTTGTTCTGCATCCCCAATACTATCGCTTTTTATCAGAAGAGCCCAGCCTCCATAAAAGGTGCTTTCTGAATTACCCTTCCCAGGTTTGTCTCTTTGTTTCAGAGCACACAAACCCTACTACTGTATTAAAATGACCAGAAAATAGATTCCTAAGACATAGGCTAAGAGTTAAGAGCTCTGTAAAAAGTCAAAAAGATTTGGATTCCAACTTCAGCTTGATCTCTTACCTATGCAACTTTGGACAGATGACTTTTACTCTTTCTTGGCTTCAATGTCCTGCTCCATAAAGTAAAAATAATACCTATTCCCTAAGGTTGTTGAGAAGGTTCCAAGAGATATGACATGGACATGTCTCACAGTAAGCATTCTATAAACTTCAGCTATTATGATTATTATTGCTGCTGTTATTCTCTGTCCAGATTTCCCCTGAAATGTAGTTTTATTTAGCATAATTTGTATACTCAAAGAGCCAAAACTAATATTTGTATGTGATACTTTCTTAATCTTAAAGGTTTATGAGGGAAGGAGGAAGAAAAAAGTAAGAGCGGAATCCGTAGGAAGCAGTCCTTTTTTAAAACCTCTCATATGTGTTGTTTGTTAGTAATAACAGCAAAACAAAACAGCAACCAAAACAACAACAATAATAGCAAACTTAAGTGACTTTGTGGTTTCTTCAGGGAGCGTTGAGTTCTGCTACTACTGACTCAAGAAGTCTTTCACTCTTGAAGCCTTTAACCCTTGGCCTTGGAAACTATTATTTTTGACTCAGAGTTCAGGGGAAATTCCTTTTTTCACTGGCCAGCAGGTGGGGGATTCCACCTCTATCCCACTGCAAAAGAGATGAATTTAATCATAGAACATTTTATCTGGAAAGTGTTTTCCCATAGTAGCATTACATCACAGAAGAATTTCAGGGCCACTTGGACTTCTGATACTACCAGTTGTTTAACCTTTGGCAAGTTATTGAACCACTGTTCAATTCGTTTTTCATCTTTCTCACCAAACTCACAAAATTGTTATGGTGATCCCTGAAATAGTATGCAAGCTTCTAGCAAAATGATTAACATATCGTAGTCATGGAGAAAATCGTGGTTCTTGTACTTCCTCCCCTTATGTGTTTCAAGTATTTGCAAGCCTCCAGCAAGTATGTACTCTGGAAGTATGTTTTTTGACATGCAAAATAATATGTAGTCTGATTTAATATGAAATAACTCAAATTGTCTTTATATTGAGTTAGAATGCTGTTTAAAAATGGCTTGATTACTACCCCCCAATCTGTTGGGATACACTGAACAGTGATTTCACAAATATGAACTTAGCCAAAGACAAGTGTTTGCTTTAGAACTCTTTCTGATAATACTGTAATTCTCATAATACCCAAATTAAATAATGAAATTTAGTAACCACAGAAATTTTTCTCCTGATGAACAAGCATTTCTCTTCTTACCGTTGCTTTGAAGGGAATTTCAGCAATATTTTTCCCTAAATTAAACTAATTAAAGATATAAGTATAATCACTGATACATAGAGAGATCTGAAGAGCCTTCCAGCCAGTGTCCTTCTTACCTTGCCAGATGGAGATGTATTTGCTGGTTGGTGACCTCAGGAATAGATGCAGAGTGTTCATCCTCCCACAGTAACAAACAGCAAGTCTGGAGCGGCATAAAAAGGGTCAATCGAATAGGTCATACATCATATGGGGAGGCAGATGTTGGAACATATTGTAATGGATTACTGTGCAGTACACGAAGATGGCTTATGGAGTAGAAATACAGGGAGGGAGTGAGCGAAAGAGAAACTATCAGTTGGGGTGTTCTTACATGACTCTCGCAAAATATATCTGGTTCTTTAAGGAACTGCTTCAATTATAAAAGTCAAAATGTTTTTTTTTTCTAGCTGTTTAAGATTTATTGGTGTGTAATGAAGAAAGCCTTTTAAAACCCCGTGCATTTGAAGTGTTTCTTATTTATAGGCTTTAGTATCTGCAGTGTGACAGAGACAGCATGAGAGCATCATACCTGTGAAAAAGGTCTTAAGATTTAAGTAAGTTCAAATGTATCTTTAATTTTTAGCAGGATGCTGTCTTCACACCCTCCTAACACTCCACCCCTCATTGATAGCTTCATATTCTATCCAAGTATCACACTGAGTAAGACTGAATTTGCAATAGAAAAATCAAGATTGTCTATGTATTATTAATATTTGGTGATAGCAGCTTTAAATAAATTACATTATATCTTCTGTACATGTATTCACTATAGCTTTTTAACAGTAAAACCCAAACTATAGCCAGATGTAATTATTTACTTTTGTATCCAAGCTTTTCCAAGTTATATCAGGCAAGAGTGATATTTTCAAGGAAGTGTGGGTCATAATAATAATTTATGCCTTGGAGCCCATACCTCCAAGCCCCCTATTTCACCAAGCATGCTTCCCAGTGGCTCACCTGTTTTCTCTGAAGGCAGAAAATTTCATTTCTGAAGTTGGTAACATTTTTCCCCTGATGGCTTATCCTCCTGCCATCTATCTTTTTTTTTTTTTTTTTTTTCTTGAGACAGAGTCTTGTTCTATTGCCCAGGCCTGGAGTGCAGTGCCACAATCACAGCTCACTGCAGCCTTGAACTGCTGGGCTCAAGCAATCCCCCTGTCTCAGCATCCTAAGTAACTAGGACTGCACATGCCATTATGCCCAGCTAATTTTATTTTATTTTTAAGTTTTTGTTGAAATGGGGTTTCGCTATGTTGCCCAGGCTCGTCTCAAACTCCTGCCCTCAAGTGATCGTCCCACCTTGGCCTCTCAGAGTTCTGGGATTACAGGCTTGAGCCTCAGCAGACAGTCACTAACCTCTGGTGATACCAACTAACTCTTCAGCCTTTTGAGGCCTTTGTCCACTCAAGTCATTTTCTTGCTTGACCTGATAATTCAAACCCTTATACACCCAACAACTGCAACTTTGTTTTTTCAATTATGCTCCACTGACATAACAGCTGTTAGCTCTCCTTCATATGGACAAATCTATAGCAAGTCTGAGTTTGTTCATTCTTTCACTGTAATACATTTTTTTCTTGCCATCAAGTTTCATTAGAATTTGTGTACAAATACAAAAGATTTTAAATCTCTCAGATTATGTGTATGTGAAGTTGCTCCTCCCGGTGACTCTATTCCTTAGTATACCCTTCCTTACTCCCTTCAGGAGGAATTCTTCCCCAACGGGGACTCCAGACTGGAAATTAAGTGACAACCCTTCCCACTTTCCTCTAGGCACCTTTCCCCAATCACTTTTCCCCCATGGTCTGTGATAGAACTGGGGAAGCAGCAGGAGAAATGTTTCACAATCCCAGCCTCCACCCACTTCTGTGGATTAACCACTTAGGAGGTTAGCGGAGAATTCTTTCCATCTATTCTCTACCCCTGTCCCTTTCCGCTCAGGTTTGACCAAGAGTCTCAGTCCTGAGAGCTGGCTGTCAGCCCTGTCTACTCTTCATTTTTTCCAGGCGTCACCTTAGTGGTTAATGAAAGTCGTCAATGTTCAGAGTCCTACCTTGGCATGCCCAGTATTCCTTGACGGATACAAAGAACACATATCCCTTTAGAACCCTCATTGTACCTCTCCTCTGTTAGGATTTTTGAAAATTAAAGAATAAAAAATTACTTTTTGTGTAAGTATATAAAAAATTCATTTGAGAGGTAACTATCTATATGTATTACCTTTTTCCACCATTATGGTGTTTATTATTATGAATATTTTGATAATAGCTATACAGTACTATTAAACTGGACTCTTGCACAGTCTCTCTGATAGGTTTTACCCTTTAAAGTCAAATTCAAATATATAAAGAAGTTTTACCACTCAATAATAAGGCAGCTCAATTTGTAAAATACATTACGGGATATAAATACAATCCCATTATTGGGCATATACCTAAAGAAATATAAATTGGATAAATGTGGTGCATATACACCATGGAATACTATACAGCCATAAAAAAAGAATGAGATCGTGTCTTTTGCAGGAACATAAATGGAACTGGAGGCCATTATCGTTAGCAAACTAGCACAGGAAGAGAAAACCAAATACTGCATGTTCTCACCTATAAGTGAGAGCTAAATGATAAGAACTTCTGGACACACAGAGGGGAACAAGAGTCACTGGGGCCTATTTGAAGGTAGAGAATGGGAAAAGGGAGAAGAACAGAAAAAAATAACAATTGGGTACTAGGCTTAATATCTGGGTGACAAAATAATCTACACAACAATTCCCCTGACACAAGTTTACCTGTATAACAAGCCTGCACATGTACCCCTGGACCTAAAATTAAAAAATTTAAAATAAAACAAAACTCAAATATATAAGTAATTCTTACAACTCAATAATAAGACAGCTTAATTTTTTTTAAAAAAAGCAAAAGATCTGAATGCATATTTTACCAAAAAAGACAGGAATGGCTAATAAGTACATGAAAAGATGCTCAACATCATTAGAGAAATGCAAATTAAAACTACGAGATACCACTTCACACCTGCCAAAATAGTTATAATTAAAAAGACAATACCAAGTATTGATGAAAATATAAGGCCGGGTACGGTGGCTCACGCCTGTAATCCCAGCACTTTGGGAGGCCGAAGCAGGTGGATCACGAGGTCAGGAGTTCGAGAACATCCTGACCAACATGGTAAAACCCCGTCTGCACTAAAAATACAAAAAAATTAGCTGGGCGCGGTGGCACACGCCTGTAATCCCAGCTACTCAGGAGGCTGAGACAGTAGAATTGCTTTAACCTGGGAGGCGGAGGTTGCAGTGAGCCAAGATTGTGCCATTGCACTCCAGCCTGGGCATCAGAGTGAGACTCTGTTTCCAAAAAAAAGAAAGAAAATATAGAGAAACTGGAATCTTCATACGTTGCTATGGAAATGAAAGATGGTTCAGCCACTTCAGAAAAGTCTGACAATTTCCTTAGAAGGTAAACATGAAGATACCACATTACTCAACAAATCCAATCCTAGGACATGGATAAGCAGAAGAAATGAAAACACACAAAAACTTGTACCGGAATGTTCATAGCAGGATTATTCACTGGAAAATTGGAAAACATCATCCAACTATCCATCAGCTAGATAAATGGATAAACAAATATTATACACCCATGCAAATAAATACTTTTCAACAGTACAATAACAGGCTACTGATACATGCTGCACCTTGGAGAGAGTTCAAAAATGTTACGCTAAGTGAAAGAAACCAGATCTCTTTTTCTACAGTCTCTTCCAGCATTGCCCCAGTAGTGGGGACAACAAAATAGCTTTACCTCACATCTGGCCAAAGAGAAGTAAAAGGAATGTGTTATTTCAAAAAGGGGGAGGAGGGTCTTCTGCTGTGTACAGAAAAGTCTTAAATGCTAATAAACATATTTTGTTGGTTGATTTGAAGGTTAACTTTATGGCTTTGCACGTGATGTTCCTTCTGCCTGGAATATTCTTGCATTTTAACTTCATCCTGCACTTCCTTGAGGACATATGTAGCAGGACTGCAGCCATGTCAGATCCTGGCCCCCACTTCAGAAGCTCTTTACAAGTCAGTCGAAGTCAAGATGATGAGCCTATTTAGGACAGAAGCGATTCCTTGTCTCTTGAATGGAGCTAGGGGTGGGAAGAGGAGGGACACAGGCGCAGGCCCAAACCTGCTGTCCTTGGGCCACCAGGTTTTGACATGGAGCTGCAAGGAGACCAAGAATTCTAAATTCAAACCTGTCCTCCAGATTTCCAAACTGAAGGTCCGTAGTCATTAAACACTAACTTCCTAATTCCTCCCTCCCCTGAGCCCCTGAAAACCACCATTCTGCTTTCTGTCTCTATGAATTTAATTTCTCTAGGTAATTCATATAAATGGAATCATACTATATTTGTTATTTGGTGAGTGGCTTATTTGCTTAGCATAGCATAATACCTTTAAGGTTTATCCATGTTGTACCATGTGCCAGAATTTCATTTCTTTCTAAGGCTGAATAATAATTCATTGTGTGTATATAGCACAGTTTGTTTATCCATTCATCCATCAGTGGACATTTGAATTATTTCTACCTTTGGGCTGTTGTGAATAATTCTGCTGTGAACATGGGTGTACAGATATCTTTTTGAGATCCTGCTTTCAATTCTTTTTTGTGTATGACCAAAAGTAAAATTACCAGGTTATATAGTAATTCTATCATTAATTTTTTGAGGAACCACCATATTATTTTTCACAGTGACAGGAGCATTGCACAGTCCCATCAGCGATATACAAGTTTCCAATTCCTCCACATCCTTGCCAGCATTTGTTACTTTCTGGTGCTTTTTTTTTTTTCTCTTTTGATAGGAGTCGTCCTAATGGGTGTGAAGCAGTATCTCTTCTGCTTTTGATTTGCATCCAGGTCATTTTGAAAATAGGTTTGTCAAGACGGGAGAATGAAACATGTTTAATTAGGCAGTTCATTGACTTATGAATTATAAATTTTTATACCTTCGACATGTGAGTTCCTATCTGTACTTCTGTCCTGGTATTCAGCACAGTGAAGGCCTATCGTGGTTTTCATGCATTACACTTGAAGAACATGCAAAAGAAATGCTGACAGTGTTAGGGAAAGTCCATGTTTAAACTCAAGTTGCTATGATAATTTTCTATGATAATGTGAAAAAACATTATGAAAAATAATGGGCAAAGCAAATTTATTCATACTGAAACATGCTGCTGTGTTTTGAAAGATTTTCTCCAGTACATTAGTTTCTCTTTAAACTCCACATTTAAGTTACATTAGGAAGCTGAAATTAAGCTATAAAGATAACACTTATGGAGCCTTGAAATTGCTTTCTGAATTTTTGCTCACAAATGATATTCCCTGTTCCTCCTCTTAAAAACAGGAAGAGAAAGAAGAAATAAACAAATACTTTTCCGTCAAATATATATAGTACATATCTTTTTAGGTTTTATTTAAACTTTAACAGGTCATATTCAACAATTTTTTTAAATCATAATAGATGACATATATTTTAAAATCTCTATTCCAAATATTTAACACATTGCATATATGTTAATTGTTCTTGCCACATTTCAAACCCTGGACTCAAAAGAAATCTTCCATTTTTATAAGTATATTTGACCTGGGAGGTGCTATTAATCATCAAGATTTTAGCTCTATAATGTTCTTTTAGAAGATGTAAGTCTATATATTTGTTTATGTGCAATTTTAGAAGTGACAGCTATTTATTTTTGAGTGAGGACTTTATCACTGAGGATGAAAAAGGATTACAACTTTTTCCTTATGCCTACTTAAACTCTTGGGGTGAACTAAACAATCTCATTGGTCACATTTTAATAAAATACTTAAAAATCTCAATGACCTGACTTGGATTATATGAATGTATCAAATTATCACATGTACCCTCAAAATATGTACATCTAATGTATATCAATAAATTTTACATATTTTTAATATATTTTATTGATATTCATTTATGGCATACCTCTCCTTTCTCTGTTTTATATACTGGTGTTTGATATGAGATTACACTGGGAGAAAAGGATAATACGTATAAAAATAATTTTAAACAATTTCACAAAAATAGTATTAAATGGTATGCATGCTCTTATCACTCTCCATTCAGATAATAACAGTGTAAAAAGTTCACAAATTATCTTTAGGAATCAGTATGTTTTATCATACAGTACTTAAGAAAGACATATTTCAGTTGTAATCTTAATGTGTTTTTTTTTTTTTAATTTAAAATGCCTTTTGTGCCCAGCTCTCCTATGAAGTTTAATGAAGTTGGTGATTTGGGGGAGAAGAAATGTAGGGAGGATGAAAAGGGGGAGAGTAAGGGTAGAGAGAGGATGGTGGACATAACATACTTTGCACTGTCTTCACAATAAGGTAGAAATATCTCCATCTCCTAATCCATGCCTGAAGTAAAGGAAAATAGTTGGATCAAACCATACACTGTCATATGCTGCTGGCTCCTGGGTAAGTGACTGTATATGGCATCATCTCTGTCTCCTGTGCCTTTATCCAGATTGCCTGGGCACACAAAAGGGAGACCTGTAGCAAGATCCCAGTTAAAATAAAAATTAAAGATCCAGCAATCCCGCTTCTGGGCATGTATCCAAAGGAAATGAAATCAGCATGTTGAAGAGATATCTGTACTCCAGTGTTGATTGCAGCATTATTTACGATAACCAAGACATGGAATCAACCTTATTGTCCATCAGTAGATAAATGGATACAGAAAATGTGAGATATATGTATAAATACACACACACACACACACACACACACGCACACACACACACACGATGGAATACTTTTCAGCCTTGAAAAAAAAATCCTGTTATTTGTGAAAACATGGATAAACCTGAAGCATATTCTGTTAAGTGAAATAAGCAAGGCACAGAAAGACAAATACCATGTGATCTCATTTACCTGTGGAATCTAAAACAGTCAAACTCATGGAAGGAGAGAGTAGAATAGTGATTACCAGGGTAGAAGGCAAGGGGGAAAGAGGAGACATTGGTCAAATAATAATTTTATAAAATAGAAAATTAAACTTTAAGCAAACTAAAAGGATCCCAAAGAAACAGCTTATACCTACCAGCAACCGTAACTCCTACTAAATATCTTTTACTTTCTAAATAACAAATATTTAAGATTCGGCAAGTAAATTGTGTATATTTATTTATCAAAAAGAAGGCATTTGTCATCTGTCTTTTCCAAAATACTGCAGAATATCCATATGCTTCAACTCTTGGTTCTGTTGCCTTTTGAAAAGATACTTTTAACTTTTTTCAAATAATCTTCACCCATTTTTGGTATTTATTTTGCAAATAGACATTCAGTTACTGTTATGATTATGACTACAATGAGGTTATTAATTTACTTTGTTCTTATGCTGATAAGATTTAAATTCATATTTTTTTCCTCTCAAGCAAATGAAATGAGTGAATGAATGTGAATTTTATCTATATTACTAATGAGCCTTTCTTTCTAATTCTTTGGATTGTACAAGCATGCCAAATTCATTTTGGATTTTAAAAATTTGTTTTATGTATAGTCACTATTATGAAATATATTAAATATGTACAAGAGATCTATATTAATAATATTTTACATAGTCATTTTCTGCATTTGTTCAATTTTACTGTTCCTTGTTTTTAAAATTTTCTGATAAAGCATTGATTAGCAGGGACATAATCTCTGCCTTCAAGGAGTTTACTGGTCAGTAAATGGTTTGGGGCAATAAATCTTGATAGATATTTTTGTCAGTGCCTAATGCACTGAATCCAAATACTCCAGATGGCGGTTAGACAGTGGACTAGTAGTCAATCAGAGAAGTTGTGTTTTTAGCAATTTGGGGAAAGTAACCTATTATTGAAAAGTGGCAAGAATTTACCACCTCTAGGTATTAATGAAATAGACTAGCTTAGAATTTAAATAAGCTGATTGTAGAATTTCTCTACTCCTCACACTGAAAAGTACTTGCTTAAGGTATTTTTATGGGTATCTTCATAAAAGCATGATTGATTTAATACTATTGATTCTAACCATAGCATAAAAGCTATGTCATCCAAATACAATTATACTATTTTTTTTCCCAAAATAGCAACAATTAATTAGTACAAGTTAAAATATCTGTTATCCTGCCAGACCTTTTCTAGCCCCATAGTGGGCCATTAGAGATGAGCAGAAAGAATGCCTGTTAATGAACTGCCAGCCCACTGCCCAGCAGTGATTTGGTGCACATAATAATAAATTATAAGAAAAACTACTGATTAGACTTGAGTAAGTTAGATACAATTCAAGCTTATGTTGGTGGTGGTGGAGAACTGATCACACTTTTCATAATTTTTTAAAAGTGTTTTATTGAGCCACACTTTAGGGGAAGTTCATGATTGAATGGATCTAGTCATTCAGGGAAATCCTCTCTGTGTGAATTAATACTTCCTTTGTCAAGAAGGAAAGAAAGAAATAAAAGAAAAATATAGTATATGTGTTTTGGCTTTCTTAAAAGGATAAATGATGAATATACACAAATGAGAATAGATGATGGGTGAGATTACTTACATACTTATGAAGACTTCATATACATTGTATTATCATCCTGTTCCTCTGTTTGTCTTTTCTTTTCCCCAGTTAATTGGCAATTTTTATGTGCCCAGTATGCTATGAACTTGAAATTATTTTTTCCGTCTTCATTTCACAACTGTTACTGCAATTCAAGTTCCTATGATCAGCATTATCACTGTTAAATGTTGATAATTTCATAGCTGATATTTCTGTCTTATCAATATTCTGGCTAAAAAACATCATATATATTGCTCTCAAACAGTCAGTGGCTTTCTCTTACTACATATTCAATTAAAACTCTTTTGCTTATGTTTCAAAAGCTTCCATAAGGTGAGTGTAGCCTACAAAACTAATGTTATTTTCCTCTAACATGGCTATGTATGCATTGCCCTTTCTACCACTCACTGTTCCACACCAATCTCTATATTTCCCTTGCAGCAACTAGCTCATTCCTGCTCTCATGCCTTTCTTTTAATTGTACTGCCTTCCTAGAATGCCATCTCCTTTTTCTATGTCCACCTTAACTCCATTTCTTCTATGAAAACATACCTGAACACACTGATGCATTTCTTCTCTCTTAACACCTTCGACAGTGACATACAGTTACAGTATACTTATAGTCTCATTGTTTTCTGTTTATCAGTCTTGACTTAAGGCAGAAACTATGTTTGTACACTTTCTCTCTCCTCTGCTATATCAATAATAGTCCAGAGTCAGCACATATATGTTGCCTAGTTTCTTACTTTGTGTATTTAATCCATTAATAATTATAACTATTTTTTATTGATCAGGCATTCTTTACCATGTGCTTTCCTGAGTGTTTTGTACACATCATGTGATTCATTTCTCACAGTACCTTTATAAGGTCAATTTCATTTATCCCTGAATTTACATATTAAGGAACTGTGGCTCAGAGAAGTTGCCCAAGGTCACATGGCTTAGAGTTGCAATTAGAATTCAGTTCTGCCTTGTCCAAAGCTCTTGCTTTTTAAGTTTTCCACTAGAAGTAGAAAGCATGATCTTTCAAGGAGCTTAAAATGTTGAAGAGACAAAAATCTAGGTTATGGAGCAATTTGAGACAAAAATAGGAGTTGCTTATATTTATATACATGTATGTAAAAACATATTTATGAACTTTGAGTACCAGGAAGACACGAAGTAATCAATAATAAATTCTAACCTAATCATTTGTAATTGTTTCCTTAAAAACTCATTGTCTAAAGGAGGTACAGGTATGAGGGTAGTGAAAGAGAATGAGAATGCAATGTTTTAAGCAATAGAAAGACTGGAAAGCTCTGAGGAGTTGTGAAGTTTTAGAGATCACATCCAATCCCTAACACATTAGTTTCAAGGTAAGAGTCAAGTTATTCTGTTATTCTGCGAGGCTAAGATACTGTGAGTCTGGTTAAACTAATGAAATGAGTGTTCTCTTTCAGCTCAGCCTTTTTTTTTTTTTTTTTTTTTTTTTTCTTTTTTCTTTTGAGACAACGTCTCACTATGTTGCCCAGGCTGGTCTCAAACTCCCAGGCTCAAGCAGTCCTCCTGTCTCTGCCTCCCAAAGTGCTGAGGTTACAGGTGTGAGCCACCACACCTGGCTCAGCTCAGCCTTTTATGTTTAGTGTCATCAGTTTGTTTAGTGTCACCTGTTTGTTTCCGATGTTTTAGACAACTTCACTATCATAAAAATACATTCATCATAATATACCTTATGTTTAACTTTGGGTTTTATCTGTTATTATTTAAAGAAAGATGTTAACCAGATTTTCACTTTAAGACATACAGGCATACATACGTACAAACATAAGTGGATTGTATAGTTCTCCAGGTGCTTGTTATTTCAGGTGGCCTTCCAGTGGTCACTAGATTTCATGCCCCTTTCCCATCTACAAGGTCAACCAATGGTTCTGTGACTGTAGACATCACCTGTTATTAGGGCAGACACCTGTTATTAGGCTTGATTTTGCTTTAAGAACGTTTAATAAAAGAAGGAAACTGCTCATCATTTCTTGGCTTATTTGTTTTAAAATCATTCACTACACATATTTTAATGGAGAGAAAAAGGAGCATAATTTTTTAAAAGTGTGAATTAAAATAAGTCAGAGCAGCATTTTAAAAAAATTATCCACTCTTACATATGTAGCCAGATAGAAGAATTATTGTCAGCTTCTTTAATTTTACTGAAATTTCCTATTAACTTGTAAATGGCCAAGTTAGAATGCAAGAGTATTAAAATTCCTGATTGATCTTATCTGAGCAGACTCAAAGTATGTTAAATTCTCTAAGACGGGGTTCATTTTTGCTTTTGTGTTAGAATATAACTTTTAGGAAAACATATCTATGACACAAAATGTGTTGAAATAGATATTTCCTGGCCTTACTTCAATACCTTGGTGAACCAGGAAAATCTGATATGCTTGGTGGAAAATGCAGTGATGTGGGAATAGTGGAAAACTGATCACAGTTGGAGAAGAGTAATTCTAAAATTTGTCCTCTTGCACAGAAGCCAAATATGAGAAAGGGTTTATGGGCAATTTGGGGGAGAGAAGAGCAACCTAATGTTAGCCATCCTCGAACTGAATAGCAGGTTTATGAAATTCTCATCATAAATTACATTCCGTCTCTGTATTCTGTAGAAATACCAGCAAGGCAAATGATATTATACTGTTATTATAGAAATATTGCATATTCAACTGGGTCTATCTCTTTTACAAATGTTTCTTCCCTTTCAACTCAAAAGCATTTCTTTTAGGACAATTTAACTCAGATACACCTTAATTCCATATTTAAAAGGGTAAATATATTTATTTGAACGATGAAAGTATATGTATAACTTTTATTTCCAAATATGTGTCTTCTCCATCCTTTAAATCCTTTAATTCAATAAACTATTTTAGAGTTTTTATACTTGTATTTTTAATAATAGTTCTTATATTTCTTTGGAAATTATGACTGTCTCTGGTGCCTAATATTTAAATATTGAATCACATTTAATGGCTACTTGGTTAAGCGATTTAAATATCTAAATAACACAAATAACCAATAATTTTGTCAGTAATATGAAGAATCAAAATTAAATTTTGAATAACTGTTTTGTTCACATTTTCTTTATCACAGATATTGTATGTTCCATGTCATTAGTAATTATAAAATAATTTCATTTTTAGTGTATAACGAATCAGTAATAGGAACTTTTATCCTCTAGTAATAATACCCAGTGAAATCATTTTTAAAGACAAGAATACAATATACAATACAATATGAAATTCATAAAATGTAATATAGTTATCTAGTTAACTTGTGAATATACATATAGTTTTTAAATTCAATATTAGTACATGCATTCTACTGGTCAGAGTTTTAATCTGTAAAGTGATATCCTAGGATAACTGGTTATTTTCTTAAAGACTTTATAAGTAGTTTAGAATGATGCCAGAAAGAAGTGCTTTTTAAATTGCAGTATATAATGCATAGATTTTTAAGACAGATGGGAGAAATGGATCAATTCTGATCATTTTTCTTTAAATAGTAAACTCTCAAGTCTTCCTTTTTGAAGTGAATTATCCTTTTAATGTTTATGTAATTGAAGACAATCATTTTTATTCTTTCCAGTTGGCTGGGGTAAGAAAAGATGTAATTATTCCAACACATAAAACCCTTATGAGACAATTATTAATATAAAAATATTTTTCTGGTCTTTTAGTTTTCTCTGGGATATATTTTACATTAATTTGCATAAAATTAAGCCATAATTTTTATCGATAACTTTAATGTATTTTTATTTAGGTTATAGTATCTGGAGACTTATGTATGTGTATTTTCACATAAATGTGTGCTGTCTTCAGTTTTCATTATTTTATTTAGAGAGAGACACTGCTAATCAGGATCTGTGGCTTATCATGAGCAATTTTGTTGTTTGGAATTTCTCTTTCAGAAAAAAAATCAAGATAATCCAGATAACTATTTCACAGTACTTCTCCTTGAGAGCATTTTTTCTTGCTTCATTGTAGAAATTCTAGCTTGCATTGTAAACGCTATCCATGGAATCTCAAGACAAATGAGAAATAAGAAACTGGGATGTGTGTGTGTGTGTGTAAAATTTATTTAATATTAAATATATAATTAAATATTTAGTAATTTAAATATATGATATATTTATTTAATAATTATTTTCTTACATAGTTATTTAAAATTTTAACAAAGTTGTGAAAGGAAAATGAAAAGAGTAATAATTAAATATTTGATGTAATATTTGAATTTAAAGCAACTTCCTTGTTTTAGGATAATACATCATACGGCTATCATTATCAAAGTAAAATTTTTCTTTTATTAATTACTTGGACAATTTTATTGCTTATTTAATAAGAATAAGTAATGGCTTAGTGGAAGAATATGTGTTTTAGGCAGTATTCTTTAAAACCTTAGTCGTCAAGATAATTTGAGATTTGTCTGTGTTTACATATCATGAAGTAAAGTGAACTTCTGGCAAGCATCCAGTTAATTTTTATCAATGTAGGTAGACTGACCAGATAATCTTCTTCAAGTACTTTTTTCCCGTTGCCTTTCAGTGCCTTTTCTGTACTTCTACCCACCTAACACTCAGAAAAATTGTTTCGGGTGCCCATTTCAAGAAATCAAAGAAAGAGGCATACAGGGCTTGAACCAATATGGATAGTAGAAAATTACTGTGTATATGAAGCATCCTTTTGTAACACACTGTGTAAATTTAAAGTAGAATATAAAGAGCTCTTAACTAGATAATATGTTATACTTGCCTTCTATAGACATTGGAATAAAGTAAATTTGGATGGCTCTTATTTGCTTTGAGTCCTTGGACATACTGAAGGTGAGATCACTTATATGTAGTATCTGTCATTTCTCCCCTAAAAAGTAATGAAATCTGAGGTGACAGCTTCTTTCTTTAAATATTCCAGTGCACTAAACAAAATGCTCATAGGAAAAATACCATATCTGAATATATGTACTTTCTGAATGGTACGTTTATTTTATTATTCACAGTATTCTTTCTCCCTCTCTCTCTTTTTCTTCTGTAGCAGTTATATGCTGCCCAGCTAGCTGCAATGCAGGTATCTCCAGGAGGGAAGCTGCCAGGCATACCCCAAGGCAACCTTGGTGCTGCTGTATCTCCTACCAGCATTCACACAGACAAGAGCACAAACAGCCCACCACCCAAAAGCAAGGTACCCTTTTGAAGAAGCCACTGTCTTGCCACTTAGCTTTATTTTTCATTCAATGGTATTTATTAAATGTCTATTGTATGCCAGCAGCTAGCTTAAACTCTGGGTGTACAAGGAGGTAAGAATCAAGTAAGGGCAACAGGTGTGCATGTCAACTTATCTGCATACATTGAATCATTCATTTATTCATTTATTCAATATGCGTGTATCGATAACTATAGTAGAAAATGTGAGAGATAAAAAAGATTATCAGATGGGTATCTTGTACCCAAGGAGCTTACAGTCTGATTATGTAGATATTTATAAAAATAGCCAAATAGCCATACTCTATGATACAAAATAAATTTTGTAAAAAGTTACAGATAAAGTACATTGGAAGTTATATTGGGAGGCAGAGATCATCTTCAGGGAGAGATCCCATCAGGAGTTTGCCAGAGAAGGGAAAACTGAAATAGACCTTAAAATACAAGTAGAATTAGGACCTACAGAAGGTGTTTTAAAAATATCAGTGACTGTTATAATGTGGTACAGTGTAGGTATAATTTTAGATAAATCACCCGCCCAATGAGATTATCATGTAAGGAAATGAAGGTAATAGTAGTGTTAGAAGTAAGGCAATTTAGAAGTGGTTTTGGTTTTTAAGCTAAGAAAACATTAGAACACATGGAAAAGGATCAGGGAAAAGTCAAATAATGTATGTTTCTTGGCCTAGAAGGAGAGAAAAATTGATTTTAAATTTGTATTTGTATTAAGATCTTGCTTAAATGATATTGTATAAATATATTAAGCTTTCCATGCAAGAAGTAAGAAGAGTGATCGTAAAGCAGTATTCCTTGAGATTACTCAGGGAAACAACCACAAATAATTTGATTCTATTAGGAAATGTTAAGTAGAAAGCTGACGCAGTTAGTTTACCAGCAAAATATATATATATATATATATATTTTATATATATATTTATTTTGCTGAATTATGTAGAAAATTGCTTCTGTTCTCCATCCCATGAATGCCATGTTGACATGTCTAAAACAAAACAGTGTAAGAATAGTCACAATCATTGAAATACACAGAGAAAAGGATTAGAAAATATTAAAAGAGAAAAATCCAAGAATCCTCAAAAAATCTTTCTCTAGTACCCTGGTGGCTCTGTCAGGATGTCTTTCAGAGTTATTGTATACTCCAGAGAGTAAATCAGTAAGGAGAAGGGATCAATCAATCATTTGGAAAAGGGCACTCTAACCTCCATCTTCCTAGAATTCCCCAGTCCTTTTCCATATTATTAAAAGACAAATATTTTGGGGAATATAACTTAACCTGGACAAGGACCTTAGACCATGCTTTTTCAGCAATATGTAGAAATATTTAATGAAAATTATTGTACACACTACATTGACAGTAGGAGTATACATATGCCACTTTGAAGATCTATTTCAGTTGTTTAATGGACTGTGCATCTTCTGTGCTTAATGTATATCTAAGGCCTGGTCTGCTTTTCTTTATAATCACAACAGCATGTAAGTTTTTAAAACTGGTAATAATTTTAACATTTCTTAAATACATTTAATTTTAAAGTAGTGATAATTTTAGTGTTTCTGTGGACCAGCAGTTTTCATGTATTACCTGTAAAGAAAAATGTACTTTGGATAAAATAAATAGCTGTAGCAGCATAGTCATTGTCACACACAGACAATGTGTGTCTGTGAGGTATTATTCTCTGTTTTTTCCCTTGATTTATTGATGTGATTTCACATCATGTTTCGTAATGAGGCTTTACGTCAGGACATTTTGCTTTATGATTTTAGGATATGTAGCTCACTTTTAAATGGCTGACGGATTTTTTTCTTACACCTACATTCACTTTTTATCATTGATACCTTCTCACCAGATTACTTATACAAATCATCATGAAGCTTTTGATGTCAGTCAGCCTCATCCATTTATGCATCTACTAATTTGTCCATTCACTCATTTATCCATTCAAATGTTTATTGAGCAGTCGCTACAATGATTTTATTTAGGTAACCATGGAAAATGCTAAAGTAACTGAAGGTTTGCTTTGCTAAGATTAAGAAATTGCTTTATGAACTATATAGTTCTATACATTCATAGAACCTCATAGACTTTGTGCAAAAGAGAATGAGTATTTCAGTAGTGTCAGAAATCTGCCACATCCTGTGGTGTTATATACCTCTGTTTATTTAATACAAGTGAAAAAGTAGATTGTGTTTCTATAGCCATGATTATACATTATTTAAAAATATAGTTCTTCTTTGAAATTCAATGACTTTTTGAAAGTGAGCCTTTATGAATTTTCTATCATATAAAGTTTAAGAAAACTTTATGTGGTTTATAGTGGGTGTTGTACTTCTTTCCATCCACAATTATTGTAAAATACACAAAGGTTTAACTAAGAATAAAGTGCCTCTTTTCAAGTAACAACGATTTAATAAAAATATGCCCTTTCTTTGCTCAGTGCCCTCTAGCATACTGTCCACAACCACTCTTATTGTCAGAAAAGATTTCTTCAGTGTGTTTGTGTTTTAGCTCAGCAGTAAAATGTAGTGGGTTAAAAATAGCCACACCAATAAGTAATACTGTTGTCATTTTAATGAAGAACATGGCCAAAAAAATACAACCTATAATAAATAAAGAGGACCCATTACAATACATGAATTTACTTTCTTGTAGCCTGGAATTGACGTTTATACATAGCATAATAAACATTTTGACTTCACAAAGCTATTTTATTCATGTATAATAGCCATCATTTATTATCATATTTATGTTTTTAAGCAATCGATTATGAATGTCTTGGGGGTATTTTCTGTGTGTTTTATTGGCAAATGTTCATGTCTATGTTACCATAAAATAGAGTTATTTTATTAAAGGGTTTTGTGTTGTCTACATACCTACCTGGCATAAACCAAATTGATGGTTTAAGTTAAAAGTACATTTGCTGTTTGGAACAATGAAATCATAAGTCACAACCAGGTGATGATGTGAGATTAATGATCTTATTGATAGCTGTGGAAAATTAACCATGTTCTCTGAGTTGTATTGCCTGCCTTTCTTCCTGGGTATGCTTTTGCCTTTGACTCAGAACTCTAGAGAGGGACACAAACAAAACTTATTTGCAATTTGCAAAAAATGGAAGGGGGAAATCGAAAGGAGGGGGCTCCAAAAGACTGTAAAATTGTACAGCATGAGTCCTCTGATGCATGCTGTTTTCAATCTGCTGTGTGCCAGTTGGTGGCTTGGGGAGTGTGTGCGCGAGAGAGAAAGGATAATGCTGAGAAATGATAGAGTGGCTGTGACCTCCAAGCTCAGCCTGGAAATCCAAGACATTGATTTCACTTAGCATTCCTGCTGAGAAATCTGGCGGAGTTCAGTTGTAATAAAAGAACAAGATTCTGTTCTAATGGTAATGGCGTATGACAGACATATCACTTTGTCTGTCCTCAGCACCAGAGAGAGGAGAATTGGAGAAAGGTCACCTGACCTGCCTGTGGTGTTATACGAGTGCTGTACTGAGCTTTGAACTGCAGCCCAGGAGCATAATTATTTATAATATTAAATGATAAAGAAACCTTTAGAGGACTCACAGTGAACCTCTGAAAACGGCACACTGGAGTTGTGTTCTGTAAATGTGAAAACACAAAAAGAAATCTGGTCTGTTCAAAATCTGCATTCAAGAACATGCATATTGTTGCTTGTTGAGTTACAGGTCCTTGAACTTACTGTTTGTGAACTGTTTGCACTAATGCCTGACATATTGTCATGAGTTACTTTTTCTTTTCTCAATGCCTTGGTTTTTTTAGTCCCAAGCCAAGTATGTGTATATATATATATATATATATATATATATATGCACCCCCCCCGCCATGGTCTATCTTGCCAAAGACTGGATGATACAGAATTAAGAGCATTGACAGATTTTAAAAATTTCTCAGCTGTTACAATAAAATTTTTCTAAATACTCATACGCTTGTCTCTTCAGCAATTATTTAATTTGTTCCCTTTTGGATCTTACTCCAGGACTATTTTTTTCATTGACCCACAAAAGCGAATATGTTTAGCTCTTCGCAGATATTATTCTAGCTCTTGTGTGTCCTAACAGCTATGTTTATGGCTAAATGTTGGCAAATAAGTCTGAGTGAAAGTATAAAACCTTGAACTTTTATGACAGGAGATCCTGTTTAATGAAAATTATAAAAATAATTCTACCTTCTCACATTAAAGAAAATTATTTAATTGAGGTATTGTTAAGCAGTATTGACGTTTGAATCACATATACAATAATGTTGCTTTGAGTCTGCTTATGGCCTTAACAAATGTTTTAATTATTTGCTTGTAGTTTAACTTTCTGCCACAGAATGAACCAATATGCAATGTATTCAGCAACTTTCATTTTTGCACCACATATTTATTCAAATGAATTTCCACATACTTTCATGTAGTCTTTTAAGAGACTAGATGACCTTTGCTTTGTTATAGTAATTGATCTTTCGATACATTTGTTTTCTAAGAATAAATTATTTCTTTTAAATTTAATGGAATCAGTATCAGGCTTAAAAGAGTTATTTTAGGAGGAAGAGTATTTAGACTCAGTTTCACACACAGCTCGTATAATTGTTAGTTATGAATAGGCTTATAGTTCTGTGTTATCAAGAAGTCCTCAAATGTTATAGGTGTGCTAAACATCCAAACTTCACATTGTAAGTGTTCTGCCATTGTAAAAGTAGCTACCTCTTGGGAAAATCCTAAGAGCAACTTGTAAATACTATTAAACCTACCTTGGTGTTTGACGGAAACTTACATATTGCCTGCAGCAGCCAAGAACAGTCAGTTTAAAAAGCTGATGACAAGAGAGAATTCCTGGGTGCTTTTCTTTTAACCTTGCCGTGACCCTGGTCATACCCCAAGTCACAGTTGTGTTTCTATCAATGGCAAGAGCACACAGATTGTCCGAATCAATTTTTTGTTCTTTTCGAATACTTCTGACAGTGATGTTCCCATTTGCTCAGCAGTAGCACCTGGGAGTATGACAAGGAAAAGAAATATTTCTCCGACAAGCCAGAAATGGCCCTAACCAGCTGACCAGACACAATCAGATTCTTTGAGCTGCACTATCCTTATAATGTTGCTTCAAATTCAGAAGCAAAAACTGGAACTTTATTGTTATCTGAGCCTCTTTCAAAGGCATAGTAAAGATTTTGCCCGATGTGGTACCATGTGTTTCTGTTAGTAATATCAGCAGTGCCGATGACTCCTATTAGGGAACCTATTTTTTTGCTGAAATGGTACCAATCACATAGTTTCACGCTATCAAGTAAACGTTATATCAATACACACTAATCTGCAGGGTAGAATTTTGTAGTTTAATACTATGAGTCACAATTTGTGGTACACATACACACCAGATTACTTAGCAATATGCTAGCAGTACGAGAAATCAGAGGATAATCAAAATTCATCTTGATTGAGAATTAGTTCTCACAGGAGATTTGGGAAATGAAAGCATTTTTGGTAATTTGAGACAATGTTTTATAATGCCAAGTGGGGAAAAAGGCAGAATACAAACCGCACATACAGCATAATCACAACCAAGTCTACCTACCACTAACACAAAGTATAAAACTTTATTTTTAATATTGTGACAAAAAACATCTGTTAAAGATATAGCACAAGAGTGGCCGGGTGCGTTGGCTCACACCTGTAATCCCAGCACTTTGGGAGGCCGAGGTGGATGGATCATGAGGTCAGGAGATCGAGACCTTCCTGGATAACATGGTGAAACCCCATCTCTACTAAAAAATACAAAAAATTAGCCGGGCGTGGTGGCAGGCGCCTGTAGTCCCAGCTACTCGGGAGGCTGAGGCAGGAGAATAGCATGAACCCAGGAGGCGGAGCTTGCAGTGAGCCGAGATCGCGCCACTGCACTCCAGCCTGGGCAACAGAGGGAGACTCCATGTCAAAAAAAAAAAAAAAAAAAAAAAAAAAAAGATAAAGCACAAGACAACAAAGAGACTTCATGAGTTTGAAATGGACTAGGAAATGCTAAGGCCTCCACAGCAATATTTCCATGGTGAAAAGTTCAAAAAGCACTGCTCAATATAACCATAACCTCATTTAATAGTTTTCACATTTCATCTGACCATGTGAAATTTTGAGTGGTAGTTTCTAGAGGTGTTATTTCCAATATGTTAAAGTTTTAGAATACTACTATTTGACTTACTCTGAGAGCTTTTCAGGTCAAAATCTCAAATCATGGCTTACTACACAGGGCTAAAACTGGTCTGTGAATGTAGTATTTCTAAGTAATTCACAGTGCTGAAATAGTATTAATAAAAGAGGAGCCGCCATTTATCTCTACATATCAGCATCAAATCACTGATCCATCCTGAAACTGTTGGGCCTGGTACTTTTGTAGATTCCATTTCTCCCACAAGTTCAGGACAGAAAGGGGTATTAGCCTCAGCTAATTATAACCGCATTTAAATTGACCATTTTCTAATCTTAACAGTATCTGGCATATCACTTAAATGCTAGAATCTCCTTAATAAATTATTCTGTATTCTTTGTTAAATAGCTATTGAAAACCTCTTTCTCTCCTTTATTTCAGTATCTGTGAAATAACTATTTTGTTAGCCTTTGAGATGTAATATGGATGTGTCATATACTCAAGAGGTGAATTCATCTAAGAAGAATCACCCCATAGAGTTAAACTGCAAATGCAGCCCATTATCATTATCATCACTTCCTGGGTGGGACATATTTACAGTGGATATAACATAGTTGCCCTGTCATTTTAAATAAAATAGTTTTCTTTTTGTGGTTCTGTGTTGCTACATGGAAATAAGTTAAATGAAATGTTATCAACAGAACCCCTGTGATGAGCCTCCTCCTCTCCTTTTCATCTTTATTCAGTTGATGGAAATCTCAAACAGCTAGGTACTTAAACAGAGGCTTTTCTGGGCTCTGTGGTATTAAATGTCCAAATAGATCATTAGGTGAAATATTCTTATGATGCAGAAAGTTGAGGGTTGGTCACATTTTTACCATAAAAACAATAAAAATTATAAAAGAGGCTAGTTGTAATCTCAGCGTTAAATGAAAAAAGCAAAATATGCAGAATGATTTAGGTAATGTCCTTTGAATTTTACCAGCCTGGGCTGTGTATCCCAGTATACTGATTTTGTTTTGACAGAAACATGTCTCATGCACACAGCATGGTGAGCCATGTCAAAGCTTTTTAATAATGCAAACCATGGGGAAAGAAGAGGATGTGGAGCATGTGCAGACTCAGGAAGATCCACAGAATCAGATTTTTTAAGGGAAACTTGGACTGTAAAGTAGGTGCAACCCAAAGTAGATTTCACCATCTAAAAATCTGTGTGTTTGAAACATTGTAATCAAAAACAGCAGGTAGTTAAAACCTAAGTCGTTTAGGGAAATAAAAACAGGACAATAAGAAAGGATGTCTGGGTATAGTTCAGGACTTTGAATTATATTCTAAATATATTCATTTTTAAAGATAAATGATATATTTTCTACCTGTCACACTACTTATCTAGCTATTGTTATCTGATAAAACCTCAATGAACATCATAGCTAAAAATGCTAAGTCATTATTGTGTCAGAGACTGAGAAAGCAAAAGTACGTTTCTGTAGTTACTCTTTTTTGGGGGGAATCATTTATAATTTTGACTTCCTAAAGCATACTTTAAAACAGTTGAAATCTTTTATTTTTTATGCTAAACTATTGATCATTGCCTCCTTTGGAGCTGTCAATAATCAACTCCTTTTTATCACTTTAGCCGTCACCTGTACTGGAACTGTTTGGTTTGAGACTTGATACGTGAAACTAAGGAGGACTATTCTTAATGTCAGAGTTGGTTCCCTCTCTGTATTAAATATATGTTGCTTACACATTCTTACTTATTCATAAAAGAAGAATTTTAGCGGTCTCTCTTACAGAGATGCCTCAAAGTATAAATTTGTTTGTAAAATGACAACAATTACTGATGTCTTATTTAGGTTGATGGAAAATAGTATATATGCAAAATTATTCAATAGATTTTATCTAGATTTTCCACTAGAGAAAATAAAGAATACTAATAGTATTTTTAAACATTACGAAATGGAGAGCAGAAAGAGAACGATATACTGACTACACAGAGGTAGACATGAGGGTTGGAAAATAGACATGTAATATTCTAAACTGAAGAGTACTTAAAAACCCGAAGTACTCAAAAGTTGTATTTGTTTGATAAAATGTATAAGACATTTTATTTATAGAGGTATGTAAGCTTAAGTTGGAAGCCCAGAAGGTATTCAGTCCAAGACACAATAACCCAGTCTCAAGGTAACTTTGCTTCTGCCTAGAGTCTCGCAATATCAAGGAGTCCACCAGTTAATGAGACAGCATTGTCTTATTCAGAATAAGTCTTTTTTGTTATTTTCTTCATTGTTATGGATTTAGGAGTACAAGTACAGTTGTGTTACAAGGATATATTGCTTAGTGGTGAGGCCTAGGCTTTTAGTGTGCTCATAACTGGAATAGCTTGCATTGTACCCAACAGGTAGTATTTCAGAATAAGCCTTAATATCACAATGTTCTTATTTAAAGAGAACTGAAAGCATCTTTCCAGGACTTTTTCTTGTGGTTTCACTGAATAACAATTACATTATTCAGTTCTCTTTCAGTTGCAAGTGATAGAAAATGGAAGTACATTCGGTCACATTTTTTTTTTTTTTTTTTTTTTTTTTTTGAGGCAGAGTCTCACTCTGTGGCCCAGGCTGGAGTGCAGTGGCACAATCTGGGCTCACTGCAAGCTCCGCCTCCCGGGTTCACACCATTCTCCTGCCTCAGCCTCTCAAGTAGCTGGGACAACAGGTGCCACCACGCCCAGCTGATTTTTTTGTATTTTTAGTAGAGACGGGGTTTCACCGTGTTAGCCAGGATGGTCTCAATCTTCTGACCTCATGATCCGCCGGCCTCGGCCTCCCAAAGTGCTGGGATTACAGGCGTGAGCCACCGTGTCCGGCCCACAATTTTTTTTTAAGAAGTTCTTCAGATTTCATGTGTGGTTTAATCAGGATCCCAAACAATATCTTACAGAGTTGATTTGTATTTCCTAGCTCTGCTCTTTTTTCATTCTTAAAAGGATGGTCCCTTTTTAGTGTTCTATAGCACCCTATGTTTACATCTACCATTCACTGATTCAACAAATATTATTTCTATCATATATCAAATTTAATTCAAGCCAGTAGAACTACAGCTGTAAACAAAACAGTAGTACTCTTACAATTTCACAGTGTAATGGGGAGAAGCGAACTATGGGCAATTAAACAAATGGGTAATTTTGTGCATGCTAAGTGATATGAAGAAAATAAAACATGGTCAAAGATAGTGTGCTGGGGACAAGAAAGGGAATCTTCTTGGGAGAGAGCTTTAAGGGAAGCCCTCTCTGAAATCGTGAAAAGGAGGACACCTGTAAAGGTCTAAGGAAAGGTTATTCTAAACAGGAGGGAAAGTAATTGCAAAGACTCTAATATGTGAATGAGATTAGTGAATTCAAGGTTCAGAGAAAAGGCTGGGGTAGCTAAAGTGCAGTGAACATGAAGGAGAATGATAAAGAGTCAGGTTGGGAAATGAGAAAGACCAGATCCTATAGGATTTTTTCATGTTCAGGACTTTGAATTATATTCTAAATATATTCATTTTTAAAGATAAATGATATATTTTCTATCTGTCACACTACTTATCTAGCTATTGTTATTATGTACTCATTGTCTTCCTCTCTTAGGTATTATGTCTTTGTAGCAAAGGAATTTTTTTATCTCCTGTGCCAATTAATTAATTAATTAATATTTTAAGGGCTTCTACAGCACTCCCTTAGAAACATACTGGAATTTGAGCCCCAGTGACATATCCTGGATGTTGCTGTTGGAGAGACGTAATTCCACAAATATTTGTTAATTGCCTGTGATGTGTTGGAGTCCTAGGACCTGAGGATAGTGGTCAACAGTGTAGATAGATATGTGTGCTCACGTAGCACAGTGTATAAAGTGAGGGATATGAAGAAGAATGTAGATAGAGACAATAGATATAGTTGAAGAAGGGCAGCAAGTACGGACCAGGAGTGTAGATTCAACGCAGAATACTTCCTGTTTTGTTTTTTTTTTTCCAGATTCATTTCATCAGCAGGTTTTCGCTGGCAATATAGGAAAACACATACAGTTGATAGTACCTGTCACCACCTATGTGAAGCAAGTTACAAAGTCAACTTTTTAGATGATATTTTGACACTAACACTATTACATGAGTATTCATTTTAAAATAGTCAGCTTAAAAAACTATAATTGCTACATACTAGTGCTCATAAGAGTTTTGGAGCTCTTGTTTTACTTAATGCCTTTTAAGTAGATAAACAAGTCACATAAGAAAAAACACCCAAATTTCTGATTAGTGTGGTTTTTGCTTTCATATATGTTTAAATCCCACTTCCCTCTCTCTCTCTCTCCTTTTTTCTCTTCCTTCTTCTCTACCTCTTTCCAGTTAGTATATGCTTTTTAAAGGTCACACCTCCTGTCATATAAACATGCAACGCCACCTGCTTAACAAAGAAAAACACCAAAAACTTCTGTAAAACTTTTATAAAATTTATTTAAATAATGTTATTTTCTTGGTAAAAAAAATTATATCATTTATTTAAACATGTACTTTCTTAAAGCACTTAATATTCAATTTATATTAGTGAGATTGATGAGTTTATATACAAAGATCTAATACATCAGTTTTATTGCATTATATTTCATAAAATGAGATTCTTTTCAGTTTTACCTGTTTTCACATTCACTAATGTACATACAATATGGTAGTGGCATTAACTGCACAAAGCTAGTGTAAGGAGCAATAGAGATTATTTTAATCCAGAGCCTATCCAAAATATTATAAGAAAATGAGGTTCTCCATCATTATTCATATGGTTTCTCATTACTGCTAACACTCAGCTGAAGAACCCAGTCATTCTTAATTATGGTTTTTAAAACAAAGACCAGAAATTGTATGACTTGATTAGTATTAAATGTGGGAGAAAAGGTCTTCAACAGATGCAGTGGTATAATTTACATTACCTGAATTGTTTAGAGTCTGTGTAATATGATCAGGGGAATTCGTAGGCACATATTCCTTGTCTTATGTATTGTAAAGTTGGAGAATATAGGAAACATGAACTACCTATTTGAAATTTAGAAAAACTATTTTTTTTAAGGAAACAGTAATTTATTTATTTATTTATTTATTTTTGAGACAGGGTCTAACTCCATTGCCCAGGCTGGAGTGCAGGGGCGCGATCTTGGCTCACTGCAACCTTTGCCTCCCAGGTTCAAGCAATTCTCCTGTCTCAGCCTCCTGAGTAGCTGGGACTACAGGTGCCTGCTGCCACACCCAGCTAATTTTTGTATTTTTAGTAGAGATGGGGTTTCACCATGTTGGTCAGGCTGGTCTCCAACTCCTGACCTCAGGTGATCCACACGCCTCAGCTTCCCAAAGTGCTGGGATTACAGGCATGAGCCACCGCGCCCAGCCCAGAGTAATTTTATATCTCTTATTTAAATTGAATATATATTTGAAATTTTGTCTATACTGAAATAAGAATTTTGCTCATTGAAATCTTCAGCTTATCAATATTAAATTTGAAACATGCACTCTCAATGGTTCAGAATTATTGAATATTGCTAAGAAACTGATTATCAGACTGCTGCTTGAAAAATAAAAGTTTCTAAATATCAAGAATAGGTAGGAATTTGTCGAAACCCAAGTCATATACCAGGTTGTAATGGGAAGAACATGCTCCTTTTCTAGTCCTGAATCTCCTTGTAGATAGTATCTTTTGATGCTTCTTAGAATTACACACTTTGCCTTGTGAGCTGCAGGACTTAAATTGCAATATCCCACAGCTTTTAGCAGTTGCATTTTCAAATGTGAACTAGCTGATTCCATTGGGTGACTTTTTCAGAACCCAACAGTTTAAGAAATATGTTTTATCATTTTGGTTTTTAAAAAGATGAGGATCAGACATCTAAATTTATAGAAAATTAAAAGAATTTTCCTTTTTCGGGTCTTATCAGAATAATATGAAAGAAAAAATGTATACTCAAATAGATAAAAATGTATTTTCTTTCAAATTTTTTACCAATACCAAGAAAGTCTAATAACCTCACATTTTCACGAAACCGCAAATTATATTTTCTTAAAGCTCTGTTGTAGTGCTTTGCAAGGCCAGTTGCCAGCATTGGTATTCTGTGGGAGACTTTCATTTAAATTGGACCTTTAAAGAACCAAGGAATCTTATTTTTTTTTACTTTATTATATAATTTGAACTGTTATGATTTGCTTTACAATTTTGATGACTTTGGCAGTGTAGATATTTCATAAATAGGAGAAAAATAAATTGAGACCAGAAATAGAAAGGATGAAATACTACAAAAATTCTTCTCTTGTGGTATTTCCAGTAGCACTTCAAATAACATAAGAAAAAAAATACTGTTGTGAAGTATGTTTTAAGAAGCATTGTGACAGCAACAGGAATGTCTTTAAATAGGTACAGATTTGTGTTTTCTATACTTCTCTATGCAACTCTTCTGAGGATCAAAGTTTCACTTTAAGCCAGTGGGAGCTCAATATTCAGGTCAACCCTACATGAATACAGGGCAAGGCAAGAATTTTGGGTCAAATGATGGAATTTTTAGTGCCAGTTTTCATGCAAATAGCACTGTCGTTTCTCTAAAAAATGATGATTCTGGTCCCATTTTAAGAGAACCTCTAGGTAATTTGTGTTTGTTTTGATTTTGCTTATCTTTTTCTATTAGCATTCATTAAGTTACACTGAACTAGAATTCTGATCTGTTCTATCCAGGACTATAATTTATGGAGTTACAACAAAATAAGTGAAGAAGATATCAATTCTATAGGATGGACCACATTAGAAACATCTTCTATCTTATTGAATTTTAAGTAGCTGGCCCCTAATAGGCTCTTAACAAATGTACACCTGATTAATGTTTGCATTATAATAACTAAATCTTAATATTAATTGAACCCTAGTTATCATAGTTTGTAATATCATTTTCACTGTTTCAATCTTTGCAAAATTATGCTTACTAATACAACACAATCTAAGAGAATGTGTCTGTATAAGGATTTTTTTAACTGCAGTAATATGCTTTCTAGCTATTGTTAAGGTGAACTTTTGAACATTTGTATAACTATATATTTTTTTAGAATTGAGCACATAAAATAAGACATTGAGAATTTAATAAGACAAAAAGAAATAAGATTTTTTAAAAAATATTTTTTCAAAATATGTTTGAGTCCTGCTTTAAAAAACAAGATCCACTTAGAATAGATAGTTAATAAAATATAACTTGTCATAAATGAGTTATCTTCTACTGGGTAAGGAGAGATGAGAATGTTTTCCTTGGGAAAGAGACACGTTGTTTATCTGTTCCAAGCAAGAGACATTACATTTTGCTTGAAACAAAGCAATACGTTGTTTATATAAATTTTTAAAAATCATGTAATGACTGTTATTCACAGATGAGCCTTCTAGAATTACTTTTAGAAGATGTCAAAACAACTTCTATAGAGGATTCTTCAGTAAACCTTTTGAGCACCTCTAATATGCTGGACACTTTGGTAGAATAAAAAAAGAACAGCAATTAACACACAGTACAATATAATGGGGAAAACAAACAAGTAAGCCAACAATTAAAATACTGTAGGCTAAGTGCTATTCAAAGAATAATATGGAGGTAAGGAAGAAACTTTGTAACATAACCTGGGGAGAAATAGGAGAATAAGGAAAAGGGTTCCAGAAGGTGTGACATTTAGAAGGTTTTTGAAGGAAAATGGAAACAGTCTGTGCAAGGACACATAGGTATGAATGAATAAAAGGTTGGATTTTATCTGAATTTTGGAGAAAGAAACAAGGTTGAGTGTAATACATCTGTAGAACTTTGTGAGTGAATTTAAGAAGAATGAAAATATAAAGATACAAGTGTGTAAAAAATGAAGTCTAACTTCCTTAGCATGGCATTCTGCAATCTAGCCCCACCTACCTCCCTAGCCTAATTAATACTTCTGCCTTTCTCCCAGTTCCAGAAATGTATACTTCAGATGAAATCACTTTCTCAGGTATCATGCTATTTCAATTATTTTTGCCTATGTTTGTGACACTGGACCTCTCTGGGTTGCTTCTGCCCTGTTCATTTCACTTTTCTCTCTTTTTTAGCACCACTAGCAATATAATATCCATCTAAACCGTCATTTCTATATAGAATTCTAAATAGAATTTGCTGTTACATTGTATGTCACCCCACTGCACAAACACATACTCCTTGAATAGTATCAAAGCACACTTATAATACTTCATTGTACTTGTCTTCCTTTGTATGATCCTCAGTCCCATGAGGGTAGGGATTATAGCTTAATCATCCTTAGCACCAAGCACAATACTTGGCTTGTAATTAATGCTCTACTTCTTTTAGAAGAATAAATACATGATCAAAGGTCAATGGTTTGGATCATTGGAAGATAAGGCAGTATGAGTAGAATAAGATTGTACCTAAGAAAAATGAAACAATGTTATTTATACAAAACGACTCTGAAATTTAAAAGTAAGATTTGTTCTTATTTAACCTGTCAGTCTAGGTGAAATATACTGAATTTAGGAAATATGAGCCTTTGACCACTGGAGAGATATTATCTATAGTGAACTATGCCTTACTTCCCAGCCCTTACTGTGCTTTAAATAAAGTATTCGCCATTTACCTCTTTTTGCCCTGGTTCTGATTGTGAAATTGGGTTTTTTAGATATCTTGAAATTAGGAAAGGTGTACTGTAGAAAACTCAGCAATATTTAGGTCAGGTATAAATGAATTAATTGGCAGTCTGTTTTATGCATTACCTCCATGAGTTTGTTTACTGTGAATACATCTTTAAGTGAGTGGACCTCCCTTACATAAGCTGCTGAAGAGTCGAGTTGATCCTGAAATGAAAGGCACAGCCTGTACAAATATTGTCCAGTTTTGTTATATTGTTTAATTGATAGTTCAAATAAAGTTTTAGGATGGAAAAAATTGTATTTCATTTTGTAAGGTTATTTTTCTCTGCTTCTCTTTTATGCAAAAAAAAAATTATCTCAAAAATGGCAGAGAAACTTCCCACCCATACAAAGACATAGTCGTTTATGTTATATGTATGGATATATTTATATGTATGCATAGTCACACATCACTTAATGATGGGGATATGTCCTATCATTGGTGATTTCATTGTTGCATAAGCATCATAGCATGTACTTATACAAACCTAGATAGTATAGGCTACTACACACTTAGGTTACATGATACAGCCTATTACTTCTAGGCTGCAAACCTGTACAGTATGTTACTCTACTGAATAGTGTAGGCAGGTGTAACAAAATGGTATTTGTGTATCTAAACATAGAAAAGGTATAGTAAAAATATAGTATTATAATCTTATGGGACCACTGTCATATAGGCAGTCCATGGTTCACCAAAATGTTGGTGTTCCTATACAGTACATGACCATATATTTATATGTGTACATATGTGTGTGTGTGTGTGTGTGTGTGTGTGTGCACTATCCCATACTACAATAATCAAGAATACAGATCAATTTTATCTGGCAATGTGATGGACCAAAGCAACATTCAAAATAAGATAAGCTCTAAGGCAAATATACTCATTTTGTCTCTTTAATTCTTTCTAAAAAGTATGATCAAAACTCTTGGGTAATGATGTCATTAGAGTTGCTATATAAAGTCTTTTATGGAATTCAGACTGTAAATTTATTATTCTTTTAATGTTATGGGCTGGGAAAAATTAAACGAGCATTACAGCTGAGTTTCACTACACATTAATTATTTTAATGGACTATTTCTTAAATGAATATCTGATAAATCAATCTTGCAATTCCTCATGCTTTATGACATGCTTGACACAGTATAGACACTTAAGAATCATTATTCTGTGAGAGCTTTGATACAAATCCAAAATCGTTATAATTAAGATCAAACTCTTACCTGATGCTCAGTTCTAAGCCTTTTCTCATCTTTATTTGAATTTTCTTTCACCCATACCTTGAATTTAATATTATAGTATCAATAGGCAGAATATATCATCAAGCTAAGCATCTTTAATATGTTGAGAAAAAATATTTTGTCTCCAGAGCATAACATAAAAACTGGCCTTAACTGACATTCTGTATAAATAGTCATCACCCCTTGGAATTCTTTAAAGACATCAGTTCTCTCCTGGTCACTGCCATGAAGACAAAGAATGCCTTAATGACTCTATTGAGGTTATCATTAAAATAAAGGAGATTTGCAGACATCAGCTATAAATCACTATAAAATGGCCGGTGGGTAACCTTTGACACAACTCATTTGAAATAAACCTGGGATGGATTCATAGCCTTTGGCCGAGCCAGTAAGTGGGCTAAAGGTCTTTTCCATCCTCTCCTTCACTTCTTTCAATATTAGTTCCTCTCCAAGTGACTGGAAAGGAATTGGATGTATATAAATTGACATGTGTATTAAGTTGAAGGCAAATAGGTCTATATAAATAATAGTGTTAAGGATGTTTATGGTGTTTATTCGAAATATGTATTCTTTTGATATAAATTTTAGGATTATGAATACATTTTGAATTTATCGTAGCTACTTTGTTAAAATACTTTATGATTTAGTGTCATAAAAATTTTGTGAGGGTCTCGACCAGTATTACTCAAATTGAACATTACAAGGTGCCTATCTATGGGATAGAAAAAATTCTTCAGAATTAAAAAGAAATTACATGATTGCAGTCTAATTTTTCAAAGAAATTATTTTTTAATGATTATTTTTCCTATTGGCATTTAAATAATAGAGAAGCAGCTTTGAAAAGTTGCCTAAGCTTACACCTTTATGACTTGGGTTCAAGTCTGAGGCTTCTTTAAGGTATGACTGTTAGCAAATTTTTGAGTATCTTCAACCTCCTTCTCTTTATCTGTGAAGTGGGGTTGATGATATCTCGTAATCTTTCTGTACGAATAAAATAAAATATATGGAGATGTTTTGTTACTTGTAAAATTTAGATGTCAAGGAGTAAATAGTATTAGAAAATCAGCCCTGAAAAGTGAAGAGCTATATAATAATTTAAGTTATTTTTAAAAGTTAGAAGTTTTTAGGTTATGAAACCCACTAAACATACTTTCATAGTTTTGTAATGTTTAACTTATTCTTCAAAATGTTTGTGTAACAAATAGTATATTGGGCTTTAAGTATTTATTTCTTCCTTAAAAACTAGCTCTCTCCATGACAAAATTACATTATAAAATCAGCATTTCTTTTGGTGTAGGGAGAAGTTCTCAGGTAAAAATATATAAAAAATATATAATATATAATATCTGTATTTAAATAGACCTATACTGTGCCTTTTATTTATTCACTAAGAGGTTAATTATGAGAGAAGAAAAAAGGAAAAAACACTTTAAGTCAATCATAAGTGACAAATAATTGCTTTGATGAATATGTTGAGGAGGGGAAATAATCTTTAGGTCATTTCTAGTAAAAATTCATCTAATCAAAAAAGCAAATTTTTGAGACTTAATCTTCCAACAACTCATGCCCTTGATATATTTTTGTAAGTTTTCAGACTCTTCAAGAAAAAAAAAAAAGTGGTCTAAGGATTCACAGAATAAGGAAATGATAACTTTATGAAAAGTTATAAAATTTAAACACCTAATATCCAGAATTCAAATCCAAGAATCAATCACTTTAGTGACAAATAATTCAATCTAAATAATCCGAACGAAATGAAATGCAAGAATTTTTTTTTCCCCGTAAAACTCTTCCTTCATGACATTGTTTTAGATTAATCATAATGATATTTATTTCACTATCGAAGTTTCCTAGTCACTTACATTGCCTTAAAATGTTTTCTCTTCTAGTGTATAGATTTCTTCTGTCTCATGACCTACCACTCTCTTGGGAATAGTGTTTGTGGAACAAATTAAAGAATTAACCTACCACTTGGGGGAAAAACAAGAGACAGGGGTAGATGGCACAACTGTTCTAATTTTGTGTTCATAAAGGAAAATTGCTAATTAAGTGGCCTTGTTGTCTTACTCGAGGTTCGTGATCTTGTGCTAAGGGGAACAAAAATGCAGACACATACACACGGAGTGGGTTTAAGAGCGTAAAGTTTAATAGGCAAAAGAAAGGAGGGAGAGAGAGAGCGCGCTTCCTCATGCAGAGGAAGGGGATGTTCAAGCGGATTTCTGGGTTTGGGGAGAGATGTGGTCCATTTTATAGAGGGGCTTAAGGAGGCCGTATTTGATTCACATAGGGCCCAGGAGATTGGATTGACCAGGTGTCAGGTGTGCCATTTACATAGCCCGTGAATCTTTTATTATGCAAATGGGGTTTACCTGGCCGTTGCCATGACACCCACACACGGGGGCGACAAAGAGAAGAGAGGAGATATCCTCCATGTTGAATGTACCTGGCTTCTGACATAGCTGCCGGCATTTACCTATGCAAACTTCTAGCTTGCTTATCTATGTTTGCAGCTTGATTTCTCAGGGTGCTTTTTGTTAGAAATGTTTTAGGGGCTGCTTTTTATTAAAGAAAAATTCCACTGAGAACTCCTTTAACCTCACTAACTGCCTAAATAATTTCTTACTAACTCCTATATCACTATTACTGTACTGCTCTTAACCTGAACAGTGGAACTCAGTCTAGGTTAAAGCAAGTGGAGTACGAGAAGTGAGTTTTGCATTTAAATTTTATTTTTACTTATTTTTGGACTTTTTACCTTTGTCTTCAATGACTGCCCCCTTTCCTCTATCTGTAATGAATGGAATGAAAAAAGTTGTAGTTTGGATGTACTGACCTAGTCAAGTCTCAAGTTACGTTAATAGGAGGAAGCCTGTGGCTAAATAGTTCCTGACAATGGCTTTGTTAGCAGACATCTCTGAGTAGAAAGCAGTGAGTCCCAGGGACATCAAACTTTCAACTCTTAAGAGGAAAGCAAGGGAGCAAAGTTCTGAAGACTGAGAAGAACTGAAATTCAAGTGGTGAGGAGAATTCATTACAAGAGATTTAAATATGGAGGGATACATTTTGGTAGTGCATATGTTCCTATTCTGTTATTCACAAGTCAAAATCACATTTGCTCGATGTGTATGTGCATTGTACGTAAACGTAAATAACCTTTGAAATGCTATATTAAAAACAATAGGAAAAACTTAGAATTTATCGAGTTAGTTATTGATTAATCTCCACTATCCATTAACATTTAGTAGTTAATAGTATCTAGTAAATTTTTTTCTATTCAAGGTATATGTGGGTGTAAAGAGAGTACTCAGATCACTTTAAAAATGAAAATTGTCTTAAACTGTTTGAAATTTGATTATTTAGCCACGAGATGTTCAAGAAAACAACACAATAAAATGAAATACAGTGATATGAATGCTACACTCAGTAACACTAGGGTGCTGCCTTAGGCTTCCCTAGCCTTTTCTTGCTTAGTGTCTCATTCTAATGTTTAATCCATTAAACACACACACATACACACACACACACACACTCACACCTGTCCTTCTCCAAGGTTCTGTGCCTTAGACAATTTGGCCTTCACTCATCTCCCAAATATAAACCAATGCATGGTTTATATCAGTTAACTGTCGTAACTGTCATTACTCATTAAACAGTCAGTTATAGTGGGTTCACCAGACTGTTGGAGATTTGTGCCATAGGAGCTGTGCATGCATGTATGTGAGCACTGGGAATGACTCTTTGATGTAATTAATTGGAGCTCGTAATAAATGACTTATGCATAATGATGCTTTCTATGATTTCTCCCACTCTGCCAGGTTGTTATCTAAAGATGGCCTATCTGCGTATAACCAGACCAAACTTTTCAAAGATCTGAGAAAACATAAATCTCTCAGAGAGCCATAGATATATTTTTAAAAAGGAATTTTGGAGCCCTCTGGGAGTCCTTCAAAGTATTTCATTTTGTTTTGTTTCAGGTTCATCAGTGTTTCATTAATATTTTCATCAGTGGTTTTTTCCCCCCGTCAATGGGCTATCCGTGCCTTCATGTGGTATTTTTACTTCTCTTTTATATGACTCCAGTGGATCAAACCTTCTACCACTGATTTGCTTTGATGATGATGTGTTGTTGTGCTTTCCTTTTGATAGTAATTCCTTTTGTAGATTCCAGTAGAGATGCTGATGTGCTCATTTTGTACATTTAGGTTCAGGTGGAAGTACCATTTCCAACATAGAGATGATAGTAGAATTTGATCAGCATGACTTCTATTTCTTTGTTTTATAAAGTCGTATTGCTCTGTGAGCTCCTGTTTTACTTTTTTTGTTAATCTATTCCATCATTAAACAGTTGTGTAGTTCTTGGCTTATGTTTGTATACAAATCTTCCAGTGGAACTAACAGGAAAGCAACAATGACAAATGCTTTGTAATTATAAATTTAAGGACTTATCAGGTGGTGTCAAAAACACATTACATTTTCTTGTTCAAGGAGTGATCAACTCTTTAATTTCTCTAAAGCATTTTTAAAAGCTTTTGGAGATTTACATTTAGAGGTTAAAAAGAGGAACTGGTGTGATTATTAACATCAATTCTTACTGCTCTATGCTTCCTTTTAGCCTCTTGGTAGAAGAACTGTTAATCATTTTAAAAGATAACAGCAATCATCCAGCCGTAATGAACACTATAGGACAAAATAACCATTATTATTAGGAATTTGAAGTTGTCTGGGGACCAGAGGTTAAACAAAGTTGAATTGGAAACACCATACATTTCCTACTGGCTCATGTTATAACTGTTCTCATCACACATTATTGTTGACACGAGTATTCCTCGCATTCTTCCTCTTTTCAAGAATAGTTAGAAAAGCTTACTCTGTGGAATTTCTATGAGTGGGTTTTCATGTGATATTGTGGGTTAAAGGTCTTCCAATATGACATTCTTCTTGGTAAATATATGGAAACTGTATTTATACAGTATATTTATAGGACATTTTGGAAATAAAAAGTAAGATTAGATAGAGAGTTAATCTAAAATGAAAAATTCAAAAGCTAAATTAGAGATCTTAAAGGGAAAGGAGAATAAAGATTAAAAGAGAAGGAAGGAAAATGTAAAAAGGAATGGTGTGGCACTATTTGGATTAATTCAAGGCAATTTTTGAAATTAAAAAGTGAATGTGAAGTATAGTTGATATTTCAGAAGCCAAACTATTCTTTATTTGTTTTCAAATATATGTGTGTGCTTGCGTGTATAATTTACAGCATCGAGGCATTAATTCAACAAAGTCGGAAAACAAGGAAAATATTAAGATACTAAGGGAAAATGAGCAGGGGGCATTTTAAACAGCAAATAAAATGATGGGTACTCTTTGAATACCTTTAAATTAATTAAGGGCCAGCAAATTAAATGTAAAGAAACATGTAATTACCACATTGAAGAACATGTCCCCAACCACACTACTAGCATCTACTTTTAAAAGAAGCAGGTATACATTAAGCAAAAGTGTAAAATGGCAAATAAGGAAGCCAAATGAGATGCTAGAACATATTACCCTCAGCTAAATAAGACTTACATTTAAATGGCCATCAAGTCTAATGGTAGCATTAACACAGCAAAAGCATACCTATCAAAGAATTCCTGGAGCTCTTTCTGCCTGATTAACAAGGCATTTTGCAATTTGTAAGTCTAAAAGTAAGCAACTGATCATGAAAAGGGGTTTCAAGACTATGTGCTATGTAAGATGATAGACTTGATTTTTAGGAACCTACTAATAAGGAGTTGGGATGGCTACGCGAGTAGGATTATTAATTCCTTGAAGACTAAGAAAATAATTTTAAGATTGTTGCAATTATTTTTATCTTAGGTTACTTTGACTCTTGCACGTAAATATAAACCTTTTCTCCTTTAAGTTCTGCTCAGCAGGTACACTTCCATCTCTTTATAGATCCTCATGATACTTGTTTGTTTTGTTTCTTCTAGTAAACCTCTATGGAGCTGTAGTGAAGAAATGCCTTATTTGGGTAGGAGAGGTGAAAGAGGGCTCCCACAGTCCATAGAGGTAGAAGACGAAAGAGAAAGGATGAGTGCTGCACACAAGCTAGGGAAGAGGTGCGGCAACAGTGCACATTATGCAATTCAGGCTGTCATGTAACTTCCCTACTTAGGTTAATACGATCATTTCATCAGAGAGGATAATAGCAGCAGCATGATTAATTTTGCAACATGTTTCATGAATGCCTTTACTCATCCCCATATGGTATTACTGCTACTTATTTCACATGAGTATTTATGATAAACATGGGGACAATCACAGTTTTCAAATCATGCAGAGGAAGAAGCCTGAAATTTTATTTATACATATATATATATATATTTTTTCAATCATTGTGTGGCTGTTGAAGAATCAAAGTGTTTTTATAAATGAAACATTATATTGAGTATAAAGACAAACTGTTCTCAAAGGAGTTTAAAAACACACACACACTTCCACTTAAATCTATACCTAGGTTTTAAATAAAAAGTAAATGGACTTCTTTTCTTTATTACTGATCACATAAAACCAAAGCCTCAAAGCTACATGCCTAAATGTCCTTTGGTTTATGTTTTTCTAATGCCTGGCATATAATAGCCATTAATAAATAGCTGAAATACCATTAGATAAATAAGATATGGATGAATGTATGGATGATTGGATAAATGCATCTGTTCTTATCTGTTGCCTTTAGACTGGTATAAATATGTTAACTGCCAAATAAATTTTGATTTTCAATCATTAATTTAGGTAAATATTTGAGGAAGTGCAATTTTGAGATACCTGTGATATGGAATGAACCAAATCATCAATTAGATAAAATGAGAATGAATAAAGATGTGAATAAAGATGTAAATAAAGATGAAATTTATATTCTGAAGGGTTTAATCATTTGCACGTCCTTGGTAGTGCATTTTGTGGTCTAGCAACCTACATGTGGGTATATTTCCATGTTGTGAGGATAAGAATAGAGAAACAGAAACAAATAGAATTCTCCAGGATGATTGGATCTCTGTTATCTAGTTCTCTATTAAAACTCCTTAACAAAGACTTGAAAAGCTAAGGAGTGGGGAGAGAGAAATAACACCCCAGGATTGCTAAGAATGCTTTTTGTTTGTTAAATTATGTTTGATTTCTCTAAATCATTTGGTATTTGTACATTATAAAATTATGACTATTATACAATTATGTTACAGTAACATATTTTCTTCTAGGATAAATTGTTATTTGAAAACCAACTAAATGAAATATATTGTAACTTTATATATTTATTTTATAGTGTTTGTAAAGTTTATGTGGAATAAGTTTATGGTGACAATTGGTATTCCCTCAGTGCGTCTAAGGCTACATATTTGTTTCACATTCTTTATGCAATGGTTTTTTAATCTGTTGCAAATTTTCATTGGCTGGGATTAACTGATTAAGGCCTCTATAGTGTTTCTACTACTGTGACCACAAACTGGTATTGAGATGTTAGCTTTCAGACAAGTTATCGTAGCTATAATTATGTAAATGGAACATCCCAGACCTATATGTTTATTTGGATTTTACTTACTTTGCATTCTATCCCAGAAAACTACAATTAGCCCAGTAATTGATTAGAAGAAGTTATATCATGAGTGAGCTTCTAAGACTTGTATTTGATTATATAAAATATTATTTTCTTGTACCATGTGTACATGAACTCTTGGGATTTTTCTAAAAGAATAGTCCAAACCACTCTTTAGCATTAAAGGAAATTTTCAATGCTATATAGCATAGAGGTCAGAGAAGCACAAAAAAAGTCACCAAGATAAGTGAATTTGCGCCTTAACTTTTTAATGTATAGAATAGCAAATGTTTGTATTACATCATTTTATTGCACATATATTATCTTTCATGTGGTTATTGTGTAACAGAATTATATAGTTAGGACTGAATTTCAGAAGTTATATTCCATCAGTGCCTTTTTAAATTTAAGATTAAATTTGTCACAGAAATTAAAAGAGTATTGTATGTTGAGTCCAAAAACCTGGGTTTCATTAGAACTTTCTAAGCCTTACTTTCCACCACAAGATTTGTAATTACTTCATAGTCGTGAAGATTAAATAAACTCTTTGGAATACTTATAATGAACCCTATAAATGTAAATTATAGCCTTCTACTAGTTAAAATTTGTTTAGCTTACACATTTACTTAAACATAAATGCTTATTTTATATTTATGATATACAAGTTTGGAGCTACTAGGCAGATAACTAAATTCTTAACTCTTACTTTGTGTATAAATGAAATAATTATGAAATATGTTATTTTCAAAAGTTCCAATTGGCAACCTCATTTAACAATTAGGCAAGTAATTAACAGGAAATTGCTTTGCTCACTGCTTGATGGTGTAGTTGATAGAAATAGTATCTTTTTCAATTATTTTTGACCTTGAAAATTACTCATATCCTTTTATTTGTAAGTAATTTATTTAACATGTTTAAATGTGTGTTTTATTTGTAACAATAGGAGTTAATCATGTTAAGCTTTTGAATTTCTCCTACATAAAATTACAAGTAAAAAACAAAGTAAGAGAAGTCTTACCTTCAGCTTTTATTGCACATATTCATATTATAAGAATGCATGCCAGAAATAAATTGTCCATGTCCATTTTATAGTTAAGATTTTTAAATTTTCATCTAGTCAAATGAAAAATAATTAATAGAAAATGGGAAACTAGTGTAATTTTTGTATTCTTCATAAATAATAGGCATTTGGTATAGCAGCTCAGTAGTAAATTATTAAAAGAACAAAATTGCGAAATAATATCATATAATGGGTCAAAATTATTTATACAGTTACCAGTATAAAGATCAAGAATGTGAGTTCTTATTAATATACCATTAGCCTGGTCACACAATGGAAGAGAAGGAAAGGGCAATTTTGAATGACATTTATATCAACTTTGGAACTGTCAACCTCTGTTATGTCCTTGGGGCCTTGCACTTTTTGGCTTTCAGACATCTGTGCTGCCTTGAATGTAGGTGAATACTAAGAGTTTCAGTGGGTCTCTTGCTCTAATAAATGCTTTGAATAGTTATCTTTCAGCATGGGCATGTAATAGTTATTAGTGCTTAAAGCTAAGACATATGACACTTCATCCCATGAGCACCCACATCCACATCATCTTCATCAATACCGCCATTCCCCCCTCACTATACACTCACACTGTGTTTCCTCTGTGCTCATAAATATCTTCCCTGTTCCAACTCTGGGAATACAGTCTTTTCTCTTTGCTTTCTTTTTCTTTGCTTTGCTTTGCTTTGCTTTGTTTTGTTTCTTTTTCTTCTCTTCACATTCAAGTAAAACAGCCATCTTTGATCCAAGCATCTCCCAAAACTTTTGCAAGAGTTATGATGATGTCAAAAAGAAGTTCTAAAGGCATCATGACAGAAGTCAGTTTCACACAGAAGGTAGTAAACAGGTAGTATATTGCTAGGGGAAAACAGTGCCTGGAATATTTACAGCTGGGTAGTAAATAGTAAAGTCCCTGACAGTCAGGACATTTAGGCTTAATTGACCAAGAGTAGATCTGGATTCTAATCTTTATTTTCTCATGGAATCTCAGTAACATTCAATTTATTATGCATATGAGTGTTTCCATTATTAGCATGTGATATGTCCCAATTATATTTTAAACACTGAGGTAATATTACATATTTTTAAATGTTATCTTCTTATACAGAAGAAGCTTTTTAAAGGCTTTTGGAAGTCTAATAAAACTTTTTCAATAGTCCCCCTTTATTTTAATATACGAGGCAGTGGCTCTTACACTTGAGTGTGCATCAGAATCACCTGGGAATGAAGGCTTGTTAAACACAGGTTGCTGGGACCCATCCCCATAGTTTCTATGATAGAGAATTTGCCTTTCTAACAAGTTCCCAGGTGTGCTTATGGTGCTAGTCTGTGAGCCACATGTTGAGAAGTATTCATTCATACTAGATTAAAATGTGAGGACACAATACTTCCATATTGCTGCCAATTATGACATCATATATATAGATTATGGTTGAACAGGTCATGTTTCAGATTGAACAATTAGGGATAATATTGCCCCTATAGTTTTTTTTTTTTTTTTTTTTTTTTTTTTTTTTTGACACAGTCTCACTCTGTTGCGCAGGCTGGAGTGCAGTGGCACGATCTAACTCACTGCAGCCTCCGCCTCCCGGGTTCAGGTGATTCTCCTGCCTTAGCCTCCTGAGTAGCTGAGACTACAGGTGCATGCCACCATGCTCAGCTAATTTTTTGTATTTTTAGTAGAAACAAAGTTTCACCGTGTTGGCCAGGATAGTCTCAATCTCCTGACCTCATGATCTGCCTGACTTGGCCTCCCAAAGTGCTGGGATTACAGGTGTGAGCCACTGCACCCAGCCATTGCCCCTATAGTTTTTAAAATGCTAAAGTAAACTTCTCCAAATTAAATGTTGCATCAGTGATGGAATTATTTCACTTCCTGTCAAGATCTTATGAATCAATATAGATTTGGTATAATAGTCTTTAATTTCTTACTTATCTGACATCATAGAAGATTGCTAATTTGAATTGTCTCATGAATTTTCAATTTTTTTTTTCTGAAACAGACAATATAAACTGAAATAAGATCTATTACAAAGGTAACTTTTTCCTAGTCTGTTCATGGGATTCTTAAGTGCACATAACCACAGAATCAAATAATAATCTAATAATATTAAGCCACTTAAAAATATAGACTTGAGGCCAGGCGCCATGGCTCATGCCTGTAATCCCAGCACTTTGGGAGGCCAACGCAGGCAGATCACTTGAGGTCAGGAGTTCAAGACTAGCTGGCCAACATGGTGAAACCCTGTCTCTACTAAAAATACAAAAATTAGCCGGACGTGGTGGTGTGCACCACGTAGTAGTGTCCCAGCTACTCAGGAGGCTGAGGCAGGAGAATCACTTGAAGTGGCAGGCGGAGATCACGATGAGCCGAGATTGCACCACTGCACTCCAGCCTGGGCAACAGAGCAAGACTCCATCTCAAAAAAAAAAAAAAAAAAAAATATATATATATATATGTGTGTGTGTGTGTGTGTGTGTGTGTATATATATATATAAACTTGATATCGATGTCATATTTTACCATTTAACCATTTCATAAAATGATTTATTTCAGTGGTTCTTTTGGTAGGACTGTGCATTAAATTTTTGTATACAGTAATTAACATATACTTTAATGTCACCTGACTACCCCATTTGATTAAAAATTTTTCTACTTTCAACAAATCCTGTTATTGGTAAATATTTTATGTTCTTAACTCGTGAAATAGCTACGTGGAAACTAAATTTTTATTCTACAATAATATTAATGTAAAATTAGATATATTGTAAACGTTGATAAATAAACAAGTGGTAAGATATTCCAATTTTAGAGCACACGAAAGGAACAAAATAACTTTTTCAATTTCCAATTTAAAAAGTGATATAATGTTAATATTATCTCATTCTTATATTCTTATATGATGTAATATAAATTTTAATGATACTGTATCTATAAGTCTCATGTATGAAATTACCTAAGAGAACGATTTAAAATTGAGTATAAACTGTGTTTTGACCTGTCAAACCATAGAACAGCTGGAAATCATCAACCATGCTGAACTGATCACATGATCTTCGTGACACATATAGTATAAGAGAAACCAGGTACTGAAAGAGAAACCTAGAAAACACATCTGGATTTTGAAAACATGGTGTTTGTTTAGTGTTTAGAACAGTATGACATATAAATAAGTTGCACATAGTAGGGTGATGTTAATTATGTTTATTTTCATTTTTAGATCAAATTCAAAGGTGTTTCTGTGAAACCTAGGGAGAAAGGATTATTTTCTAAGAAAGCTAGAAATTTTCTTGTGTGTGCGTGTTGAATTTGGAGAGCAGTTCTGATCAGAGGCACACAACTATCTGTGGTCCTCCATCATGGGTGTTCCAGGTGCTCTGCCTAGGTACCAGGGTACAAAGATGCATCAGATCCAACCCCTTTTCTTTGGAGATTAAAAAAAAAACCTACCTACATCATATTTCAGATTTAATGTGTAATATCTCTCAATACAAATGAATATAGCACAAAGAGTAGCTTTTTAAGAATATTTCTTACAGGTTACAAAAATTATCTGCTTTCTGTGGGTAGTTGAGTACACATGTACTTTCTCTTATACAAAAGGTATTTTGAATGTATAGTTGAAGGAGGCATTATGTTGACAGCTAAGCAAATGCTGTAATGTTCAGAATGAATGTTAAGATCACTGATTGGTAGAGTAATTTGATGGGAAATGACAGGCTGCATACCTGTGTTTTTCTAGGCATTTTTTATCAGCCTTTCCTTATCACAGCTCATGTTCTAATGATCATTGCAGGATGAAGTGGCACAGCCACTGAACCTATCAGCTAAACCCAAGACCTCTGATGGCAAATCACCCACATCACCCACCTCTCCCCATATGCCAGCTCTGAGAATAAACAGTGGGGCAGGCCCCCTCAAAGCCTCTGTCCCAGCAGCGTTAGCTAGTCCTTCAGCCAGAGTTAGCACAATAGGTAAGTTCTGTTTCTTTTGTTCTTGCTGATTTTCTGTTTATGGCTATTGAATGGAATCATCTTTAAATGGCACATCACACCCACTCTATACACGGCTTGAATTCTATAGGACAGCTTCAATTTGAGGAACCACCTAGGTCCGTTTTAAACATGTAAATGAAATTTCTCACTAAAGTCTAAGTTATAATGCCCTCCTGAAAATCTAATTGTGTAGGTTATATCTATATTTCTAACTATGTCCATACAATATAAAAAGAGGACTAAGTGACTAATCGCAGTGAGCAATGATGGTTCCAGAATGTTATTGTTAGGTGACTTACTTTTTGCATCACTGAAATTTCCATTTTTTTTGTGAATTGCACAAAGTATACATTATGATGAAATGCATTTTGCCTCTATCATCAATCAACCATAAGGATGTGAAGTTTGTTCAGTTTCGTTCTGTTTGAGGATTACTTGCAAACACCAAAGTATTATAAAGAGTGGATAGCTTCAATTCTATATAATTGTAAATTCAGTAGCATAAACAAAATAGTAGAAAACACTTCTATAAGCTGACTTTGAAAAAGTCAATGATTTTAATTTCAGCATACATAAATCAGACTGCAGATACTGATTTCAACACAGGTTTATTGATATTTGTATTATTTTTATTCAATTTTTAAGGAGGCCAGCCCTCAAGGAGCTCATGGTTTAGTTAAGGGAGAGTCATTCATTCTATGGTATAAGTCAGCTATAATAAGCGCTGTTGCAGAGCACAGATAAAGTTCTACAAAGAGAGGAGAGTGTTGGATTCTGTCTGGGAAGGACTACAGAAAAGTATGAGTTAGATATATCCTAATTCAAACTGAGCCTTGAAGAAGAGATAGATTCCTAGGCATTCTAGGCAGTAAGAAAAAAATCACAAAGTGAAATAGCATATTTTTGAGAAATGCACTGATTTGTCTAGATTGTAGAAAAAAATGTGTGGTGGAAAGTGATCAGAGCTAAAACTGAAAGGATCAGATGGCAGAATGATGTTGGAATTCAGGAAACCATTGTTTACATGTAGGACAAGAATAAGTTACATGAGATACAAATAAACAATGATAAAGGAGAGAATGGATTAAAAAGATTAATCAAGGAAGAATTGACATAATTCAGTCACAATAGAATGTATCTGGTAAAGGTCAAGTTGTAGACAGGAAACTAGAATTTTGAATTTATGAAATAACAAGGATTATTATGCCTCTATTAACAATGAAAGGGGAGCCCAGAATTGGAGCAGGTTTGGGAGAAGAAATAAAAATGTAATATGTGTTGAATTTGCAGCACAAGGAACTATCTAGGTAGAGGTGTTCAGGAAGAAGCTGGAAATACGAGCCTCATCGGTAAAAGATGTGCTAGAATTTTAGATATGGAAATTATTCCATGATGAGGTGGTTGAACTCAGGAGAGCAAATAAGTCCACCAAAAAAGGCTGTGTGTGGTAAGAAAAGAAGTGGAGTGAAGAATCATAGGTATTGCATTAGATACTAATAGATAAATAACTAATATTAATACTATAATATAGATAACTAATGTATTATTTATTGCTGTGTAACAGATTAACCTAAAACTTAGCAGCTGGTATTGCATTAGATACTAATAGATAGATAACTGATATTAATATTATAATATAGATAACTAATATATTATTTATTGCTGTGTAACAAATTAACCTAAAACTTAGAAGTAGAAAACAACCAATATTTACTGTCTCATTTATTATTATTTATTGTTTAACATTTATTATTATCTGTTTTCTGGTGGTCTCGGTTCTTTGCCACATAGGCCTGTCCCTAGGGCTGCTTGTAGCATGACAGTGAACCTTCCTGAATGAGTGATCCAAGGGAAGAACAAAGAAAAAGGCACAGTTTATATCACGAAATAACCTGTTCTCCAAGTTCATCCAGAGGCAATTCTGCTTTATTCTGTTTCTTATAAGAGAATCATTAAGTCCAGCCCAACTCAAGGCAAGGAGAATTAGGCTCCAACTGAAGTAGAGAGTATAAAAGTATCTTTGAACATATTTTAGAACAACTACACTTTTTTTAGATGCAAAACTGATGAAGAGTAAGTTGAGTGTCTTAGAATAAGAATGAAGAGCAAGTGGGTATTTTAGAATAAGAGTGAAGACAGGGTAATGTCATACTAGCCTAGGAAAACGAAGTTTCAAAAAAGAGGGATTATTTAATAGTGCACCTTCTGCAGGACAATTAAAGAACATGAAGAATAAGAGCCTTAGGATTTGGAGTTCATGGACAGGTAGACTGACAGAGAAGTTTTAATGAATGGTTTGAATAGATTTCCAGTTATACAGAGCGGAAGAATATGAAGAAATAAAGTTAATTTGGTGATATAAACTCATCTTTTTCTAAGTTTGGTGTTGGGAAGTGATAATAGTTTGAGAAGGCTAAGTAGAGACAGGTTTTAAAATAGGAATATGTATATTACTCTTCAAGGGGGGAGAGGAAGAAGAGTTAGAGACATGTATAGATATGAAAAAGTGCAAAAGACATGTATAGATATGAAAAGTGATGGGAAGGGATTAACCCTTGTAAAGGAGAAAAACTTTTCTTCTTCCTGAGACTGAAGGAAAGGAAGAGATAAATGGTAACATTTCAGAGAAATTTTGGAATGATCAGAATGAAGTCTGAAGGAGTGTGTATCAAATGCTTTAATCTCCACAAAGAAGAATTCCAGATTATTTGTTAAGAGGAATTCAGTCTGGGCAGTGGGGCCACAGTGAAAAGAGGAACAGTGAAAACTGAAGCTTTGAGAAGTTTGAAAAAGGTTTCAGACACATGTGTGCTTTTTCATCTTATAGTCTAACTCCAGTTACTCTGCTCAGCATCCTAAATGAGCTCCAAGATTAGATTTACTTTCATGTACTATGTAAAAGAAAAAATATTTTATTTGGCAAGAATCATTCACTATCATAATATACATGTAGGCTTATAAATGTCATAGTGTTAGTACATGAGCAACTTTTGTGATGTTGTTAGAACTGGAATATGTGACTAGTAGAATAACTAATATGTTTTTATTTGTATCATGTATGAATATTTTTTCTTTAGCATTCCCAAAGATTAAGCATGGGAAAGTATTTTAGAAAGGCAAGAACATACTTAACGTCATTTATCATGACTTTCCCCACTACTAAAACATCTCTTTTTTTTTTTTCTGAAAAGTCCTTTCACCACATACACATCCCTCATAATTTCCAAGGATTTAAGTCTACTACAATTTACTTTTCTCTTTTCAACAAATGCAGATGTTGAAAGCTGAAACTTTAATGAGTAATAATGTAGTTGGATAAAAGCTGTGAGGATTAATGGTGTTGTAAAGGTCACTCCTGAAAGAAGAATTAATGTGTGATGCCATTATTAAACCACAGAAGACTGTGGACTGAAAGATGACTTAAGTTATCGTTAATCACATGGGGCTCTTTGCTATATATCTATTAGCTACAAATATAGAAAGTGACTTTTTGAGGTTGGTGACCAATATTACAGTGTATTCTATAAGAATGCTTTTGATATGGTACGCAAATGATAGGCAGCTCCAAAGGAAGGAGATCCTTAAAAGGTATGAATAGTTCAGAAGAATGATGGATAATTTTAGAATCTTTTGACCAGATGTTATCTTTCCCTTATTGGCTTTTTCCACCTATATCGAACATATGTATAGCACTTTTAACTTTTTTTTCAAAGCAGTTTTTTCATCTATTTTCTCACTGCAGCTGTTCTACAATTATAGACCCTTAACTAGATGGAGTAGATATCCATATAATCTAGTCAAAGCTTGTTATTTAGCAGATAGGGAACACAGACCTAAAGAGCCTGTGTGTCTACCTAGGGATTTGAAGTAATTTTTTGTCAGAGCGTAGACAGTTCTATGATTCTATATTTATTACCTCAGCTTTAATTTTAAGGAAATAAATGTACATAAAAATCTAGTAACTTATCCAGACTTAGAGCCAATGGATTTTGGAGCCTTATAACCATGATCTATTGGTTGGTGTTCATTCTTTTTAGTTGTTGCCTTTTGGTAGCCACTCTGCATTAGATGCTCTTCTCGGCCATTTATCATTTTACTCATCCATACAATAAATGAGATTTAAATACTCTTCCTTTGCCATACGTTTTGCTTAGTCTGGAGGATAAGCAGACAACAGCCTTTGACTGAGACTTTAGGTGCCTACAGTCTTTTTCCTAGCATATCTTTGGGACATATTGGAATGTACTGTTCTTAGCCTTCATTCCTCAGAGGCATTAACGCATGAAAACTAAAACTATACCTGAGCAAATGTAGTAAATGCAAATTGACCCAGTAAAACAAAGGGCAATATTTCCAAGTCCATTAATTGGCTACTTGAGTTGTACAACATGCCAGGTTAAGACACGATGACTTAAAGGAGGATATTATTTTGAAAGTTTGTTAGTTTACATTTTTATTTTATTTATTTATTATTATTATTATTATTTGAGACAGGAACTTACTCTTTCTGTTGTCCCGGCTGGAGTGTGGTGGCTGGAGTGTAGTGGTTGGCTCACTGCAACCTCCACCTCCTGGACTCAAATGATCCTCCCACCTGAGCCTCCCAAGTAGCTAGGACTACAGGCATGTACCACCAAAAATACAAAAATATGAAAATATATATATATATATATATATATATATATATATATATATATATATATATATATTTTTTTTTTTTTTTTTTTTTGAGTTGGAGTCTTGCTCTGTAGCCCAGGCTGGAGTGCAGTGGCGCAATCTTGGCTCACTGCAAGCTCCGCCTCCTGGGTTCACGCCATTCCCCTGTCTCAGCCTCCAGAGTAGCTGGGACTATAGGCACCTGCCACCACGCCCGGCTAATTTTTTTGAATTTTTATTAGGGACAGGGCTTCACCATGTTATCCAGGATGGTCTCGATCTCCTGACCTCGTGATCCGCCTGCCTGGGCCTCCCAAAGTGCTGGGATTACAGGTGTGAGCCACCACACCCGACCAATTTTTGTATTTTTTTAGAGATGGGTTTTCTCATGTTGTCCAGTCTGGCCTCATACTCCTGGACTCAAGGGATTCGCCCACGTCAGCCCCCCAAAGTGCTGGGATTACAGGTATGAGTCACCATGCCCAGGTTTTTAATAAGCAAAATTTATACAAGGGTTTTAATGAGAAAAACCTTGTTTGCAGGAAGGTGATTGAAGGAATGAACAAGAATATTGTGATGCATGGAAAGCCATTGGATTATCAGGAAGTTGTAGATATCATTCAAAGACATCTGACAATTAACATTTGCATAACACTTTACAGTTTGCAAACTGCTTTCACATGTATTATCTAATTCCGGTGAGCTTTCACAGATAAAAAAATTGTCTACCTATCAGGGTGTCAAAAATGTAATGCTGATCAATGACCACAAAAATAGAAAAAAATATATTTGTTGAAAATCACTGGAAACAAATATGCCATTACTTTTACTTACAACTCCTATATAAAATAAATACGTAGTAAATAAGATTTGTGTGGCACTAATATCATCTGTTAAATTCATGAATTTTAATAAACCTGTACCATATGGTCCAGGCTTCTATTGATAAGAAGACAGAAATTATCAATAGATTTGGAATTATCAAGGCAGATACTTTCAACTTAGAATGTGCATTTATTTCTTCAACAGATCCTGCCCTGGGCCAAAGGAATAATAGATTGTACTAAAAAATGCTAAGTAGTCCATAGACCACTATGAAAGACAAATGCAAGACAATAGGACACTAAAAACATTCACAAGGTTTTGAAGGAACACATGTGTGGGAAGTACTCATCTTGTCAAAGAACATGTGTAGGGTATGTAAGAGAAGTTCTCACAGAAGGGGTGATGTTTGAATAAATTCACCAACACACCAGAAAGAAAGAGCCTTTCAGCGAAAGAGAAAAACTTGGGATACAGGAGTGTGGAGTGAAAGGATGAAGGCCTGTCCTTGGAAAAGGGGGAATGTTGTGTACAGCTTAAACGCAGGACACATGAGAGACTGGCAAGAGGGGACACAGGAAAGATAAGCAGAGTTGACATCATGAGGAGACTCTTAGGCCTTGTGAAAGAGTTTGGGACTTATCTCAGAATGATGATTTTCCAGGAACATTAAAGAGTTTCAAAAGTTCCAGTAAAAGCTGCATACTGTGATCTCTTGAAGACTCACAATGCACATTAACATATTCAGGATTTTAAAAACTCATGCAATTAAACCTTTTTAACTTTAATTTTGTATTTCTTACACTTATACATGGAATTATTTTTTCATGGGCTATTACAGGTCATTATTTTTGAAATGTTTCTTGAAGCACTACGGTACCAGAGGAGGGTTTGTAATCAGGGATGTTGACATCAATTTTTTTAAATATACATAGATAGAGAGATAAATAGATATTTTTATTTTTGTCTTTAGACAGAGTCTTGCTTTGTCACCCAAGCTGAAGTGCAGTGGCAGGTGAACATGGCTCATTGAAGCCTCTACCTCCCAGGCTCAAGCAGTTCTCTGCCTCAGCCCCCCAAGTAGCTGGGACTACAGGCAAGCACCACCATGCTCCACTAATTTTTTGTGTTTTTTTGTAGAGATGGGATTTCACCATGTTGCCCAGGCTGATTTTGAACTCCTAAGGTCAAGTGATCTACTCGCCTCAGCCTCCCAAAGTGCTGGGATTAGAGGCATGTGCCACCATGCCCGGCATTTTTTTTTTTTTTTGAGATATTCTTAAATGCTTTATCTGGAAAGAGAATAGACATGAATTCAAAGAGTGTAAGCCTAAAGATAGGAAAACCAGTTAGGAGGCCAAGGCATAGTGAGATATCAGGTGGCTTTCATGAAAGCAGAGGATGGAGAAGCAAATTTGAGAGCGAGGAAGAAGTGAAACTGTCAGGGTTTGCCTGCCTTGTATCTTTAGAGGGTAAAGGAGAGACCTTAAATTACTCCCAAGAATCGGAAGGGCAACTGACAAGGTCTATGGAATATAGAAAGAGGGGACTGAGGCCATGGAAAGATGATGAATTCTGTGCCAGACATGCTGCATATCAGGTACTCATGGGACATTCAAGTAGAGAAGCTTAGTCAATAAACAGATACATGTATCTGGCAATCTGGAAGGGTTTGAGGCAAGCAGTAGTTATTTTACAGTTCTTGGGATCATTTCTCAATTCTTAGAGACATGGTAAAGACCAAGGGTGGCATATTGGTTTCCTAGAGCTGCCATTACAAATTACTGTAAACTGGGTGGGTTGAAACAGAAATTTATTCTCTTGCTATTCAGGGCCTAGAAATCTGAAGTCAAGGTGTCAGCAGGGTGGGTTCCTTCTGGAAGCTCTGAATGAGAACCTGTTCCATGCCTCAATACTGCTGACAGTCCTGGCTCATAGATGCATAACTCCAATCTCTGCCTGCATATTCACTTGGCTTTCTCCCCTATTTCTATGGGTCAAATCTCTCTCCTCTTATAAGGCAACCGGTTATTGGATTTATGGCCCAGCCTAATTTCAGGGTGATCTCACCTTGAGATCCTTAATTACATCTTCAAAGACCTTGTTTTCAAAAGAGGCCAGAGTCACAGATAATTAAGTTTAGGACTTGGATATATCTTTTGGGCAGACACAATTCAACCCATTACAAGTGGTTTTGTATTTTATTTTCTTTCCTTGTATAGCAGCCATTACTACTTTCCTTTTAGAGTTTATCTCCTCCAAAATTAGACTTTCTAGTTTGTCCCTTCTTTTCTGCCTCTGAAAAAAATATATAAGGAGACTTTTTAGTTAAGAAAAACAGAAATTTTGAGAATATTTTTGGTAATGGTTAAGAAGAAACACTGAAGCATAAAACATCAAATTGCAGGCCAGGCATGGTGGCTCATGCCTGTAATCCTAGCACTTTGGGAGGCCAAGGCAGGAGAATTGTGTGAATCCAGGAGTTCTAGACCAGCCTGGGCAACATAGCAAGACTCCATCTCTACAAAAACTTAAAAAGTAACTGGGGGTAGTAGTGCCCATAGTCCCAGCTACTCAGGAGGCTGAGGCAGAATGATTGCTTGAGCCCAGAAGTTCAAGGTTGCAGTGAGCTATGATCATGCCACTGCACTCCAGCCTGGGTGAGACCTTGTTTCAAAAAAAAAAAAAAAAAAAAAATCAAATCAAATTATAGTGAATTTAACAAAGTTACAGAATCTCACAAATTTCTTACATTAATGATTTCTAACCCACATTTTCCAAATCTCATTTGAGATGTTAACTGGAAGTTATATTGACCTTTGCCATCTCATTTTCCTCTTAAGACTGAGGTTCACCAAACCTCTCCTATACACATGCCCTCCCATCTGATCCTGACTTTAGATGCAATTGTTGCTTGAATCTATAATGAAGGCAGAATAAAATGTATCTATCAGATAACCATTATATGTCTCTTTGGCCTTTATGGTCTGACGCCCATTTAACTGAACCTCTGTGCCCGCCAAGGAATGACATCCCCTCACAGATTTCATCATGATAGTCAAAGCCATGTTAATAAGAGTGCTAAGAGTGAACATATAGGGAAAATGAAAGTGTAAAGAGTAAAGAAAGGAGTCTAACATCTTTTCCTGCCTCTGCAGATACCAAGTGCTATCTCTTCCTTCACATGTGTTATTTCATCTAATTCTTCCATCAGCTTTACCTTCATTTTGTAGTTAAGGGAAGTGAAAACTTAGATTGAGCATTAAAATTTGTCAAATATCACACTTACCAAGAACTGGAAATCCCAGATGCAGTTGAATCCAATTTCCAAATTCTGCTTATTTTACTATGCCATTTTATAAAGTGACAGTTACTGAATAGCTTTCATTGACCATTTATTATGATAAAAGATGATATTTACTCACTTAATCTTGACATTTCTGTTATCTAGTGAGTGTTATCCCTATTTAACCGAAGAGACAATTGCAACTTAGAACAGTAAAACAACTTGTGTAATTTATATACCTAGTAAGTGTCAAAGCTAGGATTTTAATTCGGGCTTGCCCAGCTCCAAAACACATCCTTTTTTAATAATTGGCATCTTGAATCAAAATCTAAGGATTAGGTGAAGGAAGGATCCCAGGCAGGGATACCAACACAGAGGAGGCAGTGAGGAAAAAGGAACAATGCTAAAATGAGATTCAATAAAGAGAGGATGGTCAATGCTGTCATTCCCTCTCAAGAAATGGAAAATGTCCTTTGGATTTATTCGACAACTAGAGACCAATTGCAACAGAAACAAGATTGCACTGAGAACTGGAGAGTAAGGAGGGAATGGGAGATTATGAGATAATGTATCTTTGAGAAGCTTGACTTCAAAGATAAAAAGAGAAACAGTGTTGGAAAGAGAGGGCAAAACAAGGTTAAAGAAGACACTTTATTTGCTTGTTTTCGGAGAAAAGAGAACCTTAAGTATCTACAAGTTGAGGTGGTAGAGATGGTGGAGACAATTAGATAGATGATATAAATGAGAAATAGAATTATCAATGAAGACGTATAGAAATCTAGAACTCTTATTAGGAGATTTGCCTTGATTGAAAGCAAGGAACCATTTTTATTGAAACAGGAGGAGCAAAATAGGCATAAATGGAAATAAATTAAGCCAGCAGAAGGTAAGAGTGAGGGTAGGGTCAGGAAGGTGAGAGTTCAGCCTTGCTGCTCTTTGCAAAATCAGAGGCAAAGCCATTTGCTGAGGGAGACGGAGTCAGCAGGGTTAAGGATTTGGTGACTATGAGGAGAACAAACTGTAAAGAACCAGCAAACAATCATATTAAGATTGAATGTTGTCATATATACATGGCTTTATGATTTAACATAGCAGATACAAATGTTAACATTTCATACAGCATTATAACTAAAACTCAAGAGTCTCTAAAAGCAAGAATGTTTATTTTAAAGTGAACAGTTATTTCTACCTGCACAGAAACACACATCTCAAATTGGAAATAACCATTACAGAACATAGGTCTGTCAGTTACTCCCCCTCATAATAATTTACATTCCTCTTGCATCTATATTAATCATTTTTCCTACACAATGTTATCTTGGCAGTCCCTAAAAAGCATAAAGAATTCATGCTTTTATTCAGTGCCATGTGCCAAGCCATTTCAAATATATTTGTGTTCTGGAGAAGCTAATTAGACTACATAGAAGCTAAATAGACTACAAAAATGTATGATGCCAGGTTGTGTATAAACAGGGGTTAGAGCATAAGAAAATCAGACTGATCCTCTTAAGATATTACTAAATGAACATATACCAAGACCATCACGGTCATGTAAGAGTTGTATTTCTATCTAGAGTAATATTGTTCATGAACAAGTTCAAGAATTATACATTAAGAATGATGTACAGGAGATCCAAATTAGGATGTTGAGGATAATAAAATACAACCATCTTTTACAGTAAATATTAACTCTGAAGATCTGTTCTAGGTTTAGAGTTGTTTTCAATTCACTATTGTGTTTATAATGAGCAGAGATGTTTTGTTCTTTGAATAAGTTCCAATGAATTTAGCTCTGAAAGGCAAAATATATAATCACTCTCAAGCTTCCCTTTTCTATCGCCTACACTGGAACTTTTCTTTCTGCCTCAAGGAGATCAGAGGACCAGGTCTACTCTGCGCATACTAACAGGGGAAGAGGCATGGATCATTTAGAAACCTGCCAGCACTGAAGTACTACATCAGTTTCTGACATCGGTTTCTTCAATAGAAACGTTTAAGCAGCAAGAACATATTCTATGTTTTTTGGCAATCAGCAGATCAGATAGAAGAGTCTAGCAATACAACAAGGATGTGTAATCTGACATGATTAGACAAGGCTCTTAGTACCAGAACATTCATAATTGAGACAAAGAGTATTAATAACACTTTCCTAACACGGCAGTTAGCCATTTTATATTTCCTTTCTTTAATCTTAGTGTTTTTCAACAAATCATGGGATTTAATAGCGTGTTTTGGCAGATTAGAGGATTTATGGCCCAGATGTTTTTTGTTCTAAAAATGGATTAGGGTGTAAAGTTTGCTGGAATCCATGGAACATGTTGAGGCAAGCCGGTCATTTTATGTGTGATTAGTGCCTGCCTTCTGTCTCACAGTCCCTCCATCTGTCACAATTCACCAATGGATCTGGTTAGATTTAGCCTCGTGTCACAAACAAGTCCCTTTTCTGGGCAGTTTCGTATTACAGATTCATTTTATGCCATTTTATGCCCTAGTTAAAAGATAGGGAGAGAGAAAGATGAGATATTAGCTTTTCTTTAAATATTTGCAAAACAATCTTTTTCCCTCAGTACTAACGTACGTCTAATGTCATGCAGATCATCGTACTAATATGCATCAAATAAATAAATGACCAGTGTTAAAAATAAAATTAAGTAAAAATTAGTTTTGGTTGTTACACCTGTTATTTTGTAACAGCAATATTTTGGTAGTGTGTATTACTAACCATGGACTGTGGAGTTGCATACATAAGCTGATCATTTGGCCATCTTATTAAGAGTGTGAATTAAGTGTGACTATAGTCAAGAGTAGCCACAATTTCTTATCAAACAATTACAGGTGCTTGGTTACATTCTGTGCTTGAAATTTAGCCTAACTATTACAAGTTTGCATCAATAGCAAACCACTGCCACCTGTGGTTTATTTCACCATAAATGGATTTTTAGGAAGAAAATACTCTTCCGTCAAATAATGATTTATTTCTTCTGTATATAACAAACTTAATAGTGCTATACAGACCCTCTTATGTGGCCTTTCTAATACTAGGAGAGACTCAATAATCATAGTCATAATTATGAATACCTAAATTCTGTGCTAAAATTCAAATGTTCCTTGCAGGAAAAAAAATTAAAAATGGGTTTTATATTTGCACTACAAAATAATATTCGAATAATAACTAAAGCATTTACTTAAAAATTAGGTTTTCAACTTCTTTCAAAATAGTTGGAAACAACCATATGTCACTTAGGTATTATATTTTTATTACAGATATTTGAACATATTGGAAACATGTTTATGTATGACTATATGGATCAGTCATTGTCAATTATTCATTCATTCATTTTAGATAAATTCCATGGAGAAATCATTATAGGCCAGACACTACCTATTACCAAGAAAAGTGATTTTTATGGTTAAACGCTAGCCTAGACATGCTTTTATACAAAAGATATCCTTTGATCTGTCTCATGTTCAGGTTACTTAAATGACCATGATGCTGTCACCAAGGCAATCCAAGAAGCTCGGCAAATGAAGGAGCAACTCCGACGGGAACAACAGGTGCTTGATGGGAAGGTGGCTGTTGTGAATAGTCTGGGTCTCAATAACTGCCGAACAGAAAAGGTCAGTTCATAAAATAACTTACTTTCTAGAAATACTTAATTAAATTGCCTAATGCTTTTTTAAAAAAAATATATTTCCATCTTCTTATCATCCTCAAAATGATTCTCTGTCCCTTTTCTCCCTCCATTAATATAGAAGGCCTCATCGCCATCCTAATCAAAACCATCTGGAAATAGAAAGAGTTATAATTCTCTTGATCCATCTCCAAACCTTATTGACAATGAATATCCCCTTTTACGCCACCAGCTTGTATTAAAACAAAATGGCATTTGAAATATCTGAGTCTGACTAAAAGTTTTGCTTTTCAGAGATGCTTAACTTGTATTTGGGGATGAGCTGGATTTGAAATGCTGAATCTTCTTTAATCAGCATAAGCTTGGATGATATCCATGCTCATATTCTAAGTATTTAGGATCCTGAGCTTGTCATAATATGTTTCCAGTGCAAAACACTGTCAAGTGTTAGATGAGTTCACAACTGGAAATTTTTACTTTATCATAAAACAAAATGTACTTATTAAAAACTTTGACGTTATTTGTATTATAACTAAGGCCAGTGAAACTTCTGAATTTGTCTGAGAGACAATGATTTCAAGCCCTTTTGTCTAAGCCTACATGGTGTTTTATTTAGAAAAATATTATAAGTTGTAAAATCCTCAGAATTATGTACTGTTGGAATAGTTGATATGTTTTGAACTGAAATTTTAAAATGTTACCCAGTGCGCTTTACAGAATCCTCTAGATAAATTGATCCAGTAGATAAGAGAAAAAATGATCAGCTACTTAGCAATAACTGGAAAGTTAATCATAATGGGAAGCTTATGAGTCAAACAGACTTGTCCAGAATGAGCAGATTGCTAATTTGGATAGCTTTCTAGTTTCCAAGGTTTTATGTGGAGTTTGATGTATAATCACTAAGAAGCTGGCAATCTGCATAGGGAAGGTGAAATGTATGGGTGATCCTGCCACAACTGCTCTTTCCCTGGTCCTAATATGATAAAAATTAAGGATGGAGAAACGATTTCAATTCTATCGTGTGTCCAGGGGAGAGAGCAAAGGATAGCTCAGTATACATCCCTTGCAGTGTTACAACATAAGACGTATGACATTGGTGTCCTGAGAAGGGCACATTTTTATAGCTAAGCACCAAAAGGAAGGGGGAAAGCAAAGTGACAGTTCTAAGAAGGAATGATAGCAAGCATAAAGGAATTTATATTCAAATATTTAAACATTCTTGAAAGGATGCTTGAACAGAAATTCCTTTTCTCTGCTCCCCACGTAGAAATGAGTTTAACACTCAGCCAGATGCTAATGCAAAGTGACTCAAGCTATTCCTCGCAAGCATAGCTAAATTGCCGTTATTTGTTAAGCGCATTGAATTCAGCTGTGGATACAGCAGTTGGTTGCATTCAGCAAGCATCTGTACCCTTTTTTTTTTTTTTTTTAATCCTCCAAAGCAGAGACAACTCTACCTATCTCCCCCTTCTCTTCCCCAGTGCTGGCTGGGAATTGTCAAGTGACAACCGACCAAATCCTTTTGGACAGGAAGCCTTCATCCTGAGTTCTATATACTTGCAAAGCAGGCCTTGTGGTTGGATCAGGGAGCCCATTAAAAGTACTTTGATGGTATGGAAATTCATCTTCATGAAGCTCCTAGGCCCCTAAGCAGCGTGCTGTTTAGCTGTGGTTACAGATCAGTCATTCACATCGGAGGGCAATAATTGCGCTGACGGCTTGTAAGGCAATGGAAGTACATAAAATAATCCTAGGCCTTCCACCATGGCACTGTGAGTTAATCTTCTCTAATACAGATCAGCTGTTGTTCTAACACATGACTTTATGCTGGCTTCAGTGACTCTGCACAGCCTTTTGATTAAGTAACAGGAGTGGAACCATCTGCATTCACTTTATTCCATACTTGTCCATTGTTAGGGGACCTTATTGCCACTTCTCGTTCCATCTCCACAGTCATACTTTATTTCTCTGATTAGCACCTCCTACTTGGGTTGCAGGAGTGAGAGTTGCCTCCGTTGATAGCTACTGCTTCAATTTTCCTTTCTCTTTTGTACAGTTATAACAACTTTAAAAAAATCCATTTTTGAAATAATACCTTCCAAAACCTGTTGGACAGTTAAGATGTCTCTGTTCTCAAGATGATCATCATTCCTGAATCTCTTCATCATGTACTTTCAATGCAGTTGAGTTACATCTTGAACTATGGTCTTATAATTTAGGAGTTTTTAAGTGAAAAACTTAAATTATGAAAATGAAGTAGTTTCATCATTGTAGTAGTATGGCAAACTCTTGTAATATAAAAGGAAACCTCAATCAACGGATCTGAATTATCTCATCCCTTATGTTACTCTGACACCTGAAAATGAAATTGAGATTATTGAAACTCTTTGAAGCAGGTATTACTCTAGTTTGTGGTTGACTTTTCCTGTTGAAATAACTTGGGTGTCATTTCTAGAATATTAATGATCAATCTATGTCTGTGTACATCATGAAAATGAGATAATAATGTCACACTTACATCTTTTAATTAGTAATTATTCAACATTAGCACATGCTATGTATTAGAGACGGTGGTAGGTACTGGAGGTATTGTATTAAACCAGAAAATATGAGCTCTGCCTTTATAGAACTTACAGTTTGGATCAAATTATTATCTGACTGCTACTCATTACATATTTATGTGTGTGAGCCCACCTATAGGAATTGAATAAAGACTCCATATTGCTTAGCATGTCAAATCAGTTACATCCTTGAGTTGACAAAGGTAGATATGTTTTCTCTCATATAAACCACATATCTATGCATATAGTGTTATTTTTCTAATACTTATCTTTTTATTAGAGTTTTATAATCACTCAATATTATCTATGGCCAATAAATATGTGGATTAGTAATTGGTTTGAAATTTTGCCATAGAGTTTAGTGAAAGACATAAAAAATATATGATAAATTCCTCTTACATTTTGCACTATTATCTTATATCACTTGAATCCCAAAAGAAGGGCATTTTTTTCTGTCTAAAGTAATACTCCCGGCCAGGCACGGTGACTCAAACGCCTGTAATCCCAGCACTTTGGGAGGCCGAGGCGGGGGGATCACGAGGTCAGGAGCTCGAGACCAGCCTGGCCAACGTGGTGAAACCTTGTCTCTACTAAAGATACAAAAAATTACCCGGGTGTGGTGGTGCACGCCTGTAATCCCAGCTACTCAGGAGGCTGAGGCAGGAGAATAGCTTGAACCTGGAGGCGGAGGTTGCAGTGAGCCGAGATCACGCCATTGTACTCCAGCCTGGGCGACAGGGCAAGACTCCATCTCAAATAATAATAATAATAACACTCCTAACTCCCCAAACCCAGAAAATATGTGTAAGGTAAGGAGTGAGAGAGATAAAGCAGAAAGAAAGAGGGAAAGGAACTGGGAGAAAGGAAAAAAAGAAAAGAAGTTCAGCCGGGTGCTTTACATCAACATAAAAGATATCATGACCTGAGCTCCAGATGATTGAAATCTTGTGGTGGAGATCTGTTTTCTTGGGTACACAGCCTTATACACATTAACTTTTCTTCATATCTCAAATAGCCAGCCACGTGGTTATCCCAGCTAGAAGGTCTTAATTCTGAAAAGCTGTAATTGGACAGTGAAAACAATTAGAGGTGTGAAGATAGGGACTGATGATTTCTCAGTGATATGTACCAAAACACATCATGAAAGTCATTTTTACCGAAACACATTTTAATGGAAGACTTCTAAGAGATTTTTTTTTAACTTCTTTACTTTTCCTGGAAGTGTTTCATCATACCCAAGAACTGTATGTGTCAGGTTTCTTGGAAACTCTGGGACACAGTGTTATTTATAATTGTCATCTCTGGTTAATTGTAGACTGATTGTATATTCAAATAATGTTATCTTTTGCCACACAGCTTTGTCACAGATTAGTGTTGTGGGTGAAAAAGTGAGCTTCTCAGGTATGAAGGAACAGAAAGAAGCCTCTCATATTTTGTTTTGTAAAAAACACACTTTGCTTCATTACCACCCAGATGGCACAACTTTGTTCATAGAGTCAAGTACAGATTCTTGAGCTTGTGTTTGAAAGTATCCATATTAATAAGAGATTATAAAAAGCTCAGTTTTTGTTGTCCTGATCCCACCAGACAGTCTTAATACAATAGAGGCCCAGTGCACTCAGCCGAAATGAGAAACAGACCAGAAGCTTTTCCGTTTGTGTCACTCACTCCATATATACTTAACCTGGGAAGACTGTGCCTTTACTGTCATAGCTGTTAGGAACGAGTTTCGCTACATGTATCAGGAAACCTGAATGTAGTAGCTTAGATAGTGATTCATGGCCGGGCACGGTGGCTCACACCTCTCATCCCAGCACTTTGGGAGGCTGAGGCAGGCGGATCACCTGAGGTCAGGAGTTTGAGACCAGCCTGACCAATACGGAGAAACCCCGTCTCTACTAAAAAATACAAAATTAGCCAGGTGTGGTGGCGCAAGCCTGTAATCCCAGCTACTCAAGAGGCTGAGGCAGGAGAATCACTTGAACCTGGGAGGCAGAGGTTGCGGTGAGCCAGGATCACGCCATTGCACTCCAGCCTGGGCGACAAAAGCGGAACTCCGTCTCAAAAAAATAAAAAAGTAGTGATTCATTTTTATCACATAATTGAAGCTCAGGACTAGGAGGTTGGTGGCATGAGTTCATCAACTTGATATCAGAGTTGAAATCTGTGATTCTCTTGTCTTTTCCCTTTGGGTCACAAAATGGTTGCTGCACCTACAGCTATCCCATCCCCACGAAGGCAGGCAGATTCAGGAAGGAGAAGTCATTTTCTCTTTGCTAACTTCAGTCTTCATTCATACGGGGGTATTTCATTCCTCTTCTCAAGCTGACTTCCACAAACATCTCATTGGCTAGAACTGGGTTATATGAACATCTTTAAGACCATTACTGGCCAAAGGAAAAGAGACTACTTTAAATTGATCATGAATTATTTTTTACCACTAAATTAGAGAGCTAATCCTGTCTTCTCTGAGATCAGGGGATATCTTCAGATCAAAGGTAATGTTAGCTGGGAAGGAAAGAAGGGCAATGGCTACTGGGTAGGAACAGGCGATTGTCAGCCACAGGCATATTACAAAAATGACATCAAAGCTCTCAAATATTTCCTTCATGAAACTGGTTTGTTTTGTTTGTCTTATAATTGTTACCATCTATCTATCTTTTGCCCTTCCACTCTTACATGTCCAGGGTCTTTTTTTTTTTTTTTTGAGGCGGAGTCTCGCTCTGTCACCCAGGCTGGAGTGCAATGGCGCGATCCTGGCTCACTGCAAGCTCCGCCTCCAGGGTTCAAGCGATTCCTCTGCCTCACCCTCGCTAGTAGCTGGGACTACAGGCGTGTGCCACAACGCCTGGCTAATTTTTTTGTATTTTCAGTAGAGGCAAGGTTTCACCATGGTCGCCAGGATGGTCTCAATCTCCTGACCTCATGATCCGCCCGCCTTGGCCTCCCAAAGCGCTGGGATGACAGGCATGAGCCAATGTGCCTGGCCCATGTCCAGGTTCTTATACCTTGTCTGGGGTTCACAAAGAATTGAATGACACAGAAGCATGTGCACAAGAAGACGTTGCTTGATAACAGGTTAAATCTATAAACGTATATTCACATACACACCGTATACATGTTAAGACCAACTTCTGTATTTCTTTTCTTATGTAAAACAGATGTCACTCACAAAAATAAGCATGCATATGTGTGCATATATCTCTTAAGGCAGAGAATTTATTCACTGAACATTAATTGCCTACAGTGTACCTGGAATATAAACATATAATGCATGCTATGAATTCATCTGTCATTATAAATCATAGCTGGAAAAATGTCTTCCTTTTTCTGCTGAGCTTTAGTGAAAATTCTTTGTAATTTTCTGTCAAATAAGATGGAAATTTGGTAAATAACATGTATATTTTAATTAAGAATTTACTCAATAATGACAGTAGTTTCATTTTTGACCCTTTCTGAGTCATATTCATAAGAAGCCTTACCACAGACTATATAGGCTGATTGTAAGTAAAGGTTAGTTTTGTTTGTCTGGCACTTGGAAACTCGTCCATTACAACCACCTCTTTCCTGCCATTGTCCAACCCTTTTCTTTCCCTTTAACAGAGTGCCAAACATGAAATGACAGTGACCAATGTTGACTTAATGTGGATGTTTAATAATAAAAAAAAGTGTGTCATTCCCAGCATTAGTTACAAATGGCAGTAAGTGTATCGGATGGCAGCCCTGTAATAATTTTACATCCATCATTCTTTCCTGATGCTTCGCTGGCCATCTGATGGATGGGGCCAGCAGTGTTAACTCTTCGGAAACTGACACAGTGTATGTAGTTCAGCATTATCTAACACATGCTCCTTCCCTTAGATAAGGAGAAGGGCTGTGAGGAATTGTGAATTACAGGTTTTGCTTTAAAAAAGTGAATATGAAGGAACTCATGCCTCTCCAGTCGGTGGAAGTTGCTTCCATTAATGATTTACGGATGGGTTTTATAAATGTTGCCTTTAGCTAAAGTGAATTATAAAAGTCAAATTAGAAATAGATATTTCAATAGCTAGAGAAAAATTGTATAAAGGAAGTAGGCATGTTAGGTAAATCCTTCTGGAGGAAAATAAGATAGACCTTTGCAACAGTGTGGTAAAGCAGATTTTACTAGGGGTGTGTGTGTTTTTAAAAAATGTTCCCAATGTTTTAAATCCTCTGGTTAGAATTTGCCTAAGAACAAATTAAAATAACACAAGTGATTAATATTTTCTCGTTTTAAAGTGAGCGTATATTATTTTTTAATCTCTACATTTACATGTAATTATTTATTTGGTGACTTTAATTAAAAGATACACAAAACCTGAAGTTGAATATTTGCCTTCTTATTATCAGAGTCTCTCTACCCTGCAAATTTATATAAAATGAAAGGGAAACGGCTTTCTAGGCAACTGATTATTAGAAAATCTAGACCAGCTTTTTATGTGCAAGTTGGCATTTGATCCTTAGGTTTTCTTTTCTTTTGTTTTTTCATTCATAAAACCTTCTTAATTCTGAGTATCTTAGCTAGGGAACACTTCTTATGGGACAGGAGGGGAGAGGAAAACCCCTTAGTGAATATTATCAGCACAGAGCAGCCAGTTTTCAAAGACCATGACAAAAAGGCAAATAGGTATTATGTCATCACCATCCATCACTCTGTATGTCAGCCTTTCAATAATTCCAATCGACATTCTCGACAGGCTGATGCAAGTTAAAGGGGCTGTTTGTTTTTAGAAATTGAGTATAGGCTGTCTATAGCCTTTTGTTCTAGATGGTTTTCTTCTGTGTCTTTTCATTTCTTTCTCTTTATTTCTTTTCTTTTTGGGGGTATTTAATTGAAATACATGCCGAGTCTGCAGACTGCAAAGATCAGAGCTGTTTTCGTCCAGCAGTGGTAACTATGCATTAAACATTTTGATTTGTTTGAGCTTGAAGTTTAGTCCTTTTTTGCCATTTGCTTCATGGAGTTTGTGTATATTTACAGCCTCTGCATTTAATGGCCACATGCCTTATTTTCACAGATGGCCAGTGGAAGACTTTTTCTTTCTCTTAGTATAGCCTGCTTTCAGTTTTGCTACATTTGTCACAGTGCCACTACTTGCAGCTAGCAAGTGCCCACGCTTGGTGGGGAGCAATTATGGTGTGAGTTTTTAAGGAGCTTTTTAAAGGTTTTTTTTTTTTCCAGTAAACTTTTTATGGTTTAATTTTCTAGCCTAGAAAAGCTGTGCATGTTTTCAAACAGAGAGTCTTGTGTTCTTTACATCATTCTGGTAGAGGGGTTAGTGTAGGATGGTCCAATAAAATGAGACTCATAGGGCATGCCAAATTGGGCTTTCAGAGAGACACCCACAGGCCTCTCTGATGATTGAAACTGTCTATTTGTTTAGGGATTCGAGGATATGCTCACAATAGTACTTCTGAAAAGATAAGTTTGAAAACACCATGTATAGAATGATGTTGATTTTTTTAAGTATATTATTTCCATAATGCATAGATAAAAGACTAAAAGAATATACAACAAAATGGCAACAATAGTTTAGTTATGCCAAGGTTATGGGGTTGTAAATTTTCAAATGTATTTCCACATTTCTGAATTTTCTAATTTTCAATAAGTAAAGTAAGACTCACTTTTGTTGTTGGGCCAGAACTGCTCTTTATAAAAGCCTAGCCTATCAAAGAGTGGTCTTTCTTTTCCCCCTTGATTCTTTCCTTCTTCTCCTCAAGATCAAACAGCTGCCCTCAAGACACTTACTTACAATGAAGACACTGAAATAATAAAGGAGAAGTTTGTTTTGCAGTTACTCTCTATATTTAGTAGATAGATTCTTTATTATGTTTATTGCAAGCTATTTTACCAATATGGATTTAAAACTATTATTAGGAAAATAGGAGGAATGTCGCATTTATTTAAAGGGTCTCATTGAATCTTTCCAATCACATCTCTTCTCCTCTTTTACCAATAAAAAAGACTTGCTTATGCCTATGTCATAGGAGTATAACAGCTATTGATATTTATTTTGTACCTTAACATTTTCTCATGGCTTTCCCTTCATATTTTGTTCTCACTCTGTAATGTAAATAGAACAGTATTCTTTGTTTAAAACAATTTTTTAACTTGAGATTTGAGAAGAATAGAGGAATTCAAGTGGCAGATCAGTCTTTAAATTGAAGTCTTACAGCTCAAAGCCCAGTCTCTTTTCTAACGGAATATGGAGAGGGAATTCCAGAAAGTAACGCAGTTCCTGTTCAATTCGCCTGTGCCCCAGCATTGGTCATGTGTAGCCCTTGGCACATTTTTGAGACTTGATCAAAAAAATTTTGTTTAAGCAATCACCATCTCCACAATCTGTACATCTGTTTTCCAATTCTTTATTTTTCCTGTATTTGCTCCTTCCTTCGTTCTTCCTGTCTTCACTGCGCACCAAACCCCATCACTGGAGAAAGAACCAAGAAAGCAAAAACAATATACTCAATCCTAGTTACTTTGTTTCTCCTAGCAGCTCTGATAAAACAAGTGACGAAGTTTCAGCTATTCATTATAAGGAGATTTAAAATATCTATTCTAATATATATTTTTCTCTCTCTGTATTTAAAACTACCATGGATAGTTGAAAAGAGAACTATAACCCTGATGTGCCTGTTTCTATTGTCAGACCCAGCATTTCTGAACCAAGCCATGACTCTTTAAAATGGTCAGATTATATTTATTTAACTGAAGTAACTACTGGCTACTGAGGCTACATTTGTAAGAATCCTGCCAGTTTTATAGCTTTTATTCCATGAACAGGAAAATTTGAAGAAAGTAATCCTATATGTTTCTGTAGCTCAGTAACTGAGTTACCCATTGTTTATAGAATAATTATCATCAGACAACATTCCACTTTTGTGTTTACATTTGTGTAGCCCTCCCACCAACTGGACATCCTGTGTAGGTTGCAAATTGTATTATTTTTCTTAGTTGGCCTCCTGATTTTCTCACATTAACCCTTCTGATTTGACTCAGTATGTATAACATGTCTGTCTGCCACGGTTTGGAAGAAACACAACCTTTTCTTTAGATATTGGCTGAAGCCTGACCATATATAAAGACATTTAAAATCCCAGGTTTTGTTTTTTTCCCCTCCTGCCTCCCTTCTTCCACATGTACACACCATAAGCACCATGATAACAAAGAAGCAAGGGCCCATATTTTACTGTGATAGTATTCCTGTGTAAAGTTCTTGGTGAATTGTTTGTTTTCTATACATTCTTTTGAGTAGCTTTTCTGTACATTACACATCCGGGCCATAGGGATTTTTTTCCTCCCTGTGGCAGCGGTTTTCTATTTTAAGGACTAAATTCATAATGTTGAATGGGGACGTGTAAGTGTGTCTTTAACAAAGTACCTGAATTTGTAAGTGTAATTACTGTTGGACAGTCTCTTCACAAAATATGTCTGAAAAGCAATCAGATTTTTGTTTTTTTCATAATTTGAAATGTCTTCCTTGAATTTAAGAAAAGAATTATGGAATTATTGATTACAAAACCATAGCTTTAAGTGTTGAAACTTATTAATGATTTTTGAGAAAATTATCTTTTATGAATAGAGAAAGTATAAAAATATGACAAATTACACAAGAACCTGAAAAAGAGACTTCAGTGGAGTGGAAAGAAAATATCAGCGATAGTTGTCTTTAAATATCTTGCACATCTCCAGGTTTAAAAAGAATCAAAGCCTGTTTTCTGTGAGATATGTGTCAAAATAGTTTTGTTATATTGAGTTCAGTCAAGTAGGACATAAAATCATAGAATTGAAGGTTTGAAAGAAAATGAAAAGGGCCTATCATTCAACCTTGAATTGCTTCTTCAGTATCTGTAATATGCTAGGCAGGTAGTCGTATGTCCACCACTTGAAAATCTCTAGGAAGGTGGAAACTTCTTCCATCCTGAGACAGCCCATTCAATGGATAGGCAGCTCTGACTATTAGATCACTCTTCCTTCACTGGTTCATTATCTTTCACCTGATAACTTACAATCTTTGATCAGTGTTCTATCTCCTGACTACATATGGCCAAACTCTATCTCTGTTTCACAAATAACAGCTGTTTATTCTTTTTAAACATGGAGGTTCTTAAGATATTTTATGTAAAGACAATGATTGTTGATTTTTTCTTCCTACTCTACTCAAACCTTTTTTTTTCAGGATCCTGTGTAATTTCTTCATTATGACAACAAGGTTTAATGGATAGGAGGATGCTCAAAAACTGAGTTAAACTAAGTTAAGTCCAAGCAATTATTATCATTGAGTTTCCCCGGTCTGCATTCCAACACCTATTAAAAAAGAAAATGAGGCCATTATAACATTAGTTTAGTGAATCCATACCAGCTTCCTGTCATTACCACAACCTCTACCAAGTGCTCTGAACTAATCTTTATAGGTAGCCCCATCTTTTCTGGAGTATACATTAAGTGCTAAAGTCATATTTCCTCAAATTTCTCTCTTCATAAAAATCAAAATTAGATATTTGTCATCAGTTTTGAAATATCCCTCCCATTTTAAAATCACTTCTTTGAAAATCATTAATAAGGATTCATCAGTATTATCAAGTCATTTTCATATATTGAAAAGTTATTCACCTGGACCAAAACTCTCAAATTTCTACACTGTGTGTTTCTGAACCATCTTCGACTTTGTAGTACTTCTTAAGAAAACTTGATCTGTTAATACATTTCACTTGATCAGATTGCCTGATGAAACTAACCTACTAAGAAGTTGAGTCAGAATTATACAAGCAACTTTTCATGAAGCAAGCTACCAAATTTTACAAAAGGAAATTAGATTCTGGAACAAAATTATGGGTTTCAATTCATGAGGGAATTCAGAAAGGGAAAAAAAAAAATCAGTATTAGATAAGGCAGATTTTGTGGATACCTAGACCAGAGGATGTATATGGACCTTTCCATCCCCTGAGTTCATATCTCACTATAATTCTCAATGGAGAAAATGAATAGAAAAATTTTCTTCAAGGATTATTAAATTCCAGAATACCAAAGGGTCTATGGCTATTCTCACGGATAAATTCATACTTGATGGAGGTAAAATTAGTGACAGATCTCTTCAACATGTACTTTTGTTAGAGTTAGAGGAAAGTGTGTATTTGTGTGAGTGTGTATGTGTGTGCACACACATATAGTTTATATATCATTTATACATAACTTACAAGAAACCCTTTTCTCCCATTTTCGGTGTTATATTATGTGGGTAGATGATTATTTTCTAAAAAAATTGAGATATTAATAAGCAAGAGTGAAACGAGAGGTTAAAGAGTGGACATGCGCCTTATTTCTTTACACTTAAGCTGATGAAAAAAATCTCCAACTGATAAATCGTTATGACATTATAAGTAATCTTTCATCTTCTTTGGTGGTCTGTGAGGTTCACATAATTGGAGGGTTTTTTGTTTCTTTCTTCCCGTGTCGTTAATATAGTAGAAGACCATAAAGAAGTGCAGCCAGAAGAGGTTTAACTGTTACTGAGTCAACATTTGACAGTCACACTCTATTCTGTCATTTCATGCATGTGCTTTTTATGACTTTTATAGCTTTGTGAGCTTTATTTCAGGGATGTCCATTATGATAGCTGATCCATAGCCTATCTCTTTGTGTATGTGTGTCTGGTGGAGAGCGAAGCTCATCACTTAGCTGAATCCCAGTTTCAGGGAGTAATAGATGACTTATCTACTCACGCACTGTTTAATTTAGGATTAGGTAACTAAGGAAATATCTACCTCTAAAGTACAGTTTGTGTGTTCTTTTGTTTTGACTGCTCTGTAAAATATCAACATAGGATGCCTATTAGAACCTTTGCAAAAATAGTGAATTTTCAGTTGTTTTTTATTTTTTTTAAGTCAAAATAATGGAGCAGGGAAAATTTTTCAGTTTAAATATGTACTAGACTTACAGTCTGGAACTGTAACTCATCATGCCTGAGTATGAAATTGAAATAAAAAACAATGATTGAATATATTGTAAATGATAGACAAAGAGGGGAAATTTCTGAGAATATTTAGAGTTGTTACTAAAATTCCCTTTTTTAGTGCATATTTGGTTATACAGAATAGAGTTTATAATCATAACAGGCTACTTAATACTGAAATTTAACTATTTCTGTAATTCTCACATGTTAGATTCCCTGTCTTTTCAATTTTCCCCACTGACATTTTAAAAATAATATTAAAAGTATATCTATCTTAAAATTTTCAAACTAATGAGAATCTAACACATGTTTAACTATCATTTTACAAATTAGGATTCTGGGACTCGAGGAGGATAACATATTTGTCTAAAGCAGTATGGCTAATATATACGGCAGAGAGTTTGATTAAAATATGATATTCCTGATGCCAAAACTCATTATTTTCTAACCTCAAAAGTGTCCTCTTCCCATGAATCCCTGTGGCCTTTCGCCATTCAGAATGGTTTTTGGCTTAGAAGTATGAATTGATACTGACCACCTCCAATCAACAAAGTGTCCATATCTCTTTAGCTATTTCTTGGCTCCCCTTTTAGATTCCCACCATAGCCTGGGATTATGTGCAAACAGTACACATGCTGTTTTGCATTATGCAAGTCTCTGGATAAGTCACAGAGCACAAGACCAGCTACCAAGTTCCCCAAGTGAATACTAATACGTTAATAATAGTTTTCTGTATGTCAGATTTTGGAGTTACTCATTTGCACCCAGGAAACCATGTGGTCTACAACTGTCTTCTGTCGATGAGATACAATTCACTTCGATCTTGTTTCAAGTCAACATAAAATCAGAAGATTTTTTCAAGTCTGTTTTTAAACAGACTTAACCTAATGTTTCTCCTTGATCTCAGCAAACCTGCAGAGTTGTAAAGATGTGATTAGGCAGATAAGACTCATCTTTGCAAAGGAATCTAGTTGTTATCCCATTGCTAGTTTTTATTCAAGAGAGAAAGCATACAGGTCATCTTGTTTGGCCCATACCCCAGGACTTTTACATGTTGACTACTTTGTTGTAATTAATCTCTTTTTGCCCTCTATTCTGACATCATTCAGCGCATTTAGAATTCTGGCGAGTATTCCTTTAAATGTATAAAAATGTAAAAAGAAGGTAAAGGAGAGAAGACCAATCAATCTTGTCATTTTCATATCAGCATTCCTAAGTGCTGTGCTGGATTTGTGTTCCAGAATGGTGACCTTTAAATGGGGGAATGGGATGCTATTTTTCTGCAGAAACTCTTGAGTAACATGATTTTTATCAGAGCCGTGATTTTTATCAGATTATAAGATCTATATCACCAACATGATTTTTATCAGATTATAAGATCGGTAAAAAATTGTCACTTGTGCCCATCAACATTTATTTGTTTTCCCAAAATCAGTTTCTTTGGTGTTTCCCATTTTCAACATCTTCCCACTTAACCCTCTGCTTACCTGAAATCTACTGTCCTTGTTTTGTTCCATCTGCCTCTATTTAGAAAAGAGTAATTTATTTATAAGAAATTTGAGAATCAAAATATTACCTTTTCCAGTAGTATTTGCTCTTATGAAAAAACACTTTTAGAAAAGGAAATATTTAACCCACAGAACAGAACCTCAAATGGTTGAGCTTTATACATGATAGTGCATAGGTGAACTCTTTCAGAGAGGGGATGGCTGGAGACAGGTGGGATTAAAAGGATAGAGTAGGAGAGATTTTTCTAGTGTGTCAGCACTTCTGCTTTATAACATTTGGCTGAGTCTTTCCCCTCCTATATGCCATTCAATTGAATTTAAACTTTTGAGAACTATTCTTAAATCCCATTCATTCTTTTGGTGGTTCAATATATTACCTAGACACCTAACCACATATAAATTTATATCTACTTTTATACATAAGTACTATGTGTCAGCTTTATAGGATCAGTTGTCATATGGAATTATAGGACAATTATTTTTTACTTAAGTTATTGTCTCCTCACATCAGTTTCTTTTTCTTCTGAATTTATTGTCCACACTTTTTTTAAAAAAAATGTGGCAACGTTATCCTTTTGATTTGCATGCTGTTATAATCTGTTTTAATTAAAGGCATACCTCACATTCTCCATTTCCTGCAATCACCTTTCCTTTTGCCTGTTCTCATGTCTGTTAGCTTAAATTACTATACAAAGGGTTACGAGAAAGTACAGCTTACTGTGTTGACTTCCACTATGTCCCACTGACGTCCTCTTGAGAAGCATAGTAAGTTTTACTTTTGGGTAGCTAACTGAATCATTTTATTAATATTGGGTGCATTAGTGGTGGATAATTATAGGTTACTTATTGTAAAAACTGAGTGTGACTTTCCTGCTCATATTTGTTAATTTTAGTCTCTTGGTAAGACAGCACAGCATCTGTAGAGCTGAACTCAGAACCTTGGAAGTCACTTAACGTGTCGTTCTTTTTCTACTTTGATTAATTTTGCTTTTTCTTCTTGAAAGACTTTGCTTCAGAATGGAAAACTCTCTAGAAAATGTGTAGTATTATTGCCCTATACTGTTAAATCAAAAGCTAAGAGGTGATCCAAGCCCCGTACATTCCTCAAAGAGAGTACAGTAAAGTCTTCATTGACCCGAGGACTATCAGATCATGTTGATGGAATGTGTGTATGTGTGCGTGTGTTTTCAAATGTAACTGTCTTTTGTTTTAACAGCTACATTTACTGTAAAGAAAGTCTGTTAAGCTGGTGTCCTTGATGCTCCTGAGCTCAGCTGAATATATACAGCCGACTCTCTCAGCAAAAGACATCCAAAACATATGAAGCAGCTGAAAACAACAACTTCACACACAAAACAAATCGAGTCAGATTCTACAGTTTTAAATGCGTAACTTATTTCAACTTTAATACTATTTAATTCTATAGAACTAAAGTTAATATAAACTATTTTGTCTCCAGTTTCTCTACTGTATTTTATACTGATTGACAATTTAAAAATAGTTTTCTATTAAATAATGTACATAATTTGATGAATAGAGTACAGGAGTTCCAAGGCCACTGACTTAAGAGATTTTTTAATTTAGTATGTACAGTTGTCACATTGTCAGAGACTTCATTGAGATAAAGCATGTACTGTGTTAAGAATTTCAATATCTCATTAGTTCTTGGTGGGAACATTAGTTGGGCCCTTTACCTGTAATACAATTATCTTACATCATTGATTACTTTCTGTGAACATTTTATTGTGTCAATAGCAGTTCTGCAGTGTATGTCGTTCACTAGTATGATTCATGACTATGTTCCTCAGAAAATGAGGTGAATAATTATAAAGAAACTTGAGATAATGTTATGAGATCCAATGGATGCATTTCTTAAAACTGTTTTGGTGCTGTTTGGTACTACATCATCCTCAGAGCAGTGCTGGAGAGTTCACGAGAAAGTTATCAAGTTTCATTATATGCTTTTTCTGTTCCTAAAGTCACCCAGTTTCTTAATTTGACAGTAATGTCTCATATGGTTTAGATTAAGCATTATATTTTTCTTAAAAATAATTTATTTTGAAATGCTATGTTCTCCATGAATGTGAATCGTGCACTGCATGCTTAAACAACTTGATGTCTCTGTAGATCTAATTTTGGTATATTTGTATCTCAAATAATTCGCCAACTCAATATTTTGGCTTAGCAATCCAAATCAAATTGTGGTCCAAGTAGCAGGCACTCACATTGGATGTACAGAGACTTGACAAGCAATTAGCAATGAATATTTAAACGTCTTCATTACCCTTGCATGAGGAATGCAGATGGCATTTGGGAAGATGGCAACCAGAGGGCACTACTGTGAATTATGTTTCTATTATTTGGTCACCTGACTATTGGAAGACTTTCTCTGGGCTTCACGCCACTCCTATACTTCTACTGTCTGGCCAAAAATAAAGCAGACATTCCAAATGTAAAACAGGTTGCTTCCATGAAATTTCTGTGCACATTTTGTAATTTGGGAAGGTTGTCTCCAAGGATCCCGGCATATATCCCTTAGGCATACCAAACCCAAACGCCAAGACTTTATAGGGGTCTATGAGAATCAGAGTTCCTTCAAAAATCGTGCTGATCATCCCCTTAATGACTTCAGGTTAATGTGCTGAACGTAAAAAGGTGAATATATCAACATTGCATCCTTTCCAGGAGTTAATGTATTATATATGTGGCCCAAAAAAAGAAAGTCTTCAAATAATTTTAATTCCTAGACTGATCTCTCATTATAATTTTTTTAAAGGAAAAAACAACACTGGAGAGTCTGACTCAGCAACTGGCAGTTAAACAGAATGAAGAAGGAAAATTTAGCCATGCAATGATGGATTTCAATCTGAGTGGAGATTCTGATGGTTTGTGAAAATTGTTCATACATATTCTAATAATGCAAGAAAGTGTCTAGGTAGTGCCAATTAAAACTGCTAAAAAATAGACTAGACAGCCACCTCATACCTCATCATTACAATAAGAGGTCACATATACTGAGCAGTCCCCATGTGCCAAGCACTCTGCTGAGTGCTTTGCAGAAATCGTCTCATTTAATTCCTAGTCAACCTAGGATAAGTCCCATTGCAGAGAAAGAGCCTGAGCCTCAGGAGTTTTGAAGCATTTTCCCCAGGTCACAGGGCTCTAAGTGTCAGAGGCAAGAATTAAATTCGAGATGGCATGATTCTAAAGCAAATGCTCAAAATGCTTAGCTTCCCAGGCTCAAGTGATCCTCCCACTTTAGCCTCCCAAGTAGCTGGGATTATAGGTGCATGCCAACATGCCCAGCAATTTTGTTTTTTTTTTTTGAGATGAGGACTTACTTACTATGGTGTCCAGGCTGGTCTCAAACTCCTGGGCTCAAGTGATCCTCCCACCTCAGCCTCCCAAAGTGCTAGTTTTATAGGCGTGAGTTACTGCATGCGGCCTCACTTCCCTATTTCTTGTACCCAAAATGAACTTTTTCAGAAATTTGTTTCTATTGGCTCATTTTTTAAGTTTCTATTTGTCAAGCCCTCACCAGAATACATGGCTCAGAGGACATTTCCACGATAGTTTCTTACATTTTGGAACCCTTCTCCCTAGTGCTATGTACTACATAGTCAAGTGTCGGGCCCACTCTCTATAACCTAACTAGAAACCAGCTGCACAGCTTTATGCTCCCTTCTCATAGGCCTTCAGACTTCTGTTTTCTGTATCATCTCTGAACATTCTAAACATCCACAGTGAGAAGAAATTAAATTGATACTCTGATTTTTAATAGCGTAGCAAAGAGGGAAAAAGAAGGAAGTGCTGTTCTTCTTATACAATACCCTGACCGGGAACATCTCTCTACTGTCAGGTGGCATCCATGCATTTTAAGCATTCCTTTGGCAGTACCGCCCTCAACTTTGTTACTACTACAGGGAAGTTCCCTGCATATAGAGAAGAGTGCACAAAGGCAAACCAGTGAGATGCATACTTTGAGAGGGGGTCCCCTTGAATCCTCCAATATACACAACTGTTTACTCTGTGCCTTGGGCCAATTCTACTTTTAAGACCAGGTCTATACTAATCAAGGGACTAAACAAACCTGAACGTTGAAACACGTAATTCTATCAAAACTGAATTTTACTCAATTGGATTCAATTTGCATTTTTCTGGGTCTAATGTTGCAAACATTTTCTTCTATTTTCAGCTCCACTTAGCTAAGATAAACCTAGCCTATGTACATTTAAAGAGCTTGTTTAGATTTGATGAAGACACATAATGTTCATTTTATTGCTTATGTTGCTGTAAGGTGTAAGAACAAGAAAAGGCAGATGTGCAAATGATCACTTGCTAGTTACAAACCCATTTTAGGAAGATGTTGCCATATATTTGCACTTATTTTGTCAATAAAAGACAATTACGGGTAATAACACATTTCATAAATTTTAAGTTGTATTAGCATGATAAAATATACCCACAGTAATCAGCATTAACACATCAAAGTTTTTGTTGCTGTCATTACCTAAATTCAATCATGCTTGTATGTGAAATATTTTCTACTTTTCATTAAATCAAAGAGCATGTTATTAATGAAAAATATTGAGAAACTTCACCAACAGGTATGCTATGTTTTGAATGTGCTGCTATAGAGGTCTTCAAGTTTGGGCAATTTTGTTTGATTCCTGTGTCTCCAAATTTAAAAATAAAGAAAAGATGAGGAATGAATACAAAGCAAGAAAAGAAAAGCAGTGCTTTTGTTGATAATACAGTCTCTACAAGTCCCCAAAGTATTTTTAAAGTTTTGGATACTATCAAAATACATCTACTTATTTTGTGATAATACCCAGTGAAAACCTACTGTCAGAGTTCTACTGGTTCTCCTTATTTTCTCTTTGCCTAAACTCAAGTATCTTGGAAGCAATTTAATCTGCTGAAGCCATTCTAAGGGGTCACATAAGGCTGGAGGAGTGAATGCAGCTTCCAAAGCTATCGTTGTTAACTCTTGAATTGTGTTTTATCATCTGTGAATCTTACTGATTGAAATGTGACTGTCCATGGGACTCTTTGGATAACTTTAAATATTAGGGGGAAAATTCAAAGGAAATTATTATTTTTCTCATCTTAAACATGTGACTGTAGACTCCTTAAGAAACTAGAGGAATGTAACTGTTCATTTGTTCTTTTCCATACCAGTTTTACATATATTTTGGGGGGCAGACCTGTCATTGCTGTATCAGCATATGTCATGCATTTGTCAGCATATAATTTCAAAGAAAAGCCAATTATATTACAGGGAAATACCTATATTGTTTTTAACCTCAAAATTTGGTCAGTGTTTTTATTTTTGTAACCTCGGAGAGAGAAAGAGAACATAAGGTACTATATGTTCAGACAGTCTTTAAGTAGCAAAGATATATCCTCCCCTATAATCATCCATTCTGCCAAATTGATTTGTGCTTCTTTACCTATTTAATGTTTCTACACTACTGGTATGCCTGTTGATTTAATCTGACTATCCTCTTTCCGAATTGCATCAAAAATCACATATCGGAGTTTATTTTGAGCTGTTGAAAGTAAATGGTGAAACAGTCCATTGAAAGAAAGAGAAAACAGATTAGAAATTGGTTAAAAATACAAATATAACATTTGCCACCACAAGGCTTATCAGAAAAACTTCATAAACAAGCATCTGTCTTAAGAACTGGAAGTACCATTATCAGAAGTACTTTTTCTTTTCAGATATCTTAATAGACTGAAAAATAGGAATGCAAGGAAAAGAGCTGACAAAAGTTTTAACGCTAACACGAAGTGATGTTTCCTGTTTTCAGGAAGTGCTGGAGTCTCAGAGTCAAGAATTTATAGGGAATCCCGAGGGCGTGGTAGCAATGAACCCCACATAAAGCGTCCAATGAATGCCTTCATGGTGTGGGCTAAAGATGAACGGAGAAAGATCCTTCAAGCCTTTCCTGACATGCACAACTCCAACATCAGCAAGATATTGGGTAAGAAAACCATTAAGAACTAAGTGACGTATGGAATAAAGGTACTGTTCTGTTTTCTGCAGTTGTGGAAGGATCCTGGATTTGGAGGCCATACAGGTCGTGTTATTTGCTTATCCAGAAAATAAACATCATCATTGAGGCTTCTTCTGGTGATGAAGCATTCTATGTCCATTGAGAAATATGCCATATTTCTATAGCTCATGTAGCTGTTTGTCTTCATACTAATTATTTTAATGCTTTATCTTCTTCAAAAATCTAGAAATATTTTTACTAAAGCTGAGAAAAAAGTTGCTTTCACATGAGCCACTAGATATTGCTACTGATCATTTGTATTCATTTCCTTGCATACTATAGACAACTTACTGTTAATCTTAAGGCCTCCTTCCTCTCTCATCATCCTCTGTAACAGAAGGATAAGGAGTTTTATTTGCGGAATTCATCTTGTTGTGGGGGTGAGGGTGGAGGTGGGGAAGATGTTTGTTCCAGTGCTATAATTGAAAATCAGTTTTAGATTTTCAGAACACAAGAAGATGTAGAGTGTACATTTTTACATTTATACTTTTAGTAACCTTAAGTACTAAAGGTACTTTTAGTCATACTAAATACTTTTCTGCCATTGCAACATTCAATTGAACAGAAAACAAAGTACGCATTTACTCTACCCACACAGAGACTGTAGCACACAGGAAAAATGGTTGGGGAGAAAGGGTGCTGATTATAAAGATACCTATTATAGACCAGTTCAGGTCCCAGGGGGAAAAAGAAAAAAAGAAGATTCCATTGCTTTTGTGCCTTATCTGACATCATTATCACTGTCATTGTCATTCATCACTGTCTGATGGCCAGATACTAGACAACCTAAGAAAATTTTGATGATTCACTCTGTGACTTCTAAGAGTTAAGTGACAAAAATAGAATAGAAACATTTTATCAGAAAATGTTGGTTTTAACAAATAAGTAACAAAATTTGTCAAAATTATTAAAGTTTTATTAGAATTCGTAAGGCACTTGGAATTACACGGAGTTTATAAAAATAGTATCACTTTTGATTCATTACAGATCATCTATAAATGGCAAACATATGCATGAGGTTTTGTTTTGCAGATGGAGTCTCGCTTTACCGCCCAGGCTGGAGTGCAGTGGTGTGATCTCGGCTCACTGCAACCTCCGCCTCCCGGGTTCAAGCAATTCTTCTGCCTCAGCCTCCTGAGTAGCTCGGATGACAGGCGCGGGACACCATGCCCAACTAACTTTTGTATTTTCGCAGAGAGAGGGTTTCACCATTTTGGCCAGGCTGGCCTCGAAGTTCTGACCTCAGGTGATCCGCCCACCTTGGCCTCCCAAAGTGCTGGGATTACAGGCATGAGCCACCACGCCCGGCCGTATGTTTTTATGATCCCATATTCTCAACAAAGATAATAGATGCCACCTAGTCCACAAGGTGCATTTGTAATGGGATCAAAACAAACCATTAGCCACTTAAAATTGTGTCTCATTTTTCACCTAAATGTTATCTAAAAAGACATGAACATGCAAAGCTTTCAGTAGTATACATAGAAAATATGAAAATCTGTGTGTAAAAATATATATCATGCATAATCAAAAACTTGAACTGATCAAGAGGAAATACACATTTTTTTACATCTCTACCAGCTCTGATCTATTTTTCCCTTTTGTGACTATATTTTTTGTGACTATATTCTACCTTCCATGTGAAATTTCCTATCTTTAAAAAACAACATACCAGTTTCATTTGGGAAAACTCTAGAAAAGAATACTTTATGTAAGCATATTTCATGTTTTAATATATCAGTTATTCCCAAATTAGAAATCCAAAATTGTCAGAATAAAAACCAAGTTAAATACTAAGATTTCAAAACTGTCTTTATATTATTCAATTCTTGTGTCTGAATACCAAAAAGGTGATAATCATTAATTAAAACTATCTTAACTATAAGAGAAATATCAGTTTTGATGATAAGAAATGATATTTTAGGAAATGTAGCAAAAGTATCTATGGAAAAGAGATGACTGGCTATGAGAATTCCCTTCTGATTTGAGGGAAAGAATATTAGAATGACCATATGATTATATTATAATAGACAACATGAAAGAGAATACTGCCTAATTTCAGTCTTTCTGATGAAAATGTATTCTTTAAAGATATAACATTTATATTTAGGAACAAATAAAACATTGAGGTATTTTGGGCTCAATATTTAGTCACAGCTTTAAATAAATAAGTGATCTTCAAATATCCACAAGATCATTCTAAATGACCCATTTCATACAAAAGTACAAAGAAAGCTTGATGTTTTCCTCTTTGCTGATTGTTTTGGATAACAGCCTCCGACAGCATGCCGCTAATTCATTCTGCTTAAAACAGGCGCTTGAGCTGGGTTGACATTTTACGTAGTCTCTGGGGATCGTAGTTGACATTTTAAAGGGCTTCTAAGCATTTTATAATACCCTAAAATCTGGTTTTAATAAGCCATTCTGCTGAAATTGTTAACATAAGGAATCACCTTTTACTGCTTGGCGCTAGATCAGGGGAAGAGGGACATCTTTTTCTGATTAGATATACAGTAGTTTAGTTGGAGTAAAATGTGCAAATTCACTACAGACCCCACGGAGATGACAATGTTGCCCAGCGCAAACTCTTCACTTTCAGTGTATTGCCAGATTTAGAAAGGAAAGGAATAATCGTTGGACCTTATTTTTTCCCCTATTTTGAGCATCAAATACTTTTGATTGAAACTTCCTCTTTTGTCATCAGGAGGAAAACCCAATTGTCCTTCTCTGCTTTTTATTATTATTATTATTATTATTATTATTATTATTATTATTATACTTTAAGTTTTAGGGTACATGTCCACCATGTGCAGGTTAGTTACATATGTATACATGTGCCATGCTGGTGTGCTGTACCCATTAACTCGTCATTTAGCGTTAGGTATATCTCCTAATGCTATCCCTCCTTCTCTGCTTTTTTATTCTAAAACGACAACCTTTTGAAAGCAGCAGGGAATGAATAAACTCCCTGTACATCAGTCCAGAGTAAGCAGCCAGCCACCCCCAAATCAAGTAGATATTTTTTCTCTCTTTTTTTTTTTTTATTGTTGTTTATCCAAAATATTTTCCTGCCATTCTCATCAAGTATGTTTCAGGGGTTAGTTAACACCTCAGCTGCATACAATGGTTATAGTACCTGCAAAGCCATTGAAATCAAAACCAAACTTGTCAGTTGGTTAAGCTAATTCAAGGTTACTATTTTGAAAATGAAAACTGGATTTACCACCAAATGGAAACACTGCCCTGTACTGTCATAAAATATAGTAGTCAGTCAGCCATTTGACCCGGTTAGTACTTAGCCTATCTTTATTCTTAGTTTTGAAAAGACTTGGAATTATTATATGGCCATATTTTAAAGTGTAATTTAGGATTCAGTGATACTCTCAAAGAAATTATACTATCAAGAGTTAAACTATTTTATAATTCCCGTTCATGCCAGATTTGGAAGCCAACTTATCTGAGAATTTACACATCTTTTATTATCCCATTTCTTTACATACACGCATCTTTTTTTCCTCTTTTTTTTTTTTTTTAAGCCAGACCAGCTTTCTTTAAGTTAGTCTAACTCCTCTTTCCACCGAAAGACCTCAACTATTATATTCTTCCTCAATAGGATGCTCTTCTCTTTGTGAGCCCCACGGGAGTCATTTCTACAGCAAAGCCTTCCTGACCTGCAGAGGATTGATCTTGCCTCATCATATTCTCTTACCTTCCTGTACTTTCTACAACTATAAGGAAAATAATAAATTTTGTAATTAGATATTTAATGTATATTCCCTGACTGAATATAAGCTGCAAAGAGACAGGAACTATAACTTTCTGTATTCACTCACTACTATATATTTATTAAGGAATGAATGCAACATTATGTACATAGTAGGAAATATACAAACAAACAGCTCTCGCATTCCAAGGCAGATTACTTCTAAGCATAAACATTTTCTTTCCTTTGAGAGGCCAAAGCCTTTTGGCGTATAGATCATTTAAACTTAGGGAAGAATCTTTGGCAATTCCCCTTCTAATTGAAAATGCTTGGCCAGGAGTGGTGGCTCACACCTGTAATCCCGGCACTTTGGGAGGCCGAACCGGGCAGATCACGAGATCAGGAGATTGACACCATCCTGGCTAACACGGTGAAACCCCATCTCCACTAAAAATACAAAAAAAAAAGCTAGCCGGGCGTGGTGGCGGGCGCCTGTAGTCCCAGCTACTCGGGAGGCTGAGGCAGGAGAATGGCGTGAATCCGGGAGGTGGAGCTTGCAGTGAGCCGAGATCACACCACTGCATTCCAGCCTGGGCGAAAGAGCAAGACTCTGTCTCAAAAAAAAAAAAAAAAAAAGAAAATGCTGGTTTCGTTTTCGAATTTTGGGATAAAGCTAGCTAATAAATTTTATATTAGATCAACCATCCTTGATCCATTTATCAGTGTATTCCTATTTGTGAGTTATTTATGGTAAGCTCACTTTCCACTCCCTGATCTGAAGTTCAAAAAACTGGTATAAATGCTTGGAAGAAACTCAATGAAAACGGTTGTTCTAGTTCAATAGGATCATAACCATATCTGTGTTTATATAGGCCCTGAGAATAACATAATGGTATTCAAGTATCTTCAGAGAATAATGCTGGGCCAACAAGGAGTTTGAGATTGTCCCTACAAATGATATGGCTTGACCAACCAACCTAATGTTGGATGATGCTATTTAAACAGAAGTTTACGAAAGGAATAGAAAAAGAAACTCTATTATTTGCACTGTAACCTGAGTTTATACTGTAAATAGAATAAATTCACATTGGCTTTCTAGATTTGGAAAAATCTATATTTATACCTATGCAATACAATATCTCTTCCAATGGTAACATTTCTAAGGGAAGAGATATTGCCTCTTTCACTGTATGCTTTAATAAATGTAACAGCCCATATTGAGGAACTCTTTACATGTGTAAGGAAGAACTATTCAACAGTGAGCTATTTGCATTTAAGATAGGGAGTTACGGGTGAGTAATGAACTCATTCGAAAGATTCTAAGATCTTACTTAGATGACATTTGAAGGCAGGTATAAGGCCATTTGGTAGGGATATCCTAGTTCCAGTTTATCGGTCTTTGTGCATTCGCGTTGAGTTGAGATGACTATTTGCAGATAAACACACTTCATCTGCAAATAGATTTTTAAATCACTATTAAAAAAAAAAAAACGCTATTACTACTGAGGGCTGCCAGCACGCTGTCACCTCTCAATCCGAACATCAGAAGGAACAAACTCCGGACACACCGCCTTTGAGAACTGTAACACTCACCGCGAGGGTCCGCAGCTTCATTCTTGAAGTCAGTGAGATCAAGAACCCACCAATTCCGGACACATTACCACTTCTATTACACATAGCCATACTGACAGAATCCAAGTTTTAAACCATATCTAAAATGTGAATTAGCATAAACTATTTTTATTTAAGCTTCAAACTTGTCTTTTTTAATCCCAGCTAAATTCACACCAAAATTAATAGTGAAAAGAAAGGGGGAAAACAATTTGGGTTATTATTACTAAAGCAGACTGTATCATGGGAAGTGACGTCTTTGTATGTTATTGAAATTGATTTATTAAGAGAAAATCGTAATACGCATTTACAGTAATTGTGACCTCTGCTATATTTTGTATAGTAGGTGGCCATATGTAGGAAAGGGCATACATTATAGCACAATTTAAGTTATATCAAATCTGAGTTTGAGTCACAGATCTGTACTTCAGTAATTATGACCCTGGCTAAGTTAGTCCATCTATTTGAATCTCAATTTTCTCATCTATGAAAATAGATAGAAATGCTGTCTCTTTTATAAGATTGAGGTGAAAGGTAGGAAAAAGACATCAGTATGTCAAGGTTTCAGCACAGTGTCTGGCACATAGTAGTTACCCACTCCATGTTTATTAATATTATAATTTTAATTATAATTAAATGTTTAATCAAAGGAATTTTTAATTACTACCATTCCTGTAAGCTTAAAATACTTAAACATTTTGGGGAGGATGAGACTACATGATATATGTTGGGAACTTTTGTAGTAAAAAACATCTCCCACATAAAAATATTCAATAACTAGATAATTAGTCTCAGATTCAAAATGCATGATAACATATCATGTAACTTTTCTGTTCACATGTGAATTATATCATGATCTAATGTAGAAATGAGAAATGTATCCATTAAATTATCTATGAGCTTTAAGGGACATAATACAAAAGTTTGGCTAGAATGCAAACCAGAAAAAAAAAAATACTGCCCAGTGTTTATATCTTTAGGTACAAAACCACCACCACCTCTGTTCTTGTGGGATCTCACTAATCAAAAACAGGTTTATGTATTTCTGGGTTTTGGCTAACATCTCAACTTTAGATTTTCTTGTTCTCAGCCATATCACTTTCTGGAATGCTTAGAAGCTGTGCAAATTGGAATCCTAACCTCCTTTCTTCATAGGATCTCGCTGGAAAGCTATGACAAACCTAGAGAAACAGCCATATTATGAGGAGCAAGCCCGTCTCAGCAAGCAGCACCTGGAGAAGTACCCTGACTATAAGTACAAGCCCAGGCCAAAGCGCACCTGCCTGGTGGATGGCAAAAAGCTGCGCATTGGTGAATACAAGGCAATCATGCGCAACAGGCGGCAGGAAATGCGGCAGTACTTCAATGTTGGGTATGTACCTTTTAGTCATTTTTCTCATGGGGCAAACTTCCTGTTATACTTAATGGGATGTGAAACATATTTGTTCAGTTGCAAAAAGACATTTTGAAAAAGAATCTGAGCTCACAGTATTTTCAGAGACAAATAGTCTCCCACATGATCTTGAAAAATATGTCCATATGAATCCACTGCAAGTTCCTAGCTCTACCATGAGATTTGTTAACAACTGGTTTAAAAACAAGATATCTACAAGCAAATGATTTTGAAGTTTTCTATTAAAAACTTAGAAGTATAACTGGTTCTTTTCTTCATTGGTTTGCATTACTTCCTAAGCTTCACCATGATAAATTCTAAAACTAACAACTTTGTTGAGACAATACAAAATAAAAATCATTTCAAAAGCAAAAATACTTATTTCTAAATATAGAGAGGTTAGTGAGCTATCAAGGTACATGTGTGGCCTTTGTGGATCACACAAGCTAGGGATTATATTTAGGGTGTAACAAGGTTGGGAACAGGAGGTTTCATTCTGAATTGAGAACGCAGCTCCGAGATGTTTTACAATGCTCCCGTGGCAAGGTTGTTGACAGTGCTGTAGATGGGCTACAGAAATGCATTGCTTCTATAGAATTCTCTCAAAAACCCAAAATAAAGTTGTTCATATTTGAAACAGAAGTTAGTTTCTAAGAGCTTCTTAGAATAATAAATATTGTTCTAAATATGGGCAGAGAAGGACTCATAAAACCTTTCCAAATCTGCTCTGTCCCCTCCAGTTCCTTGGAAGAGGCTGCATGCTCTGTCCAGTGGTCTGTGATTCATATGCAAGCACATGACTCCTCACAAAGCTAAACACAATGCCCAACAGTTCTTGGGCAAATAGTAAACATACGAATGAATAAAAACAAGCATAAATGCACATCATCTATTCATCCTTTCCAATAGGACCACCTACATTATTTATAGGACCAGATGCAAAAATGAGGAGACAGGGTCTCTTGTTAAAAAGTTATTAAGAATTTCAAGTCTGTGGCAGCACAACTTTAAACCAAGTATGGGACCTTAGTGCAGTTGCACAGTTTGTACATCCATGAAGCTGCTCCTGCTTCCTACCACTACGAGGCCAGAACTGTTTCAGAGACTCAGTGGACAGTGTGAATTTGTTCAGTTCTGGTGTGTTCTGGGCAGTAAAGTTTTATTTTGAGAACTCTAATGCTTTAGGATTTTCCCATTAAAATTTAATTATCTTTAGATTTAATTCTAGGGAAAAATACTATTTCTGCATGTTATAATGAAAGAAAAATGAACTTGGAATCAAGGACCTGGGTTCTTCTGCTTCATCTTTCTGCACCTCAGTTTTTTAATAAAACAGTAGTAACAAACAGGATTAAGAATAAGATGGACAACACATGTCAATATCTTGTACTCTATAAAGCACTACCTAAACATAAGGTATTAGGCCTGGTGCGGTGGCTCACGCCTGTAATCCCAACACTTTGGGAGGCCGAGGCAGGTGGATCACCTGAGGTCAGGAGTTCAAGACCAGCCTGGCCAACATGGTGAAACCCCGTCTGTACTAAAAATACAAAAGCTAGCCAGGTGTGGTGGCAGGCGCCTGTATTCCCAGCTACTTGGGGGGCTGAGGCAGGAGAATCGCTTGAACCCTGGAGGGGGAGGTTGCAGTGAGGCAAGATCACGCCATTGCACTGCAGCCTAGGCAACAGGAGCGAAACTACGTCATCTCAAAAAAAAAAAAAAAAAAAGAAAAGAAAAGAAAAACAAGGTATTAAAGTTCAAGTAGGATGGAGTTTGAAAAATGTTAGGCAATTAGATAAAATTAGTACCTTAGAATTGGACATTGCTGAGCAAATTAATTATGTAGTAAAGTCCACATCTAACTATTCACTTACCCACGATGTCTTTTTGGAAATTCCTTTCTTGACAGGCAACAAGCACAGATCCCCATTGCCACTGCTGGTGTTGTGTACCCTGGAGCCATCGCCATGGCTGGGATGCCCTCCCCTCACCTGCCCTCGGAGCACTCAAGCGTGTCTAGCAGCCCAGAGCCTGGGATGCCTGTTATCCAGAGCACTTACGGTGTGAAAGGAGAGGAGCCACATATCAAAGAAGAGATACAGGCCGAGGACATCAATGGAGAAATTTATGATGAGTACGACGAGGAAGAGGATGATCCAGATGTAGATTATGGGAGTGACAGTGAAAACCATATTGCAGGACAAGCCAACTGATAAGGGTCAAAAGATTGTTGTGACCTTAGGACTTAAAGAAGCCCTAACTGGTTCATCCTTACCAGTGGCCAAGCACATTAACTTTCTCATACACTGACTGTTACTTTAACTGTTAGTCTTAAATAGTTGGGACATCAGCTGACTAATAGACCTCAGCCTCAAAAGGCTTGGAAAGAAAAAACAAATACAACAAGCAAACAACAATATCAACAACAAGAGATTGAAATAAGCTATGGGTAAAATAATGCCAGTAATTCAGCTGCTACATCCAAGCACTGAAGTCTTACCCGTCAACTTTTTTTTTTTTTTAAATAAACTTTATGGCTGTTTGTTCTACAATGTTCTAGAAATTCTCACTCAGGTACACAGTGCCAACAAGTGGCTTGTGAATGTGTTTTGTTGTTTTGTGCTACAATTTTTAAAAAGAAAAAAGTTTTGTTTTGTTTTTTGGGGTTTCTGGGTTTTTTCCTTTTCTTTTTCTTTCCTTTCATTTTTTTTCTTTGTAATGCACCTGACAGAAAAAAAAGAAAAATGAATTTCTCTTTACTTCTCTCCACCTTCTCCATCTCTCTACTTTAAAGATGGAAGTCTGTGCATGAGGGGAAAGAGGGAAAAAGAGCCTGTTTTTAACTTCCTTGCTATCCACCACAAAATAAGCAATTATTTTCTTTAGAGGACTTTATCTATTGCACACCACACTACATCTTTGAGCAAGTGCCAAATTTGTACTGAAGTGTTGACCAAGTTCATTTTTTCTCTTTACTTTTTCCTTTTCCTTCTTAAGTTAGGACAGTGTTAAATCTTAGACAATCCCTTGAAAAACCTGAAATACCAGCAGCTGGTGAGATTTGACTTTTTTTTTTAATGGAAACTGTAGGTGCTGTTCTCAGGTGAAAAGAGAGAGAGAGAGAGAGACATAAGAAATTTAGAGAAAAATATTTTCTGATCTTGGATTTTTGTGTGTATGTATGTATGTGATTATGGTACTAATAATAGGAATAACGTTGGACCATTGTGAGTTAAACCCACATCTGGGGATGAAATCCCACATCCTCCCAAGTGACTGGTCTAGAAATAATCTTGACCTTGACTTTGCACTTCAAATGACAACTTAACCAAGTATAGGGCTCAGAAATTATATTTTTAAATGTCTGATTATTATTGGATGGATCAGGTGGCCCTGTGTAATAGAGGTGTGCATGTATAACATGGAAGCTACTAGCAAACTGCTCCCAGATGTCCTTTCTCCCTGGTCAGTTGGTTCCATTAACGTTTGCTACTTAGTGATTTTTGTTTTTCCTGTTGATATTTTGAGCAAAACAATCATTGTTTTCATTGAATATATTTGGCCATTTTTTCAGACAAATAGAATTAGCTTATTTCTTCAACATTCCATCCTTTCCCGATCAGGAAATGAAACTGATGATTTTATAAGGTATTTTTCACCCCTCCATGAAGTGAGGTGGAGGCCTTTAGCATTTCAGAAGTGTGGGCCATATGTAGTTCATGCCATAAAAAGTAGGATTTAATTAAAAGTCATTGCAGCCCAATAAAATGGAGCCTGGCTGCACCCAGGGATCCTTGCCACTGCTCTTCCCTTGCTGTCAGATTAATCCACTGAAGTCCAACTTTGGTTCAAGCAGAGTATTTGCAAAGAGCAACAACTGAATGTGATGGGACTGCTTATGTAGATTTTGCCAGCCAAATGCCAAGGCAGTTGTAGGGCCTGTACAAATAAATGCAAAATCATTTCAAGTCAATTGCCATTATTTGTATTGAAGTATCAGATAGATAGTAAATACTGCAACTAGTAGCTTGATGTGCTATAGTTTTCACTCCAGTCATCATTTTCCTATCTCACCCCCCGAAACACCACCCTAAAGTTGGATTTTTACATATAAATAAAAAAAGAATCCCTTTTATTTTTCTCTCTCTCAGAAGACTTGCTCTGGGGTTTTGCTTGGAGGAGCTGATCATATCCTGCATGTCAGAGATTTCATTTTGTTTGTTTTTCTGTTTGTTTGTTTTTGATGACTTTATTTACATTTGAACTGCCTCTTTTTGCTAGTGTTGTAATGATGATGATGATAAAATAATAATAATAATAGTAATAATAATAATAATGGTCAGCTGTTCCCAGATTAGTAAGTTATGTATAATTTATTTTATTTCTCCCTTTCTATTTTATTCTGCTCTGATTTGGAAGTGCAGCCAATAAGCTGTTAGATATTTAAAACAAATTTCCATCTCCAACTCATATATGTATGTATATGTATATATATATATACATATATATACACACATATACACACACACACACACATTTACCCACAATTTTACTTCTCTTTCCGTAAGTTTTCTCTTTTTTAAGAATTTTGGCCCCAACAATATCAGTTCTGATGTTTAAAACAAAGGAGTGAATTAATAGGAGGGTCGTGTTCAATCTTAATTAACTTATGCTCTCATCACTCATTTTAGTTATTTAATTGCCACAGTCATCTAGAGCCAATTTTTTTTTGTTTTTGTTTGTTTTGTTTTTAAGCACTCTGGATAAGGAAAAAATAGACACTTGTTTTTATATCATTTTTATGTACAATGTGAAAACAGATTTTTAAAAAATTTGTTCTCTGTCTTTGTTAACAAATTCCTTCCGATTTATGTGGGTTCACCTCTCACGTTTGCTGGATACTTACTTTACACCATGTTATGAAAGATGCTTTGTTTTCATTTCATGAGTTTGGGCTACAAGAATACTTTGTTTTAGCTCCAGGTAGATGCCATTGAAGGCATTCATGGCTGAAATCAATTCTAACACACTTACCGATGAATTGACAACACTTTGGTGTTTGGTCTTTTTTTTGTTATATTTTGTTTTATTTGAAGGGGAAAACAAAATTGTTAATGGTGACTTTTAACTGCTGAAATTCAAAATTTGATTTTAGTTAGGTTTATGTCCGAGACTAAACTGTGCATGAACCGAAACAAAAAGCAAGTTCATACCGCTGCATTCTGTTCTCTTGTTCTGACGGTTAATTCACTGGACATCAAATTTTCTTTGCCCTAGTTTTCCCCAAAAGAAAACAAAAGCAAAAATAGTTATATTAATGTTGAAAGTGCTTTGAAGTCACTTGATAAAAGGTGCTATGAATAGCAACTTACTGTGTTACTACATTGCCTTTTTGGCATTGGTTGATTTATAATTTTGGTAAAGGATCCTAAAACCCTGTATTCTTTTTCTGTGCCCCATAATGACCAAAAAAGATAAAGAAAATGAGAGTAAGATCAAAAGATCAAACTAAAACATAAACAGTCTCCTTCCTGTCTGCTTTCTTACCTATCTGTTCACACTTTATCTCTTTCCCTTTCTCTCTCTCTCTCACATGCGCGCGCGCGCGCGCGCACACACACACACACACACACTTGCCCCAACACTGAGAAATAATCTTGCCAGAATTCTGGTTTTTATAGTTGTTGTAGTCCGTTTCTCTAAAAATAGTCCTGTTTTCATATGAATCTAAGAGAACATTACCGGAGAAAATAAAGTTACTCATTTATAGTTACTAATAATAAGTTAGTGATTAACTTACCACAATTGGATAAAATATAAAACTATTCTTCAGCACATTTATACCTAAATTAGTGAAGTCCATTTGTGAAGTTCATTTGGCATCTGCAGTTAAGAGTTAACCATGTATAAAATCCCTCCCAAAGAACATAATCATCGTTAGAACCAAATCCTCTTATAAAGAACAAATATAAAAAAGTTTTCTGTGGTGAAGCTATTTTATAGATTTGATTTCCGGAGTAGAATTTTACCTTAATTCACTTAAAGAAAATTAACCATTTTTTGGTCCAACTTCAGATATTTTCTTAATCCAGAAGCTGTGACTGTTCCCAGAAGAAACCTCTTATATCACATTTAAAACATAAAAAATAATTACACTTTCACTCATTCTAATGGGTAAATTGTTGAATTGTAATAAACAACTGTATATTTACAAACAGGTTTATAAGGTATTTGTCTATCAAATTAATAATAAAATAAAACTTACGGGGTCTGCAAGGAAAACTATGAAGGCCACTTAAAGTGGTTCAGGTATCCCTTTGTCTTGTAGGGCATAGCTGTTGGTTTAGCCAGGCTTTTACAGTATTTAATTTTAAAGTATCCTATAACTATCAACTTCCCAGGTTGAAGACGATGTGTTGAGTTTCCTACTGATTGATTGATTCCTGTCCTCCCCAGTGTTTCCGTCACTGGTTCACTAAAACAGTATTTATATAGCTCCACTGGCTCTAAAGCTCTTAGTCCTTCTAATATTTTGGATTTTACAAGTAAAAATGGAAAAAAAATAGAAAAGAGACAATCAAATGCCTGGAGCTTAAAACAAAGTATGTGCAACCTACCATCTCACTTGAAATTTAATAAAATAATAAGTAATTATGTAAATATAACATAGAGTTATAGATTTATATTTTGTTCATAACACATAGTGTAATATAAGTTGTATATTTTCATGTTTTTGGTTTTATGTTATCATTCATGCCACAATAAAAATAAAACAGGAGTTTATGTGCTCTTAAAAAAAAGATGTGGGTTGCCACCAACCTGTTTTTCGTTTTTGTTTTTTGTTTATTTTATTTTATTTTTTTGCATTCTCCTTTTTCAGTATTACTGCCATGCAAGGCACCAATAAAAACAGCAAATGTGTTCTTTACTTATTATACTGTGTTTCTTTTCACAATTATTGTTATGAGGGTGTAATTAGTTTTATTATGAAAAGAACAAAAGTATGGAAATTTAATTTTGTTTTTAATATAAATAATCCCTCTTATTGAAGTTGACTTTAAGAACTAAAGGTTTAATTTTTAGCTGTGGACATTCCCAGAAAGACAGTCAGGACTTGATATAATGCATTTCACTCAGACAGATCTAGCTTCACCATACTGTCAAAAGATACTGTTCTTATATGTAATTGATTCAACACAATTGAAAACCCAACAGTCTAAAGCACCTTTAATATTGTTGTTTTCCCTGGCTGGACACTATCCTTGGGTGGGGGATGGGGGGTTTCTATGCTTTAGAATTGTGCTTTATCCTTTCGTTTGTATAGAAGATTTATAAATTTCAGATCATGAAATTACTAAGAACTATGAATAATTTTCACCTCGCTGGTATCTCATTTTGAATAATGGATATTTCTGAATTGTTTAACATTAGCCTCTCAGTTCTACCTTAAACTTTTTTAGTGAATGTTAAAAACAAGAAGTCTCCTTTCCTTTCAATGGCCATTTTTGCTTGTCTCTTCCACCATAATATGTTTTTCTACCTTGATAGTTCTATATGTAATAGTTTCATTTAAGGGTGTTTGCTGGTTGGTTGGTTGGTTGGTTGGTTGGTTGGGTGGGTGGGTTTTCTAAATAGGTATCAAGACAATGGGTCAGGTAACATTTGGTTCAAATGAATACAAGTATATAAAAGGGTTTATTCTGGAAACACTGCCCACTGTATCCCTTAACAGAAGTATTTTACAAAATCTGGTCCACGGACCACCTACTTCAGAATCAGCAGTGAAAAATGTAGATTCCTGGGCCCAACCCCAGGTGTAGTGAATCAGAATCTCTGGGGATAGAACAAAGCTTTTGCTATTTAACAACTCTAAATAATTCTGCATACTCTGATGTTCCAAAACAACCAGGAGGTGGGGATATTTGTCTCTTCCTCTGCCTACCTTATCTTTGCATGTCAAATTCTGCAGCTCCTATTACCTACCATACTTTCTCTTTAGGCCTCTGAGAAAACCTTGAAACAGGGTCAGTAAGTAGGCAAGGGTTTGAGGTTTTAAGGAGCTCCCAATCCCTCTATTGTTTGGAGGGCATTTGGTCCATCAGAACCAGGTTGCCACTCCTTGTTTACCTGTCTTACGTTGCCCGTCATGGCAAAGCAGTAGACGTCAGAGACTCCAGGCAAGTGGAACACTAAAAATATAACAAACATGGAAAACTACAAGCCACTTAATATTTGCAAAACAAATTGATGTTCTTTGAAAGGAAAATATCCATTGTAGAAGATGAGAAGTAAACATTCTGTACAGTGTTTATAATAGACCACCTATGGCTACAATGGTCATGATCTCACCCTACGTTTCTCCGGGAAATAACATTACCAGGATATGCTAAGTATTATGTGGATGGGGAAAATCTTGCTTGTTTAGGAAACTTGGCTCACCAAGGTGGAAAGCCCCAACCACCACCCTCTTTCTTCTACCAAATAAAGTTTACTTGGAAACATTCTTTTCTTGGTTTTTTAGTTTCTTATGTAGTATTTATGACTAGAATATAATAATAGATTATTTTCCTATTGCCAATGCCTTGAACAACAAAAACAATACTGGCAATAGTGAAAAGAAAACACCTTGTTTTTAAAATCTCAATTTTGCTAATTTTAGTTGCTGGTGTTTGAAGTTCACGTATGTGTTTTTAAAATCGGTATACTGTCATTCTTACCAAATTTAAAAGTTCTGAAGTCATCTCTATAACTTCACATCATCACTGAAACCTCAGTTATAACAATGGAGGTGAAGGTAAGCATGAATTAGTTCAATGTCTGATTTAAAGAATATTTATGAAAAAAATCCAATCTATTTTCTTGAGTTTCTAAAGCAATCTAATAGCTAGCTGAGAAGACCTGTTTTATAAGTAAGCATTGTAATTAGTATGTAAAGTGTATGCAATAGTATTGCTAAAAGTTCTCTAAAATAGTATGTTTTCTTAAGGAGGCTAAACATCTGTCCTACAATTTTAGTTATTCTACCAATTTGCTTAGCAAACTATTTTTACCACAAAGAATGAATTGGTTCAGCTCTGTTAACAATATATTATTTTTCAATTAGGTCCAGATACATGAGCTTTTACTCCCCTTATTGCCAGTTTCTAAAGATGCAAACAAATATGGAATGGAATGGTACTTTTTTGCTATTCAAAATATAACCAAGAGGATAAAATTTGTGTTATCATTGATGTCTCCACTGATACAATTTAAAAAGAAAAAAAAAAAGCTACAAGAACAATTGTAGGAATTCAGTAGGCCTAAGTAAACACCACTATTTTGTACATTGCTTGTTCAATTTATTCTTAAATTTCACAATCTGGAAAGCAATCCTAATTACACACAAACTGTAAAATATATTTGAAATAAAGTCTTTTGTTTATAAAAATTACTGCTGTGACAACTTTTTTCTAAATTCATGTGGTCCTGCAAGAAGGTAGGGGGACCCATAGAACATATTTAGACAATTATTTACACCAAAGGCTGACTGTATTCAACTTACTCCAGCATTGGCCCTCAGTAAGGATTCTTTTTGCCTTGTATTTCATACCTACAATTACGTAGAGTACAAATTTAAAATTGTGGTTATATGAACCTAAGTTTCTTTAGTCTTAAATTTCTTTTTGGGACTATAATCAGTCACTAGTAGACCCCAAATAATTACACAAATTGTCATTTTTATTTGGAAATGATCCTTCTAGCAACATTGTCTTCCACTGGGTAGGCATACATGAGCAGAATTAACAACCTGGTTTTCTATGGGAAGATTTTGGGGGTTTTTTGTTTTGTTTTGTTTTTTGAGACAGAGTCTCACTCTGTTGCCTAGGCTGGAGTGCAGTGGTGTGATTTAGGCTCACTGCAGTCTCCACCTCCCGGGTTCAAGCAATTCTTGTGCCTCAGCCTCCCAGGTAGCTGGGATGGACCAGCCAGGCTGGTCTCGAACTCCTGGGCAGATACTTTTTAACATCTGGAAAACGGATTGAAATTTCTGGTGGTATACAATTTGGAAACAATAGCGTTTAACTATAGATTTCAAAGAGAAAATTTTAGATTATACTCATTAAAGAGTTATCAATTTCCTCCTAACCCACTAATCCCACAGATCTACAAGTTTTGATACTATAGCCTATTACGTTACTTATGTCTTAACCTCTTGCTTATCAAATCCTCTGCTGGAGATATACCTTTGTCTTTTATTGTCATAGTAAAAACTTTAAAAGATCACTTAATTTTTTCAAATACTTCAAGATTCCCAAAATTCATGTCAACAAACTAAGAAAGCTTTCTAAATTTTATACTTTTCACACAAATTTTAGGCATATAAAAACTCACTTTGAATCATGGAAAGATATTTAGACATTTTTATAAATAAAAAATGCAAGTCAGGGAAAATGAGTGGTAAGAATAAAGAACCCTAAGAGATTTTGTGGTTTGTCTTTCTCTTGTCTTAATGATTCAATATTTGGCAAATATTACATGAACGCTGCTAACCTGGTCTGTCTGACAATCAAAAGCCTAATTCTTGCCAAAGTTGATGAGTCACTGGTACCTTAGGTCATTGTATTAGCTTATGTCAATTCATAGGCTCATTTATCCATTTTCAAAATTTGATGTGCCTTAACAATACGTACACAGTTAACACAGCACAAATAAAGAGGAAAAAGATAAACAGTAAGAAATAAGGAATCATACAGCAATCCACACACTAGACAAACATACACATGTGTGTATGTATATATATGTGTATATACACATACATGCACACGTGTTTACACAAATATCTGCACATACAATAACACACACACGTAAGTGTGTGTATATATACACTGACTGAAGAGAACAACTCCAATCAAGCTCTTATTTTCATAGCAGTTAGAGTAAATAAGAAAGTTCATGAATTAGACAATTCGTATTGCTTAATTGAAAGAAGCATGCAACTTTATAATGAGAAATAAGCTTTTCATTGCCATAAATTCTCAGATGGAGTTCACATTTAAGGGATAAGAAACAATTCAAATACCCATCTTTTTTTGGTAAATAGATATACAAAAGCTGTAGATTTGTTTTACATATGTGTATCAGTCCTTGAGGAGAGTTTAATAAAGACAATTTGCAAGGGGTCAGAGAGAGCTAGTATACATATAGATAGATAACTGGATATATGATTAAACAAGAACTTACAAGGATAAAACTGGAAGAATTGTGATTATGATGAATAGCATGTCACCAGACTAGATTTTTTAAACTATCAGGTGTTTCAAATTGAGTTTTAGTTATGCTATATGTAGTATAATGATAGGTCTATACAAAATACAAAACAATAATCCTTCCCTCAAAGTTTCTAATATGCAAGGAAATAAGACCAACACACATTAAGCAACAAAACAATATAAGATATGATTAATGAACCAGAAACTAGGTGATACAGGATTCCAAATGAAAACAAGAATCATTTTAATATTTACTGAGACTTCTGCTTCCAAATAGTATGTAGTAGGTGGCAAATGGCCAACCTCGTACTAGGAACTAGAAAAAGCTGGAAAATTACAAAAATTGTGTCTTAAAAGCATTAAAAAGCTTTGGAAGAAATGAGAGCTAGATGAACCACAGTTCCAGATAAGCAAGAATCCATCCAAAGTGAAACTGATGATTGCTAGCCATTTGTATTTAGTGAAGGCATAAGCAAATTCTGGGTGTTGCTATAAAAGCCTTGGCAACTGCTGGTAGAAAGCAAACCAGCAAAGCAGTTGTGTAGCTCTAAAGTGACAAATTGGAATCTTAAGGACCTGAAATGCAAGACTAGTTTTACTGATGACATATTTGATAAGTTGTAGGGCTTTGTGGAATTCTGCTGGTAGTGTATGACAAAGCTTCTAAAAGAAAGACTGAAATGATTTACTGCTTAAAAAACAAAGACAAAACAGAAATACAGGACCCACCTCAAGCATACAACTAGTTTGGCTCTTGATATTTGCCAGATTTCATCTTGAAGGAGTAAGGATACTAGAGAGTTGAGCTGGGAACATTGGAAGAGCAGATCTGAATTCCCTGTAGTCTTTCATGGTTAAGGAGACAAATACCATGTTCACAAGCAAATCTTGGGAAAATCATGTCCTGAGACAAAATAAAGGAAGCCTGAGTACTACTAAATTGCCAATCAGCCTCAACACAGCTAAATCCCTGATAAGATTAAAGTGATCAGCTATTTGCCCTAGTCTTATTAGATAAGAATGTGTAGTTAGAAACTCCACTCTGATGAAAGATTAAATCTATGGGTTCTTTGTAGTTAATTTTACATAAAATGCTTAGGAATCAATTTTTTTAAAAAATACATAAAAATGCCTGAAAAGGTATTTTATTTTATATAAGATGTATTGTATTTTTTAAAAATAAATTATGTATTTATATTTTAAAAAATTAATCAAGGGAAAAGCAAACATTAGAAGTAGTTATACAAATGATACTGATATCAATGTTAGCAAATAAAGACTTTAACACAACTATACCTAATATATACAAGAAAATTGATGAAAATCATAAAAATAGATAAAAAGGTGAAATTATAAATAATCAGATTGAAATGGAAAAGCACGAGATTAGTGAAAAGTAAAACAGTTTAATTTTTAAATATACATATTTATCACAAGAAGTACTTTAACTGGTGATTGTTGAGAATTTTTCAAAACTGATCGAAGATATTCTACAGATTCAAGAAGCTCAAGTAATCCAAGCAGTATAAACAAACAAAAACCCCACATATAACATTACAGTGAAACCACTGGAAACCAAAGATAAAGATAAATTTTTTAAAGTAACCAGGGAAAAGAATATGTTATCTTCAGAAAAGTGACCATAAGATCGACAGCTGATTTCTCAACAGAAACAACTGAATCAAGAAACAATGAAATCACAATTTTATAGTGCTACAAGAAAATGTGTCTGACTAGTATTCTAAATACAACAAAAACTACTCTATCACAATGAAGTTGAAATAAAGATATTTTCAGACAAATAAGCTTGGAGGATTCATCACTAGCATATCTGACTAAAAGAAATACCAAAGAAATTTCTTCAAGCTGAAGGGAATGATTCTACATGAAAAATGGAACTGAAGCTATAAATAAAGAGAACTGAAAATGGTAACATATGTGTGTTAATATAAATGAGGTGAATCTGTACACAATGCCTTCTCAATTTTTAAATAAATGTAGAAGTAAATACATGACAATAATAAAGGAAAGAGAAAAAGGTTAAATGGATTTAAAAGATTCTAAATTTCTAGCAATATCAGGAATTCAGTGATGCATGCTGTGATCTCTAATCAAAAAACAGAATGGTGAAAAAGAATGTACAACTCACTTATTCACAGAAGTGAAAAAAAGAAATAAAAAAATTTTAATCTAAAGGAAGTCTAACTTGTCAGAGTGAATACAATTAAAACAAAACAAAACAAAACAAAACTGTATGCTACCACAAGAAATGTAACCCAGAACCCAGGGGCCACGTGTGGTTGCTTATTCTTATAATCTCAACATTTTGGGAGGCCAAGGTGAGAGGATCACTTGAGCCCAGCAGTTAAAGACAAGTCTGGGAAACATAGTGAGACCCTGCCTCTACAAAAAATCAGGAAAAAAAAAATTTTATATATATATATATATATATATACACACACACACACACACACACACACACACATACCAAAATAATTGGAAGTAAAAGCATGGAAGAAGCTATATTATGCAAACATTAATGAAGAAAAGCTACTGTACCTACAGTAATATCAGACTATAGGAGATAGAATTATTACCAAAGGTAAATAAATGTATTTCACAATGATAAAATATTCAATCCAATAGGAAGATATGAGAATTTTAAAAGTCTACATATACTAAATATTAAAACTGCAAATGACATAAAACAAATAAAATCAACAGAAGTGAATAAAAATATACACAACTCCACCAGCATAACAGAAGGCTTTAATACAGTTCATTCAATTGCTGCTAGAACAAGCTGAAAGATAATTAGTGACGATATAGAAGATCTGAATGATACAATTAACAGACATGACCTGCTTGACATATATGGAATGCAGATCACAACAATGACAGAATTAAAATTCTTTTCAAGTGCCGGCCAGGCGTGGTGGCTCATGCCTGTAATCTCAGCACGTTGGGAGGCCAAGGCAGGTCAATCACCTGAGGTCAGGAGTTTGAGACCAGCCTGGCTAACATGGTGAAACCCCATCTTTACTAAAAAATATGACAAATTAGCTGAGTGTGCTGGTGGGTACCCAAGCTAGCTACTCAGGAGGCTGAAGCAGGAGAATCGCTTGAACCCAAGAGGTGGAGGTTGCATTGAGCTGGGATCACACCACTGCACTCCAGCCTGGGCAAAAAGAGCAAAACTCAGTCTCAAAATAAAACAAAACAAAACAAAATTCTTTTCAAGTGCCTGTGGAACATATGCCAAAATTGACAAGAGTCTGCCCCATAAAGAAATTGTTCATCATCACACTCTGGTGACTGTTGTGGGGTGGGGGGAGGGAGGAGGGATAGCATTAGGAGATATACCTAATGCTAAATGACAAGTTAATGGGTGCAGCACACCAGCATGGCACATGTATACATATGTAAATAACCTGCACATTGTGCACATGTACCCTAAAACTTAAAGTATAATAGTAATAAAAAAAAAAGAAATAGAAGAAAAAAAAAAGAAATTGTTCATAGTATATTCTCTGACCGCACTGGAATTGAATGAAAAAATACAACTAATATATATAACTTTAAAAATTACAACTACATGGATATTAAATAATAGTATAAATAAAAAATCAAAATGATGATTAGAAAATTTGAAGATAAGACCTATCAAAACATGCAGTGCATCTAAATCAGTGCTTAAGGGAAGTGCATGGTCTTAAATAAGTAAATTATAAAAGAGGAAATGAGAAAAATGACTTAAGTTTCCATTTCAAGAAGCTAGAGGGAATAATAAATAAAACCTAAGGAAATTAGAAAAAAAAGCAATAATAAATATAAGGACATAAATCACTGAAAGACAAAACGAATGATGGAGCAAAGGAGCAAGTCTATAAAAATGATTCTTTGAGGGGGAAGAACCAAGATGGCCAAATAGGAACAGCTCCAGTCTACAGCTCTCAGCGTGAGCAATGCAGAAGATGGGTGATTTCTGCATTTCCAACTGAGCTTTGAAGAGACTAGTGGTTCTCCCAGCATGCAGCTTGAGATCTGAGAATGGGCAGACTGCCTCCTCAAGTGGGTCCCTGACCCCTGAGTAGCCTAACTGGGAGGCACCCCCCAATAGGGGCGGACTGACACCTCACACGGCCAGGTACTCCTCTGAGACAAAACTTCCAGAGGAACGATCAGGCAGCAGCATCTGTGGTTCACCAATATCCACTGTTCTGCAGCTACCGCTGCTGATACCCAGGAAAACAGGGTCTGGAGTGGACCTCTAGCAAACTCCAACAGACCTGCAGCTAAGGATCCTCTCTGTTAGAAGGAAAACTAACAAACAGAAAGGATATCCAAATCAAAAACTCATCTGTACGTCACCATCATCAAAGACCAAAGGTAGATAAAACAACAAAGATGGGAAAAAAACAGAGCAGAAGAACTGGAAACTCTAAAAATCAGAGTGCCTCTCCTCCTCCAAAGGAACGCAGCTCCTCACCAGCAACGGAACAAAGCTGGATGGAGAATGACTTTGATGATTTGAGAGAAGAAGGCTTCAGACGATCAAACTACTCTGAGCTACAGGAGGAAATTCAAACTAATGGCAAAGAAGTTAAAAGCTTTGAAAAAAAATTAGACGAATGGATAACTAGAATAACCAATGCAGAGAAGTCCTTAAAGGACCTGATGGAGCTGAAAACCAAGGCACAAGAGCTACGTGATGAATTCAGAAGCCTCAATAGCCAATGCAATCAACTGGAAGAAAGCCTATCAGTGATGGAAGATAAAATGAATGCAATGAAGTGAGAAGAGAAGTTTAGAGAAAAAAGAATAAAAAGAAACGAACAAAGCCTCCAAGAAATATGGGACTATGTGAAAAGACCAAATCTACATCTGATTGGTGTACATGAAAGTGACGGGGAGAATGGAACCAAGTTGGAAAACACTCTGCAGGATATTATCCAGGAGAATTTCCCCAATCTAGCAAGGCAGGCCAAAATTCAAATTCAGGAAATACAGAGAATGCCACAAAGATACTCCTCGAGAAGAGCAACTCCAAGACACATAATTGTCAGATTCATCAAAGTTGAAATGAAGGAAAAAATGTTAAGGGCAGCCAGAGAGAAAGGTTGGGTTATCCACAAAGGGAAGCCCATCAGACTTACAGCTGATCTCTCTGCAGAAACTCTAGAAGCCAGAAGAGAGTGGGGACCAATATTCAACATTCTTAAAGAAAAGAATTTTCAACCCAGAATCTCATATCCAGCCAAAATAAGCTTCATAAGTGAAGGAGAAATAAAATACTTTACAGACAAGCAAATGCTGAGAGATTTTGTCACCACCAGGCCTGCCCTAAAAGAGCTCCTGAAGGAAGCACTAAACATGGAAAGGAACAACCAGTACCAGCCACTGCAAAAACATACCAAATTGTAAAGACCATCAAGGCTAGGAAGAAACTGCATCAACTATCGAACAAATAACCAGTTAACATCATAATGACAGGATCAAATTCACACATAAAAATATTAACTTTAAATGTAAATGGGCTAAATGCTCCAATTAAAAGACACAGACTGGCAAACTGGATGAAGAGTCAAGACCCATCAGTGTGCTGTATTCAGGAAACCCATCTCACATGCAGACACACACATAGGCTCAAAATAAAGGGATGGAGGAAAATCTACCAAGCAAATGGAAAACAAAAAAAGGCAGGGGTTGCAATCCTTGTCTCTGATAAAACAGACTTTAAACCAACAAAGATCAAAAGAGACAAAGAAGGCCATTAGATAATGGTAAAGGGATCAATTCAACAAGAAGAGCTAACTATCCTAAATATATATGCACCCAATACGGAAGAACCCAGATTCATAAAGCAAGTCCTTAGTGACCTACAAAGAGACTTAGACTCCCACACAATAATAATGGGAGACTTTAACACCCCACTATCAACATTAGACAGATCAACGAGACAGAAAGTTAACAAGGATACCCAGGAATAGAACTCAGCTCTGCACCAAGTGGACCTAATAGACAACTACAGAACTCTCCACCCCAAATCAACAGAATGTACATTCTTTTCAGCACCACACCACACCTATTCCAAAATTGACCACATACTTGGAAGTAAAGCTCTCCTCAGCAAATGTAAAAGAACAGAAATTATAACAAACTGTCTCTCAGACCACAGTGCAATCAAACTAGAACTCAGGATTAAGAAACTCACTCAAAACCGCTCAACTACATGGAAACTGAACAACCTGCTCCTGAATGACTACTGGGTACATAATGAAATGAAGGCAGAAATAAAGATGCTCTTTGAAACCAACAAGAACAAAGACACAACATACCAGAATCTCTGGGACACATTCAAAGCAGGCTGTAGAGGGAAATTTATGGCACTAAATGCCCACAAGAGAAAGCAGGAAAGATCTAAAATAGACACCCTAACATCACAATTAAAAGAGCTAGAAAAGCAAGAGCAAACACATTCAAAAGCTAGCAGAAGGCAAGAAATAACTAAGATCAGAGCAGAACTGAAGGAAATAGAGACACAAAAATATCTTCAAAAAATTAATGAATCCAGGAGCTGGTTTTTTGAAAAGATCAACAAAATTGATAGACTGCTAGCAAGACTAATAAAGAAGAAAAGAGAGAAGAATCAAATAGTTGCAATAAAAAATGATAAACGGGGTATCACCACCAATCCCAGAGAAATACAAACTACCATCAGAGAATACTATAAACACTTCTATGAAAATAAACTAGAAAATCTAGAAGAAATGGGTAAATTCCTCAACAAATACATCCTCCCAAGACTAAACCAGGAAGAAGTTGAATCTCTGAATAGACCAATAACAGGCTCTGAAATTAAGGCAATAATCAATAGCTTACCAACCAAAAAAACTCCAGGACCAGATGAATTCACAGCTGTATTCTACCAGAGGTACAAAGAGGAGCTGGTACCATTCCTTCTGAAATTATTCCAATCAATAGAAAAAGAGGGAATCCTCCCTAACTCATTTTATGAGTTCAGCATCATCCTGATACCAAAGCCTGGCAGAGACACAACAAAAAAAGAGAATTTTAGACCAATATCCTTGATGAACATCAATGCAAAAATCCTCAATAAAATACTGGCAAACCAAATCCAGCAGCACATCAAAAAGCTTATCCACCATGATCAAGTGGGCTTCATTTCTGGGATGCAAGGCTGGTTCAACATACGCAAATCAATAAATGTAATCCAGCATGTAAACAGAACCGAAGACAAAAACCACATGATTATCTCAATAGATGCAGAAAAGGCCTTTGACAAAATTCAACAACCCTTTATGCTAAAAACTCTGGACAAATTAGGTATTGATGGGACGTATCTCAAAATAATAAGAGCTATCTATGACAAACCCACAGCCAATATCATACTGAATGGGCAAAAACTGGAAGCATTCCCTTTGAAAACTGGCACAAGACAGGGATGCCCTCTCTCACCACTCCTATCTACGTAGTGTTGGAAGTTCTAGTCAGAGCAATCAGGCAGGAGAAGGAAATAAAGGGTATTCAATTAGGAAAAGAGGAAGTCAAATTGTCCCTGTTTGCAGATGACATGACTGTGTATCTAGAAAACCCCATTGTCTCAGCCCAAAATCTCCTCAAGCTGATAAGCAACTTCAGCAAAGTCTCAGGATACAAAATCAATGTACAAAAATCACAAGCATTCTTATACACCAATAACAGACAAACAGAGAGCCAAATCATGAGTGAACTCCCATTCACAATTGCTACAAAGAGAATACAATACCTAGGAATCCAACTTACAAGGGATATGAAGGACCTCTTCAAGGAGAACTACAAACCACTGCCCAGTGAAATAAAAGAGGATACAAACAAATGGAAGAACATTCCATGCTCATGGATAGGAAGAATCAATATCGTGAAAATGGCCATACTGCCCAAGGTAATTTATAGATTCAATGCCATCCCCATCCAACTACCAATGACTTTCTTCACAGAATTGGAAAAAACTACTTTAAAGTTCATATGGAACCAAAAAAGAGCCCGCATTGCCAAGTCAATCCTAAGCCAAAAGAACAAAGCTGGAGGCATCATGCTACCTGACTTCAAACTATACTACAAGGCTACAGTAACCAAAACATCATGGTACTGGTACCAAAACAGAGATATAGATCAATGGAACAGAACAGAGCCCTCAGAAATAACGCCGCATATCTACAACTATCTGATCTTTGACAAACCTGACAAAAACAAGCAATGGGGAAAGGATTTCCTATTTAATAAATGGTGCTGGGAAAACTGGCTAGCCCTATGTAGAAAGCTGAAACTGGATCCCTTCCTTACACCTTAGACAAAAATTAATTCAAGATGGATTAAAGACTTACATGTTAGACCTAAAACCATAAAAACCCTAGAAGAAAGCCTAGGCAATACCATTCAGGACATAGGCATGGGCAAGGACTTCATGTCTAAAACACCAAAAGCAATGGCAACAAAAGCCAAAATTGACAAATGGGATCTAATTAAACTAAAGAGCTTCTGCACACCAAAAGGAACTACCATCAGAGTGAACAGGCAACCTACAAAATGGAAGAAAATTTTTGCAACCTACTCATCTGACAAAGGGGCTAGTATCCAGAATCTACAATGAACTCCCACAAATTTACAAGAAAAAAACAAACAACCCCATCAAAAAGTGGGTGAAGGATATGAACAGACACTTCTCAAAAGAAGACATTTATGCAGCCAAAAAACACACGAAAAAATGCTCATCATCACTGGCCATCAGAGAAATGCAAATCAAAACCACAATGAGATACCATCTCACACCAGTTAGAATGGTGATCATTAAAAAGTCAGGAAACAACACATGCTGGAGAGGATGTGGAGAAATAGGAACACTTTTACACTGTTGGTGGGACTGTAAACTAGTTCAACCATTGTGGAAGTCAGTGTGGCGATTCCTCAGGGATCTAGAACTAGAAATACCATTTGACCCAGCCATCCCATTACTGGGTATATACCCAAAGGATTATAAATCATGCTGCTATAAAGACACATGCACACGTATATTTATTGCGGCAATATTCACAATAGCAAAGACTTGGAACCAACCTAAATGTCCAACAACGATAGACTGGATTAAGAAAATGTGGCACATATACACCATGGAATACTATGCAGCCATAAAAAAGGATGAGTTCATGTCCTTTGTAGGGACATGGATGAAACTGGAGACCATCATTCTCAGCAAACTATCGCAGGGACAAAAAATCAAACACTGCATGTTCTCACTCATAGGTGGGAATTGAACAATGAGAACACACGGACACAGGAAGGGAAACATCACACACTGGAGACTGTTGTCGGGTGGGGGGAGGGGGGAGGGATAACATTAGGAGATATACCTAATGCTAAATGACGAGCTAATGGGTACAGCATACCAACATGGCACATGTATACATATGTAACAAACCTGCACGTTGTGCACGTGTACCCTAAAACTTAAAGTACAATAATAATAAAATTTAAAAAAAATGATTCTTTGAAAAGTAATAGAATTGATAATATTTATTGAGCAATTATTTGTTTATTTATTATTGAGCAATTATTTAGCACGGTAGCCATAGTCACTTAGAGTACTTTAGGAAGATTTCACTCATAAGATGATAGTAGTTAAATTTCCAGGAATAGATAAGGTTATGGAAAAATTATCACCAATTTTTTTTAATTACAGCCTTTTCATTGAATTTTAAAATGATGCTACCTAAGACATTGTTTAGGTAATCGCTTTTGTAAATTTTGTAAAATTTTCACAATCCACCAGGATACTTTCTTTTACAACTGAGTCTTCTTGAATGAGGTTAAGAATAAAACAAAATTACTCTGATATGCAAACAATCTAATTTATACTCCACAACCATAGATTTGAGAGTATAGTATTAAAGCTTAAGAACATCAGGGAATCTTCACAAGGAAAAACAAAAAATATCTACTATAAGTTATATATGTAAATGATACATGAACTAACCATAATTTAAGAGTTGAAAGGAAAAAGATGAAAGCTCAAAAAGAAGAAATGTCTGAAGGAAATGATTAAAAATAAAAATGCCAAATTTCTTTTTGTATCTTCTCTAAAAGGTATAAAGCTAGGATATCCTATTCTATAAATTACTATCAGATTATATTAAATAATTGCATACAGTGATGATCATGATTTCTCTAAAATTTATATAGTAATTTTTAGTGTACTAAAAGCCATTTTTAAATTGTTTATATAAGGACATCGTAACAATATTCTGGGGGAAACTTCCATTTGCAGTTTCATACTTGAAAGGGAAAACAAAACAAGGAACATATATAGGAAGAACGGTGAGGGTTCTAGAAATATGTCAACTGAGGAGCAGCAGAATAAATCAGAGAAAAGTAGCCTGTGGAAAGATCTGGGGAATAACCATAAAAGATGTCATTAGGTACTTTAAGGACTGTCACAAAATAGGTGGAATGGCCTCATTCTCTATTGTTGCAGAGTATACAACGGAGATTGATTAATGGAATTTGCAAGAAATCAGGTATCCAATCAGTTTAGAGCTCTCCAACGTGGAACTGCAGGAAGAATGTCATCATCTATTCAAGCAGAGATGGAGTCACTCATTGCAGGCAAACTGTATGTAGATTAGCTTCTTGGCTTGCTTTGGAGATTGGACCAGATTGTAAATTGACTCTGAAACAGTCAACTAATTCTTTTTTTCCTTAATTTTTTAAATTATTGAAAAAGAATTTAAAAGAGGAATAATCAGTGACAAATTTAACTTATGTCTCTCTAGTTAATAAGAGAATAAATACGATAAAATGAAGTGGGCCAATGCTGTCTATTTCATAAGCACTGAAATTTAAATCCAGGTTTCAAAGTTATCCCTTTACTTTTTGAAGACTATTTGAAAAATGGATGAGCTTTTTCATTGTTTTTCACTTGCTGCAATAGTTGCTGTATTAGTCAGTTTAGGCTGCTATATTTTTTTTTTTTTACAGTTCTGGAGGCTGGATGTCCAAGATTAAGGTGCCAGCAGGTTGATTTCTTCTAAGGTCTCTCCTTGGCTTGAAGATTTCACTTTCCTTTTTCTACTTTTTCCTTTTCCTTTTCTTCTCCTTTCTTTTCATCATGAACAAGTAAAACAGATAAACTCAGAACTTCTCAGACTATAGAAGGAAGGACAGAGAGCTCTTCCTATCTGGTTCAGGTACCTTACCAGGTACTTTGGAGAACTCTAGTAAGTCTTTTTAGAAAATCACCATATTTTTCCAGATTAAATTGGTATTTGTGATAATAGTTTTCATGTTGACTATTTCACATCTGTCTCTTTCACTAAAGCATGACTGACATATCTGTGGGCTGAATGAAAGCACATAGTGTCAGTGGTGGGCTATGCAACTCTCTGAAAGCATCCACCCAAAAAGAGTTTGTCTTTTGAGCTACTACACCACCTTGTTTTGCTTCAATCATAGGATTCTTGGCTGGTTCAATTAGAAGCAAATTTCAAGATTGTTTTGATTCTGATAAAAAGAAGGGCATATTGCTTTAATTATTCATTCATTCATTCAATAATGGCTGCTTTTCAGATGTTGGGTAAAGCATTGAAGATAAAAGACTGTCTACTCACAAAAGTTCTTAGTCTAACAAAAAGAGGGAAGTCATGGAACTGAGGATGTGAACTGGGAGGTTACCATCTGAATCCGTCCTGTGGCTTTTTTCACCAGCACATTGTTTTGTTGTTGTTGTTTTGGGGTTTTATTTTTGGGGGGTATTTTTGGGGTTTTCTTTGAGACAGAGTCTTGCTCTGTCACCCAGGCTGGAGTACAGTGGCATGATCTTGACTCACTACAACCTCTGCCTCCAGGGTTCAAGCGATTCTCCTGCTTCAGCCTCCCGAGTAGCTGGGACTACAGGCAGACGGCACCACACCTGGCTAATTTTTGTATTTTTAGTAGAGACAAGGTTTCACCATGTTGGCCAAGCTGGTCTTGAACTCCTGACCTAAGGTAATGCACCCACCGTGGCCTCCCAATGTGTTGGGATTACAGCAGGCCTGAGCCACCATGCCCGGCCACATTGTTTTGTTTTTAATCCAATTTAGAATGCCTTTAGGCTGGGCCCGCCTACTCCAGTAGGCAACATTACTACCACTCCCAGCTGTTACACCTGGCTGTTTTGTATATTTACATAAGTATCTCTCCACAGAAAGAAAGCATTTGAGTTGTAATTCTGGATATTTGTTAAGTATCATTTTAGTCATGTTGTAGGAAATGGGAGCAAAAGGAAGGAGTTTATTAATTATGGTTAGAAATGTCAAAGAAGTATTTCCTAGAAGTGAAACTTGAGTTGGGCCCTAATGGGTACATCTGAGTTTGTCACATAGAGAATGCAGGCACGGTGTTTCCCTAAGTGGAAACAAAGTGAACAGACTCATGGGCTTCTGAAAATGTATGGCAGTTTCAGAGATGTGGACTCCTCGTACATATAATATGGAAGAAGCTGTCAGGAGACCAGGCTGGGAACACACGTTAGAACCTGACTGAAAAGATACTTGGGAAATTGTTTTTAGAAACTATACAACTGTAGAATCAAAGGACATGAGTTCATGCCTCTTTTGGTGATATCAAGTTAAAACCAGGTACCGTTATTGCTCACCTGACTTTTGGTTCTTCTGAAATTGCTTTTTGTGTAGACAGTTGTTAAATTTGGTGTTCCTGTGGGGAGGATGATCAGTGGAGGCTTTTATTTGGCCATCTTGCTTCCCCCACCCCCAGTCACTGAGCTCTTAACCAGTACTTTAATTTCCTTCTCTTAGAAGAACATCATAAAAAAATCTGTATTTTATCCAGAAAATATTAAGAGATAGGAAATAATAACTTTTTAAGACTAAATGTATAACAGCTTTATTGAGATATAATTCACATACCATGAAATTCACCCATTTAAAGTTTTCATTAAATAGTTTTTATCATATTCACAGAGTTGTGCTATCATCTCCACAGTCAATTTTGTAGCATTTTTATCATACCTGAAAGACATCTGCACCCACTAGCAACCAATCTTCACTTCTCTCAACCCCCAGCCCTAGTCTACTATTAGGGCATGATTGTTTTTTAAGCTGCAGAATTATATGGCCCTATCTTTGGTTTCACTGAAGAGAGATGAACAAGGAGGTTGAAGAAGGAATCCAGGTGAGCAAGGAAATGAGCAAAACCGTGGTATGCATGAAGCTTATGGAACATGAGATGTTGGAGGAGAATTATGTGGCTTATTAAATGAGGGTGCCCTTTCCTTATTCACAGGCAAAATCTGTAATTCACAGGTAAAGATTTGACTGAAAGGCACATTCAGGAAGAAGTAGCAACACACACATCTTCATTAACCCTAAGACTCCAGCCATCCTCTATACAGCATACTATTAATCCACGGACATTTAAAAAGTAAAAAAAGTCACTAATTTAACTAAAATATGATAATTTCTTGTCACATTGATTGCAAGATGCATCTTGATTCCAAAGATGTTACAAATCTAAAAAAATTGTGCATCTTAAAATTAATCATATATAGTATTGAATGTCAGGCCTCTAAGCCCAAGCTAAGCCATCACATCCCCTGTGACCTGCATGTATACATCCAGATGGCCTGAAGTAACTGAAAAATCACAAAAGAAGTGATATTTAAATGGCCTGTTCCTGCCTTAACTGATGACATTCCACCACAAAAGAAGTGAAAATGGCCGGTCCTTGCCTTAACTGATGACATTACCTTGTGAAATTCCTTCTCCTGGCTCATCCTGGCTCAAAAAGCTCCCCCACTGAGTACCTTGTGAACCCCACTCCTGCCCAGAGAACCCCCCTTTGATTGTAATTTTCCTTTACCCACCCAAATCTTATAAAATTGTCCCACCCCATCTCCCTTTGCTGACTCTCTTTTCAGACTCAGCCCGCCTGCACCCAGGTCATTAAAAAGCTTTATTGCTCACACAAAGCCTGTTTGGTGGCCTCTTCACATGGACATGAGTGAAATTTGGTGCCCTGGGATTGGGGGACCTCCCATGGGAGATCAATCCCCTATCCTCCTGCTCTTTGTTCCATGAGAAAAATCCACCTACGACCTCGGGTCCTCACACCGACCAGCCCAAGGAACATCTCACCAATTTTAAATCGGGTAAGTGGCCTTTTTTTTACTCTCTTCTCCAACCTCTCTTACTATCCCTCAACCTCTTTCTCCTTTCAATCTTGGCGCCACACTTCAATCTCTCCCTTCTCTTAATTTCAGTCCCTTTCCTTTTCTGGTAGAGACAAAGGAGACACGTTTTATCTGTGAACCCAAAACTCTGGCTCCAGTCACGGACTCAGGAAGACAGTCTTCCCTTGGTGTTTAATCATGTGGGGACACCTGCCTGGTTATTCACCCACGTTTCAGAGGTGTCTGACCATGCGGGGACGCCTGCCCTGGTCCTTCACCCTTAGCGGCAAGTACCGCTTTTCTGGGGGATGAGGACTCCCCAACCCCTTCTCTCCATGATCTCTACCACTTCTCCGCTTTTCTGGAGGGCAAAAACCCCCCAACCCCTTCTCTCTGTGTCTCTACCCTCTCTTTTCTCTGGACTTGCCTCCTGCACTATAGGCAACCTTCCACCCTCCATTCCTCCTTCTCCCTTAGCCTATGTTCTCAAAGACTTAATACCTCTTCAACTCACACCTGACCTAAAACCTAAATGCCTTATTTTCTTCTGCAATGCTGCTTGGCCCCAACACAAACTTGACAGTTGTTCCAAATAGCCAGAAAATGGCACTTTTGATTTTTCCATCCTACAAGATCTAAATAACTCTTGTCGTAAAATGGGCTAACAGTCTGAGGTGCCTGACGTCCAGGCATTCTTTTACACTTTGGTCCCTCCCTAGTCTCTGCTCACAGTGCAACTTGTCCCAAATCTTCCTTCTTTCCCTCCCGCCTGTCCCCTCAGTCCCAACCCCAAGCGTCGCTGAGACTTTCCTCTTTCCAATCTTCCTTTTCTACAGACCCATCTGACCTCTCCCCTCCTCCCCAGGCTGCTCCTCGCCAGGCCGAGCTAGGTCCCAATTCTTCCTCAGCCTCCACTCCCCAACCTATAATCCTTTTATCACCTCCCCTACTCACACCCGGTCCGGCTTACAGTTTCCTTCCACAACTAGCCCTCCCCCACCTGCCCAGCAATTTCCTCTTAAAAAGGTGGCTGGAGCTAAAGGCATAGTCAAGGTTAATGCTCCTTTTTCTTTATCCCAAATCATATAGCGTTTAGGCTCTTTTTCATCAAATAAAAAACCCAGCCCAGTTCATGGCTCATTTGGCAGCAACCCTGAGACGCTTTACAGCCCTAGACCCTAAAAGGTCAAAAGGCCGTCTTATTCTCAATATACATTTTATTACCCAATCCGCTCCGGACATTAAATAAAACTCCAAAAATTAAATTCCAGCCCTCAAACCCCACAACAAGACTTAATTAACCTCACCTTCAAGGTGTACAATTAATAAAGTAGAGGCAGCCAAGTAGCAATGTATTTCTGAGTTGCAATTCCTTGCCTCCACCGTGAGACAAACCCCAGCCATATCTCCAGCACACAAGAACTCCAAACGCCTGAACCACAGCTGCCGGGGTTCCTCCAGAACCTCCTCCCCCAGGAGCTTGCTACAAGTGCCGGAAATCTGGCCACTGGGCCAAGGAATGCCCACAGACCAGGATTCCTTCTAAGCCGTGTCCCATCTGTGCAGGACCCCACTGAAAATCGGACTGTTCAACTGACCTGGCAGCCACTTTCAGAGCCCCTGGAACTCTGGCCCAAGGCTGTCTGACTGACTCCTTCCCAGATCTTCTCGGCTTAGCAGCTGAAGACCGACACTACTCGATTGCCTCGGAAGCCTACAAGACCAACACAAATGCTCTGGGTAACTCACAGTGGAGGGTAAGTCTGTCCCCTTCTTAATCAATACGGAGGCTACCCACTCCACATTACCTTCTTTTCAAGGGCCTGTTTCCCTTGCCTCCATAACTGTTGTGGGTATTGACGGCCAGGCTTCTAAACCTCTTAAAACTCCCCAACCCTGGTGCCAACTTAGACAATACTCTTTTAAGCACTCCTTTTTAGTTATCCCCACCTGCCCAGTTCCCTTGTTAGGCTGAGACACTTAAACTAAATTATCTGCTTCCCTGACTATTCCTGGGCTACAGCCACACCTCATTGCTGCCTTTTCCCCCAGTTCAAAGCCTCCTTCACATCCTCCCCTTGTATCTCCCCACCTTAACCCACAAGTATAGGACACCTCTACTCCCTCCTTAGTGAACGATCATGCACCCCTTACCATCCCATTAAAACCTAATCACTCTTACCCCGCTCAATGCCAATATCCCATCCCACAGCACGCTTTAAAAGGATTAAAGTCTGTTACCACTCGCCTGCTACAGCAGTTTAAAGCCTATAAACTCCCCTTACAATTCCCCCATTTTGCCTGTTCTAAAACCAGACAAGGCTTACAGGTTAGTTCAGGATCTGCGCCTTATCAACCAAATTGTTTCACCTATCCACCCCGTGGTGCCAAACCCATATACTCTCCTATCCTCAATACCTCCCTCCACAACCCATTATTCTGTTCTGGATCTCAAACATGCTTTCTTTACTATTCCTTTGCACCCTTCATTCCAGCCTCTCTTCCCTTTCACTTGGACTGACCCTGACACCCATTAGGCTCAGCAAATTACCTGGGCTGTACTGCCACAAGGCTTCACAGACAGCCCCAATTACTTCAGTCAAGCCCAAAGTTCTTCCTCATCTGTTACCTATCTCGGAATAATTCTCATAAAGACACACGTGCTCTCCCTGCCAATCGTGTCCATCTGATCTCTCAAACCCCAGCACCTTCTACAGAACAACAACTCCTTTTCTTCCTAGGCATGGTTTGACTTTAGATACCTGGTTTTGCCATTCTAACAAAACCATTATATAAACTCACAAAAGGGAACTTAGCTGACCCCATAGATCCTAAATCCTTTCCCCACTCCTCTTTCTGTTCCTTGAAGACAGCTTTAGAGACTGCCCCCACTCTAGCTCTCCCTGACTCATCCCAACCCTTTTCATTACCCACAGCAGAAGTGCAGGGCTGTGCAGTCGGAATTCTTACACAAGAACTGGGACCGCGCCCTGTAGCCTTTTTATGTGAACAACTTGACCTTACTGTTTTGCCTAGCCCTCAAGTCTGAGTGTGGTGGCTGCCACCGCCCTAATAATTTTAGAGGCCCTTAAAATCACAAACTATGCTCAACTCACTTTCTACAGTTCTTATAACTTCCAAAGTCTATTTTCTTCCTCACACCTGACACATATACTTTCTGCTCCCCGGCTCCTTCAGCCATACTCTTTGTTGAGTCTCCCACAATTACCATTGTTTCTGGCCCAGACTTCAGTCTGGCCTTCCACATTATTCCTGATACCACACCTGACCCCCATGACTGAATCTCTCTGATCCACCTGACATTCACCCATTTCCCCATATTTCCTTCTTTCCTGTTCCTCACCCTGATCACACTTGGTTTATTGATGGCAGTTCCACCAGGCCTAATCACCACACACAAGCAAAGGCAGGCTATGCTATAGTACAAGCCACTAGCTCACCTCTTAGAATCTCTCATTTCCTTTCCATCGTGGAAATCTATCAAGGAAATAACTTCTCAGTGTTCCATCTGCTATTCTACTACTCCTCAGGAATTATTCAGGCGTCCTCCCTTCCCTACACATCAAGCTCAGGGATTTGCCCCTGCCTAGGACTGGCAAACTGGCTTTACTCAACATGCCCCGAGTCAGGAAACTAAAATACCTCTTGGTCTGGGTAGACACTTTCACTGGATAGGTAGAGGCCTTTCCCACAGTGTCTAAGAAGGCCACCACGGTAATTTCTTCCCTTCTGTCAGATATAATTCCTCGGTTTGGCCTTCCCACCTCTATACAGTCCTATAACAGACCGGCCTTTATTAGTCAAATCACCCAAGCAGTTTCTCAGGGTCTTAGTATTCAGTGAACTAATGGTCTTTGAAAAACACACCTCATCAAGCTCAGCCCCCAACTTAAAAAGGACTGGACAATACTTTTACCACCTGCCCTTCTCAGAATTCAGGCCTGTCCTCGGAATGCTACAGGGTACAGCCCATTTAAGCTCCTGTATAGGCGCTCCTTTTTATTAGGCCCCTGTCTCATTCCAGACACCAGACCAACTTCGACTGCGCCTCAAAAAACTTGTCATCCCTACTATCTTCTGTCTAGTCATACTCCTATCCACCGTTCTCAACTACTCATAAATGCCCTGCTCTTATTTACACTGCCAGTTTACACTGTTTCTCCAAGCCATCACAGCTGATATCTCCTGGTGCTATCCCCAAACCACCCTTCTTAAAGTAAATAAATAAATTTCCTCTTAAAGTAAATAAATAATCTTTGCTGGCAAGGCTATGCTGAACCTCCTTAGGCACTCTCTAATTAGATGTCCTGGGTCCTCCCAATTCTTAGTCCTTTAATACCTGTTTTTCTCCTTCTCTTATTCTGTTTAGTTTTTCAGTTCATACAAAACCATATCCAGGCCATCACCAATAATTCTACACGACAAATGTTTCTTCTAACAACCCCACAATATCACCCCTTACCACAAAATCTTCCTTCAGCTTAATCTCTCCCACTCTAGGTTCCCACGCTGCCCCTAATCCCGCTCAAAGCAGCCCTGAGAAACATCGCCCATTATCTCTCCATGCCACCCCCCAAAAAGTTTTTTTCACTGCCCCAACATTTCAATACTATTTTATGTTATTTTTCTTATTAATATAAGAAGGCAGGAATGTCAGGCCTCTGAGCCCAAGCTAAGCCATCGCATCCCCTGTGACCTGCACGTATACATCCAGAGGGCCTGAAGTAACTGAAGAATCACAAAAGAAGTGATATTTAAATGGCCTGTTCCTGCCTTAACTGATAACATTCCACCACAAAAGAAGTGAAAATGGCCGGTCCTTGCCTTAACTGATGACATTAGCTTGTGAAATTCCTTCTCCTGGCTCATCCTGGCTCAAAAATCTCCCCCACTGAGCACCTTGTGACCCCCACTCCTGCCCACCAGAGAACAACCCCCCTTTGACTGTAACTTCCCTTTACCTACCCAAATCTTATAAAATGGCCCCACCCCTATCTCCCTTTGCTGACTCTCTTTTCAGATTCAGCCTGCCTGCCCCCAGGTGATTAAAAAGCTTTATTGCTCACACAAAGCCTGTTTGGTGGTCTCTTCACAGGGACATGAGTGAAATTGAATAATACTAGTGATAGTATTTCTAACAGAGAATTATAAGTAGTGTTCTGACATAGTTCTTCTTAAAACACATCATTTATTTTATGAGGTTGATATCATGAAGTATTTTAAATAAGTTCCAAACACAAATCACATATTCCATTTACTTAATCTAAAAGTATATTTGTAAGAAAAGAAAAAAAAACTTCTCAAATATTTACTTTTGAGCAATTTATAACTGACCATTGTGATTGAAAATGCTCAAGTTTTCTACTGTAAAGTAAAAAGTATCTGAAACAGGTATCAATCAATTTAGAAGTTTATTTTGCCAAGGTTATGGATCATGACCCATGACACAGCCTCAGGGAGTTCTGAGAACAGGAGACCAAGGTGGTTGGGTTACAACTTGATTTTATACATTTTAGGGAGATAGAAGTTACAGGCAAAGACATAAATCAATACATGTAAGGTGTACATTGGTTCAGCCTGGAAAGATGGGACATCAGGAAGTGGGAGCTTCCAGGTCATAGACGGATGTAAAGATTTCCTGATTGGAAGTTGATTGAAAGGGTTATGCTCTCCCTGAAGAGTTGAAGTCAGTTTTAGTTAAGGTAAGGGGCAGGATAGTGGAAGTCATGGGTCTTGTCATGTAGATGAAGCCTCCAGGTAGCTGGCTTCAAAGAGAATAGATGTGAGTGTGTCTTATCAAATGTGTCAGACCCCAGAGAGACCTAATAAGGAAAGGGGATTCTCTACAGAATGCAAATTTCCCCAACAAGAGACAGCTTTGCAGAACCATTTCAAAGTATGTCAAAGAAATATATTTTGGAGTAAAATACTTTGATTTCCTTTTAGGGTCTATTTTCTGTCTTGTGATGTTACATCAGAGTCAGGTTGGAGTTAGTATCTTATTGCTATGAACAGTCTGTTCTGCCAGTCTTAGGATCTCTATAGTACGTTAATACTGGTCAGCTGTGCTTGAACTCCAAAGGGAGGAGAGTATAATGAGGCATGTCCCACCCCACATTCCCATCATGGCCTGAACTAGTTTTTCAGGTTTCTTTGGGTCCCCGTGGCCAAGAAGAGGTTTCATTCAGTCCGTTGGTAAGGCCTGACTCTGATATAACATCACATTACAGAAAACAGACCCTGGAATTTTATTTTTGCTTTACACTATATTTGTGCTGTTACAGCTTCCAACAGAGATCTGAGGCACCAACAAAAGCACAGGCACAAGACAAAATATCTTTTGAAATTAAGAATAATATCAGGACTCCTAGTTCCCCAAAGCCATAGTAACACTTTAAAAACTACCAGTTAGCAATATAGCTACCATATGTGGAATAAATGGTTTGTTCCCTGGCTGGTACACTTGTCTCTGACCCGTTTTTGACATATTTCTATTTGTTGGAATCTACTTAATTTCCATTGCTTCATTTCCACTTTGCTTATTTTTCCTGTGTCCCCATCTGTTTCTAGATATAGGCAACAAAATTTACCATGACCACATGTCCGTGAGTTCTACTTGCTCTCCCAGTGCTACCATTGGAACACGTGTGGGCTGGTACCTCAGGGCTTTCTCTTCCTTCCAGAGCAGACTGTCTGCAGGGAGATGGATCCACTACTGCCTCCTCCTGGTGCATGTGATCTCCCTGCACTCTTGTGTGGGCCTAGTCTTTTCTCAAACAGATTTCATAAGCCCCCTCCCTCCAGGCTAGTTCCAGTCTCTTTTCTTGTCCCTTTCCAAGGTCTTCATATTATGAACTAAGTAATGGAGAATTCTTTTGTCCCCATAACAAGCTTCAGGAAAAAGAAATTGCCCAAGTGGCTCTGGCATTTTTGTTCTCCCCTTCCTTCTATTCCTGTACTTCCTCTACCTTCTGTTCTGCTCCTGGTTTTTCTGAATGCATGAATTCTTCCCTTGCTTTTATTTATTTTTTTGTACCTTATATATAGCCTTTGCTGTTTTATCACATTTTCTTTGTGGGCTTTCCTCTCAAATTAGAATATCCCTTTGCGCTTCTTCTCTCCTCCTGCAAACAGTATGGAATAAGAAAGACTAGTCCGGGCTTTGAGGGCTTCCAGCTGTGCCTTGACTTAGATAATGGCAACAGGAGGTTTGAATTCACATTAGTGTTATCTTCTAAAAGACTAACTAGAGCTTACTGAACACTGCAAAGTATACCCCAATCATAATACAGTCCCCTTGTGAGAACATACTCACTCTTGTGTCTGGGTATTAATGCTGTGAAGCTCTTTTTGTCATGTCTTTTCAACAAATCTCCACCAAGTGGGTAAATGTGTGTTTAAGACCAGGTGGCCAGGCTATATCTAATGGTGGACACCAGCCCGTGTAAATCTGATTGAGTTGATGGAAGCAACGGTGGAGTTTCCTCAAACACCTGGATGTCGACCACTTAGCTTGTTGTTCATTAATGATTGACACCATATCACTAAAAATTATTTTACTCAGTACTTTGGAAGGAAAGAATTAACTGACTAAAATCCCAGCAATAATATAAGTGAGTCTTCAGCAGTTCTACTAACAACAAGCTTAAAAAACATAAGCCATGCCTATCCATTGTTAATAAATGCATTGTGTCCTAGAACTGGGTCCCTGACTTTTACGTCTCAATTTATTCATGGCTTATTCACACCAGGTGCTTTTGCAATTCCTCTCCTTTTCTCCACTGCTGACTCCTGTTAGTTCTCAGCTCTTCCTGCTTCTCCCACAGTAGAGGCAGTCAGTGCCCGCCCGTCCTCTACCTGCATTACCCGGTGCTGGGCTTGTCGTCTCGGGTGCTCCTTCCCATGGCTGTCTTATGCATCCACAGAGTAAGTTCAGCTTTACTTTGGTTAAAAAAAAACCTGTGTGCTTTCCCTATAATAATGACATGTATTAAGGGACAGGGCACTAGAAACACAGGTTTGGTTTTTGTCACTTGTTTGATGTCGGGTGCAATGGACACAGAGAGAGAAGGCAAACTATGTGTCCTCTAGGAGCTTACAGTCTAGTGTTCGCATGGAGGCAGACACATGTTCATTATTATAATGGAATAGGACCAGCCATGACTGTTTATTCCACAAAGCTTGCACAAGATTTCTGTGCATTTCTGGAGGCTTCAGGTATCATCTTGGTGACTTTCAATTCTTACTTCCACAGGTCTCTTATCTGACTCTCATGTCACTTCTCACAGCTATTTCCTTCTTGCTCCAAGTTGACAGTGTTGAATCTTGCCTGATCCCTACGTTCCTGGAGAAGAGTAGTTTCTGAAACGCTTTGTGTTTCAGAAAATGGCTTACCGCAAAGAATTACCCTTCCCCAAATGATTTAGATAAGATTCAAGGATGTCTGCCCTGTTTTCCTATGATAAGGCCAGATGCAGTCTTTCAAATTTCCATTCTTCACCTCCTAAATAGTTAGCTGAACTGCTTGTCTCACTCAGAACAAAATACTGGTTTATCAAATTTTGGTTAAGCTTCTCTCCTTCCCTCAGGCCCTGAACATTGACTCACCCTCAGTTTGAGCCAGCTTATAGCCCCTTCTAAGAGTAGCCTGGCCTGATGGTCAAACATGCCTGGATCTACTAGTTCACCAGGCTACCCTTCCATACCACTTCCCCCACACCTGGTTCTTTCTAGCCTTGTTTATTTCTCGCTATAAAAGAAAACTCTTTGGCGGGGTGTGGTGGCTCACGCCTGTAATCCCAGCATTTTGGGAGGCTGAGGTGGGAGGATCATCTGAGGTCAGGAGTTTGAGAACATCCTGGCCAACATGGCAAAACCCCATCTCTACTAAAAATACAAAACTTAGCCAGGTGTGGTGGCACACTTCTGTAGTCCCAGCTACTTGGGAGGCTGAGGCAGGAGAATCACTGGAACTCAGGAGGTGGAGGTTGCAGTGAGCCAAGATCGTGCCATTGCACTCCAGCCTGAGTGACAGAGCAAAACTCTGTCTCAAAAAAAAAAATAAAATAGGAAACATCTTTTTGCCTAATCCCAGAGATTCTTGCAGATTCGATGGTCAGAGAGTTCTCTCTATTGTAATTGTCCCCCTTGAAACCCCAAACTCCCTTCTTGCCATGTCCTTTAGAATGTAGTCTTTTCCTGCTAAATCTGGATTTGTTTTTTATTTGACAAAAATAAATTCAGAAATGAAATGTAATTTTTTTCCTTTTCATTTCCATTCTACAAGACATTGATGGATACATGGTAGGTTTTTCTGAAAGTTTAAGAAGACAGAGTATACAACTTGCAGCCACACAACTAAATTAAAATGCCAATTATGCTTCTGAGAATGCCTTCTGGCCTTGACAATTTGGGGCTCCAGCTTGAATGCTCTGATTTCTTGATTCTCTTCTCATTCTTTCATACTCAAAACCCTTTGCATTTCTTAAGTCTAAATAGAGTTCTTTATTTTGTTGTTGCCTTTCATCTCCTGCCCTCTAAGCTACCTATCTCCACATACTTAGCACTTTTTTTTTTAAGCAAAAAAAAGAAGAAAGCCAGTTCTTTCCCTAAAAATAAACTATCCACTGGAGATAGGCACCAGACATTATGATACTCAGAGAAGGGACAGCTCAGCTGTAAGTGGACATGGCTGGACTAGGTGGATCTGGAGCTACTCTGCAACTCACTAGCTTTAGGATCTTGCTCAAGTCACATCTCTGTTCTCTTCTTTGTTTGTTTTCTGTTGGGTGTTAAATTGTTAGATGGCTTCAAATATCTCTTCCAACGCTAAGGTTCTACAGCTTATTGAACGTTAATACAATGTGTCCAAAACAGGAAGAAATGTCTTGAATAACAATGGTGTAAAAACAAGTTAGTAGAGGAGAGGAGAAAAATCTCCATGGCAGACACGCTGACAAGGAGGTGTGCTACAAACAGTATTATATAGAAGAGCATGGGGTGAAAAGGGAACACTTCTACACTGTTGGTGGGAATGTAAACTAGTACAACCAGTATGTAAAACAGTATGGCGGTTCCTTAAGGAACTAAAAGTAGAACTACAATTCAATCCAGCAATCCCACTACTGGCTATCTACCCAAAGGAAAAGAAGTCATTATATGAAAAAGACACGCATATGTATGTTTATAGCAGCACAATTAAAAATTGTAAAAATATGGAACCAACCTAAATGCCCATCAACCAATGAGTGGATAAAGAAAATGTGATGTGATATATATATATATGCCATGGAATACTACTCAGCCATAAAATTGAGTGAAATAATGGCCTTTGCAGCAACTTGGATGGAGCCAGAGGCCATTATTCTAAGGGAAGTAACTCGGGAATGGAAAACCAAATATTGTATGTTCTCATCACTTACACATGGGAGCTAAGCTATAAGGCTGCAAAGGCATAAGAATGATATAATGGAGGCCGGGTGCAGTGGCTTATGCCTGTAATCCTAGCACTTTGGGGGCTGAGGTGGGCAGATCATGAGATCAGGAGTTCGAGACCAGCCTGACCAATAGCTTGAACCTGGGAGGCTGAGGTTGTGGTGAGCCAAGATCGCACCACTGCACTCTAGCTTGGGCGACAGAGCGAGACTCTGTCTCAAAAAAAAAAAAAAAAAAAAAAAAAAAAAAAAAATATATATATATATATATAGTGGAGTTTGGGGATGGCAGGAGAAGGTTGGGAGGGAAGTAAAGGTGAGATGACATATTGTGTACATTTGTACACTGCGGGGGTGATGGGTGCACCAGAATCTCAGAAATAACCACCAGAGAGCTTATCCATGTAATCAAAAGCTACCTATACCCCCAAAACTATTAAAATAAATTAAAAACAATAAAAAATAAAGAGCATGGGATTTGGGGACAGAACAGTTTGGATTCAAAATCTGATACTACTTCTAGTCACTAAGCAACTTCAGGCAAGTTAATGAGTCTCTAAGCTGAAGTTCTAACAGGTAATGGTAATACTCAGTTTTTTGGTAAAGATTCAAGGTAAGAGTAATGACATCATTTTCGATAATTTTGCTATAGTTCTCTGCTTAAATATTTTTCATACATTCTCTTCTGCCTTTCCTTCTTTGTAGTAGAAGTTATTCATTTGTGTCACTTTGCAGGCTGTGCATACTTTAAAAATATTATTTAAAACACAATATTATTTTGCAAATGTTTTGCTAATTGGACTGTGAACTTTTTTTGAGATGGAGTCTCACTCCACCACCCAGGCTGGAGTGCAGTGGTGTGATCCCGACTCACTGCAACCTCCACCTCCCAGGCTGAAGTGGTCCTCCAACCTCAGCCTCCCAAGTAGCTGGGACTACAGAGGCATGGCATGCCACCACACCCAGCTAATTTATTGTATTTTGTGTAGAGACAGGATTTCACCATGTTGTCCAGGCTGATCTTGAACCCCTGAGCTCAAGAGATCCACCCGCCTCAACCTCCCCATGTGCTGAGATTACAGGCATGAGCCACCATGCCCGGCCTGAACTGTAAATTTCTTTGAGGGAAGGGAGTGTATCCTTTTTGGTGACATATTCTCAGTGGCTAAGATAGTACATGACACTTGCCAATAACTTTGGAGAAAAAATAATAAAGGATACATGGATGATGGACATGGAGATTTCACTAATGATTCTTGTTCATAGTTTCATACAAATGAATCTTCCATTCTCATCTGCAAAAGCAATTGCTTGAAAAGCTAACTTAAGGTCAGGCTTGGTGGCTCATGGGAACTCGAGATCAGCCTTGGTAACACAAAGAGAACCTGTCTCTACAAAAAATAAATTAGCAGCGTGGTGGTACATGCCTTGTAGTCTCAGCTACTCAGGAGGCTGGGGTGGGAGGATTACTTGAGCCTGGGAAGTTGAGGCTGCAGTGAGCCATGATCTGCACTCCAGGCTGGATGACAAAGTGAGATTTTCCCTCAAAAAAAAAGTTAAAATACTAAGGATTTCAATAATGTAACCACATGACAGTTTCATCTTGCTAGCTGCCCAGATAGAGCTGATTTGTCAGGACAGTGGAATTGCAATAGAGAAGGATTTTATTACATGTAAAGGAGGCTAAATGAGAGACTGGAGTTTTATTATTACTAAAACCAGCCTCCTAAAAAATTCAGAGGCTGGGGTGTTTTAAAGATAGTTTGGCAGGCAGGGAGAGGTTAGGGAATGGGAAATGCTGATTGACTGGGTTGAGGATGAAATTGTATGGGGTCAAAGCTGGTTTGTCTTGCTGTCTTCTGTTCCCGGGTGAGATTGCAGAACTAGTTACGCCAGATTACCAGTCTGGGTGGTTCTAGCTATTCCATCAGACTACAAGGTCTGAAAAACACCTCAAACATCAATCTTAGGTTTTATAACAGTGATGTTATGTATAGGAGCAATTGGGGAGCTTAGGAATCTTGAGGTCTCTGGCAGTTATAACTCCTAAACAAGAATTTCTAATCTTGTGGCCAATTGTTAGCTTTATAGAGGTGGTCTGGCCCTTAGGCCAGGAGGGTTTTGCTTTGAGGAGGGGCTGTTATTATCTCTGTCTCAAAGGTAAACTTTAAGCTGACTTCTTCCCAGAGTTAGCTTGGCCTACACCCAGGAATGAACAAGGACAGCTTGGAGATTAGAAGCCAGATGGAATCTGTTAGGTTAGATTTCTTTCACTGTCACAAATTTCCTATGTCAGATTTTTCTTACTATCATAATTTTTGCACAGGTGGTCTCAATGACATCAGTGAGATTGTTACTAAATTTTAAAGAGTGATAATCTTACTGTATTGACAGTCCGTAAACTTGTCCCCAGAGCTGGGCTAACTACATCTCAGCCTTGGGGCCTTGATTCTATTGATGTTTTAGAAGTCATTCTTATTAAATTCATTAATCTATCTGAGTAAACAATTTGTTATACATTCCTTGATCTTTGCTCGTAGTTTTGAGAGCAAGCTCTAACTCTTAATTTTCTGAAAACCTAAATTGAACAATTAAGACACAAGTTTATCAGTTTAACAAAAACACAAAAACCCCTAAAACCTGCTCCCAGAAACTGTGCCTTTATAGCATTCATAATGTATGTATTTTCTTACTTAAAGAAGAATCAAAGAGGAGGCGTATTGGAACTGCCACTTTTCCTGGGCATCTCTTAAGAATGTGTTCTGTTTCTGAAATTTCAGAAAATACTTTCTGGCTTTCTCTCTTTTATGAGTGAAGAGGACAACTTATGAATGGGTTGGTTTTGAGAGCAAGTTTGCAAATTTTTAGACCTTAGTTATTGTTCAACCTCAGTTTCCAAATTCCACCTGAAAGGAACACTGGGGAAATGAAGTAGAAGTGATTTTAATTCTCAAAGGTTCTTTTGTCTCTTTCCTGATAGAAAGTGAAGTTCTATGTAGGAGGTGGGTAGTACCATCGTAACCTACTTTATTCTGCCTGAATAAGGAAGGTCAATATATTATCCTATCAGGGAGGGGGAAATTGCATAGACAAGTCCTCGAATGACAATAAAGATGTCCTTGACAGCATGTTGAAAACAGTGGTAAAAGTTTCTTTTTTTTCCCGAAAAAAAAAAGTCAGTGTTTAAATGACAGATGAAGGTAAATGATGGACAAAATGCATTATTCTTAAAGCATCTCCCAGTTTTCTGAAAGAACTGTTACATTTGAATACTGAATGCAAATGGTTTTAATAATAATATATCAGTTTATCAATAAGATAACAGAGCTGTTCTTTGAAGCAATGTTTTCAAAATTTCTTGTAGTGCTAGCTTTGTTGCCCAGTATCTAGTGCCTTAAAAACAACTGAGAAAAAAGAAAACTCTTCCTTTATTTTAATATAGGATTTTTAATTTATTTTATTGTATTACAGTTTGCAGTTTATAGCCTTTAACTTCAGGAATAACAAATGATGGAGGTTTTCAAAATGTTAATGACTATCCTCTTAAAGAGTTTAGCTAAATGGAAACTGCATTCATTTGAGCCAATAATCTATTGGCAGCTTAGGAATTCTTATCATTTGCGGTTGCTCTGCAAATTACCAAAATGATAGCACAACCGGGCCTGACTTGATTTAGACTAGCATGGTTCCACCTGCTAAGTCATCATTCCACTTCTCTTATATCAGAATGGACTTAACCCAACAAAGAGATTTAGGAAATAAATATCAATTTAAGATGTCATAATCTTCTAATTTAATAATCCAAAAATGACTGTATGGATGAACACCAATTAAAAAACACACCTAGGCCGGACACGGTGGCTCACGCTTGTAATTCCACCACTTTGGGAGGCCGAGGTGGATGTATCAAGAGTTCAGGAGTTCATGGCCAAGATGGTGAAACCCTGTCTCTACTAAAAGTACAAAAATTAGCCAGGCATGGTGGCATGCGCCTGTAATCCCAGCTACTTGGGAGGCTGAGGCAGAGAATGGCTTAAACTAAGGAGGCGGAGGTTGCAGTGAGCTGAGATCATGCCACTGCACTCCAGCCTGGGTCACAGAACGAGACTCTGTCTCAAAAAAAAAAAAAAAAAAACAAACCAAAACAACATAAACACCTATATATTTATTTCTGCTTTTAAAAGTAATGTGCTAAGAATGTTGTCAGTATAAAATAGGAATAATATTAGGAAATGGTCATGGTGGAGTTTTTAACCCCTGGAGACTTACTTCTACACATGACATTTTATGAAATTGAGAATATAATAAATATAATATTTCCCTTTTAGTTTAAAATCTTAACATTCTATTTAGACACATAGATAATTTTCAGTTTTTGCTTTATAAATAATATTGTGAACATTTATGTATATAAGCCTTTGTTTTTTTTTTCTTAAAGGTGTAAGTAAAACAACATGTTTAAAAAATTTCAGGCTACATTTCTTTCCATAAAATGCACAAATTTACATCTCTGTTGCTTGTAATCGATTTTGTACTATACCCACATTAAGGCAATTGAATTCCTACCCTAAGCCTCCACTCAGTTTGCCTCAGAAAAGATTTTTCTTGTTTTGAAAGTAAAGAGTTTAGAATCTCCATTGAAAGAATGGGTGACTTCCATTTATGATAAAGGACTCCTCTGCAACCCAATTCATAAGTCTGACTCAAGCAAAGACCCCATTTCTGCTTGGGAAATCCTCGAAGACAGAAATAGCAAAACAAAGTGGAGAGAGTAGAGACAGACTAGGGTTGAATGCCCAGTTTTATTACCAGCTGTACATATGACTCAGGGTATGTTTGTCAGTCTTTACATCTATAAAATGATGTCATTGAACTGGACAATCTTATAACTGTAAGTTATAAACTTATAACCACTTTCAAAAAATTTTTATGGATCACCTTTTTGAAGCCCTCTGGTGACCACCTTAGCCAGCATTAAATTCTCCCTTTTCTCATCTCCAATGGTAACTTATCGCCCAAGAGCCTTGATCAACATAGGCACTAGAGAGAACAATTCTTATATTACTATAACTAATATAATTCTTATATTACTCATGGGGTTTTAAAATTATTTAATAAATATCACCTTACCCATGAAATAACTGATAATTTGGCTTGGAAATAATAAATCTGTTCCTTTTGAAAATAACAAATATAACCCAAATCCTTTCTGTAAAAAGGAAAAAAGATAAGTAATATGTAGTAACTCATCAATTTTATAAAAACTACTTAGCTGTTTTAAATACAGCTTTAGGTAATCTCTTACATGCTTAAGCGTTGTTAGAACTGTTAATGTTTTACTCCATATTCTGAGAAATTCAGAATTATTATCATTATTTTAATTAAAAATACATTAAAACATTGAATGACATTTAGAACTTTAACCCAAGACACCCAACAAGTTTAAACTCTACCAATTCTTTATAAACAATGAGTTTTGAATAAGTAACACACCTACTTGGTTAAGGTTTGCACTTTCTGGAGGAAAGCATGATTGGAGCTGCTGTTTATTGGTTTGTTCAATTTAAAATATCTTTTTGCAAGATCCTTATAATTCTCAGCAGAAAAGAAAGCGCAACCTCCTTCACTCTAAAGACCCTGCTGGGAATAATTCCAGCTTTTGTCCCCCAACCTTCACTTGATTCCCATCATAAGTTAAAGGAATTTTCAACCTTGTATTATGAAGAGTCTTCTTAAGTTATAGCTAGAAGGATGAGCATCATCTTGGTAATAAACAGGTCAGAGGCAGCTGGTGGAGAAGGGTTACACAGCCTCAGCTGGCCCTGTTACTGCACCTCAGTTGACTTTTAGGGAATGCTCAAGACCATAGACATCTTTATGAAAATGAAATTTGTGAAGTTCAATTGAGAACACTTTCCTGCAAGGAACCTCCCAACTATTTCCTTTTTTCATTTCTTTTGCTGTGAGCTGTTTATGTAGTTTGATATATTTACATGTCTAACGAAGGTGCAGATCAAAATTTAAACATATAAACTTTTTTAGGAGCAGTTAATGGGCTACCATGTGAGAAAATAGCAGTATTTTAAAAGTCCAAATGTTTCATAGTAACAGTGCTGACAATTTATTGGCATTACTGTCTTCCATGTCCTAAGATAACAGAAAGTATAGCAGAAGAAAAATCTTAAAAAGGAATGAAACTTTGGATGTAATGACTTTGACAACAACAAAACAACAAAAAACAAACAAAACCCTATAATCAAAACTATATGAGACAATAGCTTACTTTTGTTACTGAGCAATAAATAGGCTTGCTCTCCAATGTACCTGAAAGCCAATACCAAGGCTCTGACTTTTGAGAAAAGAAAAGATTTATTGTAAGTCCACTGGCAAGGAGTCAGGAGGAAACAATCAAATCTGTCTCCCCAGGCTGGGAGCTAGGTCAGGTTTTATAGGCAGAGGAGGGTAATGAGGCGTGATGTGATTGGATCTTACAATGAGGTGATGCCAGGAGGCATAATCTGACTGGATCCTGCCATAGGGTAATGCCACAGTTCAATCTGATTGGATCATGGATCCTGTCATGTGAGGTCCACTTCTTAATTCAGTCCCCAGTCCTTGGTCTGACACTTAGATTCCACCTGTGGTTGTGAACTTGGTTCATCTGGGCATGCTCTGTTTACATGACCTTCAGCCTGCTGGTCTAGGGCAATTGACTCACAACTTTGTTATGTAAAAGTTGAGCCAGACTGGTCTGCTGTGTCTACACTCTGAAATACAAAAAGAAATAAAATAAAATGGATTGAGGGATGTATAGATGCATAGATATGTGAAAAATCCAGTATAGTAAAGTATTAAAGGTAGAACCTAGATGGTAGGGATAGAGATTTTCATGTAATGTTCTTTCAGCATTATTATATGTTGCAAATATTAATGATAAAACATTGGTGAAAATAAACTATGAAAGACAAAGGAAATAAAGTTATAAACATAAAAAATGAGATATTTTATTGAAAATGTAAAGATAAGTCTGGGTGCGGTGGCTCACACCTGTAATCCCAGCTCTTTGTGAGGCCAAGGTAGGTGGATCACCTGAGGTTAGGAGTTTGAGACTAGTCTGGCCAACATGTTGAAACCCCGTCTCTACTAAAAATACAAAAGTTAGCCTGGTGTGGTTGTGGGCACCTGTAATCCCAGCTACTCGGGAGGCTGAGGCCAGAGAATTGCTTGAAACCAAAAGGTGGAGGTTGCAGTGAGCCGAGATCGCACCACTGCACTCCAGCTTGGGTGACAGAGCAAGACCTTATCTCAGAAAAAAAAAAGAAAAAGAAAAAGAAAAAAAGAAAACGTAAAGATAAAAGAGAAAAAAATGCAAAGCAAATAATCAAATATAATAATGAAGGATTGGCACTGGAAGTAACATATCATAAAGGTTAAGAATATGCTCTGGAATCGGGCTGTCTTGGTTTGAGTATTATTCCTGCCACAGGCATGCAGTGCCATTTAGTCAAATTACTTAATCTCTGTGTCTCAGCTTCCTCATCTGGAAATGAGGCTCATGACCAATACCTACTCCACAGCTTGCTGTAAGTATTAAATGAGTCTATATAAAAAGGGCTTAGAACAGTTATGGCATCTAGCACGCAAACTTTAAAGGGTAATTATTATGAGACACGTGTTTTTTAAAAAAAAGAGGCATAAAAGGCGGGGCATGGTGGTTTACGCCTGTAATCCCAGCACTTTGGGAGGCCGAGGCGGGCGGATCACGAGGTCAGGAGATCGAGACCATCCTGGCTAACATGGTGAAACTCCGTCTCTACTAAAAATGCAAAAAATTAGCCTGGCGTGGTGGCAGGCACCTGTAGTCCCAGCTACTCGGGAGGCTGAGGCAGGAGAATGGCATGAACCAGGGAGGCGGAGCTTGCAGTGAGCCGAGATCATGCCACTGCACTCCAGCCTGGGCAATAGAGCAAGACTCTGTCTCAAAAAAAAAAAAAAAAAAAAAAAGGTATAAAATAGAAGAGGTTAACATGAAATAGATTAAGAACGAGTGATTAAAGGCAGAACTCATTTATCCATTAATGTATTCATGCTATAAACATTTATAAACCCTTCTAAGTTTCAGACACTGTAAATATAAAAAGAAATGGTCATTTCTGACCTTAAAGAATATGCTGTCCAAAAAGGAGATGACAAACATGGCAATGTAAATATGGAATATGATTATTAGGACCACAATAGAAGTATGTTCAGATTATGAAGGGGGCCCCAAGGAGGCAATGGTCATTTCAACTATCTGGGATGAAGAAAGGATTCATGAAAGAGGATATATTTTAAAATATTTAAAAGCAGAGATCTAAAAGAATAAAACAACAAAATACCATGAATAATATAAAATATTATTAGCAATTAAAGAGACAATGAGATTGAGAAATAAAACCAAATATATTTTAAAACAAATTTGAAGAAGCCACAATTCAAATTCAAAACATTAAGAGGTTTAAAGACTAGGTTTAGCATTAGGCAAAAGTAATCAAAAGTCTTCAGATGAACTTGCTTTTTGTCCAGCAGACTTTATTTACAGTTGTGCTTCCAGATTTTATGGCTCCATTCTTACATATCAGAAGAGCAGTATCAGGCCAGGCACATTGGCTCACACCTGTAATTCCAGCACTTTGGGAGGCTGAAGTGGGCAGATCACTTAAGCTCAGGAGTTCTAGACAAGCCTGGACAACATGGAGAAACCACATCTCTACTAAAAATACCAAAAAAAAAAAAAAAAAGGCCAATCATGGTGGTATACACTGGTGGTCCCAGCTACTGGAGGGTGAGGTGGGAGGATAATCTGAGCCCATGAGGTCGAGGCTATAGTGAGCCAAGATAATGCCACTGCACTCCAGCCTGGGTGACAGGAGTGAGACCCTGTCTCAAAAAAAAAAAAAAAAGAAGAGCACTCTCTCTGATCTCTTTTTTGATGCCTCCCACCATTGGCTTTCCCCATAGACAGGGGCTTCTCCTGTTTGTACCTGTGGCAGCAAAATTTTCAATCAGTATAAACTCCCCCAGCCCCTTCTCAGCTGACACAACCTGCAGACAGGCAAAGTATGGGCTATGTATTAGTCTATTTTCATGCTGCTAATAAAGACATACCTGAGACTGGGTAATTTATAAAGGAAAGTGGTTTAATGGATTCACAGTTCCACATGGCTGGGGAGGTCCCACAATCATGGTGTAAGGCAAAGGAGAAGCAAAGGCACATTTTACATGGCAGCAGGCAAGAGAGCATGTGCAGGGGAACTTCCCTTTACAAAACCATCAGACCTCGTGGGGCTTATTCACTGTCAGGAAGACAACATGGGAAAGACCCACCCCCATGATTCAATTACCTCCCACCAGGTCTCTCCCACGACGTGTGGGAATTATGGGAGCTGTAATTCAAGATGAGATTTGGGTGGGGACACAGCCAAACCATATCAGGGTCCTTCCCATGAAAACAAATGGCCCCTTCAGAATCTCTTATACACAATCTCTTTTTTATCTTTTTTACAACTTCGTAAGGAAAATAATGCAGGCGTTTTTATGGCCAATTTTTTTTTAAGATGAGTGTGACAGACACATTCTAGCGCAGCTGTCCTGATTCCACCTCCTGGTGTTCATGCCCATGTGTGATTCTCCTCCTCTGGAGTGTAGGAGGAATCTGTGACTTGCTTCTAATCAGTAAAATACTGCAAAGGTGACAGCAAGTATGTTTAATGAGCATGTTATTATGTTACTTAAGATTGTAAACTGGTCTTGCTAGAAGACTCTGTCTCCCTTGCTGGCTGTACTGAAGGCAGCTGTAATGTCTTGAGTTGACCATGTAAAGCAGTGGTCCCCAATCTTTTTGGCACTAGGGATAGGTTTCATGGAAGACAATTTATCCATGGACCAGGGATGCAGAGATGGTTTCAGGATGATTCAAGTATATTACATTTATTGTGCACTTTATTTACATTATTATTACATTGTAATGTATAATGAAATAATTGTACAACTCACCATATGTAGATTCAGTGGGAGCCCTGAGCTTGTTTTCCTGCAATTAGACAGTCCCATCTGGGGGTGATGGGAGACAGTGACAGATCATCAGGCATTAGATTCTCATAAGGAATACACAACCTAGATCTCTTGCATGTGCAGTTCACAACAGGGTTTGCACTTCTATGTGAATCTAATGCCACAATTGATGTGACAGGAGGCGGAGCTCAGGTAGTAATGTGAGTGATGGGGAACTGCTATAAATACAGATGAAGCTTTGCTTGCTACAGTGCCACTCATCTCCTGCTGTGAAGCCTGGTTCCTAACAGGCCATGGACCAGTACCAGTCTGTGGCCCGAGGGTTGGGGACCCCTAATGTAGAAGGCCAAATGGCAAGGCATGATGGGCAGCCTCTGACCAACAGCTGGTAAGACACTGAGGACTTCAAGGCCCTGCAAGGAACTGAACTCTGCCAACACCACACAATTTGGAAGTGGATTCTTCCCTAGTCAAGCTTCAGATGAGACCACATGCCCAGCCAACACCTTTCTTGGCTGCAACTTTGTGAGACTCTGAAATAGAGAACCTTACTAAGCTCAACCTGAATACCTACATGTAGAAACTGTGAGAATAAATACGTGCAGGTGTTTTTGTTTGTTTGTTTGTTTGTTTTGAGATAGAGTCTTGCTCTGTCACCCAGGCTGGAGTGCAGTGGCATGTTTTTGGCTCGCTGCAACCTCCGCCTCCTGGGTTCAAGCAATTTTCCTACCTCAGCCTCCTGAGTAGCTGGGATTACCGGCGCCCACCACCATGTCTGACTAATTTTGGTATTTTTAATAGAGACTGGGTTTTGCCACGTTGGCCAGTCTGATCTTGCACTCCTGACCTCAGGTGATCCACCTGCCTCTACCTCCCAAAGTGCTGGAATTACAGGTGTGAGCCACCGTGCCTGGCCAATATGTGTAGTTTTAAGTACTAAGCTTGTGACAATATTGTTATACAGGAATAGATTACCTTAAAGAGGAAATTAATATTTAGAGTGTCTAAATTAACGGACTTCATGAAGTCGAAGAAACACCTCACCAACCTGCCAATGTTTGTTCTTATAGTCATTCTTCATGAGAGAAAGAACTTACTTTTTCTCAGCTTCTCAGAATTTTCTAGAACCCAAGTGGATAAGTGCCACTGTTGGAGATAATCAAGTGATTACATTTCTCATGACATCTGGATGCAATAATGTTTGATAGCTATCAGAGAAGCTACTGAGTCAAGCCACTTGCTAAACATGCAGCACTACAAAAAGAGGAATGAGAAACCAGGTATTTCACAAAGGTTCTCTTCATGAGGCAGTCACTTACCATAGACTAGAAAATGCTTTTGAGAAGATGGACAGAGTAATTCCAGAAAAGGTTCCTGACAAATTGTTTGTTTGAGTGGTCTCAAATTTTACAACGAATAAATCACCACTCAACCACACACACTATTTTATTTCTTCTCCAGACATATTTTAGCCTGATACATGAATATGAGTTAAATTATTCGGAAAATCTTTGAGTGTGCAGCTCTAGGTATTTGAAAATATTCAAAAGAAGGTTTCACAACTTTTAAAGGGCATTATGGTCATTTTTGCTAAATAAAAATGAGCCCTCAAGAAAATACTATTTTCGGGTGACAAAGTGATAATGAAAGAAATGTGCTTAAAATGGACAACAAATATGCCTTTCAAACTGGAATGATTAAATAAAGATATGCCTGTGGAAGTGATTGAAACTAGAGAAGTGCTGAAATTCAGGGCTGTGCTCAGAACATCTAAATAGCTTTAGCAATGTCTGCCAGGAAAATCAAACTTCATTTAAAAATTTTTCTTAGAATTTCTTCATGTCAGTGACATTCTGTGTGTGAGGGCTCCGTTAGCATACAATCTAACAGAAGCTGTGTACAGCTGATTGGGGAAAGAATACCATGGTTTACTCTGGTATTTTAAAATGTGCTATCCTCTCCTTGTGTTCTGAATATTTCTGTTCATGGAAATGTGATTTTTTTTTAACAAGAGCATTTCTTTATGACATTTTAGATCTTAGACATTCAATTTGCCCTACTAAGCCCAAGCAAAGGGCTTTTAAAAGAGGAAAGTGAAAATAGACTGTAGCTCCGGAGTCATGTGACTGGAAGTGGTTTCTCACCTTGACATTTTTCTTTGACAATGAAAGAAAAGAATGAGTGGGTCACAATTACTTCCTGAACATAAAGGCGAAAAGAATGATGGGGAAAAAATATGTTCATGTGTGAGACATTCACATTTGTAGTCTCTTTAATGGTGTAGATGTGTAGTATTACTTTTATCATTCAGAGTTTGGGTTTGATCAAGGGCTGACTGCATATATGACAGTGGTCCCAGAAGATTTTATACCAGATTTTTACTGTACCTTTTCTATGTTTAGCTATGTTTAGATACACACCATTGTGTCCCAGTTGCCTACAGTATTCAGTGCAGTAACACACTGTACAGGTTTGTAGCCCAGGAACAATGGACTCTAGGTTTGTGCCCATCTTACACCACCTAGGTTTGTGTAAGCCCACTCTAGGATATTCCCACAATGACAAAACACCTGATGATGCACTTCTCAGTTCATGTCCCCATCGATAAGTGACACATGACTGTAGTTAACTTTTTATAGTTCTATTTTTCCCTGAGACATCAAATGATGAATTAAACAGAGTTTGATCAGTTCCTGGATTTGCCTGGATACGGCATGTCTTCTTTACAATGTGATAGGAGATGTTCACTTCCTCAGAAATTCTCAAAGGACTTTTATAGTGATCTCCTTGACTTGTTTTGTCAAACTCCAAGAGAAGGGCAATGGGAAAAAATGACAAGAAAAATCTTAATATTGGTTTAAATATTTTTGAAAAAATAAAAACCTAGATGTTAGACCCTTATACATTTGGAAGAAAATAAAATTGGATTGTCTTACACGGTATGGGCCAATGTTCTGCCAACCTGTTTGTTTGGATTAACTCAATTTTGCTACTCATACCCACAGTTTTATCACTTCCTCTAACATGAATAATATCCTGGTAGATTAAAGATTTAAACTTTATCAGTATAATAAAGTTACATATAAAAATGTGAGAGATTATGTGCACAATCTCTTGGGTGAGGGGTGTAGAATTTTTTAACCAAGATGGCATATACCAAAAGCAGTAAGAGAAAAGGTAGATATTTTAATATGTAAAACTACTGTTTTTACAGGAAAAAGTACTGCAAACACAATAAAGAGAAAATTATAGATTTGAAAAAGATATTTGCAATTTAGAAATTAATAACTGTCACAAAACTTTTACAAACTGGTAAGAAGGCAAAAACTATTCACTTAAAAAGTGGGCAAAGAATATGAAGTAACAATTGATAGAGAAGCAAACCCAACTGGCCAGCAAACATCTGAAAAGATGTTCAAATTTACTTGCTGGAAAGACGAATGTGAATTATAGTTAAAAAATGAGATATCACTGTAAAACTATCACAGTACCTGAAGTTAAAAACCTATGTTCATCCAACAAACACATGAGGAATTGCAGTCTTTTTAGAAAGCAAATGGGCATTATCTAGTAAAATAAACACACACACACACACACACACACACGTATATACACACATACACGTATTGATAAAGAATGTCTGCTGCTCTCTAAAAATGTATGTTTCCTCTTCTTACTGGGCATGTGGTTAGATTGCAATTTCTGGTCTCACTTTACAGATATATCCAATGACTGTGAGCAGGATTGTTGTGGCAGGATTGGTGTGTGCTTCTTCCAGGCCCAGCCCATCTAAACCTCCCATACTTGGTATATGCTCCTCTGTTCTCTTTTCTCCTTCCAGCTGCCTAGGCTGGTGAGTGAGGGAGCCCCTGAAGATGGCAGAGCCTGAGTTATCCCACCCAGCCTACTCTGTCACATGCTTTGACCTGGTAATTCGTCTCTTGGGCATCTATCTTAAGGAATGAAAAGCACCAGTGTATATGGAAATATGTACAAGGATAATTATTCCAGCATTATTCATAGTTGTTAGAATTTAAAAAAACTGGAAACAAATGGAATGACTGTGAATAGGGATAGACTGAATAAATTATGGTAAATCCACACTTTAGAATATTTTGTAGTCATTAAAAAGAGTAAGTTAGGATCACACCATTTGACTTGAATGGATTTTCAAGAACTTTTGTTGAAAGGGAAGAATGAGATGTAAGAAGGGTATTTATTGTGTGTATTAGGCTACTCAGGCTGCCATAACAAAATACCACAGACTAGATGGCTTAAACCATAGAAATTTATTTTCTCACAGTTGTGGAGGTGGGAAGTCTGTGATTAGGCTCCCATTATGGCTGGTTTCTGGGGAAGGCTCTCCTCCTGTCTAATAGATAATATGGTTTGGATTTGTGTTCCTGCCCAAATCTCATGTCAAATTGTAATCCCCAGTGTTGAAGGAGGGTCCTAGTGGGAGGTGATTGGATCATGGAGGAGGATTTTCCTCTTGCTGTTTTTGTGATAGTGAGTGACTTCTCATGAGATCCGGTTGTTTAAAAGTGGGTAGCACCTCCACATTCTCTCTCTTCCTCCTGCTGCAGCCGTGTAAGACATGACTCCTTCCTCTTCACCTTCTGCCATGATTGTAAGTTTCCTGAGGCCTCCCTAGCCCTGCTTCCTGCACAGCCTGTGGAATTGTGAGCCAATTAAACCTCTTTTCTTCATAAATTACCCAGTCTCGGGTAGTTCTTTATAGCAATGGGAGAATGAACTAATACCGACGGCTACCTTCTCATTGTGTCCTCACATGGCAGACAGTGAGAAAAAGATCTCTTTCTTTCCTTGTTTTTTTTTTTTTTTTTTTTTTTTTTTTTGAGACGGAGTCTTGCTCTGTCATCCAGGCTAGAGTGCAGTGGCACGATCTTGCCTCAGTGCAACCTCCACCTCCCTGGTTAGGTCAAGCAATTCCTCTGCCTCAGCCTCCCGAGTAGCTGGGATTACAGGTGCATGCCACTGTGCCCGGCTAATTTTTTTGTGTATTTTTAGTAGAGACAGGGTTTCACTGCCGAAGAGGGTGGATTGCCTGGGCTCAGGAGTTCTTTCCCTTCTTATAAGGAGATAGTCCTATCAAATTAGAGTGCCACCCTTATGACCTCATTTAACATTAAGTATCTCCTAAAGGCTCCATCTCTAGCTATCATCACTTTGGTAGTTAGGGCTTCAGCATATGAGCTGGGGGTTGGTAGGAGGGGACGACATTCAGTCAGTAGCAATATCAAAGACCAAAACACCTTAGATAAGTGCATATGCTCATATATACATATATTCATTTAATATAATTACAAATGAATGGAAAAATATATCTATATACTCAGTTATAAATTGGTTTCCTTGTGTTAGTGTTGGGGGGATGGAGGTAAAGTGGCAATATTAGAATAAGAGAGAAGGAGCTTTTGCTTAACACCCATTAAGTAAAAATGTAAATAAAAATTAAAGAGAACATACAAAAAAGATAATGTAAATTTATAATTGAGGGATTTTTATATGTAAAATCAGTAACAAAGTTAGATCATACATGTGTACACTTATAAAATAGTTCTCTCTGTGCTGCCTGAGAACCCTTTCCTCTCTTCCTCACTATCCCTCTATTTAATTGTCTTAAGATCTGTACAGGGAGTTACTTCTTGGCATTGCCATTTTATTTGCTTAATCACTGACTTGCAGAAATTGCCCTTATACATAAATAAATGAAAAGAACCAGTAGAAGAAACACAAGTATATAAGATTGAAAATTCTATACGCTTCCCATGTTCTCACCTGAAGGGATGAAGTAAGAATATTAAGCTTCAGTTTTGTGGAGGATATTCTTCATCTCAAAAGACACCTGAGTACGTAAGTAAGCAAGCATTTGCCAAGAAGAGATATAATTCTGTGATATACAAATTATTCACCAAGACAAAGAGCTTAGGGCAAGAGGTAGTAAATGGGGTTGAGGTTTTTTTTATTTTGTTTGTTTCATTTGGGCATATGCCCAGACAGTATAGGTCAAAGGTTTAATGACTCTGGATGCAACTTTGAGCAGCTTACTTGAGACACTGGAGTGTCCTTCATAAGAAATTTTGTCCACTGCTGCTCCGCAATTAAACAAAATTTCTCTAGCACAGAGAGGGAAGATAACCTTACTGAGCTCAGACTTTACTAGCAATACAAAAGCCTCAAAGATCCACAGAAGCTAAGGATGGTAGCCAATTTATCACCAATGACATACCGAATATTTTCTTTTCTATTACATTTTTAGGGACAGTGCAAGCTAGAAACAAAATCATGTGCTTGTCTTCACAATTTTTATCTTCCACCTTGGTCCACCTTTCCAAAAATTATAGGGCCCTGTTTATCTGGTTCTAGAAATATTGTTTGTTGCAGGGTTAATTGGGAACTATGTTAGGAGGAAAATTCCTGCTCCTTCTTCCTTTTCACAAGTAACTCTAGTGGTCAAATTAATTTGATTATTGATCCTGTTAAGGTAATGATGTGGTTATTAAGCACTTTTCTATGCCAGTTGGACATTCGAGGACCTACTCGTTAATAAAAAGTGTAGATTATATGATACTTTCGGATGTGCTGTAAGTTTGTAATTTTTACAGTAATGTGCCTGGAACATTATATGGAGTCAATAAGTTAGTCAAATGGCGTCTAGTAGCTGTGCAATCTTGGTCAAATTACATATTTTCCTAAGTCTCAATGTCCTCATACATAAAAGAAATATTGATAAATTCTCCCTCTTTAGGTCATTGGGAAGAGTGTATTAATATATGGAAAATACAAGGAATTATGCATTACAATAATAAAGAATAACAAAAACAACATTTTGGAAGGGCATTACTTTACATTTTTAACTCTAGGTATCAGAATCCTGAGTGAAATTTATTGTCCACTAGTAAAAAGAAGTGCTATTCTTTTTTTGTTTTTCATTTTTATTTTTGATACAGAGGGTACATGTGCAGGTTTTGTTACCTGGGTATATTGAGTGATGCTGAGATTTGGGTTAAGAATCAACCCATCACTCATTTCTATTGTTGCCATCTTTATATCCAGATGTATCCAATGCTTAGCTCCCACTTATAAGTGAGAACGTGTGTTATTTGGTTTTCTGTTCCTGGGTTCATTCACTTAGAATTATGGCCTCCAGCTGCATCTATGTTACTGCAAAGGACATAATTTCATTCTTTCTGTGGCTGTGTAGTATTCCATGGTGCACATTTTCTTTGTCTAATCCTCTGTTGATAGGCAGCTAGGTTGAGTCCATGTCTTTGCTGTTGTGAACAGTGCAGCGATGAACTTATGAGTGCATGTGTAGTTTTGGTAGAACCATTTGTTTTCTTTTGGATATATACCCAGTAATGGAATTGCTAGGCCAAATGGTAGTTCCCTTTTAGGTTCTTTGAGAAATCTCCAAACTGCTTTCCTCAGTGCTGAACTAATTTACATTTTCACCAACAATATTTAAGCATTCCCTTTCCTCCATAGCCATGCCAGCATCTGTTGATTTTGACCTTTTCATAGCAGCCATGCTGACTGGTATGAGATGGTATCTCATTATGACTTTGATTTGCATTTCTCTGATGATTAGTGATGTCAAGCATTTTTTCATGTTTGTTTGGTTGCTTGTGTGATTTCTTTTGAGAAGTGTCTGTTCATGTATTTGCCCATTTTTTGATGGGGTTATTTATTTATTTTTCTTGTTGATTTAAGTTCCTTTTAGATGACTCTGTATATTAGATCTTTGTCAGACACATAGTTTATGAATACTTCATCCCATTGTGTGGGTTATCTGTTTATTCTGTTGATAATTTCTTTTGCCGTGCAGAAGTTCTTTAGATTAATTAGGTCCCACTTGTCATTATTTGTTTTAGTTGCAATTGCTTTTGAGGGCTTAATCATAAATTGTTTTCCAAGGCTGATGTCCAGAATGGTGTTTCCTAGGCTTTCTTCTAGGATTCTTATAGCTTGAGGTCTTACATTTAAATCTTTAATCCATCTTGGTGAATTGTTTTATATGGTGAAAGGTAGGGGTCCAGTTTCATTCTTCTGCATATGGTTAGCCAGTTATCCCAGCAACATTTATTGAACAGGGAGTTCTTTCCCCATTGCTTATTGTTGTTGACTTTCTTAAAGATCACATGGCTGTAGAAATACAGCTTTATTTCTGGGTTCTGTAACCTATTCCATTGGTCTATGTGCCTGTTTTGGTACCAGTAGTACCATGCAGTTTTGGTTACTGTAGTCCGATAGTATAATTTGAAGTCAAGTAATGTGATGCCTCTGACTTTTTTTGCTTAAGCTGTTGGGATTTTTTCTGGTTCCACATGAATTTTATAATAGTTTTTTACAATTGTGTGAAAAAAATGACATTGGTAGTTTGAAAGGAATAGCATTGAATCTATATATTGCTTTAAGTAGTATGGTCATTTTAATGATATTGATTCTTCCAATTCATAAGCATGAATGTTTTTCCATTTGTTTGTGTCATCCGTGATTTATTTTAGCAGTATTTTGTAGTTTCCTTTGTAGAGATCTTTCACCTTCTTGATTAGCTATATTCCTAGGTATTTTATGATTATTTTTTGGCTATTGTAAATGAGATTGCATTCTTGATTTCATCCTCACCTTGAAGATTATTGGTATGTAGAAACGCTTGTGATTTGTGTACATTGATTTTGGATCCTGAAACTTTACTAACATTGTTTATCAGTTCCAGGGGCTTTTTGGCAGTCTTTAAGGTTTTCTGGGTGTAGGATCATATATCTATGAAGAAAGATAGTTTAACTTCTTTTCCTATTTGGATGCCTTTTATTTTTTTTCTCTTGCCTGATTGCTCTGGCTAGCACTTCCAGTACTAAGTTGAATAGGAGTGGTGAGAGTGGGCATCCTTGTCTTGTTCCAGTTCTCAAGGGGAACACTTCCAATTTTTCCTTGTTTAGTATGATTTTGGCTGTGTGTTTGCCATAGATGGCTCTTATTCTGAGCTATGTTCCTTTGATTCCTAGTTTATTGAAGATTTTTATCATGAAAGGACTTTGAATTTTATGAAAAGCTTTTTCTGAATCTTTTGAGATGATCATATGGTTTTTGTTAATTCTGTTTATGTGGTGAATCATATTTATTGATTTGTGTATGTTGAACCAACCTTGCATCCTAGGAATGAAGCCTACATAATTGTGGTGAATTAACATATTTATGTGCTGTTGAATTCAGTTTGCTAGAATTCTGTCGAGGATTTTTGAATCTATGTTCATCAGGGATACTGGCCTGAAGTTTTCCTTTTTCAATGTGTTTTTACCAGGTTTGGGTATGGCGGTGCTGCTGGTTCATGGAATGAGTTAAGAAGGAGTCTCTCTTCCTTGGTTTTATCAAATAGTTTCAGTTATATTGGTACCAGCTCTTCTTTGCATGTCTGGTAAAACTTGGTTGTTAATCCATGCACTCCAGGGCTTTTTTGGTTGATAGGATTTTTATTACTGATTCAATATCAGAACTTGTTATTGGTCTGTTCAGGGTTTCAATTCCTTCCTGATTCAATCTTGGGAGATTGTGTTTTTTGAGGAATTTATCCATTTCCTCTTGAATTTCCAGTTTATGTGAGTAGAGGTGTGTGTTTATAACAGTCTCTGAGGATCTTTTGTGTATTTCTGTGGATTGGTTGCGATGTCACTTTTGTAATTTCTGATTGGGCTTATTTGGATCTTCATTTATTTTTTCTTTGTTAATCTAGCTAGTGGCTTATTGACCTTGTTTATCCTTTCAAAACATCAACTTTTGGTTTTCACTGATACGATACTTAGTATGGATTTTTGAGTCTGCATTTCATTCAGTTCCGTCCTGATTTTAGTCATTTCTTTTCTTCTGCTAGCTTTATAGTTGGTTTGTTCTTGTTTTGCTAGTTGATTTAGGTACGATGTCAGATCATTAATTTGAGATCTTTCTGACTTTTTGAAGTAGCATCTAATACTATAAACTTTTCTCTTAACACTGATTTGCTACATCTGAGAGATTTCAAGAGGTTATATCTCTGTTTTCATTTATTTTAAGGATATTTTTATTTCTGCCTTAATTTCATTGTTTACCCAAAAGTTATTCAGGAGCAAGTTGTTTAACTTTCATGTAGCTGTGTGATTTTGAGAGATCTTCTTGGTATTGATTTCCATTTCTATTCAACTGTGTTCTGAAAGTATGGTTGGTGGGATTTCAAGTTTTAAAAAAATTATTGAGACTTACTTAATGGCTAAGCATATGCTCAATCTTGAAGTATGTTCTGTATGAATGTATATTCTGTGGTTGATGGGTGGAGTATTCTGTAGATGTCTATTAGGGCGAAGTGGTCAAGCATCTAGTTTAAATGCAGAAACTCTTTGTTAGTTTCTGCCTTGATGACCTGTCTAATGCTGACAGTGGGATGTTGAAATCCCCCACTACTTATTACATTTTTATTTTTGTGGGTACATAGGAGGTGTACATATTTTTGGGTACATGAGATATTTTGATATAGGTGTGCAATGTGTAATAATCACATCATGTAAAATCAGGTATCAATTCGCTCAAGCATTTATCTTTTGTGTTACAAACAACCCAATTATAATTTTTTAGTTGTTTAAAATGTACAGTTAAATTATTATTGACTAGAGTCACCCTGTTGTGCTATCAAATACTACGTCTTCTTCATTCTTTCAAATTATTTTTTGTACCAATTAACCATTCCCATTTCCCCTGCCATTGCCCCACTACCCTACCCAGCCTCCAGTAATCATCCTTCTACTCTCTGTCTCCATTAGTTCAATTGTTTTGATTTTTAGATCTCACAAGTGAGAACATCCAATGTTCACCTTTCTGTGCCTGGGTTATTTCAATTAACATAATGGATCCAGTTCCATCAGTGTTGTTGTAAATGACACAATCTCATTTTTTATGGCTGCATAGTACTCCATTGTATATAGGTACTACATTTTATTTATTCATTCATTGATTAACAGGTAACTTCCAAATTTTGGCTATTGTGAATAGTATTGCATGAAATATGAAAGTGTAGGTATATCTTTCATATACCAGCTTCCTTTCTTTTGGGTATGTACTCAGCAGTGAGATTGCTGGATCTTATGGTAGGTCACTTTTTAGTTTTTTGAGAAACCTCCAAATTGTTCTCCATAGTGGTTGTACTAATTTACATTCCCAAAAACAGTGTGTAAGAATTACCTTTTCTCCACATCCTCACCAGCATTTGTTATTACCTGTCTTTTGGATAAAAGCCATTTTAACTGGGGTGAGATGATAACTCATTGTAGTTTTGATTTTCATTTCTCTGATGATCAATGATGTTGAGCACCTTTCATGTGCATGTTTATCATTTCTATGTCTTCAAATCTCTTGCCCATTTCTTAATCAGGTTACTAGATTTTTTTTTTCCTGTAGAGTTGTTTGAGCTCCTGATGTATTCTGGTTATTAATCTCTTCTCAGTTTGTTAGGTTGTAAATATTTTCTCTCATTCTGTGGGTTGTCTCTTCACTTTATTGTTTCTTTTGCAGGTTTTTTTTAACTTGATGTGATCTCATTTGTCCATCTTTGCTTCAGTTGCCTGTGCTTGTAGGATAGTACTCAGGAAATTTTTCTCATCCCATATCCTGTAGAACTTTCCCAATGGTTTCTGTAGTAGTTTCATAGTTTGAGGTCTTTGAATGAACTCATTAATGCATTTTGATTTAATTTTTATATATGCTGAGAGATAGGGGATCTATTTTTATGCCTCTGTTTATGGATATTCAGTTTTCCTAGCCTCATTTATTGAAGAGACTCTCTTTTCCCTAGCACTTGGCAACTTTGTCAAAAATGAGTTTGCTGTAGGTGTGTGGATTTGTTTCTGGGTTTTCTATTCTGTTCCATTGGTTTATGTGTCTGTTTTTTATCCCAGGACCATGCTGTTTTGGTTACTGTAGCTCTGTGGTATAATTTGAAGTCAGGTAATGCGATTCCTCCAGTTTTATTCTTTTTGCTTAGGATAGATGTGGCTATTCTAAGTCTTTTGTGGCTCCAGATAAATTTTAGGGTTATTTTTTCTATTTCTGTGAAGAATGCCATTGGTATTTTGATAGAGATTGCATTGAATTGGTAGATTGCTCAGGGTAGTACAGACATTTTTAACAATATTGATTCCTCCAATCCGTGGACATGGAATATCTTTCCATTTTTGATGACTTCTTTAATATATTTCATCAATGCTTTAAGTTTTCATTGCAGAGATCTTTCACTTCTTTAATTCCCAAGTATTTAATTTTGTCTGCAGCTATTGTAAATGGAATTGCTTTTTTGGCTTCTTTTTCATTTTGCTCTCTGTTGGCATATAGAAATGCTACTGATTTTTGTATGTTGATTTTATATCCTGTCACTTTAGTCAATTTGTTTATCAGTTCTAATAGTTTTCTGATGTAGTCTTTAGGATTTCCAAATATAAGATCATATCATCTGCAAATAAGGAAAATAGACTTCTTCCTTTCCAATTTGTATGCCCTTTATTTTGTTCTCTTGTCAGATTTCTCTAGCTAGGACTTCAGGTACTATTTTGAATAACACTGGTGAAAGTAGACATGCTTGTCATATTTCAGATCTTAGAGGAAAGGCCTTCAATTTTTCCTCATTCAGTATGATCCTAGCTGTGGGTCTGTTGTATATGGCTTCTATTATGTTGAGGAGTGTTCCTTCTATATCCAGTTTTTTAAAGTTTTTTATTTTTTAATCATGAAATGATGTTAAATTTTGTCAAATGCTTTTCCAGCATCAATTAAAATAGTCACATAATTTTTGTCCTTCATTCTGTTCCTATGATGTATCCTGTCGATTGATACGTGTGTGTTGAACCATCCTGGCATCCCAGGGATAAATTCCACTTGGTCATGATGATGAATAATACTTCTAATGTGTTTTTGAATTCAGTTTGCTAGTATTTTGTTGAGGATATTTGCATCAATTTCATCAAGGATATTGGCATGTATTTTTATTTTTTTGATGTGTCTTTGTCTGGTTTTGGTATTAGGGTAATATTGGCCTTCTAGAATGAGTTTGAAATTATTCCTGTTCCTCTGTTTTTTGCAATAGTTTGAGTAGGATTGGTGTTAGTTCTTGTTTAAGTGTTTGGTAGAATTCAGCAGAGAAGCCGTCAGGTCCAAGGTTTTTCCTTACTGGGAGACTTTTTATTCCTGTTTCAATCTCATTACCTGGTCTGTTCGGGTTTTGGATTTCTTTTTGGTTCAATTTTGGTAGATTGTATGTATCTAGAAATTTGTCCATTCTACATTTTCCATTGTATTGACGTATAGTTGCTTATAGTAGCCACTAATGATCCTTTGAGTATCAGTTGTAATGTCTACTACTTTATCTCTGATTTTATTTATTTGGTCCTCTCTTTTTTTCTCAGTCTTGTTAAAGGTTTGTCAATTTTGTTTAATTTCCAAAAACCAAAGTTTTGTTTCATTTATCTTTTGGACTGTTTTATTGATTTCAATTTAATTTATTTCTGCTCTGATCTTTATTATTTATTTTCATCTTCTGAAGTCCTCCACTACTATTGTGTAGCTGCCTAAGTCTTTTTGTAGGTCTTGAAGCACTTGTTTTAAGATTATGTGTGGTCCAATGTTGGGTGTGTATATATTTAGGATAGTTAAGTCTTCTTGTTAAATTAAACCCTTTATCATTATGTAATGCCTTTTTTTGTCTTTTTTGATCATTGTTGATTTAAAGTCTGTTTTGTCTGAAATTAGAATAGCAATTCCTTATCTTTTGTTTTCCATTTGCTTGGTAGATTTTTCTCCATCTCTTTATTTTGAGCTTATGGGTATCATTGCATGTGAGATAGGTCTCTCGAAGATAGCATAAAGTTGGGTCTTACTTCTTTATCAAACTTGCCACTCTGAGCCTTTTAAATGGGGGCATTTAGCCCATTTATATTCAGGGCTAATATTAATATGTACTAATATTGATATGTACTACAAATATTGATATTTACGTCCAAGGCTAATATTGATATGTACTGCCATTGTGTTGTTTGCTGGGTGTTACGCAGACTTGATTGTGTAATTGCTTTATAGTGTCAGCTGAACTGTCTATGTTTTTAAGTGTGGTTTTGTGTTGGCCACTAACAGTCTTTCATTTCTATGCTTAGCACTCCTTTAAGGATCTGTTGTAAGGCAGGTCTGGTGCTTAAAAATTCCCTTAGCATTTACTTGTCAGAAAAGGATCTTCCTTCTCCTTTACTTACGAAGCTTAAAGCTTAGTTTGACTGGATATAAAGTTTTTGTTTGAATTTTTTTTTTTTTTTTTTTTTTTTAAGAATGCTGAATATAGGCCTGTAATCTCTTCTGGCTTGGAGGGTTTCTGCTGAAAGCTCTTCTGTTAGCCTGATGGGGTTCCCTTTGTAGGTGACCCACCCATTCTCTCTAGCTGCTTTTAATATTTTTTCTTTCTGAGTGAACTTGGAAAATCTGATGGCTATGTGTCTTGGGGATGGTCTTCTTATGCAGTATCTCATAGGGGTTCTTTGCATTTCCTGAATTTGAATGTCAACCTCTCTAGCAAGGTTGGGGACATTTTCATGGACGATATCCTCAAATGTTTTCCATGTTGCTCTCTACCCTTTCTCTCTCTTTCAGGGCCACCAATGAGTCATAAGCTTTAGTCTCCTTAGATAATCCCTTATTTCTTGGTGGTTTTGCTCTTTCTTTTTTATTCTGTTCTCTTTATTTTTATGTGACTGTGTTAATTTGAAGAACTGGTCTTTAAGCTCTGAAATTTTTTTCCTCAGTTTGGCCTATTCTGCTGTTAATACTTGCAATTGTATTATGAAGTTCTTGTAGTCAGTTTTTCAGCTCTATGAGATCAGTTAGGTTCTTTCTTAAAATGGCTATTTCATCTTCAAGCTCCTGTATTGGTTTGTTGGATTTCTTAGATTCTTTTGGATTGGGTTTAGACTTTCTCCTGAATCTCAGTGATCTTTATTCAATTTGGATCCTGAATCCTATGTCTGTCATTTCGGCCATTTCAGCCTGTTTAAGGATAATTGCTGGGGAGCTAGGGCAGTTGTTTGGAGGTAAAAAGATACTCTGGAATTTTGAGTTGCCAGGGTTTTTTGCTTTTATATTCTTTTATGCCCTTGGGGGTTTAACTATGGTAAAAGTTGGGTTTACCAGCTGCATTTCTGGAAAATTTTAGAGGCCCAAGTCTCAGCTCAGCACTTCTGGGCTGCATGCTCTAACCCTGGGGGACTGATACCAGGCCCAAGGCTTTGTTTTCTGGCCCTTCATGGTTAAGCACCTGCTGTGCTGGAGGGGCTGAGGTGCTACTGGTCTGCTGGCAACAACAGTCTGCTGGAGGGTGTGGGCCAAAGTGCTTCGTCAGGGTGCCGGCAGTTGGGTCTGTGCTTGCACTTACGTGCCAACTGTGGTGGTGTGCAGTGGGATGCATGCGTGTTGATGAGGGTGGGGCATAAGCAGGGGTGAGGCAGGGGTGTCCACACACATGTGCATACATCAGCAGAGTGGCAGTGATGTAGGTTGCATGAGTGTGCCAGTGGAGGCATGGCTGTGGCGTCAGTATGTGTGGCTATGCCATCAGCAGTTGCTGCGTGGTGGAGTGTGCACATGTCATCAGGGCCAGGATGCTGGTGGGGCTGAGGTGGCGCCCTCCACATGGGGGTGGGTGGCAGTCTCTGTGTGCATAGGTGTGCCAGCAGTGACAGTGTGCCAAGGTGCACATGTGCTGGTGGGCCCAGGACAGCATGTCCACACAAGTAAGTGCTGGCAGTGGCAGCAGTGTGGCAGCATGTGTGCGTGTCAGTGGGAGGTAGAGCTCAGGGTGCAGGTGCATGCTGGTGGGGGCAAGATAGCTGTGTCCACAAGCTTGCACTGGCAGAAATTTTCTTGAATTTTTCCTCAAATATGTTTTCTAGTTTGTTTGCCTTTTGTCATTCTCTCTCATAAATGCCAATCATTCATAGGTTTCATCACTTTACATAATCCTATATTTCTCAAAGGTTTGTTCACTAAAAAAATTTATTTTTCTTTATTTTTGTCTGGCTCAGTTAGTTCAAAAGACTGTTTTTCAAGCTCTGAATTTTTTTGTTTTTGTTTTTGTTTTTTTTTTGAGCCAGAGCCTCACTTTGTTGCCCAGGCTGGAGTGCAGTGGTACAATCTTGGTTCTGGCTCACTGCAAGCTCTGCCTTCTGGGTTCACACAATTCTTGTGCCTCAGCCTCCTGAATAGCTGGGATCATACGACCACACTCCACTAATTTTTGTGTTTTTAGTAGAGATGGGATTTCGCCATGTTGGCCAGGCTGGTCTTGAACTCCTGACCTCAGGTAGTCCACCCACCTTGGCCTCCCAAAGTACTGGGATTACAGGCGTGAGCCACTGTGCCTGGCCTGAAATTTTTTATTCTGCTTGGTCCAGTGTATTGATAAAGGTTTTGATTGTATTTTTGAAATTCCTTGAGTTTTTTTGTGTCTTTTTTTTTTTTTTAATTTCAGAAGCTCTGATTGATTTCTTTTAAGTTGTTTATCTCTTCGTTCATTTCCTGTATTGCTTTAGATGTTTTTGTGTGTTGATTTTCAACCTTGTCTTGGATTTCATTGTACTTTCTAGCAATCCATGAATTGAAATCTTTATCTGTCATTTCTGAATTTCCATTTTAGTTAGGAACCAGTGCTAGAGAGCTAGTGCAATCATTTATTGGTTTCATTATGTTTATATTTTTCATGGTGCCTGAATTTTTGCACTGGTTTCTTATCATCTGAAGATGCTGGCACTTCCAATTTTTGTAATTATTTTTGTGCAGGTAGGACTTTTTTGTTCTCGTTCTCTATAATATTGCGGGGTTTTGTTTTTCTTTTTCCCATTTTTTCTTTCCTGCCTTCATAGGGGGTACAACTGAAGGAATGCTGGGTAGGGTCTTTTGGTTTTGCTCTTATAGCCCTATGCACTTTTTTCAGTAGGTTTCATATTGGGCTGTGAAGTTTGACATACAAATCTGTAGTTGATAGCCAGCACTAGGTAAGAGTGGGCTATAGCCAATGCGGCTGTGTTTATACTTAATCCTTGTTTACCTGGCAGTAGCTCTCTGTTGCCTCAGGCAATGGACTGATTTCTGGAATGTGCAGTGGTCTGAGCTCCCTTCTGACCCCTGGGGAGCCAGGAACCATGAAGCGCAGGGCTAGACTAGGCAGGTCGACCTACAGGTCCACTGATGGCAGACATATGCACCAGCAATGAAGGAGTATCCCGTGGGTGACCATCAAGTGCCCAGAGGTTTGCCTAGGCATGCAAATGGGAAACCTCCTCATCCCCAAGTTCTCTGTAAAGGGGCTGCTGTCTGTTCTCTGTCGTAAACTCCTAATCCAAGAGAGTGGGTGCTCCAGATAGCTGGAGATCTGCCTGGGCATGGAGCAGAGAGGGCTGCCCTACACCAGGAGCTCTGCATAAGAGGGTGGGGTGACTCAGGCTGTTGATCCAGGTGATCTGGTGCTCTGAATGCCTGGAGATCTGCCTGGGTGTGGAGGAAAAAGGGCTCCCCTACACCACAATCTATGTCCAGGAGTGGTGGAGTGACTCAGGCTCTTGAAGCAGACGAGTAGGTGCTCCGAATGCCTGGAGATTTGCCTGGGCGTGAAGCAGAAAAGGCCTCCCTGCACCAGGATCTCTGCACAGGAAGGGTGAGATGAATCAGGTTGCTGATCCAGGTGCTCAAGTGCTCTAATTACCTGGAGATCTTCCTGGGTGTGGAGCGGAGGCACCCCAATCCCCCTTCATCATGATCTATGTCCAGGAAGGGTGGGGCAGCTGAGGCTGCTGTCCAGGCAAGCAGGTAATTCAAATACCTAGATTTCTGCCTGGGGCTGGAGTGAAGTGGGCCTAGCTGCACCACAATATCAGGGCGGGGCAGGGGAGGGCACCTAGTTGTGGCACATGCAGATTAGTTCCATGTTGTTCAGCTGGCCCTGGCTGCAAGTCTCTCCACCCAGCAGAAACTTCAGCTGTAGCAGCTCTACTGCCACCCCAGGCTTGTGACAGGAAAGACTGCAATTCAGCAGTGACTGCTGAGGTGCTTTTTACAGTTCTGGCTGTGAAGGTTCCTACCCTACCCCAGAACAGGTGTTCCAGTGTCTGGCCCAACGCTAAAATACCTGCACAGCCACGCTGCCAAGTTGTCAAAGAATGGCTGACTTTGCATGCATCTGGATTAAAAATGGTATCTTGCTCTTGGTCCTGGGTCTGGGAAAATGTCTGCAACTTTTCTTGATTTCTTTCTCTCACAGCATCTCCAAGCTTCTCCCCATGTTATCTCCAGTGCTTGGGAGTAACAAAGGTCTGGGTTGTTTGGGTCCCCAGTGGAAAGGAGAGTGACAGAGGGAGGTTCTTTGCCTTTTTCACTTACTGGGGCTTCACTCACTTTTATCAGCTGTATGCCATCACAACGGCTGTTTGCCGGCAATTCTCCTCTCTGGGATCTGGGGTGTCCTTCACAATTCCAGTGGACTCTCATTTTCCTTCTTGAAATAAAGCACACAGAGTTGATCTTTATGTACTATCTTGCTATTTCCAAGTGGCTGAGGCACACTAAAAGCCTCTAGTCTGCCATCTTGGGGGAAAAAACTCTTATTGATTTTAGCATGTACTTTTAGCGTGTCTCATTTCTGGCTTAAAACATTCTTACCTCCCTTTTTCCCCTTCAGTCACTTCACTTTTATTTGCACTATAATATTAAACTATATATATCTTTGTAAATCATTTTAAATTAAATAAAGATTGGATACCTAAACATATATACAAACATCCTCAATTACCATGTTAGGTCATAGGCAGATTTATATGTTCCAGATATTACCAATCTTCTAATAACATTTCCCAAAATATGTTGGGCAGAGTATTAAATGGGCCTTCTAAATATAGAGTTCTGAGATTTTAAAACTTGGGAAAGTATCTGATTAAACAAAATCCAACAATTTCTTCACTACAGTTCTTTTCAGAGCCTTTACATGCTATGATGAGCTATATACAGTCAGGGACACAGAGGACAGCATTATTCAAACTTAGTTTTTGCTTTTTCAGAATTTTATTGAAAAACATGGATTGTTTGAGAATAACTGAATGCATACTTCTTCTCATTTCCTTTCCAAGAGTGATATGAGAGTGAGCACCTGGGTCACTGTTGGTCAGGGATTTCACAGAATATAAAAACCAGGCTCACTGTGCTTAGGAAAGTCCTGCCATGGGGAAAGGGCCTACATCAAACCATGTCCATTGTCTCCTCAAAATATTTACCAGATTTTGAGGTTGCAGAGTGCAATGCTAGAGAGCTGGGCTAGGAAATTGAATGACAGAACTAAATTTCCTCAAATACTTTATAATGAATGAGATAAAGGTCCATCATCCTCTAAATCAAAAGCCCAAGAAAGCCATGCCCTCAAAACAGGGGGACACCCAAGATAGATTCAGTTTTACCAAAATGGCAATGCTGCCAGGTCCAGCTGAATCCCTGATTGAGGTAATCAGCCTCTCACTCTATTTGTTTAAAAGAAAAAAAGGGTAATATCTCTGGACAAAATAACATTTCTATGTTTATTTTATAGATAATGACAAAATTGAATAAAAATTCACTAAACAGGCCAGGCCTGGTGGCTCACACCTGTGATCCCAGCACTTTGGGAGGCTGAGGCAGGTGAATCACCTGAGGTCAGGAGTTCGAGACAGGCCTGGCTAACATGGTGAAACCCAGCTCTACTAAAAATAGAAAAATTAGCCAGGCATGGTTACAGGTGCCTATAGTCCTAGCTACTTGGGTGGCTGAGACAGGAGAATTGCTTGCACCTGGGAGGTGGAGGTTGCAGTGAGCCGAGATTGCCACTGCACTCCAGCCTGGGCGACAGAGAGATTCCGTCCCAAAAAAAAAAAATTACTAAACATTACAAGAGAAAACAGTAATAAAAACAACAAAATGATGAGTAAGAGAAAACACAGACAACAAATGATTAAATTATTAAAATCTGCACTTTAAAAAAATTTTTTACTTAAAGTGCCAGGACACATGTGCAGAACGTGCAGGTTTGTTACATAGGTATACGTGTGCCATGGTGGTTTGCTGCACCTATTGACCCACCCTCTAAGTTCCCTCCCCTCACCCCCCGTCCTCCCAACAGGCCCCGGTGTGTGTTGTTCCCCTCCCTGTGTCCATGTGTTCTCATTGTTCAACACCCACTTATGAGTGAAAAGGTGGGGTTTGGTTTTCTGTTCTTGTGTTAGTTTGCTGAGGATGATGGCTTCCAGCTTCATCCATGTCTCTGCAAAGGACATGATCTCATTCTTTTTTATGGCTGCATAGTATTCCATGGTGTATAGGTACCACATTTTCTTTATCCAGTCTATCATTGATGGGCATATGGGTTGGTTCCATGTCTTTGCTATTGTAAATAGTGCTGCAATAAACATATGTATGCATGTGTTTTTATAGTGGAATGATTTAACTTCGTTTGGGTATATACCCAGTAATGGAATTGCTGGGTCAGATGGTATTTCTAGATCTAGAACTATCTAGATCCTTGAATAATCGCCATACTGTATTCCACAATGGTTGAACTAATTTACATTCCCATCAACAGTGTGGAAGTGTTCCTATTTCTCCACAGCCTCACCAGCATCTATTGTTTCCTGACTTTTCAATAATTGCCATTCTGACTGGCATAAGACGGTATCTCATTGTAGTTTTGATTTGCATTTCTCTGATGATCAGTGATGTTGAGCTTTTTTTCATATGTTTGTTGGCTGCATAAATGTCTTCTTTTGAGAAGTGCCTGTTCATATCCTTTGCCTACTTATTGATGGGATTGTTTGCTTTTTTTCTTGTAAATTTTTTAAGTTCCTTGTAAATTCTGGATATTAGACCTTTGTCAGATGGGTAGATTGCAAAAATTTTCTCCCCTTCTGTAAGTTGCTTGTTCACTCTGATGACAGTTTCTTTTGCTGTGCAGAAGCTCTTTAGTTTAATTATATCTCATTTGTCAATTCTGGCTTTTGTTGCAATTGCTTTTGGCATTTTTGTCTTGAAGTCTTTGACCATGCCTATGTCTTGAATGGTATTGCCTAGTTTTCTTCTAGGGTTTTTTTATGGTTTCAGGTTATACATTTAAGTTTTTAATCCTTGAGTTAATTTTTGTATAAGGTGTAAGGAAGGGGTCCAGTTTCAGTTTTCTTTATATGGCTAGCCAGTTTTTCCAACATCACTTACTGAATACTTGCTCCTTTCCCCATTGCTTGTTTTTGTCTGGTTTGTCAAAGATCAGATGGTTGTAGATGTGTGGTGTTATTTCTGAGACCTCTGTTCTGCTCCATTGGTCCATATGTCTTTTTTGGTAGCAGTACCATGCTGTTTTGGTTACTGTAGCCTTGTAGTATAGTTTGAAGCCAGGTAGTGTGATGCCTCCAGTTTTGTTCTTTTTGCTTAGGGTTGTCTTGGCTATATGGGGTCTTTGATTCCATATGAAATTTAAAATAGTTTTTTTCTAATTCTGTGAAGAATGTTAATGGTAGTTTGATGGGAATAGCATTGAATCTTTGAATTACTTTGGGCAGTATGGCCATTTTCCTGACATTGATTCTTCCTATACATGAGGATGGAATGTTTTTCCATTTGTTTGTGTTGTGTCTTATTTCCTTGAGTGGTGATTTGTAATTCTCCTTGAAGAGGTCCTTCACATCCCTTGTTAGCTGTATTATTAGGTGTTTTATTCTCTTTGTAGCGATGGCGAATGGGAATTCATTCATGATTTGGCTCTATGTTTGCCTATTATTGGTGTAAAGGAATGCTTGTGATTTTTGCACATTGATTTTGTATCCTGAGACTCATCTGAAGTCATTTATCAGTTCAAGAAGTTTCTCGGCTGAGATGATGGGGTTTTGTAAGTATAAAATCATGTTCTCTGCAAACAGAGACAACTTCACTTCCTCTCTTCCTATTTGAATAATCTTTATTTCTTTCTCTTGCCTGATTCCCCTGGCCAGAACTTCCAGTTCTATGTTGAATAGGAACGGTGAGAGAGGGCATCCTTGTCTTGTACTGGTTTTCGAAGGGAATGCTTCCAGCTTTAGCCCATTCAGTATGATTGGCTGTGGGTTTGTCATAAATAGCTCTTATTATTTTAAGATGTGTTCCATCAATACCTAGTTTATTGAGAGTTTTTAACATGAAGAGATGTTGAATTTTATCAAAGGCCTTTTCTGTATCTATTGAGATAATCATGTGGTTTTTGTCTTTGGTTCTGTTTATGTGATGAATTACGTTTATTGATTTATGTATGTTGAATGAGGCTTGCATCCCATGGATGAAGCTGACTTGATTGTGGTGTATACGTTTTTTGATGTGCTGCTTAATTTGGTTTGCCAGTGTTTTGTTGAGGATTTCCATGTTGATGTTCAGAGATATTGGCCGGAAGGTTTTTTTGTTGTTGTGTCTCATTCTGGTTTTGGTATCATGATGATGCTCACCTCATAAAATGAGGTACAGATGCATCCCTCCTTTTCAATGTTTGCAATATTTTCGGAAGGAATGGTACTACCTCCTCTTTGTATTTCTGATAAAATTCAGCAGTGAATCCCTCTGATTTTGGTTGGTAGGCTATTAATTACTGCCTTAATTTCAGAGCTTGTTATTGGCCTATTCAGGGATTCAACTTTTTTCTGGTTTAGTCTTGGTAGGGTGTATGTGTCCAGGAATTTATCCATTTCTTCTAGATTTTCTGGTTTATTTGCATAGAGGTGTTTATAGTATTTTCTAATGGTAGTTTGTATTTTTGTGAGGTCAGTGGTGGTATCTCCTTTATCATTTTTTATTGTGTCTTTTTGATTCTTCTCTCTTTTATTCTTTATTAGTCTGGCTAGCAGTCTATCTATTTTGTTATTTTTTTTAAAAAAAACAGCTCCTGGATTCATTGATTTTTTTGGAGGGTTTCTTTGTGTCTCTATCTCCTTCAGTTCTTCTCTGATCTTAGTTATTTCTTGTCTTCTGCTAGTTTTTGAATTAGTTTGCCCTTGCCTCACTAGCTCTTATAATTATGGTGTTAGGGTGTTGATTTGAGATCTTTCTAGCTTTCTGGTGTGGGCATTTAGTGCTACAAATTTCCCTCTTAACACTGCTTTAGCTGTGTCCCAGAGATTCTGGTATGTTGTCTCTTTGTTCTCATTGGTTTCAAAGAACTTCTTGATAGCTGCCTTAATTTCATTATTTACCCAGGAGTCACTCGGGAGCAGGTTGTTCAATTTCCATGAAATTGTGTGGTTTTGGTGAGTTGAGTGAGTTTCTTAATCCTTAGTTCTAATTTGATTGCACTGTGGTCTGAGAGATTATTTGTCATGATTTCAGTTATTTTGCATTTGCTCAGGAGTGTTTTACTTCCAATTATGTGGTCTATTTTAGAATAAGTGTCATGTGGCACTGAGAAGAATGTATATTCTGTTGATTTGGGGTAGAGAGTTCTGTAGACATCTAGTAGGTCCACTTGATCCAGATCTGAATTCAAGTCCTGAATATTCTTGTTAATTTTCTGTCTCATTGATCTAATACTGACAGTGAGGTGTTAAAGTCTCCCACTATTATTGTGTGGTAGTCTAAGTCTCTTTGTAGGGCTCTAAGAACTAGTTTTATGAATCTGGGTGCTCCTGTATTGGGTGCATATATATACAGAATAGTTAGCTCTGCTTGTTAAATTGCTCCCTTTATCATTATGTTGGGCCCTTCTTTGTCTTTTTTGATCTTTGTTGGTTTAAAGTCTGTTTTGTCAGAGACTAGGATGGCAACCCCTGCTGTTTTTTGCTTTCCATTTGCTTGGTAAATTTTCCTCCATCCCTTTATTTTGAACCTGTGTGTGTCTTTGCACGTGAGATGGGTCTCTTGAATACAGCACACTGATGGGTCTTGACTCCTTATTCAATTTGCCAGTCTGTGTCTTTTAATTGGGGGCATTTAGCCCATTTACATTTAAGGTCAGTATTGTTATGTGGAAGTTTAATCCTGTCATCATGATGCTATTTGGTTATTTTGCACAACGGTTGATGCAGTTTCTTCATGGTGTCATTGGCTTTTATATTTTGCTGTGTTTTTGCAGGGCTGATAACAGTTTTTCCTTTCCATATTTAGTACTTCTTTCAGGAGCTCTTGCAGGACAGGCCTGGTGGTAACAAAATCCCTCAGCATTTGCTTGTCTGGAAAGGATTTTATTTTTCCTTTGCTTATGAAGCTTAGTTTGGCTGGATATGAAATTCTGGGTTGGAAATGATTTTCTTTAAGAATGTTGAATACTGGCCCCCAATCTCTCCTGGCTTGTAGAGTTTCTGCTGAGAGGTTTGTTGTTAGTCTGATGGGCTTCCCTTTGTATGTGACCTGGCGTTTCTCTCTGGCTGCCCTTAACAGTTTTTCCTTGATTTCACCCTTGGAGAATCTGATGATTATATGTCTTGGGTTTGATCTTCTCATTGAGTATCTTAATGATATTCTTTTATTTCCTGAATTTGCATGTTGGCCTGTCTTGCTAGGTTGGGGAAGTTCTCCTGGATACTATCCTGAAGTGTGTTTTCCAGCTCGTTTCCATTCCCCTGTCTCCTTCCAGTACTCCAATCAATCATAGGTTGAGTCTTTTTATAAAGTCCCATATTTTGTGGAGGTTTTGTTCATTCCTTTTTATTCTTTTTTCTCTATTCTTGTCTGCATGTCTTATTTCAGTAAGGTGGTCTTCAAACTCTGATACCCTGTCTTCTGCTTCATCAATTTGGCGGTTGATACTTGTGTATGCTTCACCAAGTTCTTGTGCTGTGTTTTTCACCTCTTTCAGGTCATTTATATTCCTCTCTAAACTGATTGTTCTAGTTAGCACTTTCTTCTAACCTCTTATCAAAGTTCTTAGCTTCTTTGCTTTGGGTTAGAACATGCTCCTTTAGCTCGTCAGAGGTAGTTTTTTGTAACCCTCTTCTGAAGCCTACTTCTGTCAATTTGTCCATCTGATCCTCTGGTTCTTTGCCCTTGATGGAGAGATGTGATCATTTGGAGGAGAAGAAGCACTCTGGCCTTCTGGGTTTTCACCATTTTTCCATTGATTCTTTCTCATCTTTGTGAATTTGTCTAGTTTCTGTCTTTGAGGTTACTGACCCTTGGATGGGGTTTTTGTGGGGACCTTTTTGTTGTTGTTGTTGTTGTTGATGCTGTTGTTGTCACTTTCTGCTTGTTTTTCTTTCGATAGTCAGGTCCATCTTCTGTAAGGTTGCTGTAGTTTTCTGGGGGTTCACTTCAGTCCCTATTCATCTGATTTGCTCCTGTGCCTGGAGATGTCACTCAGGGAGGCTGGAGACCAGCAAAGATGGATGCTTGCTTCTTCTTGTGGGACCTCTGACCTCAAGGGGCACCAACCTGATGCCAGTAGGATTACTCCTATATAGGGTGTTTGACAACCCCTGTTGCAGGGCCTCACCCAGTTGGGTGGCACAGGGAACAGGACCCATTTAATGAAGTACTTTGTCCCTTGGTGGAGACGGTGTGTTTTGCTGGGGGGAAACCCACTCATCTGGGCTGCCCAGATTCCTCAGAACTACCAGGAGGAGAGGCTAGGGCTGCTGGTCCACAGAGACTGTGGCTACCCCTCCCACTAGGGACTCAGGCTCAGGGAGATCTGAATTCTGTCCTGGCTGGAGTTATTGGAGATCCTGTAGGGAAGCCCCGCCCAATAAGGAAGGATGGGTCAGAGTTAGACCTGAAGAGCCACCCTGGCTGCAGACGGCCAAAGCCGGTGTGTTGGGCTGTGGGGACAAGTCTTGGGACAAAGCCATCCAGCCTCCCTGCCTCCAGCAGGGGAAAATTGCAGCCTGGAGCTATAGAAGTTGGTGCTGCCCTTCCCCCCATTTAGGGAGCTTAGTGTATTAGGCAGTTGCCAGTCCCATTGCTGACTGCTGCCCCTCCCACAAGGAGTTCAAAAGCTTAGACAGCAGGCAGTCCAGGCAGTGCTGGTCACCCCTCCCCCCAGGAGTTCACTGGGCTTAAGCAGATTCCAGCTGAGAGGCTACAAGAATCTCCAGGTTCCCAGTTTGGGGTGCTAGTACCCAGTGGCTTGGGTTCGCAACTGGGATCTTCTGATCCATGGCTTGCATAGTTCCATGGAAAAAACACAGTTTCCCTGGCTGGGTAGTGTGCTCACTCACCGCCTCCCTTGGCTGGGGGGAGGGGGTTCCCCTTTCCCATGTGACTCTCAGGTGGGCCGCCACATCACACTGCTCTTCCTTGTGTCCATGGGTCACACCAGCCTTCTAGTCAATTCTGATGACAGAACCTGGATACCTTGGTTGCTGGTGAAGGATTCACATGCTTATTATGTTTTTTTTTGTTGGTTTTTTTTTGTTTTTTTGCTGGGAGTCTCCAAAGGGCACTCCTTCTAGTTAGCCATCTTGGCCCCACTCTCATTTTAGCCATTTTAAATTGTGCAGTTCAGTGGTGTTAAGTACATTCACATTGTTACACAACCATCATCACCATTCATCTCCAAAACATTTTTCATCTGGCAAAACTGAAACTCTGCACCTATTAAGCAATAACTCCCCATTTCCAGCTCTCCTCAAATTCGGTCAGCTACCACTCTACTTTCTGTCTCTATGAATTCAACCCCTCTAAGTCCTCATATAAGTGAAATCATACAATATTTGTCCTTTCATGACAGGCTTATTTCACTTATAATGTTTTAAAGGGTGAATGTTAATGGTACATCGATTATATCTCAATAAAGAAAAACAAATGAGCATAAGAGATATGTTGGACATCCTTAATAGTTCTAATGTATATATAATTGAAGATTCAGGAGAAGGAGAGTGGTGCAGAAACATAATTTATGGGGATAAAGAACACATCAACTGACAGATTTCAGAATCGCAGAGAGCCCCAGTTCAGAATAAACACAAAGAAAACCCTATGCACAATGGAGTAAAACTTCTGTAAAGCAAAGATTAGGAGAAACTCTAAACAAATCACATTAACTTCAAAGTAGCAATAAGACTGACAGCTGATTTTTCAGCAGAAATAATAAAAATCAGAGGACAATAGGGTGATATTTTTAAGAGCTGTGAAGGCTGTTTAATAACTATTTTTAAAATGAAAATGAAATAAATATATTTTCAAACAAACACAGAAAATGGTCAACAGCAGACTTAAAATGTAAAAACTAAAAACAAAATTAAACAAACAAAAACTAGAACCCTTCAGGAACAATAAAATTGATCCCAGATAGATACATTGAAATGCAGGAAGGATTGGATGAAAACTAGATGAGATAAGTATGTGGATAATTAGAAATGGATATTGGCTGTTCCAAACAACAGTAATAACATCTTATAGTATTTAAAAAGGTATGCACTGCTAAAATGCAAGAGAATAAAAATACAAAAAATAGGAGGGGATCAACAGACAAAAAAAGTTAGAAGGTTCTACATGTTTAGTAAAGTGGTAAAAGTAGTAATTTTAATTATTTCCATTCAAACCATAAATGTGTGTTGTAATCTCTATGATAATCAGGAAACGTATAGCTAACAATAAGTAGTCTAAATTACAAATTAGAATGTATAACTTACAAGTTAATAGATGCAAATAATGAATACACATTTTTTGTCAAGTAATCAAAAAAGAAGAATGAATGAACAAGAAATACAGGTGGCGTATCCCTTACCTAAAATGCTTGGAACCAGAAGTATTTTGATTTTTTCAGGTTCTAGAACATTTGCATTATACTTACTGGTGCAGTATCCCAAATCCGAAATCTTAAATGCCCCAGTGAACATTTCCTTTGCATATTTTAATGTTAGCTCTCAAAAAGTTTCAGATTTTGGGACATTTTGATTTTCAGATTTTTGGATTAGGGATACTCAATCTATAATATAAAAGAGATGTAGGAAATTATATTAAATATAAGTATATACACCAAGTAAAATAGGAAACATCTTAACTGACTGATATTAGAGAGGATTGTACTCAGAATTTCAGAATACTGAGGAAAATAAAGGAATTAGAGAGACTCAAGGGAAAATGGAGATACTGGGAAAGTCTGAGAGGTACTTTAGCAAATGACATGGGTCAGTACTCATACATACTTACTCTCTCAATAGTACATATAGATGAATAAACTTATACTCATCCAAAAATATCAAGCCTCAATTAAACATCGAAAAATAGTAAGTTTGGCGGGGGAGTTTAATATTTAAATACTTACAGTCTTATCTATCAGTTATTTAAATTATGTTTATTTGACATTAATTTTAGTGATAATGATAATGATAGTTTTTTAGTGATAATGATAATGATAGTTTTTTGTTTTATCAAATATCAATATTAGGTAAATATAATTTTCATGTGTTCTTATATGGGTGTGTATGTATATATATGTATATACAATTACATATAATATATACAACTTACAATAAATATTTTTATAAATATAGTTATATATAACAACAGTTTAGTTTATTAATATTAACCAATATATTATCATAAGATTCCATATATTTATATATAGTGTACATATTAGAATATATATTATATAGTATATATTATATAATAAACATATGTATGCTCTACATTTACTATGTTATATATTCTAATATATACTATATACAAATGTATAGTATCACATATTGGTTAATAGTAATATATACTATATAATATATATTTATATGATATAGTAAATTTTTATTAGACTATATTATATATAAAACTCATAATATATTGGTTCATAATAATTATAAACTATGCTTTTATTATTATTATTTTTAGAGCACCTTTAATGAGATATAATTCACATACCATACAATTCACTGTTTCAAAGCATACAATTCAGTGGTTTTAAGTATAATGACAGGGTTGTGTAAGTAACATTACTACCTAATTTTTAAGCATGATTAGCACAGTCAAAAGAAGTCTTGTACCCATCAAAAGAATCTTTTCTTTCTCTCTTTAAGGAAAACTTCTGAAACTTTTAGTAGAACCCTATAACAGAAAAAGGATTTACTTTTTATTGCTATGGTCACTCTTTTATTTTAAATAATATGTATGTAGAGTGCAATGAAGCATCCTGATTAACCTATGATTTGGGAAATTCTCAAGAATTATCAGGAATTCAGACTTCTCTTTCTCCAATGCTGAAGATTGCTGCCTGTTGGGAATATGGAAATCCTATCTAGAGTAAAGCAACATGGAGCAGAGCATCCAGTATACCTGAGATGCACATAAAGCAGGAGTCAGGGGAAAACTTTGTTGAGCCATTAAGATCTAAGTTTGCTTGTAACCAGATTAACTAAGCATTACAGTTAGATTGCATGAAAATATAAAACAATAGCTCAACTAACAAAACTGCAGTGGAGAAAGTGAGAGATAGCTCTTATTAGCTGAGAAAGGAAGAAATATAATATTGAAACATAAACTTTTTCATTATTATTTTTAAATACTGTATTAGCTAATGATTTCCACTGTAAGCATCAGAGGCCAACTAGATTAAGGAAAAAAAAAATGAATGGGTAAATGGAAAGATAATAGAGTCGGTTACAAAATCAAAGGAAATAAAGAAGAAGAACCAGAAGGACAGGAATTTAAAGAGCTTTGAGAAACTAGACAGTCAGAATTAATGAATAGTTTCTTAGGAGTGCCACACTCATATTGAACCAGCTTTGACTACTTTCTGTCTTAGTGGAAGATTCAAATATCTGGGAGAATGCATTGATTTGCCCTGACACCCTTACCCATTCTTTTTTCAGTAACTCTTGCAGATTCATTTCAATTAGTTTTCTTGAAAAATTTAAGTAATTTTCAGGAAAATTATATGTGTAGTACAAACTCATTATTAAAAACATAAAACCTTATTTACAGTAGAGAAACCTGACAAACACTACTATCTCAGGCAGGTGATCAGGGTCAATATCCACAGTGATAAATCATGTTGAGAGCATGCACCCTTGATATGATGTGATGAAAGTGGCACTTTACCTCAGTGTTCTTCTTCCTGAAAACCCATAACCCCCGTCGAATCATAAGAAAAATATCAGACAAGTCCCAGTACAGGATATTCTATAAAATACCTGATAAGTATTTCTCAAAACTGTCACGGTCATCAGAAAGAAAAAAAGTCTGAGAAACTGTCAAAACCAAGAGGAGCCGAAGAGACACAACACCTAAATGTAATGTGGTATCCTGAATGAGATCCTAAAACAGAAAAGGATGTTAAGAAAACACGAAGTAAATATGAATAAAGTATGGGCTTTGGCTAATAATAATGTAATGTATCAACATTGGTATTGTGATAAGTGTACCACACTAATCCGAGATGTTAATAATAGAGGAAACTGGGTGCAGGGTACATGGAAACTCTCTGCTCTGTCTTTACACATTTTTTGTAAATCTAAAAACATTCAAACAATGAAAGCTTATTTTTAAAAATCTTATTTCAGTCACTTTATCATCCTATCTATATCTCTCCATTGAGGATGTCTAAAAATGTGTTCACCAACTTCCTCTGTATTGATAATCCCCAAGTAGTTATTTTTAGTTCCGATTCTTCCCTGATACACACACACACACACACACACACACACACATTATATAAGCATGCATTTGCGTATGTATATATTGCTAAACAAACATCTTGATCTGGTCATCTTTTAGGCATATAAAACTCAATATATCTCTTGGTAAGAAATACTTATTGACGATGTTGTGATAATGTGCTGTAGGAGCATGCTTTTAATGTCCTATAATACTTTGTTTGATGAATGCCTACAGGGCAACTATTATATGGCAGGCACTGCTGTACATACCACAGACTTATAGGTGAAGAAGATATACACATGTCCTGTTGTTAAGGAGTTTAGGATATGCTGAGAGAGGCACATGTTAACAAATAATAGCACTATGAGCTCTGCAATAAAGCTAAATTTGTTTATGTGCTGTGCCTTGCACTTACCTTTATTGTAGCAGCTGTCACACTTTATCTCACTTATGAAGTCACATATTTATCATTCCAACTACACTTACTTATTGAGGATAGCAGATCCTCAATAAAAGTTTGTGGAAACATCTGGTCATCTGGTTCACTTCTCATTCGTTGAATGATTAAATGAATGAGAAGACTGGACTCATTTACGGATTCATGTTTATGACACCAAGGGATATATGGACAAGTAAAAAGCATACAGTCAGTTTTGATTCTATTCCAGGCTCCCTTTTGGCCTGATTCTGACTCTACTAGGTCTTAGTTTCTCCTTAGCAAAGGCTATGGTAACGAACTATTCCAGTTTGCCAAGGACTCTCCTTGTTTTAGCATTGAATGTTTGCATTCTCAAAATAATAATAATAATAATAATAATAATAATAATGATAATAAAAGCCAAGTCTTGAATAAACCTGGATGGTTGATTGCTCTAGAAAAGCCCTACAAAAATTCTGGAGCCTATTTCCCTTCTTTCTTATTCAAGAAGGTATAAAAAGAAATTTTGATTGCGTAGATGTTGATAAAAACCACTCACTCAGCATTTACTGTGTTGATCTCTTTGTGGGCTTCACCTTGTTTAACCCTCACAACAACACTATGAGGTAAAAATTATTATCATTGCCACTTCACAGATGATGAAAAAAGCACAGAATATTAAATCACGGAACTGAATTTCAAACCCAGGGTTGTCAAAAGCTTGCATTAAGCTCTTAGCCTTCATGTTTACATACAGTGAAATGGCAAGTCATGTTCTTACTGAGTTTTTTTCCAACACTCTGAAACTTCCAAGTCTACCCCAAGTCAACTACATTTTTAAAAAGTACCACCTCCCCCCTAAAAAAGTTGGTCCATGTAAACCCTGTATATCTGCCGTGAGAAGTTAGTTTTCTCAAAATAAATACATATAAGGTCTTTTTAGTCTGGTTGTACTGAATTAATCAATTTGGAGAAAAACTGAGCATTGCACTTCTATGGAGAATTTTTTGGTTTGCTTGTATGGCTTACAATTAGCTTACTTCTGTGAGATGTTTCTGGTTAGAGTTTCTCTCTCCAAGAATCTGACTTAAACATTTATAGTCCATCAGCTTCCATGGATTTTGGTGAGCTTTTTCAGACAGGTTAGTAATGTCAAGTTTGGCAAGTACTTTGGCTTTTCAGTCTGTTTTGTTTGAAAATCAATTTACACTCTTTGCAAACTTGTGACAGCATAAATCAGGCAACTGAGTTCACTATTAAAATAAAATGGGGACTTGTTTCATTTTGCTGAGGAGATGGGCAGAACACTTTCTACTAATTTCAAACATATTCCTGTCATACCATGGCAATTTGACAAACCTACTGTTCTACTGTTCTTAATTCACTAGATGAACAAAAACAGAAACAGAGGCAAGAGAGGTTAGATTATCTGTCCAGGGCAGCACACGGGAAGGCAGGAATGGAAGCAAATTAAGAACTCACAGGTCTTAAATACACCAGCCATTCTGGGCCGCTGAACGTCTCTCCCTTAGCACCCCTGATAGCTGATGTTCAGAAATGGTGGCCTCCATTATCCTAACTAACCTCTTCAGAAAGTCTTCTAATTGAGGTATCTTCTCATTGAAGATGGTGTGGAGAAAGTGGAGCCTTCAATCAAACCTCCAAAACAGTTCGGTGCCATAAAACTAATTTAAAATGGAATAGACTGGGCACGGTGGCTCTCGCCTGTAATCCCAGCACTTTGGGAGGCTGAGGGAGGCGGATCACGAGATCAGGGGTTCAAAACCAGCCTGACCAACATGATGAAACCCCGTGTCTACTAAAAATACAAAAAAATTAGCTGGGCATGGTGGCGTGTGCCTGTAATCCCAGCTACTCAGGAGGCTGAGGCAAAGAGAATTGCTTGAACCTGGGAGGCGGAGGTTGCAGTGAGCTGAGATGGTGTGCACTCCAGCCTGGGCGACAGACCATCTCAAAACAAACAAACAAACAATAAAATGGAATAAAGTGGAAAATAAAAGAGCTGGTTACAATTACACCATTTAGGCCTTAGATAGGAAGTAATTCTAGTGATTGAGAAACTACTGATGCAATGTGGCTTAAACGGGAAACAGGGCAAAATGGAGTTAAAGTGCAGCATTTTCCACATCTGTACTGGAAACGCTGATAGTAGACTTAAGAAAATAATTCACTATAGGAAACTAACAATCACAAAAAATATTTATCGTACTCTCCAGTTTTACATGCAAATTTTAACTTTGTGTCATCTCTGCTAAATACATACATTCTGAAACATTCAGCCATTTGCTTCTCAGTACTCTGATAAAAATGATTATTCTGACTTTTATTCCTCAGCTGCTTAGCTGGACTTCCCCAAAGTAGGCCTTGTGTTTTTCAACACAGTAGACTAAATTTCTGACAGTATTTAATAATTTACCCCATTCTCAAATATCTGGAAAATCTCATAAATTTTGTATGTAATACTTTTTCTTTCTATTTTGTTTGTGTTTCAAACTATCTGCATCCTCATCCTGCAGGATTGTAAGGTGAACTTCTCTATTGGGAAAACTACTTAACTTTGAGCTAAAGTAGAGGGCAACTTGGTCCAAAAACAGGATCAGCTGAGTGTGGACACTTACTTACTTACAGCATGATCCTAAATCACTGTGACTCTCTTCTCCAAAATGAAAACCATTGGCTTAAAAGAAGGTTAATCTAACATTCACGGCTACCCCAGTGACTGGCTGGTACTGACTCTCCTGCCTGTCCAAATCATTGTGAGAAACTGTAACTGAACTCATGTTATCTATAGGTCAATGTGGTGGCAGATATATGGTAGTGACCCCAATAAATTAGTAGAAATCAAAAGCATTCTAAATTAAAACAGATGAAATTTAATAAATTACAATGACGTTTAGTTTTCAGAACAATGCTTTCCCATTCTTGTAACCATTCAGAAAAGGGTTAATTTGTGTTCTCCTCTTCAGACCACAGCCTCATTCTAAGAGGCAGAGTAACTGAGACAGTGAGAGAAACTCAAAAGCAAGAAAATGTCTTTGTAATTTAACAAAAAGGTAAACCTGGAGTGGCATTGTTGGGGAACATTTTAAGATATTACCATGTTTTCTAAACTTGAAGTCCCATAGAACATTACCTAGATGTAGGGAATGTGTATAGATGGCCCCCAACTTACCAATGGTGTAACTTGATTTTTCACCTTTATGGAAGTTTATGTTTATGTTTAACTTTTTATTTATTTTATTTTATTTTATTTTATTTTTTTGAAACAGAGTGTCACTTTGTCACCCAGACTGGAGTGCAGTGGCACGATCTTGGCTTACTGCAAACTCTGCCTCCTGGTTCAAGTGATTCTCCTGCCTCAGCCTTTCCAGTAGCTGGGATTACAGGCACGCACCAGCATGCCCAGCTAAATTTTTGTATTTTTAGTAGAGATGGGGTTTCACCATGTCGGCCAGGCTGGTCTTGAACTCCTCACCTCAGGTGATCCACCCGCGTCGGCCTCCCAAAGTGCTGGGATTACAGGCGTGAGCCACTGCACCCAGACTGTTTATGTTTAACTTTAAACAAAAGTTCAACTTTATGAAAGGTTATGTTTTGAGGATAATTCTATCATTAGTCAAAGAGCATCTTGACTTACAATGGTTTGACTGAATGATTTTTTAACTTTAGGTTTTACTGGGATATTACATGCATTTCAACTAGCGATATTTTTATTTTTTACTTAAAGTGGGCTTATCAGGACATAACAAAATGGTAAACTGAGAAGCATCTGTATAAAGTTTCTGTCAGTCCCCACATTTTTGAAAATAATATTCTAAGATAATTTTCCACATTGTCATTTCTTCTTCAATTTTGAGGCCAAGACCTCATCTTTCTACCTCCTATGTAGGCGAGGCATAGTCACATGACCCAGATTTCAACAAGCAGATGAAACAAAGGCAATGACTTCGCTGCAGCAAAGAGCAATGTGAGGAATGAGGCAAGTTCAGCAACCATCCTGTTGATGACATGTGTAGAAGAACATGGGACAGGGACATTGAGCTCTCAGATATAGCAGGGACAGAGATCCTAGCAGTAACTTTTCAAGGCTGTGTGATCATATTCCCAGGGAAGGGCTAAGCTTTCCCTGTGAAAGTGATGTGCCTACAAGCAGTCTTGTGGCATAATTTGGAATTTTTTTCCAGATAGTGTAGTTTCTGAGCCTAATTTGCTGGCCCTTGTGGTGATTATGTAAACTTCAGAGTAATTTGTTTACAGCTTTAACTAGCTGGAGTTGATTCTGTTGTTTACAATTAAGTTACAATTTCAGAAGTTGCATCAGAAGTGCCTACTGCACTCAAAAAACCTTCCAAGAAATAGGAATCCGTGGTTGACTCTTGGGTCTTATTGGTTTTGCAAACAAAACACAAGCTTAATCCACTTAATCCACTTGCTATATAGTGATAGGAGCCTGGGCAGTTCATGGCAAAAAGTGGCAAAACACTTAACAACATCATAGCTGCATTCATCCGGAATTCAGTATCCACGGAGGGAAAATCACCACGCCCTAAAACATTATCAAGGACAGGAGGATATGAAGGCTGTGGAATGGGAAGCATCTTTCAAAATGCACGGGAGACTAAGAAAGAATGACTAATTCAAACTACGAAATTCTAGGCTCAAGGTACAATCAGATTAAGTGAATGCTCAAAAAAAAAATTCCTTTCACTAATACATTAGGAAAAGGCTATCATTTTCTGTCGTTGAATTTCCCTTGTATACAAGGAGAGACTCATCAGTAATAGTACCATAAATAAACTGATTGATGCCCATAATACCTCTCAGCCTGAGCTACAACTTTGCAGTAGAAATTATTTTTACAGTACTTGTCTGCCTCAGTCTAACCAGAACTAAATTGTTCACAAAATTAAGCTTTGTTTCAGGCTTGATATCTTCTACTTCATTTTTTTCTTAAAACCTATTTCACATTATTCAAATAGGCAGAATGAAGACGTGCAAACTTATTTCTTCATGAACTAAAAACTTAACAATCTGATGAGAGAAGAAGTATTTCAATTAAATAGGTGTCTGCTTTGGTAAGTACCAAATGGCCAAGCTGATTCCTTTTTTTTTTTTTTTTTCTTTGAGACGGAGTCTCGCTCTGTCGCCCTGGCTGGAGTGCAGTGGCGCGATTTCCGCTCACTGCAAGCTCCGCCTCCTGGGTTCACGACATTCTCCTGCCTCAGCCTCTCCAGTAGCTGGGACTTCAGGCTCCCGCCACTACGCCCGGCTAATTTTTGTATTTTTAGTAGAGACGGGGTTTCACCGTGCTAGCCAGGATGGTCTCGATCTCCTGACCTTGTGATCCGCCCACCTCGGCCTCCCAAAGTGCTGGGATTACAGGTGTGAGCCACCGCGCCCTGCTGCTGATTCATTTTTAAGAAAATGCTAAAGTGACCTGATAGTCTGAACTGACAATATGGACCAAACATTGGCTTATTTCCCAAACACTTAGTTATTTTCAAATCTTCAAATGAACATTTTTTTCAAGCACTAAATATGTGTTCTCATTTTGTGTTTCTGCTTTGTGTCTATGTCTAAGCTTTTAGAAAGGAAAATGCTTTTACCCCAATAAAATAGCATAGTCATTTATTAGGGTTCAAAGAGAAAAGTGCTAAAAAGTGGCAATGATCTATTTATCTGAACCTGAGGCCTTGTGGTGTTCTCAAGTTTCTATACTAGTTATAAAAGAAATTAATCTACATGATGTAATTTTACACTCTATTTATATCATTATTCTTTATACAACATAAACATAGAACTCAGTGATGTTATTACATGTCATAAATGTCATCATAATTTGTCTTTACACATCATAAATATCTTAGTTTGTGACATTATTACACCTTCGGGTGTCTCTTTCCATATTTATGGTAATTACATCAAAGTATTTACTATAATTATGTCATTTGATGAAATTACAGTAATTACTTCAAAAAATGATAGCCCACGACTAATGAATTAAAATAGCATGGAAATTCACATTAAAAATGACATTAAAATAATGCTAAGGATCTGAGATAACTCACAAGAGCAAGAACATTCATTACTGAGTTTTTAACCTTCAAACTTGATTCTACAGGTTTTTCCCTTATTGAAAAATGTATCTTTGTTGAAGATTGGGAAATGCTTTGTAACGGCACAGAAAACCATAGAGACATTTGAAAAAAACGGAAAGCCCAGTTGCCAGCCTTATTTTTGGCAATGTGGCAAAACAAAAATATGACTTAAAAAGCAACTCATAGAAGATAATTCAAATCCTCCTCAATTCATATTCCCATTCATTCTCTTTCTCTTGTTTGGAGTCTGTCAAAAACAGGCTTATCTAAACTAAATTATATGTATTAGGTAACAGACTGGGCCCATATCGGACTAATGAGGGACTTGTTTTTCAAGTTGAAATTCGTATTCATATATCACAAGACATGGAACTGCAAAGCACCAAGGAATCGTTTTATTCAGCCTCCAGATAGATTACTCTAAACAATGGCTTACAAATGGCTGTCTCTATTTTTAGCAGTCTCCATGGAACAAGACTTTCACAGCATCCCTGGAAAGCCTATTTCAAGGTTTACCTTTCATTATTGTGAAGTACGTATATCAGTGAATAAACCAAAAATCTATATCCTTATGGAGCTTATGTAGAAAGAAAATGAATAAAATTGGAACTCAAGAGAAAAACAAATCCAAAATAAATAGTTATACAATATTTTAGCATGTACTACATCCTATAGTATGCTAAGGTAGATACGAAGTAGGATAGAGAATGCCAGGAAAGGTTGAGGACCATAGAGTTGAAAAATTTAATAAGCATGCAGCTTCTAAATAGGTCTGACTGCAAAAGTGACATCAGAGCAAAGATTCAATAGGGAAGGGGCCGGGGCATATTTGCAGGAAGATCACTGTAGGAGAGAAGAGCTATGGAAGGGTGTTGAGCAAGAGGCTGTGAGGTGTGTTGGAAGGCCAAGGAATCCTGTATAATGAAACAGGAAGGGAGCTAGGAATAAGAGATGGATTCAGTAAGGTGGAGGTAGAGGTTGCTTTTAGACATGTTAAGATTGTTATTGGACATCCAGGTAGGTATGTAAAATAGGCAGCTAGTTATTCATGTTTAGGGATGCAAATTTGGGTTTCATCAGCACAGAGATGCTATTTCAGGCCATGAGATCCACGAGATGGGGCAAAATTGCTTACGGAGAGAGGGCAGATGGATTGGAGAAGGGCAAGGCCAGTGGCCTGGGGATTCGCAACAGTAATTGCTCCAGGAGAAGAGCAAGAGCCAGCAGAGACAGCTGAAATAGAGTCCCCAGGTAGAAAAATAGGAGAGCAGTGTTCTGACTGATAGCCCAATAAAGGCAGCATTTAGAGGGGGAAAGACTGATCAACAGGGTCAAATATTTGGGTAAGGCAACTACAATAAGGACTAAAGCGGATCATTGGACATACACTGAAATAGAACATTCTATTCTCCCTGATCTAGACACCCATATGCTGATTATTCATCCTTTGAATCCTAATTCACCATCCTACTAAACAAAAGTAATGGCAGGTATAAAAAGCTTTATATTTCACAAAGCCTTTTTATATATATTAGCTCATTACATTCTTACAGCAACCTTGGTAAGTGTGGACAATGAAATTGAAATGCCGAAATGTTTAAATGACTCATCAAGTCTCAATTCTACGTCTTTAGACTTGAATTCTTTCCAGCGTAGACACTTCAGAAAACGTCCCATGAAAGTTTCTCCTACTCTTCCAGACTCATCACTCTCTCTGCTGTCTCTGACTCCCTATGTCTGTCCTGACTTTCTATATCAGGGATTCCCAAGGTGTGAAACTGTCACCCTAGAGCCACCACATCCTCTCAGGAGATCAGCAACATCAAAACCATTTTTATAATCATAACAAAACCTTGTTTGCCTTTTTCTCTCTCATTCTTTCATGAAAATAGTGTGGAGATTTCCAGAGGCTACATGACATACAGTATTGCAACAGAATCAATGCAGAAGCAAATGTGAGAATTCAGCTTACTTCTGTTAAGTTGGACATTAAAGAGATTTGAAATAATGTCTATGTGACTCTTACTTTTGGTTTTGACAAATATAGCTTTTTGTCCTCAAAATAAAACATTACTATTAGCCTGTATTGATTTTTAATTATTTTGAGTGAATTAATTCTTTAAAATTTTTATTTGAACTGAATATGGCAAATATCAATAGATATACCTACCAAAAAGAAAGTCCTAAGGGATCATCAATAATTGTGATAACCACTGTCTATATTACTTGGGTCCATGCCACTCCTCTTTATATTATCTTGCGTAATAATTGGTGTTTTTTTTAAGTTTCCTTTTATATATTCCTTATTTGTCCTCCTAGATTATTAGCTCTTTAAATTGTAGGGACTATCATTTTTATTTTTATTTTTTGGCTTCCCCTAGGAATATTCCTACTTCTAGGTAGTTAAGCAATTTCCAATTAACATGTAATGATATTTTATAGACTGGTTGATTTCATAACTTTCTTTACTGGTTAGTTAAAAGACAATAGCAACAACTTTCTGGTTGTAACTTTATTGCTCCTGGAGTTACTTCTCTTAGGGATTCATTTATTTAACACATATTTATGGAGCACATGTTGCATAAAAGGCTCTATGGAAAATACCAGCGAGATAGATGAGACCACAGCTCCCACCTTCAAGGTATTTGTGACTCACTAGGAAAGATAAGATGGGGCATCTTACTATAAGAGCTGGTATGTCCTTGATTCTAAGAACGCACTTCTCCTTGCCCCACATATTCTAACATCTGTATAATCAAAATGAGTCTTATAACTGATGTTGGCATAGTTTAAGTGGCAAAATCTCTTTTCTTCCTTAGAAGTACATAACATAGGGTATATTGTACAATCACTTGAGTCATTGATGTGATGAAATATGATAAAAACCAATCAAATGTGGAAAGTTTAATATGACAAGTACTCAAAGAAAACAAAACAAACGCGTAGAAGAATTTTGGGAAAGGAAATCTACACATCCAGGTAACTGTGCAACTATTTTCCTCTTGGCTATTTCTTCACAGACTGCATTTATGTTAAATTTAATATCATTTTATTTCACTTCTCTACATTACTCTTAAAATATGGAGCCTCTAAACCAACATTTCTTACTGAACTTGTAACAAAACTTTTTTTTTATTATACTTTAAGTTTTAGGGTACATGTGCACAACATGCAGGTTTGTTACATATGTATACATGTGTTATGTTGGTGTGCTGCACCCATTAACTCGTCATTTAACATTAGGTATATCTCCTAATGCTATCCCTCCCCCCTCCCCCCACCCCACAACAGGCCCCAATGTGTGATGTTCCCCTTCCTGTGTCCATGTGTTCTCATTGTTCAATTCCCACCTATGAGTGAGAACATGGGGTGTTTGGGTTTTTGTCCCTGCAATAGTTGGCTGAGAATGATGGTTTCCAGCTTCATCCATGTGCCTACAAAGGACATGAACTCATCCTTTCTTATGGCTGCATAGTATTCCATGGTGTATATGTGCCACATTTTCTTAATCCAGTCTATCATTGTTGGACATTTGGGTTGGTTCCAAGTCTTTGCTATTGTGAATAGTGCTGCAATAAATATACGTGTGCATGTGTCTTTATAGCAGCATGTTTTATAATCCTTTGGGTATATACCCAGTAATGGGATTGCTGGGTCAAATGGTATTTCTAGTTCTAGATCCCTGAGGAATCGCCACACTGACTTCCACAATGGTTGAACTAGTTTACAGTCCCACTAACAGTGTAAAATGTTCCTATTTCTCCATATCCTCTCCAGCACCTGTTGTTTCCTGACTTTTTAATGATCACCATTCTAATTGGTGTGAGATGGTATCTCATTGTGGTTTTGATTTGCATTTCTCTGATGGCCAGTGATGATGAGCATTTTTTCATGTGTCTATTGGCTGCATAAATGTCTTCTTTTGAGAATTGTCTGTTCATATCCTTCGCCCACTTTTTGATGGGGTTGTTTTTTTCTTGTCAATTTGTTTGAGTTCATTGTAGATTCTGGATATTAGCCCTTTGTCAGATGAGTAGCTTGCAAAAATTTTCTCCCATTCTGTAGGTTGCCTGTTCACGCTGATGATATCTTTTTTTTTTGCTGTGCCAGAAGCTCTTTAGTTTAATTAGATCCCATTTGTCAATTTTGGCTTTTGTTGCCATTGCTTTTGGTGTTTTAGACATGAAGTCCTTGCCCATGCCTATGTCCTGAATGGTATTGCCTAGGTTTTCTTCTAGGGTTTTTATGGTTTTAGGTCTAACATGTAAGTCTTTAATCCATCTTGAATTAATTTTTGTCTAAGGTGTAAGGAAGGGATCCAGTTTCAGCTTTCTACATAGGGCTAGCCAGTTTTCCCAGCACCATTTATTAAATAGGGAATCCTTTCCCCATTTCTTGCTTTTCTCAGGTTTGTCAAAGTTCAGATAGCTGTAGATATGTGGCATTATTTCTGAGAGCTCTGTTCTGTTCCATTGGTCTATATCTCTGTTTTGGTAGCAGTACCATGCTGTTTTGGTTACTGTGGCCTTGTAGTATAGTTTGAAGTCAGGTAGCATGATGCCTCCAGCTTTGTTCTTTTGGCTTAGGATTGACATGCTGATGCAGGCTCTTTTTTGGTTCCATACGAACTTTAAAGTAGTTTTTTCCAATTCTGTGAAGAAAGTCATTGGTAGCTTGATGGGGATGGCATTGAATTAGGAAAAGAGGAAGTCAAATTGTCCCTGTTTGCAGATGACATGATTGTATATCTAGAAAACCCCATCATCTCAGTCCAAAATCTCCTTAAGCTGATAGGCAACTTCAGCAAAGTCTCAGGATACAAAATCAGTGTGCAAAAATCACAAGCATTCTTATACACCAATAACAAACAAACAGAGAGCCAAATCATGAGTGAACTCCCATTCACAGTTGCTTCAAAGAGAATAAAATACCTAGGAATCCAACTTACGAGGGACATGAAGGACCTCTTCAAGGAGAACTACAAACCACTGCCCAATGAAATAAAAGAGGATACAAACAAAGGGAAGAACATTCCATGCTCATGGGTAGGAAGAATCAATATCGTGAAAATGGCCACACTGCCCAAGGTAATTTATAGATTCAATGCCTTCCCCATCAAAACTTCTGATAGCTGAACAATAAGAAAGAATCACCTGCCACAGGCCCTTAAGAATCTGTCTGAAGAAAGTTTCCTTTATAGCCCAACTTGGTGTATGGAAGAAAGGACCTAAAGTCCTCATATTTGGAGAGTATGTTAAAATAAAAATGACTGAAAATTGGATCTTTCTTACTTTTTCTACCGTATTCTTTCTGCACAGTTCCTACTAAGATCCCACCTAATTTACCATGTGAATTTATGTCTAGAAAGTGAACTTAGGGATATAAAGTTACTATTTTTAGCTCTCAATTCACTAATTAGTTGGAGCTACTTCGTTTGAACACCAACTATTTATGACCATAAATGAGGTTGGATTCTTTCTCTACTCATTTCTGGGAGAGAGAGAAAAAATACAGGAATTCAATCTCATATTAGTTAGATCTCATATTTGTGAACATAACAAGCTCATGGTAAGTATAAATCCAGTCTACTGTCTCCTGCCATCCAAACTAAGATTCACTAGTAGGCCCTGCAGAAAATTAAATAGTCATTTCCACTTACTATATTGTTGAATTAAATACCTAAACATTTAGATAAGTTGGTAAGACTTGAAACCATAACAAAAATGAAAAGAAAAACGAAACAAAACATTTTATTTATTAGAAAATTACATTTGTCAGAACAAAATAACCTGTCCTTTGGCTATAAGCCTGGTTTTAAAATGTGTCATCTTTCAGATATATTATTCTGTGAATGTTGTGAGTGAGGTAATCGTTGCAATAACCTTTTCTATTTTGGGGTTAACAAAAAGAAAAACGAACATGGCAAATTTTCATTATTTCTGTTTCTGGCTTTTTGAGATGAGGTAAGGGAATATAAAGGTTTACAAAAAACATGATTTTTTTTGGTTCAATATCTGCCTAAACATGTTTTATATTTGCTGTATTGTCCAAATTATGCACCTTAATGCTGCTCCATGGTTTCATGTTTGTTTCTACATGATCGTTGCATTTGTAATCATATCTTGGAAGGAGTGGTTAGCTTGAAAGGATTAGAAGTGAGATATGGAATCTGGTCCCCTTAGGTCATTTGTTTGTATCCAGCTGAAGTCAGCAGTGGCTAAAATTCATTACCATCTGGCAGTTTTTCCATGGCCTCTGTGACAGAACTTGTGGTCCTAGTCTAGTACATACTAGACAGATGTCCAGGTCATAAAAATCACAACGATACTTGGCATTGTGTCACCCCCTTGTTGACAGTACCATCAGACAGGCCAGAGATCGAAGTGGAATAAAGAATGAGCTGTCTTCATCCCATCCAGTGGTCCGTTGGCAAACAGATACTCAGTCCTTATGTATTCTGTGTGAGGAAAAAAGCTTTTGGCTATACTCAAAGGAAATGAAAAGAATTCTAATCAATACAGCATCTCCCAGCACAATATGGTTAGGTGTTCTGACTTATCTCCCTGCACAAACACAAAATTAGATGAAGTGGCTAAACTTTTCGAATCTTTCCTTTTGATGGAAAATGAGAGTTCATGTATTTATGTTGTCTTAAGGTTTTCAAACTACTGTATGATCGTAAACACAGTTTGTAAACTTGAGCTAGCCATGTACACTGTACTTTTTAAATAGCTCTGTATATGCCATTCTGACCACATCTTCTACCTTCCCTAAGATCCCAAACATTTCCCTATTATAGACATATGTTCTGACATAGATATTTATAAAAATCTCTTATATTTTCAGCCTCTTCTCTGAATAATCCCTTTACTATCTTGCCCTAATCACAATCTGCTGGTTCTAACAAAAATGCTCCCTTTTAGTTTTCTCTAGTAGTGGCTGGCTTTCCTTCCACTGGCCATTTTGCAGTCATTATTCTCCTGTCTTTGTGATTTCAATATCTCCATGGACAATCCATTTTAAACAAGTTCTACCCTCTCAGCTATTGGCTTCCTCACCTTCACTGATCTTGTTCTCCATTAACCTCAGCCACCCACTCCCAAGGTCTCACCCTCATCCAAGTCATCACCACTAATTGCAGGATTTCCAGCTGCTCAGTTTAAATTATTATACTCTCTGACTGTTATCTACTATAATTCCCTTTCACATTGTCTTATTTCCTTAATTCTTTACCAAACCAGAACCTCCAATCCATTGGCCCTACTGCCTTTGCAGTGTCTTATCACTTCATTTTTATCCACATATTTCTCCCAACTATGCTCAGATTGTGTGGTCCCTCCTTATCCATTATTATTACATTCCCTTGCATGAATCTCTACTTTCTTTTCTTTCCCCCTCGGTATAATACACCTGGTAAAAAACCAACTTGTTCAACTCCAATTCCCCTCCTGCTATGTGCTTACATTCAAGGGGTGGAATGTGGCAATCACAGTCAAACATCTATAATGTCTGGCCTCAAATTGAATTTGTGACCACAAACTGCAAATGGGCCCTTGATAGTGCCTGCCAATGTCATCATGTTTTCTTAGTTATTTTTCTATTCACTTCACTCCCTCACTGTCCAGGTGACTATTGTATACCTAAAAATTTTATTATTCCATCCTCCTCCACACTCTCAGCTCAGAAGCATGTTTCATATTCCATTGATAAAAACAGAAGCAACCAGGAGAGAACTTCCACATTTTCCCATTAACTGATAGATGAAATTATCTGCCTCTCTCTTGCAGATTTGTTTCTATATGAGTGTTGCCTTTGTAATAATATCTTGGAAGGAGTGGTTGGCTTGAAAGGATTAGAAGTGAGATATGGAATCTGGTTGCCTTAGGTTATTTATACCATCAACTTCTCCAGCTTTACTAGATTGTTCCATTAGTGTTCTATACACCATAATATATCTGATCTTTTAAAAATTACAAAAACACAGCCTTAACCACATAATTTTCTCCAGTTTCTGCAGCATTTCTCTGCTTCTCTGTGTGATAAAAGTCCTTACAGGATTGGGCAATGTTTGTTTTCTTAGTTTTCTCTGCCCTCTCCTTTTCTCTCCTGAACTTAGTCCAACCATTTCACTCAAAGAACTCTGTTAAGATAAATTTATCAACATATTCTGGGGGGGTTTTCAATCCTAATTTCATTCAACCTCTCAGTGTCATTTAATGGAGTTGATAATTTATTTATCTTCAAAATGCTTTTGAAACATTAAAAGAGAGAGAACTACCAGTGCTCTACTCTCTTTGTGTCAGCCTCTTATCTGACTGGCTGCTCTCTCTAGAACTTCATTTATTGTAATATTGTTCATCTATCACAAGAAATAAGGTATTAATATATGCTATAACATAGATGAACATTGAAAACATTATACTGAGTGAAATAAGTAATCAATCAGTTAATGCACATTTGGATTGTTTCCGATATTTGGCAAATATAAATGTTACTATGAACATTCAGATACAAGCTTTTGTGTAGATACATGTTTTCATTTGTCTTGAGTGCATACATGGAGTGAAATTGATAGATCATATGGTAACTATGTTCAATCTTTTGAGGAACTGCTGTTTTGTTTTTTAAAACGGCTGCACCATTTTATATTATCACCAGCGTATATGAGAGTCCAGTTTCTCCACATCCTCACCAATATCTATTATTATGTCTTTTTTATTATAGCCATCCTATTGGGAATCAAGTGATGTCTCATTGTGGTTTTTACTTGTGTTTCTATGATGGCTAATAATATACATCTTTTCTTGTGTTTATTGGCCATTTGTATATTTTCATTGGAAAAATGTTTCTACTCAGATCCTTGGTCCATTTTAAACATTGGGTTATCTTTTCGTTATTAAATTGTAAAAGTTCCTTTTATATTCTAGAGACAAGACTCTCATCAGATACATGATTTGCAAATATTCTCACATTCTGTAGATCATCTCTTTTATGATAAAGTCCTTTGACACAAAGAAGTTTTCAATTTTGAAGGTGTTCGGTTTATACGTGTTTTCTTTAGTTGCTTGTGTATTTGGGAACCTATCTAAGGAATTATTGCCTAATCCAAGGTCATGAAGATTTACTTTAATGTTTCTTCTAAGAGTTTTACAGTTTTAGGTCGTTGATCCATTCTAAGTTAATTTTTGTGTACCATGTGAAGTAGAGGGTCCAATATTACTCTTTTACATGTGGTATTCAATTGTCCTATCATCTTTTGTTAAGACTATTATTATCCATTTGTCTTAGAATCCTAGTTAAAAAAAATCAATTAATAGTAAATGCAGGGTTTATATCTGAACTGTCCATTCCATTGATTTATATGTTTGTCCTCATGCGGGTACCACACTGTCTTGATTCCTGTAGCTTTGTAGTAAATTTGAAAATTGTGAATTCTGAGTATCCCTGCTGTTTACTTTTTATTTCAAGGTTATTGTGGCTATGTTTGGTCGCTTGAATATCAACATGAAGTTTAGAACCAGCTTTTTTTTTTTTTTTTTTTTTTGCAAATAATAGAGATTGAAAAATAAGAACAATAGCTGTCTGAGAGGAGAGGAGAAAAATATGGGACAAATAATAGGATCTGCATAATTCATTATTCACACTACCTGGAAAGCAATACAGACATAATCTGTATGTAGAAACAAAAGAAGAAACAATCTGTTACCTTTCTGTTGATGCTTTTCAATAAAATGAGAACATCTCAATTGAAGTCTAAATGCATCAAATTGTTTAAGTCTCAAGATTATCAGTTTTATCACAGGAGATACCTTGTATAAAGTATGTAAAACCAAAGATCATACAAGAAATAAAATATTTAAAATGAGAATACTCGTGGCAGGAAAACAGATATCTCATGGATTTTAGCAAGATTTCTATGATGAGTAATAAGGAGACATAAAAATCAGACCTGCCTACCACATTTAACATCAATCATTTAAAGGATCTTTATGTAATCTTGCATTTCATTACCTTTCATAAGAATAACATTATTTAGAAGGCAAACAATTTGCTTGATGAGTTTTTAAAAATCATAAGTAGGTGCATTTTGGAGCTAGAAGTTTTGACAACTATTGCTGCAGTTGGCCCATGATCTATCTCTTCCATCTCTAATTTGTTATATAATCTCTATTCTTGATTATGATGCTTTGTAGACAGGAAATCTGTCTTTCATCTTGGATCTATAGTGTCTGACCCATTGCCAGGTGAGTAGCAGGTGATCAATAAATGCTTATTGAATAAGTGAATGAAACATAATATTCTCTTATAAGTAAGACAGATGAAAATATAACTAGTTGTGCTCCATCAGTTTTATTTTGAACTAGGCAAGGTGAAATGAACATGTATATATAATCTGAGTAGCTGAGGGGAGAGATCATAGCTTCATTTCATTCTCAGCCATCTTGCTATACATTTCAGAGTCAGAGGTTAAAATGGCAAGGCGTGAGTGGCAAGGTGACATAGAGCAGTTACACTGCATGTAGTCAAATGTTTTCTATTGCAGATCTTAGCAGTTGTCACTCCTTTCACATTTCAATTTCCTAACTATAATAAGGCTACAAATGTGCAATCTTCCAATTCAGATGAGGCTGAGTTTTTATTCATGTAATCGCAACCCAAGTTATCATGAATTAAGTTATGTGCCATTCAAGAATGTGATGTTCACATTTACGAAAGAATTAATATGTGCAGCTACATTGCCTTTAACAAATTATTATTAGGCAGGGATATGAAATGCATTGGTAAGAAACACTTAACAGATGATACTATGACAATGTGCTATTAAGCATATTACTGTAATGTCAATATTATTAAACCTATGTGCCCAGCTAATCCATGAATATAAATTACTTTTGTATCAGTCACACTTTATTATTTATTAGGATTACTGTAATAGCTGTAACTATTCCATTGAGACAACCTCAGGGCATGTCTCCCTCAAAGCTGCAGCTTAGAGAACCATTGAATTCAGATCTTATCTAACAGTGAGTCCCTTAAGTACCGTTTCTCCAAATCGTTTTGTTGAATCAGATGTGACTAAAAGATGTGATTGTTTTCCACTGAAAATTAAGATAGCCTCCATAGCTATTACTAAAATTTGTTGAGGCCTCCAAGCTACCTGGCACTTAACCAAGTGCTTTTCATATATTGTTAAAAGTTACTTCCCAAATTCTGTAATATATTATCCCCAAATACAGAAGGAAAAATTTATGGTTAAGAGAGATTAGAAAGTAAACATCTAAAGTGTCAATGCTTTAGTGCAAATACCTGGGTCCAAACTCAGTTGTCTTTGTTACCAGTCAGAGATTTTTAAATAGGACTGAATTATGTAAATAAGCCATTAAAATTTGGAACAATTGAAATTCTCTTATTTGAGTCCACTGCCAGCAGATGATATATATTTTTGTTCCTCCCTTTGCAAATAGAGATGGCACCTTATTAAAAAAATTGGGGTAATAAGTGTACAATAATTTAAAAAGGTTTCTCAAAAAATCACTGCTTTTTCTAAAGTACACTTGGATATTTGGTTTTATTATCCCCATTAGAAAGAATCCACTGAAATGCACAAGACTATTTACTTCAACTTTCAGCCCTTCTTACACCCAGTCTAATGCTTAGTTTATGTTTTGAGATTTGAGGATAACTCTTTATTTGGATAGCCTTCTATTTTCCAATATTACCTTTACAATAATTTTTGCCCACTGTTATATATTTTAGCTAATTATATAAATATGTATATGTGTACATATAAAACTTTACACTTATTTGTACCACTCTCAAATACGGAAGGTGAAAACAGCATAGGATGTAGCAGTGCATAGGGTTAAGGAAAAGAGCATTTCCTGAGACAAGAAGTGACTCCAGGGTCTGCATGTCTGTTGATCTTCCATATTCTGCTAAATGAAGCAATAGGCATTGCAGCTGAAACTCTGACTACTTCTTCACAAATTTGCCATCTTCTTAAAAACAAATGCTGTATCTAAGCCTCCTTAGCAGTCACGCATATCCCAAATACCACCACAATCCTTTAGTATTTAGATTTGTTTATATCCTGAACAAGATACAAGCTGCAGGTTTCCTGGAAAGGATGTTAAATCAACAGTTGGCCATTTCTGTCTTCCTCTTCCTATTTCTTTCTCATGGAAATCTGCATGTTGTTGCATTATTCTGTTCTAAAGATGAAATCCAGGGATGAACTCAGGACACTAATCCAGAAATGACTAAAATCTATTGGACATTATTGTCCTGTCCTCATTCATATTAATATTTTTTGCTTTTTTTTTTTTTAACCCAGCTCTTTACTGATTTAACGGTTTAAACTAAGTTCTACAGGAGCACAGAGGGTGGAGAGACTACATTGGTCTGTGAAGTTCAGTGAAGGTTCCACGGAGGATGTGGCAATTGGAGCTGAATTTGGAGTTAGAGAACTGTGAGCTCGTTTCATCTATGCAACAGACAGAATGCCAAATATGTCATGTTATGCTTTGGGAATTGTGCAGAACACCCTCTATTACAACTACTTAAGAGCTGTTGCTAGAAATCACTGTTCAGTTTCACAGTTTTCATCCATTTAGATCAGGTCCTTACCGTCAGGGTGCCTTATGTTTTCTGGCTTAAAAAAAATATTGTTGAATGTTAATATCTCTCTCACAGGGTTAAAATTTCAATCAGATTTTAATAGATCCCAAATTAACCTAAATTAGGGCATCATGATTGTCAAGATTTTAATATTCTTAATTGCTGAGCTGAATGTTTATCACATTTAGCAGCAAATAAGTAGTGCTAAAATCAATGAGATGAAATAGTTACATATGAGTTTTTTATTTAATTATTTTACTTTAAGTTCCGGGATACAAGTGCTGAATGTGTAAGTTTGTTACATAGGTATACATGTGCGGTGGTTTGCTGCACCTATCAATCCATCATCTAGGTTTTAAGCCCCCCATGCATCAGCCATTTGTCCTAATGCTCTCCTTCCCCTTGCCACCCACCACCCGACTGGTCCTGGTGCATGTTGTTCTCCTCCCTGTGTCCATGTGTTGCCATCATTCAACTCCTACTTATGAGTGAGAACATGTTATGTTTGGTTTTCTGTTCCTGTGTTAGTTTGACGAGGACAATGGATTCCAGCTTGATCCATGTCCCTGCAAAGGACGTAATTTCATTCCTTTTTATGGCTACATAGTATTCCATGGTATATATGTACCACATTTTCTTTATCTGATCTATCACTGATGGGCATTTGGGTTGGTTCCATGTCTTTGCTATCGTAAATAGTGCTGCAACAAACATACATGTGCTTGTGTCTTTATAGTAGAATGATTTACATTCCTTTGGGCATATACCAGGTGATGGGATGACTGGGTCAAATGTTATTTCTGGTTCTATATCCTTGAGGAATCACCAAACTGCCTTCTGCTATGGTTGAACTAATTTACACTCCCACCAACAGTGTAAAAGCATTCCTATTTCTTCACAGCCTCACCAGCATCTATTGTTCCTTGACTTTTTAATAATTGCCATTCTGACTGGCATGAGATAGTATCTCATTGTGTTTTGATTTGCATATATCTAATGATCAGTAATGTTGAGCTTTTTTTCATATTTGTTGGCAGCATGAATGTCTTCCTTTGAGAACTGTCTGTTCGTATACTTTGCCCACTTTTTGATGTTTTTTTTTTCTTGTAGATTTAAGTTCCTTGTAGATTCTGGATATTAGACCTTTGTCAGATGGGTAGATTGCAAAAATTTTCTCCCATTCTGTAGGTTGCCTGTTCACACTGATGATAGTTTCTTTTGCTGTGCAGAAGCTCTGAAGTTTAATTAGATCCCATTTGTTAATTTTGGCTTTTGTTGCAATTGCTTTTGGCATTTTTGCCATGATGTCTTTGACCATGCCTATGTCCTGAATGGTATTGCCTAGGTTTTCTTCTAGGGTTTTTATGGTTTTGGGTTATACATTTAAGTCTTTAATCCATCTTGAGTTAATTTTTGTATAAGGTGTAAGGAAGGGGTCCAGTTTCAGTTTTCTTCATATGGCTAGCCAGTTTTCCCAGCACCATTTACTGAATAGGGAATCCTTTCCTCATTGTGTTTTTGTCCAGTTTGTTGAAGACCAGATGGTTGTAGATGTGTGGTGTTATTTCTGGGGTCTCTGTTTTGTTGCATTTGTCTATATGTCTGTTTTGGTACCAGTACCATGCTGTTTTGATTACTGTAGCCTGGTAGTATAGTTTGAAGTCAGGTAACATGATGCCTCCAGGTTTGTTCTTTTTGCTTAGGATTGTCTTGGCTATATGGGCTCTTTTTTTTGGTTCCATGTGAAATTTAAAATAGTTTTTTTTCTAATTCTATGAAGAATGTCAGTGTTAGTTTGCTGGGAATAGCACTGAATCTATAAATTACTTTGGCAGTATGGCCATTTTCATGATATTAATTCTTCCTATCCATGAGGATGGAATGTTTTTCCATTTGTTTGTGTCCTCCCTTATTTCCTTGAGCAGTGGTTTGTAGTTCTCCTCGAAGAGGTCCTTCACATCCCTTGTTAGCTGTATTCTTAGGTATTTTATTCTTTTTATAGCAATTGAGAATGGGAGTTCATTCATGATTTGGCTCTTTGCTTCTCTGTTGTTGGTGTATAGGAGTGGTTGTGATTTCTGCACATTGATTTTGTATCCTGAGCCATTGCTGAAGTTGCTTATGAGCTTAAGTTTTTGGGCTGAGATGATGGGGTTTTCGAAATATAGAATCATGTCGTCCTGCAAACAGAGACAATTTGACTTCCTCTCTTCCTATTTGAATACGCTTTATTTCTTTCTCTTGCTGAATTGCCCTGGCCAGAATTTCCAATACTATGTTGAATAGGAGTGGTGAGAGAGGGCATCCTTATCTTGTGCTGGTTTTCAAAGGGAATACTTCCAGCTTTTGCCCATTCGGTATGATGGCTGTGGGTTTGTCATAAATAGCTCTTATTATTTTTAGATATGTTATATGAATACCTAGTATATTGAGAGTTTTTAGCATGAAGTGGTGTTGAATTTTATCAAAGGCCTTTTCTGCATCTATTGAGATAATCATGTGGTTTTTATCATTGGTTCTGTTTATGTGATGGATTACATTTATTGATTTGCATATGTTGAACCAGCCTTGCATCTCAGGGATGAAGCTGACTTGATTGTGGTGGATAAGCTTTTTGATAAGCTGCTGGATTTGGTTTACCAGTATTTTATTGAGGATTTTCACATTGATGTTCATCAGGGATATTGGCCTGAAGTTTTCTTGTTTTGTTGTGTCTCTGCCAGGTTTTGGTATCAGGATGGTGCTGGCCTTATAAAATGAGTTAGGGATGAGTCCCTTCTTTTCAATTGCTTGGAATAGTTTCAGAAGGAATGGTACCAGCTCCTCTTTTTATCTCTGGTAGAATTCAGCTGTGAATCCGTCTGGTCCTGGGCTTTTTTTGGTTGGTAGGCTATTAATTACTGCCTCAATTTCAGAACTTGTTATTGGTCTATTCAGGGATTCAACTTCTTTCTGGTTTAGTCTTAGGAGAAATTTATCCATTTCTTTTAGATTTTCTAGTTAATTTATGTAGAGATGTTTATAATATTCTCTGATGGTAGTTTGCATTTAGGTGGGATCAGTGGTGATAGCCTCTTTGTCATTTTTTGTCACATATTAATTTATATTTACTTGAGATAGGCATTTTTCAAGGATTTAAATTTTATTTATATTATTTAACCTCTGTTACAAAGTATAGAAATTCAGTCTTTTAGATATTCATTCAACATTTTTCATTATTAATTCATTTAACAAATACCTGTTGAATGGTCTACTCTAAATTGGTTATGTTAGGGTCTTTATTAAGTGCTAGGAAAAGAAAAATTCACAAATCATAGTCTCAATGAAATCTGCTTTCGTTATAAACTAACGGCCTTTTGCAGTTGAGAACTGCTATTTTTTCTTTTAATCTTACTCAGGTCTGACTTTTAAGAACATATGCACTTATCTGGAAATTGAAACAATATTATCTAGTATATCCGAGGAATCTTGAAATTTTAAAATATTTCACATTTGAAGCACGTAGTAGTTTCATAAGCGTCTAGCACTTTAAAATTTATTATTATTGCACTACTTCTATTATTACTATATTACTATTGTTTGTACTATCTCTAAGTTGCCTGTCTGATGCTTGAATTTCCTAGATCCTGGATCCAGAAAAATTAAAATCATATGAGAGGGTTGATATACAAGAAAATTCAAAAGTAGAGTTAGCAAAAGTGGTTTTTAAAAAATTGCTGCAAATTTTGCTGCAAGTTTGAATACAGTCTTGGAATTCTTTGGGTAATATGGCAAAAAATTATCTCAGCTAAATGAAATAAAATATCCATTTTGTATATGATTTTTACCAACAGGTTAGTAGGAACTGGTCAATTTAATTAATGTAGTTATATCTATTGCCTGAGCAAACATGGTCTTACTCAAGCTGAAATGTAAATTTGAGATCTTTCTCCTGTCACACTTGATGGGGTTTGGCTGTGTCCCCACCCACATCTCACCTTTAATTGTAATAATCCCCACAGGCCAAAGGCAGGTCCAGGTGGAAATAGTTGAATCATGGCGGGGGTTTCCCCCATACTGTTCTCGTGGTTGTGAATAAGTCTCACAAGATCTGATGGTTTTATAAATGGAAGTTCCCCTACACAAGCTCCCTTGCCTGCCACCATGTAAGACATGTCTTGCTTCCCGTTCAGCCATTATTGTGAGGCCTCCCCAGCCATGTGGAACTGTGAGTCAACTAAACCTCTTTCCTTTATAAATTACCCAGTCTTGGGTATGTATTTATTAGCAATGTGAGAACAGACTAATATAACACTTATTCTTCCTTTGGTTATAGTATTAATGAGGTTATTGAGTAAATTGGATTAGATAGAGGCCAACCAAAAAGCAACTTCATTTTTTCATACCACTGCATTTCTTTCATGGTATTCTAAGTCTTTTCTCAATCCTGTGATATTCTGGGTTTATCCCAAATCCTTTATCTTCATTTTCAAACATAAACAAATTATCTAATTTTCTATTAAATCTTCAATCTCTCATCAAATTCAAACTTATTTCTTCTCACAGCTCAGCCTGAGAAATCTTATTTTCCCCACCTTGACTTCCTACTCATCACCTCCATTCACTGTGTAGTCTCAGGGTTCTTCTGGGAATGGAATGGTATCTTAGTCTATTTAGGTGCTATTGCAAAATATCATAAACTGAGTGGCTTATAAAAACAGACATTTATTTCTCACAATTCTGGAGGCTGGGAAGTCCAAGATCAAGGCAGACTGGGTATCTGGTGGGGCTCAACCTTCTGGCATATAGATGGCACTTTTTTGCTCTGTCTTCCCATGGTGAAAGGGACTCGCTAGCTTCTAACCCTCTGGGGTCTCTTTTATAAAGACACTAATCTCAATCATGAGGGCAGAACTCTTCCAAAGGCCTCACTTCCTAATACCATCACCTTGGGGATTAAGATTTCAACCAACAAATTTTGGGAAAACATAAGCTTTCAGTCCACTGAAATGGGGAGAAGAAAATAGGTGAGGGTAGATACAAAGATACTGCTTGACTGGTAAATGTGCAGTCTGGCATAGGAACACTTGTCTAAATGCTGATCCTTCCTATAATGAGTTCCTCAGAGATTTGTCCACTAAGAACTTTGGCTTCAATGCACTAGCTCCTTATGCCTCTTACCCAAACCCTGGAGTCTTTAAGTCCACTTTTCCCTGTTTAAGGTTTTGCACAGTTTCTTCCAAGACAATTCAGAATCATATCCCTTCATCAGAGTTTTCATTTGGCCCCAGGGAAGCACACCTTTCCTCCACCACAGATGAGATTGAGGTGCATTCTTCTGAATATTCTATAATAAAAAAGACCCAGCCAGCTTTTTACATTTAGACTGTTTTTCAGACGTAAGTCAGATACTAGTTCCCAAATCTCTCATATTTATAAAACATTGTAGTAGGTACCAGTAAGATTCTCTTGACATCTTCTTTCTCCCCTATCCTTATGTACTCTGAAAATGAGTGATGGCTAAGTGTTGCCTGATATTTTGGGGGTCATCTCTTACAAAGTTCTATAAGGATGTTCTGACACATTTTTTTATTGTGAAAAGGTACTAATATCCTTTGTTCTCAGATTTGGGGATCTCAGCCAATATAGAGACAAAAATAACCATTCCTTTTGACATCAGAATAAACAGAAAAATTTATGTTACTTTCCCCTTTGTTTAACTATTCCCTTGAGAACAGAAGTCATGTTTTATGCAGCATTGTAGCTATTATAGCAGAGAGCACAGTGCATTGCATATCTTACATACTCAATATGTACTGAATGAAGGTATAGTTAGGAGTAGCTTTACTACTTCCCTCTTCTACCAAAACACAGCCAGGGAACTTTTCATTATTAGATGCAGTCAGGTTCCTTGCTGGCAAGAAAGAGATGGCATATTCAAAGAGTTTAACTAAAGAGTGGTAAATGAAGGAATTATTTGTGTGGGCCAAGACTAAGGAAGCCAAGGAGATAAAACACCTTAGAGATTAGCAACAGTGGGAAGTCATTGCCACCCTTAGGTCTGAGAGAGTAAGGGGAAGGAATGATGTTCCTAAACCATGAAGGATGCTGGAGCTGTGTAAGACAAAGGGTCTGATGGGATCCAAGGTCAAAGCAGAAGGTTGTCACTGTCAGGACAGTGGCAAGGCAGGAAGAGCGTATGGGCATGAACCCAGGGTGATAAATACTCAACTTCTGTCTCCTCCCATCCTCCATTTTCCTGTGAGTTCCTGCCATTGGCTGAATCCAACTGGAAGCCAGATGGCAAGAGGACTTGAGCAATGTAGCTCTGGAGGTCAGCCCTGTGGGATGGAGAGGAAGGCAGAGAAATGCACATAATGAATCATAGAAAAGGGTAGGTGGCAGGGAACAACAGCAGGCTACTACAGTTGGAAAAATCAAACTAGTATATTTAAGCCATTAGGAGAAATACTACATAGCACGTAGTTCTCATTTATAGTCAAAACACTCCTTCTGTGGTCTACTTCATTTTCATGACAGAGTAAACACCTTTTGAATAAAAATCTCGGATTTTAACTTTGATTTTTGTTTGCTTATTTATATGCTTTCTTACTTCAAAACACGTTTATAACAATTTACAATGATATTTAGATAAAAGGACAATCTACAAAGTACGTAACATGGTGAGATGAACTAAGATTAATGCTAAAGGAAAATATGGGTAGAAATGTTGGATTAATTGAAGTTAATTCACAGAATGTGGGCCATATTGTAAACCACAAATTTGGTTCTATGATTTCTTGAGTCAGTTCTGAAAATATTTCTCTCACATAATATTTATTGAATATGATGTTTTTTAGATGCTAGAAATATGGCAGTGAGCAAGAAACAAGGTAATGCGGAATTTATATTTTCATGAGAAATAAGAAAAGAAAACAAACATGTAACTTGAGAATGAGGTAAATGTTATGGAGAAAATATACCAGGATAATGAGACAGAGTGACTAGGGCAACTCCAGGTAGTGTGCGTGAGATAAAAACCTCTTTGAGAAATAGTATTTATGCTGAAACTTCAATGATAAGAAAATAATCATGGTGAAGGGGAGTGGGAGCAAATAATGGACTATGAAAATATCTGAACCGGCTAAATCTCACTAGTAACTATCACATTATTCCTAAAGGAAAATATCTTCAAGGTTTCAAACAGTAAATACTTGCAGAATATTTGGAGGTCAAAACTTCCTGTTTACACAGACAGAACCTCCTATTTTATTCACTGTTGGATATGCTGCTTCTTTTTTATAACCATCCTAGATACTTTAATTTTCACCTCTGATCAATTCAACAAAACTTTATTTAACAATTGCCATGTGTCCAAATATATAAAGTGTATTTAGTTACAAGAGTTGCCATCACAGAATATCACAAACTAGGTGGCTTAAACAACAGAAATTTATGTACCCACAGTTCTGGAGGCTAGAAGACCAAGATCAAGGTGTTGTCAGGGTTGGTTTCTGGTGAAGCCTTTCTTTCTGGCTTGCAGATTGCCACCTTCTCATTGTGTCTTCATATGGCCTTTTCTCTGTACTTGCTTGGACAGAGGGAGAGCTCCCTGGTTTCTCTTCTTCTTTTTGCAATGACATCAATTCTATTGGATTAGGGCTCTACACTTATGACCTCATTTAACCTTGCCTCATTAAAGGCCCTATCTCCAAACCCTGTCATATTGGGGGTTAGGGCTTCAACATAAATTTGAGGGTGGGAGATAAAATTCAGTCCATAACAATCACAAATAACTGGTATGTAAGGACTTAAAATAGTATAAAAGAAAATATTTTAAAAAAAATCAGGTTTCAGATGGATTGACACAAACCAAACATTCTAAAGGAAAGCTTAATGAAGGTTTGAGTTTTTTTTCAAGAGACTTTTATAGAGAAAAGGCAACATAATCTGAAAGTCTTCAAATGTCCTGTTTGGGGGACTTTGAATCTGTTTACTGAGTGAAAATAAGTGTCAAAATTGTTTCCTTCATTGGGCTGCCATTTTTTATTATGATGGAACATATACATTGGAAAATCACAAAGAAAGCATGCATGTGATCCATCTACCTGATAAAATGTTTAACTCACTAGTAAATTAATGCAAATTAAAAGAAGAAATTCTGTGGCTTTAACATCAAATTATAGCCCAAATCCAATCATTTGTCACCACCTGCATTGCTCCCAGCTGGGCGAAACTATCATCGTCTCTTGCATAGCTTATTACAATAGGTCACCTACTGGTCATCCTGCTCTGCCCTTGCTCCACTTCAGTCGGAGTGGTTTCTGTACAACATAAGCCATTTCACTCTTTTGTTCAAACTCTCTAATGGCATCCCATTTCACTCAGAAAGAAAAGCCAATTTCCCTACAAGTATCCTCAAGTTCCTCTACCATCCCTCATTACGTGCCTGAACTCATCTTGAAGAAAAGCATCCTAACCCTATTGTGTATGACACCCAAGCTGGAACCTCAGCTTTACATTTAATAGGCTAGCAGGCTCTGGTGATGTGGTTTTCTGTAGGACAAATGTACCCCATAGTTGTGTACACATTGTTATTCTTCTTTCAATGTAAAATGAGTCTTTTGGTCAAAGGATATATTATAAAGGAACCCATGATGATAGATGAGTTATTGGATAACAGTACAGCTGGTAGTGGTGCTAGTGGTAGGCAGGAAAAACAAACCCACAAACAGACTCATGTCAATTTCACCAATGAACCAAACCTGGGTTTCTTCCATCTTCTGGCAACTGATCACAGGAAATTCCCCATCAGGCAATAAATGTGAGCAGAGGAAGAGGAATAAATGTAACGTAGACAGATGACATAAGGTTTGGGTCATGTAATTTACCTGTGTCCAATCTTAATATATACCTTTGCTCCTGTGTCTCATGCAAATGTATGACTTGTAGGTTTGACAATGCCTAGCTCATGATGAGCGTATCTGGTTGCACGGTCGTTCAATGTTTCATGGTTATGTTCATATTCTCTACTGCGACCCAGTGCCATCCAAGAGATGCTTTTTGAATGGTTAATTGTTCTTTGTTACAGACACATGGCCTTGCTAGACAATGGGTTCAGGAATCCACTGGGCCTACTGTAGGATGGATCTGAGCCAAAAGTCCATTTTTCACTTGACTGCCGTAATTCCGCACTCTGATGGGCCAGTGGAACCCAGTGAGATTTGGAGTCCCAAGGGTTTAGCATCATTTCATATATATAGGGTAGTAATCCTTGAAAAGTTTAGGTATTTTCTCCCTTTTTTCCCATGCATGGCTGCCCTAGAAAATGAACACAGGTCCCTTTGGTTAGGCTAGGAGGAATGTTTCCGTGTAAATTTTTGGCAGTGTAATAGGATGCTTCCTCAAAGAGAACCACTTCATTCAGTCTGTGGATTGATTCTAGCTGGCAAGAGCATTGTGGGCTGTGACTCACTTTGCTTTTAGAAATCAAGTAAGACTTTAGTAGAATGTCCATTTATACCAGTTGCAGGGTCACCATGATCATTTAATCATTAACAAAGGTTTCTGTAGGTCAAGCCATTCAGATTATTGCTGCAGCCTGGCTGTACATCTCAGTAATTATCCACACCTTGTCACTGGCAATTAAGTATTCCACTTGACCTCTATTATTCCAGGATTCCATCTGTCTTGTTAGAATCAGGGAGCTATTTTCAGTAGTAATGTTTCCCGGCAGCATTCCTGACTTACAGAGTTTATCAGACATCTTGGTGCTCCCTTTACCTATGCATTTCTCAGGGTTTTGGTGAAAAAAGAGTTCTCTAGATTCACTAGAAAAAATAGATAGGGGGAAGGTAAGTGGACCACACATAGTAAGTTTCACTCCAGCCCCTCCCTTGCCTTTTGGATTTTGGCAGGGGTCAGCAAACACTTTCATTAAAGGGCCACATAAGAAAAATTCGGCACTGTGGGTAATATGATCTGTGTCATAACTACCCACCTCTGTGGTTTTGGTATGGAAGTTGCCAAAGACAATACATAAAATAGCAAGTATAGCTGTGTGGCAATAAAACTCTATTTACTAAAACAGTTTGCAGGCTGGATTTGGTCCATGAATTACATTTTGTTGATCTGTGTCCATTCTACAGTATACAAAGGAAGTTCGGGCATTTATACTTCATTTATTGTTGGGTACTGTGGGTTCAGGTTTATGTTAGTCATTCAAGTAAATTGATAAAATTACTATCATCCCCCTTTGAATTACCAATCTCTGGTTAATGTACCAATAACAATAAATTCAACCAGATCAAATATCACATTATTTGTCATTCTGTTCTATCATCTTTAGAACCTACACACACACACACACACACAGACACACACACACACACACACACACACACACACACGTATTCCTCAGGAATAATTGGCAAAATCTTGAAATTCTCTTGGTGTCTGTGGTATCACCTCCTGTTCACACTTTGTACTTCTGATCTAATTAGATCTGAGTCTAGAGACATTGAGAAGCAGGAGAGATGGGTCATAGGAAGGACCAGCAGTTATTTTCAAAGCCACACCTTCATAAGAAGTCATTACAGGTCTTTAGGCAAGGGGAGGTTAGATTCAGATAGTGGAACAGGGGCTGCTTCTGCCAGGAAGGGAAGCTCAGAGGAATTTGTGAGTTCAACTCTTTAAACTTCACCGAAAACTGTTCAGATGTCACCATCCCAGTTTTTAGGGCCTCTTCATCTAGCGAAATGGTAGCTGAGTTTGGCTCTCTCCGTTAAAAACCCCAAAGGGAAGTAGATAATATACGGAGCAGAGTTAACACACACTTTCTTCCCTGGCTTATGGTACCATCTGAGCCTCACTGTGACATCCAGCACCTTCCAACTGTAGTGATTATATCATATAACATTCAATGGTAGATCATCATCTAACTGCATTTTTAAATTGAGACATTGACACATTCATATGTGTTGTGTATATATATATAACATATATATGCATGAAATATTTATATGTGTATATATATAACATGAAAGAATAAAGCATATTTTCAATATTGCATTGTTTTCCCTTCTTATTTGAGAAAGAGAAAGAACAGAAAATCCTGGATTTTAAAATTTGCTGTAGAATAGATCCTTTTCCAAATTCAATTTTTAACATTCTTGCTTTTTAAATATTGAGCTTTCTAGTAGATATTAACTGTATCATTCTTCAGTTATTTGAGTTGAGACTTTACCTTACTTTTTTCCTCACTGATATACCACAGTAAATTTCTCTAACTAGGTCTTCTTCCAGTCAGACAACTTCCATTCAGATATCTGTTTGGAAATGTTTATAGATTTATAATTGTCCTTTGTGGTCCTTCCTGTGATTAACAATGGTATTGTTTTATATGAAGATGGTTGTGGTGTTGGGCTGCATAACAGGCCGTAATTAAAGGCCCTTCCTATAACCATGCTCTTTGCTATGTGATTTTGCAGATCTTCCCACAATTTTTCTGCTATGGCCAGTTGAATGGGGTAGCAGTGAGGGGTATGCAAATTGCATGACCAGACCTTAAGATACCTTGACTGTTTCTACTTGTCCTCTTGTGCTGTCTGCCATTGACATGAGAGGAGTTTCCTCTCATTAGCTGCTGCCTTGTCAACACGAATTCAAGCATAAACACACGCGAAGCAAATCTAAGCAGAAACCCCAGCAGGTAACCACGCCCAACTTGAATGAGAGGCACCCAGCCGAGCCCAGCCTGGGTCAATAAACTTCCTCCCTACCCACAGATATATTACCTTCAAAAATGTCTATACTAATATGCCACTGAGATTTTTGTTTGTTTGTTATGTAGCTTTGTTCTGGCAGTACCTAGCTGATACAACGGTAATACATAGAGATTTTGCAGCAACTCATGATCCAGCTCCTTTGCATTAGTTTTTTATCATACAAAAAATGATTTCATATACATTTATCAATACAAATACAGCAGAACATTATCTGGCATACAACATGTTTTAAATTTATTTTTTTCTTGAGGTCAGTTTTTCTGAGTAAAAATCTTGGCTATAGTTGTTTACAATAATTTCATTTTTGGATTTGTTTACAATAATTTTGCTTTTGGATTAAATTGCATCAATAGTATCCATTTAGTATTCCAATAATTCAAATAAAAATTGCATTCTTGCTTTAAAAGTTTGTTCTTCTTTATTTAGCCTGAAAGTTTTTAGACCATTGACATTTAAAACAAAGTTGGCTCAATGTAACTATTCAATTGTATTGATAGAGTTCTCACAGTTTTTACTGTTTAAATTAATGTGAAGTAATAACAATTCTTTTCAATTAAGACCCTAGTAACCATGTCCATCATCTTTCAAATATCCTTTTCTGGGTTCTAAAGGAGTTTGCTTTATTCAATTAGTAGAAGGGTGATTATTTCACACAATAAAGACATCTTCCATGCAATACAGTTGGTGGTGAGTAGTTTGCCTGATTTTTCAAGGAAGTTGTTTTGTCAACATTGTACTAGAATCTAGGAGTGTGAAATTGTGGTTTCTATAGAGTATAAACAAGTCTCATAGCTTGAAAATCAAGTAAATTAATTTTAGTTCTTCACTTAAACTACTGCTGAGAAGTACTTCATTTCCCAATTCTTCCTTCTCTAAATAGATTAAGGGTTACATGAAAGTCAAGTTGTGCTCATTTGTTCTTCCTCTAGAGAGATTTCACCTGACTGCTTATTTCAGTTTCTTCTTAACACAATTGGTTTCTCTCCTTCTCTACTGTCCCTCTCTCCCTGCCTCCCTGACTTCTGTTGTTGCTATTCTCCCTTTATTTATTTCTTCCTATCTTCATTCTTTTGATTGACCAAAATTGAAGACAAACAATCTTAATATTCCTGATCTTTTAAAAAAGAAAACAAGGCAAAGAAACAACTCTTCAGAATAAAACAACATAATAACTCAATCTTAGGGGATTATTATAAAATTAGGACATGAATCTTCCTTGTACTCCCTCTGATTCAACTCATGGTGCCCATATTGTGCTAACCTCTCAATTGATTTGGCATTCAAGAAGTCCTTATTGGTCCGTAAATTATGTGTTTTTGAGTGAAGCTCTGATTTATGGAGAAGAAGCTTCATAAAAGAGGAGAAGAATGACTATACTGAATGACATTTATGGAAGAACTTGATTATCATAAACTTCAGGTTGACTTTCATAAAGATGAAAATCATTCTCTTCAAGAATGACTCAGATTCATTGATCACTTTTGTTGTGCCAGACACTGGACAAATATACAAAAATTATTAGTTACTCTAATTTAGTTAATGAGGAACCTAAGGAACAAAAAATTTAGGTATCTTGTTAAGTCACAGAGTCAGGAAGTAGTGGAGATGGGATTAAAACCTAGGTCTTCCTGAATGTGAAGTCTGCGTCTTTATGTTCTCTTCTGTTTAGACCTATAAAGTTGAAATTACCAAAAAGACTCCATTCAAATCAGAAGAATCTCTTTTAAAATTATCCAACCACCAGCACAGACACATACATGAAGCAAGTTAAAATTTTTAGCAGAGACGGTAAACATAAAAAACGTTTATGAGAAGAATTTGTGATGCACAAGTGACACTCAGAATATTTGAAAATATATATATGACTTTTAGCCTCAAATCTTTTACATGCAGCCTTAAAGATTTTGACAGTGCTAATAGATATTTGGAAGGAATCTATTCATATTGCCCTCCCTTCTAATGGAAATAAACATGTTGTGCATCTCTGTCTCAAATTGGATTAGAAAAATAAATGTAGTAAGCCAGATATCCCAGGAATTGTACAAAGAAAGAGGATCTCATATCCCAACCTTTGTGGGCTCACCTTAGAAAGAAGAAAGTATGGATGAGCAACGGCTTCTCCAACTCCAAATGATCAAACACATTAATTGAGCACTTAAGACACACAGAGCATTAGCTTAGGAAAAGGGGTTGATACGGAAGGCTGATGAGACAGGAGAAGTGCAATCTATTTGGAGAGAAAGATATTAACACGGTATGAAAGTTGTCGAAAGATGATACATGGTCATTTTGCAAAAGTATTAGAAAAAATATGTTCTATAATAACTGAGAAACTAGAGAAAGACCTTTTCAGTAGATGTGGTAAGGAAAACGAAGGATCAGCAAAAATAAAACGACTCAGCCTGGGGCAACTAAGGCAGGCCAGTAGAAGAAAAAGGTAACAATTACTCTTGAAGATAGTACTGCAACATAATGTATGTAGTATATGACAGCCAGATAGGATGAGATATAGTAAGCCACGGTTCTACAGTGGATGTTGTGAAATAATAATACTGTACATAGCACTTATTTAACTTTTATTATGTGCCAGGCACTTTTATGACACCTTGCTACTCTAAGTGTGATTCACAGATGAACACCTTCAGCATTATCTAGAGCTTGTTAAAAAATGCAGAATTTCAGTCCTCCCCCTAGACTTACTGAAAGAGAATTTGCATTTCAACATGATTCCCAAGTGATTTGTAAAGAACATTAAAATTTGAGAAGCACTGTATCAGAATGCTTTACTTGGTTCACTCTTACAACAATATGGGAAGGTACTATTATTAGCCTCATTTTATAGATGAGAGAACTGAGGCACAGAGGACACAAAGAAGTTGGATTAATTAAATGCCTGTAGTTAGTCAGTGGCAGAGTAGGATTCAAACCCATGCACCCAGAGCACCTGCCTTTCCTGACTACATTATTCAGTTCCCTTGATCAGCGCACTGGGCACAGAAACTCAAGAGCAATTGCCAGTTGGATACAACCAAATATTATCCTTCAGTAGCAATTACATTTCTTCTTTTAATTCAGGACTATGGGAAAATTTCAGGGTCTCCACTCAGAATAGAGGTAGCCAGAGTTTGAAATGAGAACTAAATTCTGTCACTTATTCAGAACATCTAAAAGGAAATAAATACATAGCTGATTGTAAATAATAGATGGTGTAGTTCTGTTTAATTTCTCCTCAGGAAGTGGTGGATGTGGCATAAAGGTGAGTGTAGCTAAAGCAAGTGTCTTCTCTTAGGGTGTAAGTTTGAAATGTCCCCTGGGCCTCCTCTTTGTTTCCATGTCTGTGGAGCGATTATTGCATTTTGTTACTGGAGTTAGAATTCCAACCACAGAGAACTCTTAGTCTTCCCATCTGCAATTGTTTAAAATTCAAATTCTGAATTCAGATTATAGATTTTTAATTATACTTACATTTAAGTGACAGGCTTCCATTTTAAGTACAGTTGATCCTTGAACACTGTGGGGATTAGGGGTGCCAACCCCCCATGCCATCAAAAATCCACATGTAACTTTTCACTCCCCCCAAATCTAACTATTAGTAGCCTACTGTTGATAGGAAGCCTCTCAGATAACATAAACAGTCAGTTAACACATGTTTTTTATGCTATATGTATTATATGCTGTATTCTTGTAATAAGGGAGCTAGAGGAAACAAAATGTTATTAAGAAAATCATAAGGAAGAGAAAACACATTCACAGTACTATACTGTATATATGATACCTTAAGTTTACATCATCAGTTTACAAGATGAATTGTCCTTCTCAAATGGCGGGCAACTGCAGCTGCAGACCTCAATCTATGGTACATATCAAGCAATTCAACTGTTTCTTGTAATGTCATGACTTTTTTCTGCTTCTTGGGAATATTTCCAGCATCATTAGTGGCACTTCGTATGGGTCCCACCATGGTGTTATTCAAGGTTTACTGTTTTGCACCGAACACAATGAAAAATACTCGAGAACCACGAGAGATCACTTTTTACTGTGACACGCAATTTACTGCAGAGACAACTGCTTACTCAGAGATGATTAGCGTCACAGCATGGCTTAAGCGGACACTGGCAACACTTGAGCTCACCACCATAGTAACAAGAGGTGGCTACAAAGTTATTCCAGTAGTACATTATGTGTACTACCGTTCATTTAATGCAGTTACAATTTCATAATATATCTTTACATTTGTTTACATTTCTCTCGATTGCAAATGGCACCATTACAGTGTGTGTTTAGGTATGTAAGTTTTGGTACATTTTAACTTTTTATAATAGATTTGTGTGTGTTTTATGGTAGCAAATGATGAGACTGGAAGCTACATATATTTTATATATTCATGACATACTCGACATTTTCTTATTTTAAAAAAATATTTCTAGGCTATGTAGTTCATCTGTGAGTTTTTTCAAACTGTCTCAAATCTCTAAAATTTTTTCCAACATATTTATTGAAAAAGTCTGTGTATAAGTGGATCCATGTAGTTCAAACCTATGTTGTTCAAGGGTCAACTGTACATTCTGCAAATTCCTGTTGCCTCTTTTTTTTTTTTTTTGGTGTGAGGGAGGACCGCTCACACCGTCTGTGTGGTGCCATAGCTTTCTTTACCATCTCTTTGAAAAGCTTTCACTGATTTGCTTGGTCTGTTCATGATGTTATTGATTCTAACTCTGGATCTTCGGGTGAGGAAAAATTTCCATGTTGAAATGTAACTGAAAAGTTTCCCCAAGAGGGTAGAGAATCTTGGAGTAAATGATAATTTCTGGGCATCTCAATTTATTGTCCATCTTGCCTTCTTGTAACCCCCTATGGAGCTTTAAAATTAACCATTCTGCCAGCTATCATATAGCCTGCATATGTTCAAAGTGACTTTAGCAAACAGCAAGACAGGTTATCTTTTGAGTAATGTTTGTAGATACTACTAAGGTTGTCAAACTACCAACGACTGTTTTACTATCTATCCTGAAAATAATCTTGTGAAACTAGGTTTAAGAGGAATAAAAATCTACCATCTTAATACTCAAATAAAATTAGGATGGTCCTCATGTGTATCCCATATGAAGGTTTAAATAAATAACATAGAAAACCAGCTAAAATTTTTGTAAACACATTCTTTTCAACACTGTGAAATAAGTCATTGGCAAATTAACAGAACTACCTTCACTTTTCTGTGGATATGGACAACACTGTTTCATTTTTTTTACAGAAAGAGAATGTTGAGTGCTGTAGAGTAAAGCTAGAAATTTCAAGAGCTATATTTTTGAGCCTAAGAAATATCACATTTGTAAAATGTGAGAAGAAAAGATAAGAGGCAAACTCTACTTACACTGTTGTACAGTGAAAATGCATGGCAGTTGAAGGAGACAGGTCGAGATTCTAATCATGACAATGTTACTATGACTTGATCTTTTTTGTGTGCTCTGAGATAAATTCCCTGTTGTGCTCTGTACTTCAAGAAGCTGTTATCTGCAAACTAAAATTCAGCTAAGATCCACCACTGTGGTGGGAAATTTGGGGGCAGGAAGCAGGATGACAGGGCACGTCTTCCCCTTTCTGCTGGATCACCAAAGGGGCTGCATCTCTTCCAGGATCCCAGGACTCCGGATATACCTTTCCAGTGAGGTTCCTGGCGGACAGCTTCTGAGCTCTAGGAATGCCACCGCCTCCTTTTGGATGGTAGCAACTTCCTTCTGTTGCTAACCTTGGGGTTGTCTTACTATACCCTCTTTGGCACTTAGCACTTCTAACATCCTTTTAACTGGTGCTTTGTATCAAATGCCCTCTACCGAATTACTGGTGGTCAGTTCTGTTTTCCCAGTTAGATCTGATGTATACAAAATCTCTTTGAATCCCAGTTTCCTCATCTACAGAATTAAATAATGCCTTTCTTTGATGTTTGTCATAGCGACTATAGAAAACATACATATCATTTGCGAGGCCCCAGCCAAATGCAGGTTTTTATACTGAAAATGTTATTAAAATAAAACCATTCTCATTTGTTTATGTTTTTCAAAACCTGCTTCAATGTCATAATGGCAGGGCTGAGTAGTTTCTAAAGAGACCATATAGCTTGTAATGCCTAAAATACTTGCTATTTGGCCCTTTTCAGAAAAAGTATGCTGACTCCTGGCATAGTTTTGTTTCATAATGAGTGTTCCCTAATTGGTAGCTTCCATTGTTCTCTTACATTGTATATTTCTAGTTATAAGTCTTCATTATGATGCTGCATAGGGAATTATCCTAGAGGTGGCATTAAAGAGCTGCTGTCTGTTAGAATTGGGAGGGGAAGTTAGAGATGATCTTTCTTTCCCCCATTTTCAATTGATTCCTGTGGTTTATTTCCACATTCAGAGTCTTTGACAGTAAATCAAACTCAATAAACAGAAGAGTAGCTTAACATGGGTGATCCGTGTAATAGGTAAAGAAAGCTTACATTATTGAAACAACTATCTCAACTGTGTATGAAGTGCTGAAGTGTCACAAAAAAAGTACATTTTAAGTTCTCACTTGTGTGTGTGCTGCAGTACTCCCCTGGGCTATATGACCCTGCAGGCAATACAGCCAATAAAAACTCAATGGAAGAAAAAGTGCTTAACCTACTCTCATAGATAAAGCCAAAGTGAACTTTAGTTTGGAGAGAATTGGCAGGTTAATTAAGAAGTCTGTTGATAATTATGTTAAGAGCACTGACTGATGTATAATTCATCTTGATGTTACTTGACATATAGATGTAACTGATGTTTGTGTGAGAAGTTTAAAATTAGGTATGTGGAAAATTTGCTGTACACCTTGTTACAAGATCAATGGGTTCATATGCCCACTGTGCAATAACAGACCAGTACAGCAAGACCTCAGGGTTTGCAGAGGAGAAACAGGTTAAGGATCACAGGGCAGCCAAACGAGGAGATGGGAGGGACCCTTGAAATCGATCTCTCCTAGGAGATCCGGGCTAGGATCGCTAAGGGGATCATGGAAGGCAAGGGGCTGGAAAACTGGGGTCGTTGCTTGGTTAGGGTAAGAAGGATGAAATCATTAGGACGTAGAAACTGCATTCTTTGGTGAGTCAGCTCCTCTTTGGGTCCTTCAGATCAGTTGATGTGAGTGGTATGCAGGACCTGAAAGAATAGCTCAAAGGGCAAACAACATTTCACAATGCTTAAGCTATTATCTATAGGGTGGTTAGGGGAACTCTAATCATATGACAGGGTCTACATGATTCTGAGGTGCTAGGCAGCAAACCACTCTGAGGTAGCAGGTCAGAGAGCCGGCTGACCTCATGATGAATGATAAATGTGCTCAGGCTGGGCATATTTTCATTTCTCCCCTCTCTTCTTCCCTGTTAATCTTATAAAATTCACAGGGATGCGTTTAGCCTCTGCCAGTGACTTTTCCCCAAAAGTTGAGTGCGACCTGTCATAATTGGAAGATGTATATATAAATTCAACTCTAAGACATTTTATAAGGATGCAGTTGATAAAGCATGAGAAGATTGCCTTAACTCTCCAAAGTTTATTTTTCTAATTATAAAATTGGAATTATATAACGTTGCATGGCATTTATGAGGAGTAAACAAGTAAAAAAAGTAAAATGTTTAGCTTAGAACCTAGAACACAGCCAATTAGAAAACTGTACTGTAGTTTCATTCCCTGTTTCTTCAGGCCACAAATAACAGCCAGTTGATTCTCATTTAAAACATTATCTTGTTCTAATTGATTAATATCAAACATTGTGTTCTAAATAAGAGAGAATCATGCTTCATATTTCTTTGAATATCTGACTGATGGAAGTCCAAGCATAAAGGCATGGGACAATGGGTTGGTATTAGGACAAAATGGCAATCTAATGACAGCTTTTGCATACTTACAAGTCATAATATGTTTTGAATGAAGAAATAGTAACATTATAAAAGATGTGGTTGGGCACAGTCGCTCACGCCTGTAATTCCAGCATAGGGAGGCCGAGGCGCGTGGATCACCTGAGGTCAGGAGTTCAAGACTAACCTAACCAACATGGTGAAACCCTGTCTCCACTTAAAATAGAAAAATTAGCCAGATGTATTGGCACACGCCTGTAATCCCAGCTACTCAGTAGGCTGAGACAGGAGAATCGCTTGAACCCAGGAGGCGGAGGTTGCAGTGAGCTGAGATTGTGCCATTGCAATCCAGCCTGGGTGACAGAGCGAGACTCCTTCTCAAAAAAAAAAAAAAAAATGACCTCAGTAGAACACATTGATAAGTTTTTAGAAGGAATAGAGTGAAGAGTAAATATTTTGAATTCATGTCATCATAATGCTCATTAGAAAAAAAAGTTGTTCTAATATGTAAAGGAAACTACTAAGTAGCCTTAACTCATTTCTATTATGATTATTATGTTTATATATATTATTATAAATATAGATATAATATATATTATAATGTTTCCTATAAAGAAACTTAGTGCCTATAGACAAGGTTCAGGCATTCACACACACACACACACACACACGAATCTAAAATTGTTGAAATATTTTGTTAAGACTCAAGAATATCACTTTAAAATGATGGCAATGAAACGATATGGTTTTATTATCAGCCCAGTGAATGATTTCAGATCACTCAAAATATTGCATACTGAATTTAGTGGTTTTAAAGGTACTCTTGTGTGTGAAAAAAGTCCTTACTATATAGACAAGTTAAAAAATCAATATCATGAACATCTAAAACTCAGAAAAAAAATGCATGAAGGATTTACTCCATTTGCCAGAAAATGCTGATGCCAACGGATAACCCCACAGACTTATTATAGATACATTCATACTGTGCTACTTATAGCATATCTTGATCAAAGGACACCCACGTTAGGTCAAAATGAATGACTGGCCAGATGAAGAACAACTAAGAAAATATTTTTCATTTTAGTGACTGAAGAGCCAGTGTGATGACTACAACAATGAGATTAAACCTACATTAATTTGGTATCATATTTTAGGCTAGTTGGAAAACAGGTTGCTTAAAAACCAAATATTCTGAGTATTGTGGATCTAGACTTAATTTCAGGGAATTAATTGGGAGCTGCCTGAATTTTTAAAATCTGATCACCTGTAACCAGAACGTTTCAGCTGGAATATCACATTTCAGAATTTCTCAGTTCTCATCACAAGTATCAAGTGAATACAGTGAAGAGAAAGGCAGCAGAAAGTATATTCAAAAGTCTCAGTGGTGCAAATTAAAAAATCAAGCATTGGCGCAATGGCTCACGCCTGTAATCCCAGCACTTTGGGAGGCTGAGGTAGGTCGATCACTTGAGCTCAGGAGTTCAAGACCAGCCTGGACAACATGGTGAAACGCTGTCTCTACTGAAAATACAAAAAATTAGCCAAGCGTGGTGGTGGGCACCTGTAACCCCAGCTACTTGGGAGGCTGAGGCAGGAGAATCGCTGGATCCTGGTGGGTGGAGGCTACAGTGAGCTGAGATTGTGCCACTGCACTCCAGCCTGGGCAAGAGAGAGAGATTCCATCTCAAAAAATAAATAAATAAATAAATAAAAATCAAGCATTACATGTTACTTAGCATAAACATTTAACATTGTATACTCAAAAGCTATGCAAATTTTGTATCAATGCTTCTGAGTTCATCTGATCAAACTTCTGCCCTCCAATGTCTTAATATCTTATTTTTCTCTTACAAACAGTAGTAAAAGATGCCTTACTACTTTAGTTATCTTAAAAGTGAGAGTCAGTTTCCATGTAGTTGAGTAGTTTTGAGTGAGTTTCTTAGTCCTGAGTTCTAGTTTGATTGCACTGTGGTCTGAGAGATAGTTTGTTATAATTTCTGTTCTTTTACATTTGCTGAGGAGAGCTTTACTTCCAACTGTGTGGTCAATTTTGGAATAGGTGTGGTGTGGTGCTGAAAAAAATGTATATTCTGTTGATTTGGGGTGGAGAGTTCTGTAGATGTCTATTAGGTCCGCTTGGTGCAGAGCTGAGTTCAATTCCTGGGTATCCTTGTTGACTTTCTGTCTCGTTGATCTGTCTAATGTTGACAGTGGGGTGTTAAAGTCTCCCATTATTAATGTGTGGGAGTCTAAGTCTCTTTGTAGGTCACTCAGGACTTGCTTTATGAATCTGGGTGCTCCTGTATTGGGTGCATATATATTTAGGATAGTTAGCTCTTCTTGTTGAATTAATCCCTTTACCATTATGTAATGGCCTTTGTCTCTTTTGATCTTTGTTGGTTTAAAGTCTGTTTTATCAGAGACTAGGATTGCAACCCCTGCCTTTTTTTGTTTTCCATTTGCTTGGTAGATCTTCCTCTATCCTTTTATTTTGAGCCTATGTTTGTTGCTGCATGTGAGACGGGTTTCCTGAATACAACACACTGATGGGTCTTGACTCTTTATCCAATTTGCCAGTCTGTGTCTTTTAATTGGAGCATTTAGTTCATTTACATTTAAAGTTAATATTGTTATGTATGAATTTAAACCTGTCATTATGATGCTAGTTGGTTATTTTGCTCGTTAGTTGATGCAGTTTCTTCCTAGTCTCGATGGTCTTTACATTTTGGTATGATTTTGCAGCGGCTGGTACCGGTTGTTCCTTTCCATGTTTAGTGCTTCTTTCAGGAGCTCTTTTAGGGCAGGCCTGGTGGTGACAAAATCTCTCAGCATTTGCTTGTCTGTAAAGTATTTTATTTCTCCTTCACTTATGAAGCCTAGTTTGGCTGGATATGAAATTCTGGGTTGAAAATTCTTTTCTTTAAGAATGTTGAATATTGGCCCCCACTCTCTTCTGGCTTGTAGAGTTTCTGCCCAGTGTCCTTTGTAGGGACATGGATGAAACTGGAAATCATCATTCTCAGTAAACTATCGCAAGAACAAAAAACCAAACACCTCATATTCTCACTCATAGGTGAGAACTGAACAATGGGAACACATGGACACAGGAGGGGGAACATCACACTCTGGGGACTGTTGTGGGGTGGGGGGAGGGGGGAGGGATAGCATTGGGAGATATACCTAATGCTAGATGACAAGTTAATGGGTGCAGTGCACCAGCATGTCACATGTATACATAGGTAACTAAACTGCACATTGTGCACATGTACCCTAAAACTTAAAGTATAATAATAAAAAAAAAAAGTGAAAGTCGCCGGGTGCGGTGGCTCATGCCTTTAATCCCAGCACTTCGGGAGGCCGAGGCGGGCAGATCACGAGCTCAGGAGATCGAGACCACGATGAAACCCCGTCTCTACTAAAAATACAAAAAATTAGCTGGGCGCAGTGGCGGGCGCCTGTAGTCCCAGTAACTCGGGAGGCTGAGGCAGGAGAATGGCGTGAACCTGTGAGGCGGAGCTTTCACTCCAGCCTGGGCGACAGAGCGAGACTCCATCTCAAAAAAAAAAAAAAAAAAAAAAAAGTGACAGTCATTGAAAAGTAATGACTTGGAATTTTCATCCAATAAGCTTGAAAAATTAGCAAAACAATAAGTCAATTTTGTATTTCTGCTTCATGAAAAAAAGGAATTCCACTTCCCAGAGGAAGGTATAGAAATACTGTTCATCATAATTATGACTGTGTTACTAAAAATTGAAGCATAAACACATTTAGTGCAAAATGTAAATATTGCAACTAAGTGGGTTGGGCACCTGGGTCTCATCTGGATTTCCCTAAAACCAGCTATAGTACTCAGGTAAACACAGGTGTAGGTCTTTTCAAACTTGCAGTATGCTATTCTAAAATTATATGCTAACTCATCTTGTAATGGACACTTTAATTAACAGCTGCACAAGCTTCAAAAATTAACTAAAATGCGGTAACTTTTGGCAGTAAATGAGGAAGTTTGTATATACACACACATGCACACATATATGTAAAATAAAAATATATACCTGAAAATAAAACCTTTTTTAAAAAATATGGTAATAGACATATAGAAGCAGATAAACCTAAATGAAATGGAGAGGTAGCAGGGTATTTTTGGAAGGAAAATATATTCTAGATAACGGTAAAAAGAAGTGGTAAAATATAGAAATACAAAGTGCCTTCTTTGTTTACTTATTCAGAAAGGATGCCTGTCTAAAATCAAGATGCCTATTAGCTAAGAGGAGAGTGAGCAATTTATGCTATCAGGAACCTTCTTCTTTTATAGCCCACTGACTTCCGAGGTTCTTAGCACACATGTACTCTCCACAATTAGCTTTTCCTGGGGCCCATTGCATATAAAAATGTGTAAGGATTTGAAAAGCCACCATGAGATAGGAATGGGGTTTCTCATCTGAGGCTTCTAACTGGCCTCATGAGACACAATTTATCACTCAGGACATGATCTAGAAAAATCAAGGGTAGGCCAACATTTTAATACTAATCACTGCAGATAAGGGCAATACAAATTTGGGGATGATTGATGTTGAAATTTCATAAGAAACAATGAGAAATTAAAACAGAATTTAGTAAAACTTTTTGCATGGTAGATGCCATTTAAAGAAATAACTACTTCTTATTTAAACAGTGGGAGGGGCTCAGAAGAAAGAGCTTGAACAGAAATGCAGATGACAGTTTGAAAAGCATGCTTGCAGTGAGTCAGCATTCCTCCATATCTCTACATCTTCCCAGCTCAGGTCAGCCTTCTATACAGTGGGTACATATTTTTTATGGTTAGTAACAAAAGTTGGCAGTTTTAATGGGCTGGGGCTCCTGTGACACTTGGCAGGGAGCAAGGTGTTAGAGAGATCACTACTCTAAGAATACTGCACGTTAAAAACAAGTTTCCCAAGACATTTCAGCCTATGAGTTTTATTGTTGTTGTTGTTGTTTTCTGAGATGAAGTCTTGCATTGTCACCCGGGCTGGAGTGCAGTGATGCAATCTCGGCTCACTGCAACTTCTGCCTCCTGGGTTCAAGTGATTCTCCTGCCTCAGCCTCCCGAGTAGCTGGGATTACAGGCGCCAGCCACCGTGCTCGGCAATTTTTTTTTTTTTTTGTATTTTTAATAGAGATGGGGTTTTCACTATGTTGGCCAGGGTGGTCTCAAACTCTTGACCTTGTGATCCACCCACCTCAGCCTCCCAAAGTGCTGGGACTACAGGAGTGAGCCGCCATGTCCAGCTGCCTATGAATTTTATAGTAAATGTAAAACGTAAACTGCTGTTGTGAGTGAAAGTTAATGAACAACTTCTTCATCCACCTCCAAAATTCTCATTCATTCAGTTATATCTGACAGGACTTCAAGGTGTCTCAGATGTACTCAGAAATAATCCTTGAATCTTCCCAGAATCTGGACCCCGTTCTAATATCTGCTACTTACAATGCTATTTGAGAATGATACAGAGTCACTTCATACTTCTCCCTGTGGCAAAGGTATGAGCTAATACAATCATCATTTATGGTACCAAATAACCCAGAATTTCCTATGCCGTCATTGAACTGAAGCCATTCTGTCTTTCACCCAGAAGTGGGAAGAACTTTGTCTGGCACACACCAGAGAAGTACTGCTTATGACGCCAAGATAAACAAATGTTCGTTATGAAAATAGCTCCTTTGGCTTCAGTCTACAGCCTATTTCTCATGGGGCCCAACTACAGTGCTAGGGGAGGACCAGAGATTTGACATCTTGCAGCATTCTCTGGATATATATATATCTCAAAGGTCCACTATCCCATCATTTCATCAAACATATCAGCTATGATAGAAATCTCTTAGCTTACTGGGACCCTGGCTGCCAGTATTTGACTGAAGTAAACTGATGATTTGTGGCAAGTCCTTTTGGATTTTTACTCATACTGCAGTCAGATGCGTCTCTTGCCTTTATGACTTTGTCCAGCATCAATTTTTATTTCTAGGTAACTTGCTAAAATGAATTATTCTTATGGTTTAATATTAGTCCTTCTCTCCCAACCCCATTCCAAAGCTAAGTGTAATTGTCTTAAATTCACACCTCTTGCCACTCTTCTTAACAGGAAAGGTGGTCTATTTCCTGTTGAAACAACATGGTAGCATTTTTTTATTCAATAAAATTGGCAGTATCTCATAAAATACATTCATGTAAGGAATAAAGATTTGTATTCTAGTCATTCCTCCATCAGCGACGGGTCCTGTGACCTTTGGAAAGTTCCTTAATTATCCCGATTTGATTCTATAAAATGTACATTGTGATAGGCATTACTTAATGATGTCACAGGAAATAGAGTGATACTCCAGGAAAACTTTGTAAATATATCTATTTAAAAGATAGATATATAGAGCGATATATACATGTCAAATCTGTAATATTTTAAATAATTTTTAGATTTAATATTTTAAATTAAATGATTACCTTTCAAATTGCAGGCTTCCCATTCACAAAGACTTCGTCTTTAACAGAATGCTCTTACCTTATTTGAAAATATAGATTTTATCATTCTTAAGTATGTCAAAGTTTGTTTATGAACAGATAAGTCTTGCATGCCCCATAGACTATAATCAAAAAACAAAACACTTGCAGTAGGTTGGTATTGAAACCTGCTGTTCTCTTTCCCGGTTTTTCCTATTTAGTTCAAATGTTCAACTGTTTAGCAGGCTGAGATAACTTAATCAATGAAGCTCTTATTTTTGGCATTCTCAGATTCCAAATTAAAATTACATTATATTTTTTTGGGAAAACCCCCCACCAGTACCATCTGTGAATTGAATGGTGTCATTACATCAAAGTACTGCAATTAGAACAATAGGGTAAAATTAATGCCAATGTTAAGTACAGATGTGCCAAATATGATGGGTAGTTGATACACAATTCAAATTGACAACCACGTGCAATGTGGAAAGTATCCAGGCATAACCCCAGATCCAGTTGGCCAATGGATGTCATGATTGCCTCACAGAGAACATATTTAAAAGAGATTTATTTGGCAGTAAGAAAAAGTTAGTTTCAAAAGACCATAGTCTATCCTTGGTTACTCATGCAAAGCTCTCATTATCTTAGGATAAAAATGGGCCCAAAGAAGATAATCCAAAGAGTATACAACATTCCATAACCATGAAACAAAATTCCCATTTTTTTCTGTTTAGGAATAGAATATTCGGTATTTGCATTACATGGTAGATCAGATGGCATTATTAGTTGAATAGTGCTGCTTTTCCACTTTTGTAGCTGAGTCAAGCTATTAGCTTTATCATGCGATGGGGGTTTCTTAGTATATGTTTATAGCATAGTACATTTTAATATTTAGGTTCACCATCTGTAAAACCAGATTTTTAAAATGAATGATCATAGACTAGAATTCCTTTCAGTTTGGTATCTTCTGATGTTTGGGATGAATTTTAATGCTGAAAGAGTGGTTTTATGCAGATAATCATAAGCTGTTTAATTGCCATCATTTCATGTTGGTGTATTTGAAAAAATGTGGTATTAAAAGGAGAGATATGAGTGGTTTAATGTGTAAAAGTATCGATGAGTCATTGGCAGCTATCTCTATTAGCACTTCAACTACAATTTTTTATGTGAACGTAATTTTGCTACTCAACCTAGAAATTTTTAGCAACAAATTTAAAACAAACATTTTTTTGGGTGAATAGGCATAATTAACCTCTAAGCCTCATAGCAGCAGCTTTTATTTAAGCAAATACGTTTCAAAAATGAGACAATATTTATAAAGCTAGAATAGCAGTTGCTAGGTCAACAATTATGTGGAGATATGAACTGATGTGTTTCTGTTCATGAAGGCTATCTTGAACTGAGGTCATGGTGATATTTTTCTGTAGAACAAAAAAATTGCAGTTCAAGAATGATGGCACATCCATGTTCTTTTCCGAAATTCTACATTTCCACATTCTTTTCCTTCATTATTGCTCAATTTTCTGAATCTTAAGATTTAAAGTGGAGAAGGGAACATGCCAAGAGGCATAAATTCTTATATCGTTTCACCACTTGTCATTATGAATCCAGAAATTTACCAAAAGTCACTTTATAAGTAGTAGTAGCATTTATCATAATATTTCCCCCAGTTAAATACTCTTATCTAAATGACAAAAAGACTAGGTTAATTTATAGTAACTTAGAACAATATGTACTTACTGAGAATGTAATATATACAAGGGGCTACAGATGAAACATTATTGAATAAACAACTCTTAGTGTGATTATCATCTTAAAAGAGATCCAGATAATGGAAGGCAAAGCAAAAATGAAACAAATGATATGAGAAGTGTAAGAATATTTAATAAGGGGAAGTAACTTAGATTATAGGCATCAGGATCCCCTCCAGAGCAGGGGGTAGTTTTGGGCTGAGTTGATGGAGACTCCAGGTGGAGCAAACACCATGAACAAATGTAGGAAAAAATCTAGGGAGTAAGAATCATTTGTTTACTCTACACGGTGAGAAATGAGAATGACTTGGACTAGGATGGCAGAGGTGATGGTGAGTTGGGGTATGACTCCAGAAATAGTTGGATTGTAGAGGTTCAAGAATTGGCTAATTATTAGAATGTGAGGGATGAGAAAAGGTTGACTACAATTTTAAGTAGAATGTGGATGAAACATCAGGAGCAAATGTTAAGAAGCATAATTTGTATCAGCTCTGCAGGTCCCGGAGAATCTTGAATACCCACCCTGTTTTGGCTTAAGCTAAATATATATATATATATATATATATATACGGTTCAGGTTAGTTGGAAGGATTCTGCAGAAATGACCTTGAGGGCAACAAGAACTGTAGACATGGACAATGTCAAGAATACATTCTTCTCCGTCTCCTCTGACTCTTTACTGGCTTCATTCTCTAGGACAGCTTATCCATCTATCAATGAGTTTCAAGCTTACAACCATGCAGTGCTATGATTAAGGAGGAAAAAAAATCCTTAATCAAAAGTTAAAGTTAATCCTTAACTTTTCCTCAAATTCTATTTGAAAATTTCAGGAAAAGACACTCTGTGGCCCAGCTGAATCACATGACCATACCTGGACCACTTACTGTAAGCCACCATGAATCATGTCTTTATTCCTTTGGCCAATGGGCAGCCTACCTCCCTCTGCAGGAGCACCCATTTGGTAGGAAGGAGCATTTTCCAGAATAATAGAATGAGGGTGGAAAGGGAGAACAAGTAAAACAATAACTATTCATTAAGCCAGACTTAAGACTGATGTATTTTATATATAGGTAAATAAATACATGAAACATACATAAATGTAAACATATTAAATATGTGTATATATACACATTATATAAATGTTTATATCCCTGTTATAATCTTTGCTCTTCCTACTTAAAGATAATCCCTCTAGTAGATCACATTTTCATTCATTGACTTGAAGACATTGATCCAGCAATCCCCTTTCTCTGTCCTATGCCAACAGTTTTTCCCTGTCTGTGGTATCTTTCCCATCAGCACACATACATGCTATTGTTCTTCCATCATAAAAATAAACTTTCTCTTAACTCCATTTTCCCCATTAGCTATTACTCTTTTTCTCTGCTACTCTCTTGAAACCAGCATCTTTACTCTGACTTCAATTTCTTTTCTTTTCTTTTTTTTTTTTTGAGACGGAGTCTCTCTTTTTTGCCCAGATTGGAGTGCAGTGGCGCGATCTCGGCTCACTGCAACCTCTGCCTCCCAGATTCACACCATTCTCCTGCCTCAGCCTCCTGAGTAGCTGAGACTATAGGCACCCACCACCACGCCTGGCAAATTTTTTGTATTTTTAGTAGAGATGGGGTTTCACCGTGTTAGCCAGGATTGTCTCAATCTCCTGACCCCGTGATCTGTCCACCTCGGCCTCCCAAAGTACTGGGATTACAGACGTGAGCCACCGCGCCCAGCCCAATTTCTTTCATTTTATTCTCTCTTAAGCCCACTCCACCAGACTTCTGTCCTCAGCACTTTACCAATAGAACAGACTTACAGATTTTATCAATTACATTCATGTTAACTAATTCTTGAACCCCATTTTATATGACTTATCAGCAACATTTACTACATACAATCATTCCCTCCTTGCTACTTTTTTTTTTTGTCTTGCTAGTTGAATTTTCTTCTCCTTTGGTCTCTCCTTAGTTTTCCTTGAGCTTCTTGCTGATCATTGATGACTTACTGTTGGAGGCACGATGGCTCCAACCTTGGCCCTTTCTTTTTCACATTGCCTACTCCAAATCCCTATGCAGACATCCAAGATAGCTCAATTTAATATGCATGAAACTTAACTTTTTCATATCCATCCCAAAACCTACTGGTACACTGTGATGGGCTGAATTGTATCTCTCCTGCCCACATAAATTCATATGTTTAAGTCTTAACCCCCAGCACCTCAGAGTGTGACTGCATTTGGAGATAGGGCCCTTTAATGAAGTAATTACAGTAAAATGAGATTATACAGGTAAGCCCTGATTCAATTTTTTTTTTTTTTTTTTTTTTTTTTTTGAGATGGAGTCTGGCTCTGTCGCTCAGGCTGGAGTGCAGTGGCGCGATCGCGGCTCACTGGAAGCTCCGCCTCCCAGGTTCACACCATTCTCCTGCCTCAGCCTCCCGAGCAGCTGGGACTACAGGTGCCCACCACCACGCCTGGCTAATTTTTTCGTATTTTTAGTAGAGATGGGGTTTCACTGTGTTAGCCAGGATGGGCTCGATCTCCTGACCTTGTGATCTGCCCGTCTTGGCCTCCCAAAGTGCTGGGATTACAGGCGTGAGCCACCATGCCCGGTCAGCCCTGATTCAATCTGACCGGTGTCCTCATAAGGCCAGGTGTGGCGGCTCACACCTCTAATCTCAGCACTTTGGAAGGCTGAGGCAGGCAGATCACTTGAGGCCAGGAATTCAAAACCAGCCTGGCCAACATGGCAAAACCCCATCTCTACTAAAAACACACACACACAAAATTAGCCAGGCGTGGTTATGTGCGCCTGTAGTCCCAGCTACTTGGGAGGCTGAGGCATGAGAATTGCTTGAACCTGGGAGGCAGAGATTGCAGTGTCAAGACTCCATCTCAAAAAAAAAAAAAAAAGAAAAGACAGGTGCTAGACATCAGTGGACACAGAGGAATGTCCATATGAGAACACAGCAAGAAGGCTGCTGTCTGCAAGCCAAGGGGAGAGGCCTCAAAAGAAACTAAACCTGCCAACACCTTGATCTTGATCTTGAACTTCTAGCCTCCAGAACTGTGAAAAAACAATTTATATTGTTAAAGCCACCCAGTCTGTGGTATTTTGTTATGGCAACTCTAGCAGATTATTATACACACAGTCTTCCCCAAGTCAGTTCACTACAGTTTCATCCTTCTTTTGCCCATGCTCAAATCTATAGAGTTATCCTGGGTTTTTCTTCTTCTTGCATCCTGTGTTCATCCATTCAGAAATCCTGTGGTCTCTAAATTCAGAATAGAATCTACTTTTCACCACCTCTTATACTACCCACCTTGCTGCAGATCATCATCATCTCTTGCCTTGATTACTGCAGCAGCTCTTTAACTGCTTATCCTGATTTCATCTTTTCCCCTCTCCCCACCCCTATCCTCCCACAGTCTATTCTTCATACCTCAGCTGGACTGATACTTTAAAAAGTAAGCAAAAAATGTCAACTCTCTGCTCAACAGCTCCCCATTTCACTCAGAGTAAAAGCCAAAATTCTTACACTTGCCTTCAGGGCCCTAGAATACCTCTGACCACCTCTCATGCCATTTCTGACTTCATTTTCTCCAACTTTCTCTTTGACTCACTCGGCTCCATCTATACTGAAGGCTTTCTGCCTTAGGGCTTTGCACAAAGTGTTGCACCTGCTAAAATCCTTATCCTCCAAAATGTTTTATACTTGCTCATTTCCTTTAAGTCTTTGCTCAAATGCCACCTCTAAAGTCCTCCCAGGCTGTGTTATTTAAAATGAATATCCCCTCTAATGCCTGTACTGCTGACCTTCTTTACCACCATCTGACATGCTATGTAATTTTGTAACATAATATTTTAAAATCTGTTTTGTTGTATTCCTCCTCTAGAAAGTAAAATCCACAAAGGTAATGATTTTTCATCTGTTCTGTTCATTCATGTGCCAATTGCCTTGAATGCCTGCCACATAGTAGGTGATCACCAAATCTTTGTGGAATAAATAAATGAATGGAATATAAGGTATAAACAAATGTTAATGAAACAACACCCAGCTTGAGAAATAAAATATTACTAAAACTTTGAAGCCCTCCATATACTTTCCACATTCGCCTTTCCTCAAACAGAAGCAGTATTTCTTACCATTCCTTTGAATATCCTCATAGTTACACTATATACAAAGGTATCCCTATAAGATACAGTTTTTAGTTTTGTGTGCATTTTAAATTGAAAACATGTAACTGTACTTGCTCTTTTCCCCAATATTATGTTTCAGGATTCAGGATTTTTGCAAAATGAGCAGATGATAGCTGCTCTTGCCAAAGGGGAAAAATGGGTATAACTATGTGAAATAATTGATATGTTAATCTGTCTCACTATAGTAACCATTTTGCTATATATGTATCTTAAAAAATCATGTTGCATACCTTAAATATACACCATAAAATTCATTAAAACAATAAAAAGTACTAGCCTCTCATTTGCAACATACATTGCAAATGTTTTCTTCCAGTGTGTCATTTGCCTTTTGAATTTGCTAATGGTGATATTTATCATTCATAAGAATTCTATTTTTAGACATTTGAATTTACCAATATGATAGTACAAATAGATTTTGAGTCACAGTTTGAAAGCCTTCTCTCTCTCATCAGGTTCCAAAGCAATTCATCCACTTTTTCTACTTGTATACTTTTACTTTGTATATTCAGACCTCTCATGAGAGATTTAGACTTAGATTTAGAGTTTATTTTTCTATGTAGTGTGAGGCATGAATCCAATTTCATCCTTGTGCAAGAGGCTGTCCAGTTGCAGACTATTAAAACTTCTATCCTTGTCCCAGATGATCTGATAATTTTTAATATGGTACTAGATATATAAAAGAAGTCACCTTTTATTATCTGTAGCTCCTTGATGACTGTTGCTATGTCCATATTAGTATTCCAAAACACAGTATTACATATTTAACCTTTTCTTTTTTTAGAGTCCACATATAATTGAGATTATGCAATATTTTTCTTTCTGTGTCTGGCATTTTTCACTCAGCATAATGTACTCTATTCATGATCTATTTGTGTTGTGGCAAGTGGTAGGATCTCCTTTTTAAGGCCGAATAATATACCCTTGTATATATACCACCATTTCTTTATCCATTCACCACTGATAAATCGTTAAATTGTTTCCATATCTTAGCTATTGGGAATAATACTTCAATGAACATGGGAGTGTGGATATCTTTATGGGGTGATGATTTCTTGGGTATATACCCAGAAGAGGGATTACGGGTCATATAGTAATTCTGTTTTTAGTTTCTCTAGGAACCTCCACAGTGTTTTCCATAATGGCTGTACAAATCGACATTCCCACCAGCAGCGTACAAGGGTTTCCTTTTCCTCACACCCTCGCCAACGTTTACAATAGCCACCCTAACAGATGTGAGGTGATAACTCATTGTGGTTTTGATTTGCTTTTTCCTAATTATGAGTGATGTTGGACAATTTTTAATATACCTGCTGGCTATTTTTATGTCATCTTTGGATAAATCTCTATTCAGATCTTCTACATATTATTTAACTAGGTTGTATATTTTCTTGCTGTTAAGTTGTATACGTTCTTTATAAATCTTGGGTATTAACCGCCGATTAGATACATGGTTTGCAAATATTTTTTCCCAAGCTTTAGGTTACCTTTTATTTTGTTGTTTCTTTCCCTTGCTGTCCCGAAGCTTTTTAGTTTGATGTAGTCTCATTTATTTACTTTTGTTTTTGCAGCCTGAGCTTTTGGTGTGATAACAAGAAATTATTGCCACGGCCAGTATCAAGGAGCTTTCCCCTGTGTTTCCTTCTGTGAGTTCTACAGTTGTAAGTCTGACGTTTAGGTCTTCAATTCATTTTGAGTCAATTTTTGTGTATGGTGTAAAATAAGGGTCCAGTTTCATTCTTTTGCATATGAAAATCTAATTTTCCCAGTACCATTTATTGAAGAGATCATCCTCTCCTCATTGTGTCTTCATGTTGACCTTGCTAAAAATTAGTTAACTATATGTGTTTAGGTTTATTTCTGGGCTCTCTATTTTGTTCCAGTAGCCTATATGTCTGTTTTTATGTCAGTACCATGCTGTTGTGATTACTATAGATTTGTAATAGAATTTTAAATATGGAAGCGTGATGCCTCTAATTCCTTTTATTTCAGAATTGCTCTGGCTATTTGGGGTATTTTGTGGTTCCACATGAATTTTTGGATTGTTTGTTTTATTTCTGTGAAGAATGCCACTGGGATTTTGATAGGATTTGGTTTCAATCTATATACTGCTTTGGGTAGCATGGATATTTTAATGATATTAATTCTTCTGATCCATGAGTATAGTATATCTTTCTGTTTATTTGTGCTATCTTCAATTTCTTTCATTAACAATTTATACTTTTTAGTGTACAGATTTTTTACCTCCTTGGTTAAATTTATTCTTGAGTATGTTTTAATGCTATCCTTAATAGGATTGTTTTCTTGATTTATTTTTTTTTTTGGCTAGGTCATTTTTTGTGTATAGAAATGCCATAAATTTTTGTGTTTTGAATTGATGTCTTGCAACTTTACTGAATCATTTATTAGGTCTAACAGGTTTTTTTTTTTGGTGAAATCTTTCATGGTTTCTACATATAAGATTATGTCATCTGCAAATAGAAATATTTTCCAATTTGGATATCTTTTATTTCTATGTTGATTGAAGTGCTGAGAGTGGGCATCCTTGCCCTATACTAGATCTTAGAGGAAAAGCTTTGAGTTTCCCCTCATTGCTTATAACGTTAGCTGTGTATTTTTCATAAATGGACTTTATTAGGTTGAGAAACTTTCTTTCTGTATCTAAACTATTAAGAGTTTTCAGGAAGAACAGATGAACTTTAAATTTTGTCAAATGCTTTTCCGCCTTGATATGATAATGTGGTTTTTGTTTTTCAGTCTGTTAATATGATGTATGACATTGATTGATCTGCATGTATTAAACTAGACTTGCATGCGAGGGATAAATCCCCTTTATCATGTTGTATAATATTTTTGATATGATGTTAAATTTGATTTTCTATTATTTTATTGAGGATTTTTGCATCAATATTTATCAGAAATACTGGCCTATAGTTTCTTTTCTTGTGGTGTCGATGTCTGACTTGTAACACATTGACAAGACCAAGTACCATCTTGATACCTGTTAGGAAGTACTCCTACCAGCTCTAGTTTTTGGAAGAGTTTAAGAAGTATTGGTATTAATTCTTTGAAAATTTGGTAGAATTCAGCCATCAAGCCACCTAGTCTGGCCCTTTTGTTTTTGGGAGGTTTCTATTTACTATTTTAATTTCTTTGTTATAGATCTGTTCAGACTTTCTATTTCTTCTTGATTCAAGCTTGGTATGCTAGATTTCTTTAGAAATTTATCCATTTCCTTTTTTATGAAATTTGTTGTCATATATTTGTTCATAATAGTTCCTTGTGATCCTTTTTATTTCTAAGGCATCTGTTGTAATGTCTCTACTTTCATTTCTAATTTTATATGTATGAGTCTTCCTTCTTTGTTTTTCAGTCTAGCAAAGGGTTTTTTGATTTTGTTTTTTTTTTTTAAATCAACTCCTATTTTTACTGATCTTTTCTATGGTTTTTATAGTTTCTATTTCTGTTTTAAACTTTATTATGTCCTTCCTTCTGCTAACTTTGGGTTTAGTTTATTCTTCTTTTTCTAGTTCCTTGTGATGTAATGTTAGGCTATTTATTTGGGGTTTTTCTTCTTTTTTAAGGTAGGCATTTATTGCTATAAACCTCCCTCTTAAAACTGCTTTTGCCACATCCCATGGATTTTGGTATGCTGTGTTTCCATTGCTGTTTCTTTCAAAATATTTCTAAATTTTTATTATTTCTTTGACTCATTGATTGTTTAGGAGACTGTTGTTTAATTTTCACATACTTGTGAATTTTTCAATATTTCTCCAAAATTCTAGTTTTATATCATTGTAATTGAAAACAATACTTAATATGATTTGGATCTTCTTAAATTTGTTAAGACTTGTTTTGTAGCCTACTATATGGTCTATCCTGGAAAATATTACACATGCACTAGAGAAGAATGTGTATTCTGCTGGTGTTGAGTGAAAACTTCTGTATGTATCTGTTAGGTCCATTTTGCCTAAAGTGCATTTCAATTCCAGCATTTCCTTATTAACTTTCTGTCTTATTGATTGTTTGGGAAGTGGAGTATTGATGTTTCCTACTATTATTCTATTATTGTATTGCTATCTATTTTTCCCTTCATGTCCATTAAACTTTGCCATATATATATATATATATATATATATATATATATATATATATATATACATACACACACACACACACACACACACATACATATATGCTCTGATGTTAGGTGCATATATATTTACAACTGTTATGTCCCTTTTGATGAATTGAGCACTTTATCATTAAGTAGTGACCCTTTTTTTGTCTCTTGTGACAGTTTTTGACTTGAAGTCTATTTTATCTCATATAAGTCTAGCCACCTCTGCTCACTTTTGATTACTATTTGCATGGAATAGTTTCCTCCATCCCTTCACTTTCAGCTTATGTATGTCCTTAAATCTAAAATGAGTCTCTTGTAGGCAGCATATAGTTGGATCTTATTTTCTATTTATTCAGCCACTCTATGTCTTTTTCTTGGATAGTTTAATCTATTTACATTCAAAGTAATTATTGATGGGTAAGGATTTACTACTGCTATTTTGTTAATTATTTTAATACTATTTTTACCTATCAGTTTGGCAAAAATTTAAGACTGGCCACACACTCTGTTATTGAGTTTGTGGACAAACAGGAACTTTTATACAGTACCTAAGGAAATGCAATGAAATATGATACCTATAAAATGGAATTTGGTAATATCTAAAAAAGCTCCATTCCTACCTACACTTTTTTCAGTAAACTCTGAATAATTACCTTGAAGGGATCATGTTAATATGAAAAAATGTACAAGGTATTCACTGAACTACTGCAGAATTATTGCATTATATGTAATAGCAAAATTTTGGAAACAATTGAAGGTCTATCTATAGGAGATTGCTTGAATAAACTATGGTATATCTACCCAATGGCATATATCTACCCAATAATAATAAAGAATCAGTAATATCTCTAGAAACTGACATACAGTGATTTCCAGGATATATTTTTAAGTTAGAAAAGCAACATACAAAAGAATATGTATAGTATAGCATATTATACACTTACATAATATGTACTTTATATATTTAGAATATATAAAAAAGTGATAATAAAATTCTATGTGTGTGTATGTGTTTGTGTGTGTTTGTGCTTATTTTCTCTACTTCCTTCTACACCTATTATAGGAAGGAAGGCAAATAAGCTTATGCATGCACAAAAAGAAACACAGAAAACAAGGATAATCCAAAAAAGAAAAAGAAACGGATTGTGTACAAGGGTTAGACAGGGATGAGATAGAAGGATTATGGGAGGGAGCAACACTTGAAGTATACTCTTTTTTATACTTTTCACATGGAAACCATATTAACATTCTGCAGATCCAAGATGTTTAAATCAACAAGGATAAACAACTTCCTAAAAATGAGTACAAACAGAAAAAACCTAACTATACATAACATAGATTAACTATACCTAGTAAAATTAGTTGTTTTTAGTGGTGTTGGTATAGCAATCCTGAAATGATTTTTAATTATTGTGGGAATCAGGAATTTTATAAATATTTTGATATTGTCAGAAACCAGGGTTCTTACTGTTAGTAAAGAGAGATACCAATAAGGAATTAGGGAGTGCAAGAAAGAATTTTGTGATGTAGAATTGTAATTATGGTTAGTAATATGAATCCATGATGCATCAGTGATACACATATTTATGCTTTATGATCTATGCATAACTCAAATGTGTATACATGCATGCAACTCTCTCTATATATGTGTGTGCGTGTGTATTATATTAGTTCTGTCCATTGAAAGGCTTGGAAATAATAACACCTCAGTAGCAATGCACTTATTTAACATTCAAATCTTGGTTTCTAAAGGAACACTAAATGAACAAGGGAATGTTATAAAAATGATTCATTACAGGGCTAAAAAAGAACAAGAACAAGCTGAGCTTGAAACACCTTATTTTACCAGAAAGCAAGAAGATTCTGAGAAACTAAGGAGGGACATGTTAAAACGACATGGGGGCCAGCTTCACGGGACCCTAACTGGACAAACTTGGGTCAGTTTGAGCAGCAAAATGATTAAAATCAGTAATTGATTATGACACATTGAATTTTTTAAAATTTTAATTAAAAAACTAATAAACATAGGAAGGGGGAAAAGATTAGTGGGAAAGATTGGTTTTGTGATAGAATGTCAATCAATAAATGTTGAAGGAATATAGTTAGGAAATCACTATTTACAATAGAATAATCAATTCAGGGAGGAATCACCAATGCATGATGGAACAATGGGAGGATGTATTTTGGAGAACAGGATGTTTTTAAACAGTTTCAAGTATTTCCCAACTATCATATATTAACTACAAAGTGAAATAAACATACCTTTATGATGGAAAAATTTGATGGATACCACCTTAAACCAAGTGATGAAATGCAACAACAGTAATAGGACAAACTTACACCCTGAGACTCTTGTGGTGACATCATGAGAAGGAACAACATTGCTCAGGTGGAATTTATTCCCAAAATGCATAACCTAAAGCTAATCATGAGCAAACAGATGAACCCAAATTATATGAAACTTTGTAAAATGCCACCATTATATCATAAAAGAAAAGAAGAAGAGTTAATGTTTGTGGAAGAGTTACTGTTGAAGATAGAAATTCGGACATCTCAGGGCCTCAAATAAACTTTATTTCAAATAGGCTCAGAACTCTGGAGATTTTAACTAAGAAAACTAATGCATGGTTATAGCATCCAGAGCAGGGAGTTGACCCAGGAATTGTTTGTTCTTTTTTCTCTCCTCCTTTCATCACTACTCTTTTCCTTATTTTGTTATGTTTGAGCAGTTACAGTGCTAAGGTCACCCAAATAAATACATGGTTAAAAAAATAAATTTCTAGGAGTTGACGGCAAAGTTTGCTTTCAAATCCCCAAGCTACTTCACTTCTACATGCCTTATTTTGTTTTAATCTATAAAACGGGGATAATTATAGTATTTACCTTTCAAGGGTTATAAGGATTAAGAGAGTTAATAAGCATTTAAGAAAAACAGGAGGGGCATATTATAAGTATTCAATAAGTCATAGCTATCATTAAAGAACCCAGAGAATTTATTGTTCAAGATAATTTTGACAGTGAAAGAGCAACATGAATAATTTTGCTGGAATAATAGGTGTGAACAAGACTGCTTCAGGCAAAGCAGGATATAAGACCATCCCACCTATTACTTTTTAAATTTAATTAATTCATTAATTATTTGAAATAGGATGTTGCCCTGTTCCCCAGGCTGGAGTGCAATGGTGCAGTCATGGCTCACTGCAGCTGCCTTAGACTCCTGGACTCAAGTGATCTTCCCATCTCAGCCTCCCAAATAGCCAGAACTATAGGTGTGTGCCATCACACCTAGCTGTTTTTTTTATTTTCTATTTTTTGTAGAGATGAGGTCTTGCTATATTGCCCAGGCTGGTTTCAAGCTCCTGGCCTCAAGTGATCCTTCTGCCTCAGTCTCTCAAAGTGCCAGAATTACAAGTGTGAGTCACCGTGCATAGCCCCAGCTATTATTATGCATTTCAAAATAATAATTATTCTGTTTAGTGAGACTTTATGTTTGTGGTACTGAATAAAAATATTACTGTTATAATATTATTTAATTCCATTAAAATATATTTAAGGAAATGTTTGTTATCCGTATACTTTAGATAGAGAAACCAAGTGATAGAAATTTTAATTGTCATTCCGTGGTCACACATCTAGAAAAGGCAAAACTGAGAAAGAAAAGAGGCTGTCTCTGATTTCAAGATCCATGCTCTTAAGGAATGTTCTGTATACTTGCCCCACTCACAGAAATCCACAATCTCATCACATTGATGCATGAAATACATAAAGGTCTCTTCACTCTGGATCATCTTGTCTAGCCTTAATATTTATGTATTAATATTAATATTAAATATCAATTTGATATTGATGTACAGGAACATAGGGTGTTTTTCTTAAATGTTTGATCCCTGCTTCCAACCACTCATAGTACCCCCTAATGAGTAATGGTATCTGATTGGGCACAAAATTATATGTAATGATATTTTTTAAACACTGTGATAAGAAGGCAGTGTAACACAGTAGGCTGGGGTCAGAATAGCCTCAGTGAATGTCTGCATTCCACCATTTGTTATCTGTAGAATTTTGGGCTCGACTTCATCTCAGTATATAAGTTTATGTGTTTAGGTTTGAGAAGATAGAGGGAAGGTGGCAAACTTGATGATGGTAGGGCTTAGGGTATAGAATTCTCATCATTCAAAACACCATTAGCACTGAATTTATATTCTTAATGGAGCAACCTGTAAGTCCCCAGGGCAATCTAAGAAGCTGTATTTTGCCTCCTTCCTCATAAGGTTTAGAGCTTCCATAAACGAATGCCCCATTTGCATTATTGCTCCCTCGTTCTTTCCTTCCCTTAACATCAACCTATTTTTAAAAGGCCATCTTTTCTTCTGCACCCTATTTTTCCCCTCAGATCTCTGATACTATGGTGTGTATGCTTCTTCTATGAGTAATACACCAAATACTGAAATAATGGGTGATTTAACTAATATCCTATAATGCAATATCCATTAGTGCAATACAAAATAATATTATGAGATTTTATTAGCTCATATTAGTAAACACAGATTGCATTAAAGCTGTTCCTGTTTTATTTTTGAAATGCTTGGATACGATAGACTAATATAAAATATCCGAATTATGCTGTTCTGAAACTGTAAAGTTGAGTTTCCTGCTGAGCAGGTTATGTTAAATCTTTTCCTTTTTCTTTATTCTCATGAAGGATAAGGAAATGGTGGCTACAGGGTTTCTCTTTGTTCACCTTCCCTGCTGCATAGGAAACAGTTTAAGAGCACTTCCCAGGAAACTGTTTCTGACCTCCTGTCCCTTGCTTTCTACCAGATACTAGTAACAACATCAAATGCCACTTCTTAGCATTAAAAATTAGATATTATCTAACATTAGACTCTACATAGCACAAGGTAAAGGGGCTTTTTGGCAGATAGCCAGGTAATTAGCTCAATGCAGACCAAATAGGACCATTCAAAGCCTCATTGGAGAGTCCTGTCTCTAAGTCTCCCTCTCATCCTTGCTATAGGAAAACCTGTCAAAAGATGAATTTAATATTTCCACTTTAAGTATTCCTCTTTTGAATTTTTACAACCCCCTACAAGTATGCCAGCTCTTTCATTTAACACAGCCATTATCACACCAAGGTGAAGTCTACCTAGGGAAAAAAAAACCCCACTAAAAATAATAATGACGTATCTATGTTTTCCTGTGTTAATAATTTTGAGGATAAGAATAGAGTGACACCAAATGACCATTTCTGAAATCTAGTAGTCAATATGCTTTTCTTCTATTAAGCAAGGGAAGGGATCAGGTGTTGGCAATAGAATCAAATTTGGTAAGTCTGGAATATTACAATTTTTACTTTGTGAGTAATGGATTTTTAATGTCTGTAAATAGGGTATGAAGTGTTTTAAAGGTTTGTTAAAATAATCATGAATGTTTCAGTGACACTTGTCGATTATAGATCATAGAAAAACATTTTAAAACAACGGCAGGCTACTTCTCGAGCATAAACAGGATTCTTCTATCAGAAACATTATGCAATAACGTAAAAAGGGATCATCCACCAATAACACACAAACATAGACAAAATTCTCTAGCAACCATCTCCAGTTAGCATGTCCTCTTGCTATGCTAATGATTTAACCCTTTGAATTGCTGCACTCTCTCTCTTTAGAAATAAATTTCTCAGGTAAACTCTTACAGTTATTGCCTCTGTTTACTCACCATAGAATTTCTCCTCAGTCCAGTGAAATACAAATTTTGTCCACAGCCTTTTGTAAAACTCTTCCTTTTAGGTTTATTTATGACCACCTAATATAGGTTAACTATTTGGGGGTTCTGATGGAGGTAAGAAGAGGGAGAATTGCAGTGTTTTCCTGGTCAATGGTTCATCCTCTCAGACTTGCTAGATGCTATGGCTTGGGGGTTCCCCATCTAACCTCTTCTGGGAACTCCTAATTGGGTGGACAAAATGCTGGAAGACAGATTCAACCAGGTGAGAGAAATGAAGGAGGCGTGGCAAACAGAAAGCAGCTGCCTAGAGATCCATTCCCCACATCAAGATCCTCAGGGGAGAAAAAAAGTTTTTATATGGTTTTCAGTAGTCATAATTACCAAGGAAGAAACTGTAACTGATTTATGGCTGCTTTCTGGTGCTTTTTTTTTTTTATAATGTATCATTTTCCCAATTATTTTTCTTCTAAAAATTTGGAGACATGATCTCCCCTCACCATAATTATGTCTTTTAATGTCTAAATATAATAATTTTCCTTGACCTCCTCTTTAGAAGTTACTCCACATCTTTTAACTTTATTGGCTAACACTATTTCCCCTTTGAAATACTCTTATAAGATATTTGTATTTACACGATCTCTCATTTGTTCTGGTCCTTTTCTGGTACAGCAAACTTGTTTCTCCTCTTCCCCTCTCTTTGCGTATATTCCTCTCTTCACGGTGTAATTTTATATTTTCTTTTCTGATTCTTTCATTGGAAAATAATAACTTTCAGTCTGAGTGCAACATTAAAACCAATCCTCATCAAATCTTGGACACATATTACGTGATTGAATGTCTCTCTGGCTATAACAGCCAATAATACCTTTTACTTTTAATCTTTCGTGTCCATATTGTTTGTGCTATACAATGTAAAAGCAATACAAGAGATTACAAGGCTATTAAACAAGTCAGGCTGCAAGCCTGTTATATTCAAATAGAACAAATTAGCTCATATTTCCCAATAAGCTTGGGGATATATTAGCAAGCCCAAATTTTCCTTAAGAGTTTGCAGTAGACAATAAGAGAACTGCATATTTGTAAAGAGATAAAGAGGTGTATAACTAAATAATCATTGAAATAAACATGATTAATTGATTTATTTGTATAAAATTAAAGTCTTTATTTTTAAGGATGACATCACTGATGGCAATCATTAGATAGATTTTGTTGCGACAATACATAGAATCTTGGGCTTGCTAGAGCATGGGTTTGGTCCAATGTGGTTTTTATTTTTATTTTTTTGTATTCTTATAAGCTTTAATTTCCCATTGAAAGGAAGTTGTAACTCTTTTTCTCTGAAGTTCTATTTGTGCATGAATAATTGAGGGAGGAATTTTTAGATTTTATAACAATTTTCATTTATCTATATATTTTGCAATTATTTTAAATTATTAAAACAATTCTTGTACATGTTTTGCATTAAAAGGGAAAAAAAGCTAAAATAAGGATATGTATAACAATTGACCTGAGGACTTACATGCTCCTAAAAACAAAAAATATCTCAGTTGAAACAGGCTGATCTTACTGCTCAGTAATCATGTCTTCCCATAGAAGCATATTTCAGTAGCTAATAACTGGATCCTTTTGGCATATTCATTTTACAGTGGTGTAAATGACAAGCTTTCATTTTGCTGCAGTTGATCACACTGCCTCGAACTGTGTTTCATTTTATAGGAACATAGCAGTATGAGTGGAACGCTTTTGATTCTACAGTCTGTGGAATGGGACAGCCAGCACCTCGTCATGCTATTTATTGAAACATGGCCATTCCTAATCCTGAAATCTTAAATTTATAGGATCTTAAAAACATACAATGTAATTTCTTTTCTTTGCTGGAACTTTGCTCACAAATAGACATTTTTTAAAGGCAGTTAGAGCATGGTACTTGATAAAGTCCCTTGAATCTTTAATAGCAAAAGAGGAAGCCAAAAGTTATGTCTCCACGGAAAAAAGCTGCACTGTTCAACAGTGAAGCATAGACAATGGTATTATGCATCCCTTTTTATTTTTCCGTAATATTTTCCTTGAACTGTTCACTCATTATTTTAATTGAAGGCATTCTTTCTCAGAGCTGAGGTTGTTGCAAATGAATCAGAGCAGCTTAACTTGTCAAAACATTTAGGGATCTGGATGAAATAATTAAAAATTATATGGAAACCTACTATGTGGGCAAATGCCAAACAATATCACATGGAGATATTATAATCAAAGAGTTGGCAAAATAAAGACCTAACATGTCAACAAAATTCTGTATCTGATGTCTTGATTCCAGAAGAGGAAAATGCTAGACAGACACAAAAAGATAACCTAAGTTTGGGAATTTATAAGTAAGAAAAAAATTGTTAATGTAACCCATCGAAAGTTTAGGCAAAATATTATTTGACTAAAGAGAAGGCTAATCCAGGAGTTTAACAGCGTAGGGATTTCATGACAGAACTGCCCATAGTCTTTTCACTAATGTGTATGACTCCTCTCTTTCTTCTACCCCAAGCTCTGCCACTTAAGGTGCAAAATAAAGGGTGAAAACATTTGGCATGTATGTTAACCCTTCATGTAGGCCATGACATGGAACATTACCATCTTCAATGTTCTTGAAAGAATCAAATGTCAATCCCTCAGGGTATCTAGGGCATCAATAAATGGAATTAACTCAAATTGCTTTATTTAAAATGGTTTCTGTACATTCTTTCTCAGTTGATAACTTGCTCTTCAGATTGGCCGTCATCTGATCTCATTCTGCTTTCTGCTTAATCATAGATATAATCAAAATGTGTCCCTATTTAACATTTTAAAAACCTTTACTCAGATTTTTTAAAAGACTACAATCACATAAAGAAAATTCCACGTAACCATGGATCCCTGTGTCTCATCTTAAGCAGATAAACCAGATTCAAATAGTTCAAAGTGAGTCAACAAATATGAATCTTCAATCTCAAAAAAAGCAAACAGATGCATCATTTTGACCCTGAGGTTGTTTTTAGTTATATTTTTCAGTGACTACCATAGTTTCAGAGTTGAGAATCAGTGCTAAGATCCTGATCTTTTAACCTTCCTGTATTGTCTTAATCTTACCTATCTTTAAGAGATTAATAAATATTAATTATCCCTTATTCTAGATTCAGACATTTTCATTGCTGCCACCTGGAAAGAATACTTTTGAAGTAGAAACATAGGCTAACAGGTCTGCTTTCAGTTAAAAATAGAATGTCAACCTCTGAACTCTCTCTAAATCACAGAACATAATTCCTAGAAATTACGATCCAACTTTCTCATAAAACTAACATTCATACTTTGAAATACGTATCCTCCACCCTGTCTTGGTGTAATGGCCTCATATATACAGAGAACTGTAAATTTTTCAGGCCGTCAACATCTGACATAAAATTTCAAAAATATTTATGGACTACTTCAGACAAAATAAAGAAATAATTAGTAATATATTGAACAACTTTCTAGACACCAAGCTTGACACCCAGCCTAGACTTGTCATTCTGGGAGTGTCTACCCACTAGTGTCATTCAATAGCACAACCCAAGAAAACCACAATCATGATTTTTAAAATCAACTTCATGGATTTTTTTAAACGATCTTTTTATATGTAGTTTTTTTTTTTTAAACTCTAAGTTCTAGGGTACATGTGCACAACATGCAGCTTTGTTACATATGTATATACGTGCTATGTTGGTGTGCTGCACCCATTAACTCATCATTTACATTAGGTATATCTCCTAATGCTATCCCTCCCCCTTCCCCCCACCCCATGACAGGCCTCAGTGTGTGATGTTGCCCACCCTGTGTCCAAGTGTCTCATTGTTCATTTCCCACCTATGAGTGAGAACATGCAGTGTCTGGTTTTCTGTCCTCGCAATAGTTTGCTCAGAATAATGGTTTCCAGCTTCATCCATGTGCCTACAAAGGACATGAACTCATCATTTTTTATGGCTGCATAGTATTCCATGGTGTATATGTACCACATTTTTTTAATCCAGTCTATCAATGATGGACATTTGGGTTGGTTCCAAGTCTTTGCTGTTGTGAATAGTGCCGCAATAAACATACGTGTGCATGTGTCTTTATAGCAGCATAATTTATAATCCTTTGGGTATATACCCAGTAATGGGATGGCTGGGTCAAATGGTATTTCTAGTTCTAGATCCTTGAGGAATTGCCACACTGTCTTGCACAATGGTTGCACTAATTTACACTCCCATCAACAGTGTAAAAACATTCCCATTTCTCCACATCCTCTCCAGCATATGTTGTTTCCTGACTTTCTAATGATTGCCATTCTAACAGGCATGAGATGGTATCTTACTGTGGTTTTGATTTGCATTTCTCTGATGGCCAGTGATGATGAGCATATTTTTATGTGTCTGTTGGCTGCATAAATGTCTTCTTTTGAGAAGTGTCTGTTCATATCCTTCGCCCACTTTTTGATAGGGTTGGTTTTTTCTTGTAAATTTGTTGGAGTTCATTGTAGATTCTGGATATTAGCCCTTTGTCAGATGGATAGATTGTAAAAATTTTCTCCCATTCTGTAGGTTGCCTGTTCACTCTGATGGTAGTTTCTTTTGCTGTGCCGAAGCTCTTTAGTTTAATTAGATCCCATTTGTCAATTTTGGCTTTTGTTGCCATTGCTTTTGGTATTTTAGACATGAAGTCCTTGCCCATGCCTATGTCCTGAATGGTATTGCCTAGGTTTTCCTCTAGGGTTTTTATGGTTTTAGGTCTAACATGTAAGTCTTTAATCCATCTTGAATTAATTTTTGTCTAAGGTATAAGGAAGGGATCCAGTTTCAGCTTTCTACATATGGCTAGCCAGTTTTCACAGCACTATTTATTAAATAGGGAATCCTTTCTCTATTTCTTGTTTTTGTCAGGTTTGTCAAAGATCAGATGGTTGTAGATGTGTGGTATTCTTTCTGAGGGCTCTGTTCTGTTCCATTGGTCTATATCTCTGTTTTGGCAGCAGTGCCATGCTGCTTTGGTTACTGTAGCCTTGTAGTATAGTTTGAAGTCAGGTAGTGTGATGCCTCCAGCTTTGTTCTTTTGGCTTAGAATTGTCTTGGCAATGTGGGCTCTTTTTTTGTTCCATATGAAGTTTAAAGTAGTTTTTTCCAATTCTGTGGAGAAAGTCATTGGTAGCTTGATGGGGATGGCATTGAATCTATAAATTACCTTGGGCAGTATGGCCATTTTCACGATATTGATTCTTCCTACCCATGAGCATGGAATGTTCTTCCATTTGTTTGTATCCTCTTTTATTTAGTTGAGCAGTGGTTTGTAGTTCTCCTTGAAGAGGTCCTTCACATCCATTGTAAGTTTCATTCCTAGGTATTTTATTCTCTTTGAAGCAATTGTGAATGGGAGTTCACTCATGATGTGGCTCTCTGTTTGTCTGTTATTGGTGTATAAGAATGCTTGTGATTTTTGCACACTGATTTTTTTATCCTGAGACTTTGCTGAATTTGTTTATCAGCTTAAGGAGATTTTGGGCTGAGATGATGGGGTTTTCTAAATATACAATCATGTCATCTGCAAAAAGGGACAATTTGATTTCCTCCTTTCCTAATTGCATACGCTTTATTTCTTTCTCCTGCCTGATTACCCTGGCCAGAACTTCCAACACTCTGTTGAATAGGAGTGGTGAGAGAGGTCATCCCTGTCTTGTGCTAGTTTTCAAAGGGAATGCTTTCAGTTTTTGCCCATTCAGTATGTTGTTGGCTGTGGGTTTGTCATAAATAGGTCTTACTATTTTGAGATACGTTCCATCAATACCTAGTTTATTGAGAATTTTTAGCATGAAGGGCTGCTGAATTTTGTTGAAGGCCTTTTCTGCATCTATTGAGATAATCATGTGGTTTTTGTCTTTGGTTCTATTTATATGATGGATTATGTTTATTGATTTGCATATGTTGAACCAGCCTTCCATCACAGGGATGAAGCCAACTTGATCTTGGTGGATAAGCTTTTTGATGTGCTGCTGGATTAGGTTTGCTAGTATTTTATTGAGGATTTTTGCATCGATGTTCATCAGGGACATTGGTCAAAAATTCTCCTTTTTTGTTTTGTCTCTGCCTCGCTTTGGTATCAGGATGATGCTGGCCTCATAAAGTGAGTTAGGGAGGATTCCCTCTTTTTCTATTGATTGGAATAGTTTCAGAAGGAATAGTATTAGCTCCTTTTTGTACCTCTGGTAGAATTTGGCTGTGAATCTGTCTGGTCCTGGACTTTTTTTGCTTGGTAGGCTATGAATTATTGCCTCAATTTCAGAGACTGTTATTGGTCTAATCAGGGATTCAACTTCCTCCTGGTTTAGTCTTGGGAGGGTGTATGTGTCCAGGATTTTATCCATTTCTTCTAGATTTTCTAGTTTATTTGCATAAAGGTGTTTATAATATTCTCTGATAGTAGTTTGTATTTCTGTGGGATCGGTGGTGATATCCCCTTTATCATATCTTATTGCGTCTATTTGATTCTTCTCTCTTTTCTTCTATATTAGTCTTGCTAGCGGTCTATCAATTTTGTTGATCTTTCTAAAAAAACTAGCTCCTGGATTCATTGATTTTTGAAGGATTTTTGTGTCTCTATCTCCTTCAGTTCTGCTCTGATCTTAGTTATTTCTTGCCTTCTGCTAGTTTTGAATGTGTTTGCTCTTGCTTCTCTAGTTCTTTTAATTGTAATGTTAGGGTGTCCATGTTAGACCTTTCCTGCCTTCTCTTGTGGGCATTCAATGTTATAAATTTCCCTCTACACATTGCTTTAAATGTGTCCCAGAGATTCTGGTATGTTGTGTCTTTGTTCTTGTTGGTTTCAGAGAACATCTTTATTTCTGCCTTCATTTTGTTATGTACTCAGTAGTCATTCAGGAGCAGGTTGTTCAGTTTCCATGTAGTTGAGCGGTTTTGAGTGAGTTTCTTAATCCTGAGCTCTAGTTTGGTTGCACTGTGGTCTGAGAGACAGTTTGTTGTAATTTCTGTTCTTTTACATTTGCTGAGGAGTGCTTTACTTCCAACTATGTGGTCAATTTTGGAATAAATGTGATGTGGTGCTGAGTAGAATGTATATTCTGTTGATTTTGGGTGGATAGTTCTGTAGATGTCTGTTAGGTCCGCTTGGTGCAGAACTGAGTTCAATTCCTAGATATCCTTGTTAACTTTCTGTCTCATTGATCTGTCTAATGTTGACAGTGGGGTGTTAAAGTCTCCCATTATTATTGTGTGGGAGTCTAAGTCTCTTTGTAGGTCTCTAAGGACTTGCTTTATGAATCTGGGTGCTCCTGTATTGGGCGCATATATATTTAGGATAGTTAGCTCTCCTTGTTGAATTGATCCCTTTACCATTATCTAATGGCCTTCTTTGTCTCTTTTGATCTTTGTTGGTTTAAAGTCTGTTTTATCAGAGACTAGGATTGCAACCCCTGCTGTTTTGTTGTTGTTGTTTTCCATTTGCTTGGTAGATCTTCTTCCATCCCTTTATTTTGAGCCTATGTTTGTTGCTGCATGTGAGATGGGTCTCCTGAATACAGCACACTGATGGGTCTTGACTCTTTATCCAATTTGCCAGTCTGTGTCTTTTAACTGGAGCATTAGCCCATTTACCTTTAAGGTTAATATTGTTATGTGTGAATTTGAGCCTGTCATTATGATGTTAGCTGGTTATTTTGCTTGTTAGTTGATGCAGTTTCTTCCTAGCCTCGATGGTCTTTACAATTTGCTATGTTTTTGCAGTGGCTGGTATCAGTTGTTCCTTTCCATGTTTGGTGCTTCCTTCAGGAGCTCTTGTAAGGCATGCCTGGGTTGTCAAAATCTCTCAGCATTTGCTTGTCTGTAAAGTATTTTATTTCTCCTTCACTTATGAAGCTTAGTTTGGCTGGATATGAAACTCTGGCTTGAAAATTCTTTTCTTTAAGAATGTTGAGGCCGGGCGCGGTGGCTCACGCCTGTAATCCCAGCACTTTGGGAGGCCGAGGCGGGCGGATCACGAGGTCAGGAGATCGAGACCATCCCGGCTAAAACGGTGAAACCCCGTCTCTACTAAAAATACAAAAAATTAGCCGGGCGTAGTGGCGGGCGCCTGTAGTCCCAGCTACTTGGGAGGCTGAGGCAGGAGAATGGCGTGAACCCGGGAGGCGGAGCTTGCAGTGAGCTGAGATCCCGCCACTGCACTCCAGCCTGGGCGACAGAGCGAGACTCCGTCTCAAAAAAAAAAAAAAAAAAAAAAAAAAAAAGAATGTTGAATATTGGCCCCCACTCTCTTCTGGCTTGTAGAGTTTCTGCCGAGAGATCCACTGTTAGTCTCATGGGCTTCCCTTTGTGGGTAACCCGACCTTTCTCTCTGGCTGCCCTTAACAGTTTTTCCTTCATTTCAACTTTGGTGAATCTGACAATTATGTGTCTTGGAGTTGCTCTTCTCGAGGAGTATCTTTGTGGGGTTCTCTGTATTTCCTCAATTTGAATGTTGGCCTGCCTTGCTAGATTGAGGAAGTTCTCCTGGATAATATCCTGCAGAGCGTTTTCCAACTTGGTTCCATTCTCCCTGTCACTTTCAGGTACACCAATCAGATGTAGATTTGGTCTTTTCACATAGTCCCATATTTCTTGGAGGCTTTGTTCGTTTCTTGTTACTCTTTTTTCTTTAAACTTCTCTTCTCACTTCATTTCATTCATTTGATCTTCAATCACCTAAACCCTTTCTTCTACTTGATTGAATCAGCTACTGAAACTTATGCGTGCGTCATGTAGTTCTCATGCCATGGTTTTCAGCTCCATCAGGTCACTTAAGGTCTTCTCTATGCTGTTTATTCTAATTAGCCATTCTTCTAATCTGTTTTCAAGGTTTTTAGCTTCTTTGTGATGGGTTCGAACATCCTCCTTTAGCTTGGAGAAGTTTGTTATTATCGATCGTCTGAAGCCTTCTTCTCTCAACTTGTCAATGTCATTCTCCGTCCAGCTTTGTTCCATTGCTGGTGAGGAGCTGTGTTCCTTTGGAGGAGAAGAGATTCTCCCCATCTTTGTGGTTTTATCTACCTTTGGTCTTTGATGATGGTGACATACAGATGGGGTTTTGGTGTGGGTGTCCTTTCTGTTTGTTATTTTTCCTTCTAACAGTCAGGACCCTCAGCTGCAGGTCTGTTGGAGTTTGCCGGAGGTCCACTCCAGACCTTGTTTGCCTGGGTATCACCAGCAGAGGCTGCAGAACAGCAAATATTGCAGAACAGCAAATATTGCAGAACAGCAAATGTTGCTGCCTGATCCTTCCTCTGGAAGCTTTGTCTCAGAGGGGCACCTGGCTATATGAGGTGTCGGTCGGCCTTTACTGGGAGGTGTCTCCCAGTTAGCTACTCGGGAGTCAGGGACCCACTTGAGGAGGCAGTCTCTCCATTCTCAGATCTCAAACTCTGTGCTGGGAGAACCACTGCTCTCTTCAAAGCTGTCAGACACAGTTGTTTAAGTCTGCAGAAGTTTCTGCTGCCTTTTGTTCAGCTATGCCCTGCCCCCCAAGGTGGAGTCTACAGAGGCAGGCAGGCCTCCTTGAGCTGCGGTGGGCTCCACCCAGTTCAAGCTTCCTGGCTGCTTTGTTTACCTACTCAAGCCTCAGCAATGGTGGATGCCCTTCCCCCAGGCTTGCTGCCACCTTGCAGTTCGATCTCAGACTTCTGTGCTAGCAGTTAGCAAGGCTCCGTAGGCGTGGGACCCTCCGAGCCAAATGCAGGATATAATCTCCTTGTGTGCCATTTGCTAAGACCATTGGAAAAGCGCAGTATTAGGGTGAGAGTGTCCCGATTTTTCAGGTACCGTCTGTCACGGCTTCCCTTGGCTAGGAAAGGGAATTCCCTGACCCCTTGAGTTTCCCGGATGAGGCGATGGCCCGCCCTACTTCGGCTCACACTCTGTGTACTGCACCCACTGTGTGACAAGCCCCAGTTAGATGAACCTGGTACCTCAGTTGGAAATGCAGAAATCACCCGTCTTCTGCATCATTCATACTGGGAGCTGTAGACTGGAGCTATTCCTATTTGACCATCTTGGAAATGGTTAAATGATTTTTAAAATTTCTTTTTCTCTCTCTTCTTTTAAATTCAGAGGTACATGTGTAAGTTTGTTACGTAGGTAAACTTGTGTCATGGGGGTTTGTTGTACAGATTATTTTATCAACCAGGTATTAAGCATAGTACTCATTAGTTATTTTACCTGATCCTCTCCCTCCTCCCTTTCTCCACCCTCTGATAAGCCCTAGTGTGTTTTTTTCCCTTCTATGTGTCCATGTGTTCTCATCATTTTGCTCCTGCTTACAAGTAGGAACATGAGGTATATGGTTTTCTGTTCCTGTGTTTGTTTGCTAAGGATAATGTCCTCCAGCTCCATCCATGTCCCTGCAAAGGACATGATCTCATTCGTTTTTATGGCTGTTTAGTATTCCGTGGTGTATATGTACTACATTTTCTTTATCCAGTCTATCAATGATGGGCATTTAGGTTGATTTCATGTCTTTGCTATTGCAAATAGTGCTGCAATGAACATACACATCATGTGTCTTTACAGTATATCTATTACTATATAAAGCATAGCATTGTTTTCTATGATTTAAAATTATATATAAATGGTCTCACACTGCCTATAGACTGTTGTGAATCTAGTTCCTTGATTTTTCCACTGATGTATATTTTACATTGTTGGTTTCCACAATATGTTTAGCCATTTTACTATTGGTAAATTAGAGTTATTTCTAGAATCTTGCTATTTCACACAGTGCTACAACATTCTTTTACATGACTCTGGTGTCCATTTGTAGGAATTTCTTTAGGGTGTAAAACCAGCAGAGGAATTGCTGTGCCATCCGTAGCTTATTAACAGTGAATTGTTTTCCAAAATTGTGCTAATTTTTATTCCTACCAGCAGTACATAGATGTTCCATTTGCTTCATATCTTTGCCAAAACTTTATTTTATTAGAATTTTTATTTCTTGGCTGATTTGGTAGTGAGAAATGTTTTGATTGTGATTTTAAATTGTATTTCCAAGATTACTCATAAGGGTCATATTTTTCACATTTTTATTTTGGTTTGTTTATTGTGGTATAATTTGCATACAGTAAAATTCACCCTTTTTAGATTTCTTAAGATTTTAGTGGCAATTTGGGCTTTCTTTTTCATGATGTGCCTGCCCATAACTTTTGTTCATTTTTCTATTGAGTTGTCTGTCTTTTTCTTAAGGTTTTACAGAAGTTCTTAATGCATTGGGAGAATTCTTAGTAGACTGTTGTAATACAGATATCCTATAATGTATCTTAAAATTTATAATTTTATCATTCATAGATAAGTCTTTATTCCAGCTGGAAATGCTGGTTGTATATGGTGTGAGGTATAGGTCCACTTTCTTTTCCATCACTGATAGCAAATGTCCCCACAACATTTATTGAAAATGCCATTCTTTCTCAACCAGTCTGTATGTGATTTAGAGCATATTGAAATTTTTCATATTTGTTTGATTCTGCTTCTGAGCTCTTCCTTGTTTTGGTGAATTTGTTATGTCTACTCCAATACCACACTGACCTATTATAACTTCAAAATAATTCTTGATATATGAAAAAAAAGACCCCACTTTGTTCTTAAGGAGGACCACCAACAAAGATTGTGGAGATTTTGGTGCAGTTGTATTGAATCTATGTTGTCAGCAAAATTTTAAAATTTCTCCATAGAGATATCTCTAGTTATCTGTTGTTGATGTAACAAATCATCCCAAAACTTATTGACTTAAAAACAATAAAAATCATCTTATTGCCCCTTATGGTTTCTGTGGTTGGGGTTCACCTGGCAGTTCTGGCTCAAGATCTTTCAAATGGTTGCAGTGAGATGGTGGCTGAAGCTGGATGGGGTAAAGATGATGGGGAAGGGGGAATGTCCAGCAGCTGAAAGATAGCCAGACATCTCACTTCATGCAGTTACAGGGCCTCTCCCTGTGGTCTCTCCACACAGGTTGGGTAGGGATTTCCTTGCAGCAAGGTGTACTGAGTTCTAAGAGCCAGCATCCTAAGAGACTGGAAATGGAAGTGCCAGTTTCTTTGAGACCTGCATTTGGAAACTGGCATAGTGTCACTTTCATCAGATTCTGATGGTCAAGCAGTTGCAGAGCCCAGATTCAAGGAAGGGGGCATAGATCCCACTTCAGGATGGGAAGGTTGTCAATTTTGCAATCATATTTTAAAACTGTGCAACTTTTATTAGATGGATTCTGAGAAAGATTTTTTAATGTTTTTTCCAAGTGGTGTCTGGTTTACAGATTGCATTTTCTAATGTTTGGTTGCTGATATATAGAAATAGTGTTAAGTTATATGTCTCACCATATTGCTAACCTCTCATTAATTCTTATAATGTCTTTTGATTATTTTTTATTTCTATGTACAAAACCATGTCATCTCTACATAATGACTCTCTATTTCTATTTTTTCCATGTGTGGCTTCTTTTATTTATTGTTCGTGCCTTATTGTGCCACCTATGCCTCTAATTCAATGTTAATAAAATTGAGGAAAGCAAGAACTCTTGGCCCTAAGTTTGAAAGTAATGATTACACCCCTTTGCAATGTAATGTGAGGATTGCTTTGTTATTGGTAGTTATTTTCTTTCATGTTAAGAAATTATTTTGTATTTCTAATTTGCTGTTTAACTAACAATAATACTTAATAGGTGTTGAATTTTGTCTAATTTTTAAAAATAGAATGAAGTGATTATATGGCTTTTCTTTTTTAATCTGGTAAATTTTTAATGTTAAATCAATGTTGCATTCCCAAAATATGACTTGTTAGGTCATGAGTTATGATTTTTGTACATTGCCATATTTTTGCTAATAGTTTCTTTAGCACGTTTTTCATCTATAATTATTTGTTAGTCTCATAATTTTCCTCTCTTATAATGTCTTTGTCAAAATTTATTATTAAGGTTATGCTGAGTTCCTGAAATGAGATGGGAATTATGCTACTTTTCTGTACTTTAGTATAGTTTATAGTATAGATTAGAATTACTTGTTCCTTAACTGTTCAGTAGAACTCATTTTTTTACAAAAAATCTGAGCCTGGTACTTTTCTGTTTTTTTGTGTGTGAAAATATTTTATTTTTTTATTTGGCTTAACATTTATACAGCTATTCAGGTTTTCTAACTTTCCTTAAAATAGTTTTGGTAAGTTATTTCCTTTTTTCCCCTCCTTTCCCTGCTTTCCACCTAATGTTAAATAAGCAAAATAAAAAACTTAAATTTCTTAATTTCCCTTAAATAATTGTTAGTTTTTAAGAATCATTTAAATAACATTAAGCTTTCTTTTGTATAATGTTTTACTTCTAAAAAGCAAGTGATTTTAGGAAAGGTCTTCCATTCATTATCACTATTAGTTCTTTTTAAATCTTATCCAAAGAGAAAAAATAAGGAACCATACAGAAGGTTGAAGCTCCCCTCCCTCCAAAAATCAAGTGTTTCAGTTCATTTTAAAAGGATAATCATTAGATTTTTTTAAAAGGTTAGCCTTGATTTAGGGCAATGAATAAATGCAGAGACATGTCCAGCTCAGTGAGCAAAGCAGAACCATCTTTTTTTTTTTCCCAAAACTACACAGTATACATGACTCCACTCACATCTTAAGAGATTCTGATGTACTCCCCATTCTGTTGAAAACCAGTCTCTAGTGACTCATCATTTTGATAGGAGTTATTTATTCCTCTGTTTTATTGAAACAAAAAAGCGGATAGATAAACTATTATAAATTATCAATGCTATCTCAGAATTGGTGTCCTAATCTACTGTTTAAATCAGAGCAGAAACATTTATTGGCATGATTATTTTGGTTCCAATTTAAATAGAAGCAACTCTCGATGCCTTTCAAACTTGTTACATAATGTGGGAATCTTTCCTATAATATTCCTGATGAATATTGAGCCAGTCTAGTCCTGTCCATCTTTCCATTCATGAAATATGTTATGGATACAGTCAATTCTAGTGTTCTAATGTAGATAACATTCTCTTTTCTTTCTTTTTAAAAATTTGTACAAATTGAAGGGATACAAGTGCAGTCTTATTACATGGATATATCGCTTAGTGGTAAAATCTGGGCTTTTGTTGTATCCATCACCTGAATAATATACTTCTACCCATTAAGTAATTTCTCATCCTTCACTCCCCTTGCACCTTCCTACCCTTCGGAGTCTCCAATGTCTATCATTCCACACTCTATGCTCATGTGTGTGCATTATTTAGCTCCCACTTATAAGTAAGAATATGTGGTACTGGACTGTGTGGCAGAGTTGTTTAGCTTAAGATAATGGCCTCCAGTTTCATCCATGTTGCTACAAAAGGCATGATTTCACTCTTTTTATAGCTAAATAGTATTCCATTGTGTATATACACCACATTTTCTTTATCTGAACATCCATTGATAGACACTTACATTGATTCCATATCTTTGGTATTGTGAATAGTGCTACTTTAAACGTATAAGTGCAGGTGTCTTTTTGATAGAATGATTCCTTTCCCTTTGGGTAGATACCCAGTAGTGTGATTGCTGGATTGAATGGTAGTTCCATTTTTAGTTATTTGAGAAATCTCCGTACTGTTTTCCATAAAGGGTGTACTAATATACATGCACTGTTAACTTTTAGAATTTCTTCAAAACTTCCTCTTAAAAAAATTTTTAATTTACAATAATAATTGTATATATTTATGGGGTACGATGTAATGTTTTGATATATGTATACATTGTGGAATGATCAAACTAGTTAACATATCCATCACCTCATCTACTTATTTTTTTGTAGTGAGAACATTTGAAAACTATACTTTTAGCAATTTTGAAATATACAATGTTATTATTAACTATGATCATCATGCAGTGCAACAGATCACTAAAACTTATTCCTCCAGTCTAACTGAAATTTTGTACCCTTTGACCAACATGCCCACTTTCCTCATCCCCTTGACCCCAGCCTCTGGTAACCACCATTCTACTCCCCATATCTATGATAGAATACACTTTTGCAAAGCTTTTAATCATTGATCCATTTCATTGTAATCTATTTCCCACACTTAGACCAAGAATTATCTTCTCTAAATTAGAGATGTCTAGCTCCTACAATCACATTTTGCACATTAGTGTACTACTCCCTTCACTATCATTGTTGCTTTCTTCTGACTATACTTAATTATCCTGCCCTTATAATGACAGTAATAAGAACAGGACACATCCTCCTTGCCCTAGAGTACTATCCGTTTCCACCTGGAAAAATTTAAGACTCAATTCTTCCTCCCTTGTCCCTCCCTTCCACCCTCTCTTCCTCTCTTTGCTCCCTCTCTGAAGTGATCATTGAGAACTATGTCCCAGTCATTGTTCTAGAATGAGTTACTGCACAAAATGTTCTTGTCATTATGGTGTTTACATTCTAGCAGCCTGTGATTTAAAACCACAAACAAAAGCTATTGCATATTATGGGAGATAAAAAATTCTATGGAATAAAAACAAAGCAAGGTAAAAAGGCTAGGTGTTTGATATTTATAGTAGTTTCTATTATTGCTTTAACAAATCACACAAGCTTGGTATCTTAAAAGAACAGAAATTTATTCTTACACATTGCTGGAGGCCGGAAGTCTGAAATCAAGTTTTCAGTAGGACCACACTCACACCCGAAGCTCTAGGGCTAGAAACTGTTCCTTAGCTCTTCCAGCTTCTGGTAGTTGTTGGCATTCTTTGACTTGAGGCCGCATTAGTTCAGTCTTTGTCTTCGTCTTCATATCACCATGTTCTCTGTTGTGAGTCTAATTTCTCTTTGCCTCTCTCTTATAAAAACACTTGTGATGGCATTTAAGGCCCACTGGTATAATCCAGTATAATCCAAAATCAAGATCCTTGAGTTAATCACACTTTCAAAGACCCTTTTTCTAAATAAGGTGATATTCACAGGTTCCAGGGATTAAGATATGGCCATATCCTGGGGGGCCATTATCAGCCAACCACAGTATGTATGTTTTATCCAAGCAATGAGTATTAGCATTACTGGTAAAGGTGGTGTTTTACCAAAAACTAGAATAAAGAGAGGAATTGAGCCATAAAAACGGTTTTAGGAAGAGGACACTTGGCAGAAAAAAAAATAGTCAATGCAGAGGCTCTGAGGCGAGGAACTGTTTGTTGGCTTGAGAGACCACAAAAAGCCTAGAAAGACTGGAGTAGAATTAGAGGGAAGGAGAGTATTAGGTGATGAATAAAAATAGGTAGCAGGAGAGTCTGCTTGTGTATGTTCTCCCTGGTTGCTGTATGGATCTTGGCTGTTACTCCGAATGACATGGAAGACATTGGAGGATTCTGACCAGCAGAGTGAAAATGTATGACTATGTTTGTTTGTTGTAGTGATGATATAGTGTGGATGTTTATCCTGCGAAATTTCATGTTGAACTGTAATCCCCAATCCTGGAGGTGTGACCTGGTGGGAGGTGATTGGATCATGGGGGTGGATTTCTCATTAATAGTTGAGCACCATCCCTTTGGTGTTGTCCTCATGACAGTGAGTGAATTCTCCCTAGGTCTTGTTGTTTAAAAAATGTGTGGCATTCCCTCTCACTCTCTCTTGCTCCCTGCTCTTGCCATGTGACATGCCTGCTCCCACTTTGCCTTCTGCCATGATTGTAAGCAGACCAAGGCCTCACCAGAAGATGAGCAATGCCAATGTCATGCTCTGTGTACATCCTGCAGAATTGCGAGTTAATTAAACCTATTTTCTTTATAAATTTCCCAGCCTTAGGTATTTCTTTATAGCAACACAAGAACCAGCCTAACACACATGGTTTGTTTATTTAGTTATTTTATTTTAGATTCAAGGGGTATATGTGGAGATTTGTTACATGGGTAATGCTGAGATTTTGGCTTCAGGTGAACTCATCACTCAAGTAGTGAATGTAGTACCCAATAGGTAGTATTTCAACCCTTGCCTCCCTTCCATACTCTCCCCTTTTGGAGTTCCCAGTGTCTCTTATTTTTTATCTTTATATCTATATGTACCCATTGTTTAGTTCCCACTTATAAGTGAAAATATGCAGTGTTTGACTTTCTATGAGTTATTTCACTTATGATAATTACCTCTGGTTGCATACAAATTGCTGCAAAAGACATGATTTCATTATTGTTTATGGCTGTATAGTATTTAATGCTGCATATAAACCACATTTTCTTTATGCATTCAACCACTGATGGACACTTAGGTTAATTCCATGATTTTGCTATTGTGAATAGTGCTGTAATAAACATACAAGTATATTTTTGGTATAATTATTTCCTTTCCTTTGGGTAGATACCCAGTAGAAGGATTGCTGGGTTGAATGGTAGTTCTATTTATAGTTCTTGGAAACATCTCCGTACTGTTTTCCATAGAGGCTGAATTAATTTACATTCCCACCAACAGGGTATAAATGTTCCCTTTTCTTGGTATCCTCATCAACATCTGTTATTTTTAAAAATTTTGATAATAGCCATTTTTGACTCGTGTGATTGGTATCTCACTGCATTCTCTGATGACTGGTGATATTGAGCATTCATTCTTTTTTGTTTGTTGCCCACTTGTATGTCTTGTTTTAGAAGTGTCTGTTCATGTCCTTTGCCCACATTTAAATGAGGTTATTTTTTTTTCTTGTTGATTTGCTTAAGTACATTATTGATTCTGGATATGAGTCCTTAGTTGGATGCATAGTTGGCAAATATTTTATCTCATTCTGTAGGTTGTTTGTTTACTCATTGATTTTTTTTTTTTCTGTGCAGAAGCTCTTTAGTTTAATGAAGTCCCATTTGTCTATTTTCTTTTTTGCCGTGTTTGCTTTTGAGGAGTTGGTCATGGACTTTGCCTAGGCCAATAATCCAGAAGAGTTTTTCCTCTAATATTTTCATAGTTTCTTGCCTTACATTTAGATCTTTAACTCATCTTGAATTAATTTTTATATATGGTGAGAAATAAGAGTCCCATTTCATTCTTCCGCATATAGCTAATTTTCCCAGCACTATTTATGGAATAGGGTGTCCTTTCCCCAGTATATATTTGTGTTGACTTTGCCAAAGGTCAGTTAGTGGTAGGTGTGTGGATTTATTTCTGGGTTACCTATTCTGTTCCATTGATCTATGTGTCTATTTTTGTACCACTAGCATGCTGTTGTGGTTACTATAGACGTAAGAGGTATGGTTTGAAGTCAGGTAATGTGATGCCTCTGGCTTTGTTCTTTTTGCTTAGGATTCCTTTGGCTATTTGGGCTACTTTCTGGTTTTAAATGAATTTTAGAATTGTCTTTCTAATTCGGTAAAAAATGAAGTTGGCAACTTCATAGGAATTGTGTTGAATCTGTAGATTGCTTTTGGCAGTATAGTCATTTTAACAATATTGATTCTTCTTATCCATGAGCATGAGATGCTTATCTGTTTGTTCATGTCATCTACAATTTGCTTCATCAGTGTTTTGTAGTTCTCCTTATAGAAGTCTTTCACCTCCCTAGTTAAATATATTTCTAGGTATTTTAATATTTTAGGCTATTGTAAATGGGAATAAGTACTTGATTTAGTTCTCAGCTTGAACATTGTTGATGTATAGAAATGCAACTAATTTTCATGCATTATTTTGTATCCTGAAACTTTACTGATTCAGGATTTATCAGATTTAGGAATTTTTTGGAGGAATCTTTAGAGTTTTCTAAGTATTAGATCATATATCTGCAAACAGAGATAATTTAACATTACTCTTCTCTAATAGATGTCTTTTATTTCTAATTTGGATGCCTTTTATTCAACTCTTTTGCCTGATTACTCTGTTTTTTTGTTGTTGTTGTTGTTTTTTTTTTTTTTTTTTTTTTTGAGACAGAGTCTCACTCTGTCCCCCAGGCTGGAATGCAGTGGTGCAATCTCGGCTCACTGCAACCTCTTCCTCCTGGGTTCAAACAATTCTCGTGACTCAGCCTCCCAAGTAGCTAGGATTACAGGTGACTGTCACCATGCCCGGCTGACTTTTTTTTTTTAGTAGAGACAGGGTTTCACCATGTTGGCCAGGCTGGTCTCAAACTCCTGACCTCAGGTGTTCTACCTGCCTTGGCCTTCCAAAGTGCTGGGATTATAGGTATTAGCCACTGTGTCTGGCCTTAATTCTTAGGGGAAATGCTTCTAACTTGTGCTGTTCAGTATGATGTTGGCTGTGGGTTTGTTGCAGATAGCTCTTATTATCTTGAGGTGTGTTCCTTCAATGCCTAGATTTTTGAGGCTCCTTAGCATGAAGGAATGTTGGATTTTATCAAATGCTTTTTCTGCATCTGCTGAGATGATCACATTATTTTCATTTTTAATTATCTTTACTTGTTGAATCATATTTATTGATTTGCATATGTTGAACCAACCTTGCATTCTTGGTATAAAATCCATGTAATTTTGATGAATTACCTTTTTCATGTTCTACTGTGTTTGATTTTCTAGTAGTTTTTGAGAATTTTTGTGTCTATGTTCGTCAGGGATATTGGCCTATTGATATTCATTTTGTGTGTGTGTGTCCTTGACAGATTTTGGTATCAGAATGAACTGGTTTTATAGAATAAGTTAGGTTGCAATAGGTTCAATAAGATTGGTAACAGCTCTTCTTTGTGTGTCTGGTAGAATTCAGCTGTGAATCCGTCTGCGCCTGGACTTTTTTTGGTTGATAGATTTTTTTATTAGTGATTGAATTTTATAACTAATTATGGGTCTGTTCAATATTTCAATTTCTTCCTGGTCTAATCTTTAGAGGTTGTATGTTTCCAGACATTTATCCATTTCCTCTAGGCTTTATAGATTGTGCACAGAGGTGTTCATAGTAAGTCTCTGAGGAACTTTTGTATTCTATGGTATCAGTTTTCATGTCATCTTTATTATTTCTAATTTTGCTTATTTGAATCTTCTCTTTCTCTCTTGGCTAATCTACCTAAGTCTACTTTGTTAATCTTTTCAAAGAACTAACCTTTTGTTTCATTCAACTATTGTATGACTTTTTAAAATCTCAATTTCATTTAATTCTGCTCTGATCCTTGTTATTTCTTTTCTTCTGCTAGCTTTGGGTTTGATTTGTTCTTGTTTTTCTAGTTCTTTCAGGTGTGATGTTAGGTTGTTAACTTGAAATCTTTCTACATTGTAAGATGTAGGCCTTTGATGCTATAAACTTTCCTCTTAACACTGCTTTTACTGTATCCTAGAGATATTGGTATGCTGTCTCTATTTTCATTTGTTTCAAATTTATTTTGATGTCTGCCTTAATTTCATTATTTACCCAAAAGTCATTCAGGAGCAAGTTGTTTTATTTCTATGTACTTGTGTGCTTTGAGAGTTCCTCTTGGTATTGATTTCTAATTTTATTCTGCTGTTGTCTCAGAAAATACTTGATATGATTTCAGGTTTTTTTAATTTATTGAGATTTGCTTTGTGACCAAACATATGGTCAATTCTGAACAATGTGCTATGCACAGATGAGAAAAAGTGTTTATTCTGTGATTGTTGGGTGGAATGTTCTGTAGATGTCTATTAGGTTCATTTGTTCAAGAGTCTAATTTAAGTCCAGAGTTTCTTTGTTAGTTTTCTGTCTCAATAATCTGTTTAGTACAGTCAGTTGGATGTTGAAGTTTCCCACTATTATTGTATGTTTATTTTCTTAAGTCTAATAGTATTAGTTTTATAAACCTGTGTGACCTGGTGTTGGGTGCATAGGTGGGTTTCTTGAAGGCAGCAGATGGTTGGGTCTTGCTTTTTTAAAATCCCATTTTCCAGCCAGTGTCTTGTAAGTGGAGGATTTAGACTGTTTATGTTCAAATTAATATTGACGTATAAGGTTTTGTTCCTGTCATGTTGTTAGCTAGTTGCTTTGTTGTCTCAATTGTGTAATTGCTTCATAGGATCTGTGAACTTTGAACTTAAGTATGCTTTTATGGTAGCAAGTATTGTCCTTTCAATTCCATCTTTAGAATGCCATTGAGCATTTCTTATAGGTCTGGTCTAGTGGTGACAGATTCTCTTAGCATTTGCTTATCTGGGAAAGACTTTATTGCTCCTTTGTTTATGAAACTTATTCTGGCAGTATACAAAATTCTTGGCTGGCATTTTTTTTTTCTTTAAGAAGGCTAAAATTGGGCCCCTAATCTTTTCTGGCTTATAAGGTTTCTGCTGAAAAGTCTGCTGTTAGTCTGGTGGGTTTATCTCTATAGGTGATTTAATCCTTTTCTTTAGCTGCCTTTAAGATTTTTTTTTAGCATTTACCTTGGATAGTCTGATGACTATATTGCTTTGGTGATGTTTGTCTTGTAAAGTATCTCACAGGTGTTCTCTCAGTTTCTTGTATCTGGATATCTACTTCTAGGAAGATTAGATAAATTTTCCTGAATCATTCCCTCAAATATGTTTTCCAAGTTGATTACTTTTTCTTCTCTCTCAGGAATGCTTATTAGTCACAGGTTTGGTTGCTGTACATAATCCCATATTTCTTGAAGACTTTGTTCATTTTGTAAAATTATTTTTTCTTAATTTTTGTCTGACTATGTTAATTCAAAAGACCAGCATTCAAGCTCTAAAATTCTTTCTTCTGCTTGGTCATGTCTATTATTAAAGACTTTAATGATATTTTTACATTCATTCAGTTAATTTTTTAACTCCCAAAGTTCTAGCTTTTTTTTTAAATATAGCTTTCTCATTTTCATAACCTGAATCATTTTTCTGTGTTTGTTTTTTGTGTGGTGGTTTTCATCTTTCTCTTGAATTTAATTGAGCTTCATTGCAATTCATACTTTGAATTATTTATGTGCCATTTCAGAATTTTCATTTTGGTTAGGGTTCATTGGTAGAGAGTGAACGCAGTCTCTGTTGGTGTCAAAACACTTTGTCTTTATTGCCAGAGTTCTTGAACTTATTCTATCTCATCTGAAGGAGCTGTTGCTTCTTATATTTGCATATGCTATAATTTGAAAAGGCCTTTTAAATTTTTTTAATTATTTGTTTCCTTGAGTGTATGAGTGTGGATTATGCTGTCATTTGACTTCATTTCTGGGTTCTTTCAACGGGCTGAGGCTCTGTGTCGGTTTTTTCGTTGTTGAGGTAGCCTTTGTGCGGCTGCCTTCTCAAATGCTGCTTTTTAAAAAGTGATATGTTGGTTATATGTGCTGACACACTATCTTCTGCAGTGCTAAGAGTGTGGAGGTCTCAGGAAGCTTATCTCATATACTAGTGCTATGTCCTGACAGCAGGTTTACTATTTGGTGGTGCAAATCAATCTCCTATCCAGTAGGTGGTGCTTAAGAATAAGAGCCGGCTCACTTTCAGGTGCCCATTAATGAGTGGAGCTGCCTGCTCTGTTCGTGGATAGGGGTGGGAATGAGGAATCATGTTAGGGTGGCTGAGGTCTCAGGGGTAGGGTAATGGTGGGGGCTGCACCAGTTCCTCAACCTAGGCAGGCAGGACTGGAATCCACTTCCCTATTGCCCCTGATGCAGGGTCATGATCTTCAATTCATGTAGATGTCCCTTGACTCCCAGTCAAGGCTGAGGACTGTGGAAACACTCCTCTAGCTGGACCACCAAAATGGGTTTGGGGCAGAGCCTCTCCCCTTAGTCCAGAGCAGACAGCTCTGCAGTTTGTCTGCCCTATGTTGCTGGGACACTGCTGTTGTGTGTGAGGAGAGGGAGATGAGCCCATTCTTTGTGGAAGCCCATGTGGCATGGGCTCACTTTCAACAGGGTGCAGCTGCAGAATAAAATGATGAAAAGGCTGTCTCTAAGTGCTCATGCACTGGCTTCCAGTCAGGGGAGCCTCTTCTCCATCCACAACAGGGTTAGGTGGAGGGGAAAATAATCCTCTCCTCACATGTGTTCCTGGCCACTGGTGCTGACTGCTTCAGTGATTGGTGCCACACCTACATTTCCATTGTCTCAGGGCGGGCTTTGGTGGACTGTGCTCCTCCCTCCCCTAGGGGAAGTTCATGTCAAGGGCTCGATTTTGGGGAATGCTGCAGCTGCAGGGACCTGGCAGGGCCCTACCAGTCCCCTGTTGTTGCCAAAGCAGAGTGAGTTGTGGGGTAAGTTTGTGGGCACGCTGGTGATGCAGTGACCTAAGGGCTGAGGTTCACTGGGCAGGGCAGTTGTTCAGAAAGGATGCAGGTCCAGTATGGTGTCTTCTATTTTGGTTCAGGCCTGAGAGGAGTATGAGCATACCTGTGTGAGCTGGCCACCTGGTTTCCTGTTTCCAGGAAGTTTTAAAATTGCAACCAACAGTGGTGCTCAGGATCACAAGGACAGAGTGGCATGCTGACACTTTGGATGTCAGCAAATTGTCATAGGGGGAGTGGAGCAGAGAAGCACCCCACCTACCATTTCCATATGGTTCTGGGTTCCTCGAGGGTCAATCTCTGCCAAACTTGCTACTTTCCTTTTCTGTAACCCAGCTTCTTCCCATGGGCTCTGACAGGTCCTGGCTCTCTTTCCTCAGCTTTCCATTTGAATCATTGCCATTCACCTGTAACTTGATCTTTCTGAGGAGATTTGGCATCTGAAGTCCCTGGTCAACCATCTTGAAAAAAAGGGTAATTTTATTTTTTAAATTGACAAATAATATATATATATATTTATATATTTATCATGTAAAACATGATGTGTTGACATATGTATACATTGTGAAATGGTCCAATTGAACTAATTAACATATGTTTTCTTACATGCTCCGTTTTTGTGATGAGAACACTTAAAATCTCTCTTAGTGATTTGCAAAATAAAATACCTTATTATTAACTATAGTCACCATGTTGTACAATAAATCTCTTGAATTTATTACTTCTGTCTACTTGAAATTTTGAATCCTTGACCAATATCTCCCCAACCACCACCCCTCCCTGGTAGCCACCATTCTACTCTCTAAACAGACATTTCTCAAAAGAAGACATAAAAATGGCCAACCAGGTTATGAAAAGTGCTCACCATCACTAATCATCAGGGGAGTGCAGATTAAAACCACAATGAGAGATCACTTCACCTTTGTTAGACTAAAGATAAGATAAAGATAAAGACTAAAGATAATACATGTTGGCAAGAATGTGGAGAAAAGGGAATACCCGCACACTGTTAGTAGGATTGTAAATTGGCATAGCTATAATCGAAAACAGTATGGAGGTTCCTCAAAAAATTGAAAATAGAACTATCATATGATCCAGCGATCCCACTACTAGGAATAAATCTAGATGAAATGAAATCAGCCTGTTGAGAGATATCTACACTCCCATGTTTATTGCAGTATTATTTATAATAGCTAATATATAGAATCAACCTATGTGTCCATCAGTGGACAAACGGAGAAAGAAATGTGGTATGTATACAAAAGGGAATACTATTCAGCCTTTAAAAAGAAGGAAACCTGTCATTTGCAACTACATGGAAGAACCTGGAGGACATGGTGGTTTGACTGTTTTAAAGGATCACTCTGGTTGTTGTTTTGGGAATAGACTGAATGGGGGCAATAGTGGAAGTGGTGAGGCAGGTTAGGAGACTATTGTAATAGTACGTGTGAGAGAGGGTGATGACTTGGATCATCTATGATAAGCCTTTTACCCCCAAAGGCAAATGTTTCTCTTCCCTTATTACATCCCCACCAAACAATATTATAAAATTATTCACTTATTTTTTCTCCACTGAGCAGGCACTATGGCTAACTTATATTTTCATATTCCCTTCAGTACAAAATCTAGTCATTTCACATCACTGAAAATAATATTTCTAAAACATTAGTCAGCTAACATAACCCCCCTTCTTTAAAACCCTCTGTTTCCTCATTGCACTAAAAATAAAGCTCAGATTCTTAATTATAAGAAGGAAAATTATATGGTTTCTGCCTAGCTCTTCAAATCATCTCCATCAGTGACTCTTCTAGCTCACTACACTCCCATCAAAATGGTTCTCTTTGTCTTCCTGAAACATGCCAAGCTGGTTCCCACATTAAAAAAAAAAAAAATGAACCAAGGTGGTTCCCACATTAAAAAAAAAAAATTGCCCAGAATGCTCATTCCTAGGTCTTCATTTCCTATCTTATCACTCATTCTCAACTTAAAAGTCATCTTCTTAGAGAGTCTTTTCTTGACCATATTATATAGCTTCCCAGTTATTACATCACATCCCCCAGCTTTATTCTCAGCTTTTATGACCACATTAAGGTTTCTGGTTTAATTATTTATTTATTGCTTATCTCTTGTCTCACCCTCACCCACCAGAATGCAAACTCCATGAATGAAGGAATTATTGAATTTTGTTAAATGCCAATCCCTCATATTTAGAAAAATTCCTGAAACCTATGATCTACCAATACATGTTCGCTAAGTGAAAGAATAAATTAATGATTAAAGATCAAATGCTTAATACATGCCAGATATTTTGTTAACTACTTTATGTAGATTGTTTTAGTTATTTCTCAAGACTCTCCTGGGCCTAGACTCTAGACTCTGCTCATTTCTTTAGTTGTAACTCTTGCAACTCTTCCCTCCTTCATGCAACTCCTACCTTTCCCTTGGCCCCTGACATTCCTTCCCTAACTGCCATTTTCAGTAAGACTATATTTACCTTAGTTTGTAAATACGCTATGATTTTTTTTTTCAGTTTTGTGCTTTTGGGCCATCTATTAAAATGAATTTCTTTCTTTTTTTTTACTGAACACACGTCTAGCTATCCTTGGAGTTCAAACGTGAAATTATCTCTTTCACACAGTCAGCTATTAAACACATGCTAGGTTCCAAGTAATGGAGAAGCAATGGCATACAAAATAGGTGTGACCTTATTCTTTTAGAGCCTGAAATTGCATGGAGGAGACTGAACAGAAAAACCTCTCAAATAGACATGGAGTTTCAAACTTTAAAACTTGGCCTCAAGAAAAGACAAAGGGTGCCAGAATCTAACATACACCAGGCAGTCTAAAAAAGTTTCTTAGAAGGAGGAGTCTTTTCAGCAGAAATCCCTTCTTAAAGGCTAGTTGGGTTCTCTTCTCTGTGTTGTTGTAGCACAAAGTGGTTAACACCATCACAGTCTTATTGAGGTTTTAAAATTGTCTACTTATTTGAGCAACCAGAAACAATGTCTTATTCATTGTTTATTGTAAGAATTATCACAGGTCCCATTCCAAATTATGTGGGTATCTAATAAATATCTGTTGAGAAATGTATTGAATAAATAAAAGCCCATTGCATAATAGGAAAGCAATATTTCTTGAATGAATGATTGAACACAATTCTCCACATACGAGTTTGAGGATCATGTAGAGTGAGATTAATTCACGTTAACTGGACCCTCTAGTACTAATGCAACCTGAAAACATATCAGCCCTTTATAGTGGCCATATCACATTACAGTAATAAAGTTTTAAACAGGTAAACAATCATGTTATCATTCTGCAATACTTATATGGGAATTGATATCAACTGACATATATCTATGAATAATCTTGTATTCTAGTTTCAAAACATAATTTGGATTATAAAACGGCTGAATTTCACTTAAAATTTCATAGATTTTTGTATTTCTCACATCAATTTTTATATTGTTTAAAATATTTTTCATGCTTAATTTGCCTCTTCATTTGTGTAATGCTAATGGGCTGTTATTGACTAGTGTCTCCAGTTCAGTTCATCGCATACTGGGCAGTATTCATAAAACGCTCCTTATATGCCAGCTGAAATTGGTAGTGGTTTGAAGGCAGAGAGCCAAATTCATCAAAAGGATAATGGCTAAATATATTTTGTTTTGTTTTCTGAATTTTAATGACTGAATGGAAGACTTATTCATTATTTATCTATTTTTGAATTTTATCAAATAGTTCTAGTGGTAATTACCCTATCTCTGTATTTATAGAAAAGTGGCACATTATCAACATAATAGCCTGATTCCATATTTATGAAGTATCTGTTAAAATTATAAATATAGATACATGGAACGATGTGATTAATGCCAGGGAAAGCCACTTATAGGTTAAAAATGGGGGAAAAAAACTACAACTAGCTAGCACCTTTGATGAAATTAGTATTCTGTACTTGAGTTCCATTTGGGGAAAAAAATCTATTATTCTCCTTTAAAAACACAATGTATTTTAAAGGGAAATGTACATTTTTTCTTATTAATCAACAATATGAAGGCAAAAAATACAGTAAATATTTCATTATATTCTACATTGCAGTTTAAATTACATTGGACCCATGATTTATTACCCCTTTGGTATAAAAAAGGCTAAAGTAAACTGTGGGTACAGATGTCAATGATTTCACATATCTACATTTTTAGTTATCATAGTTATGAAAATTTTTATTATATTTACCATTTTGTAGAGAAACACCAAACAAACCCTATTTTTATAGAGAAGGAATTTGACAAATGAAAAAAAAATAAAGGCAAATCAACTTTTAAAAGACAATAATTTAGAAATATGGAATGTAGAATAATAAATTTATAAGATTTTTTCTGCATTAGATATAAAATTATATAAATTATGACTTTACATTAGTAAATATTTACAAATTAGAAATTGAGAAATTTGCAAAAAAATCTATATTTTTTTACTTAGGTTCAATAGACTTGGGTAGCTTGCGAGTCTCTCAACTCTATTTTTTTAATAACGCTATATAGCATGTATATATATTTAGTGTGTGTGTATATATATTATGTGTGTGTGTCTGAGTGTATATATTATGTGTATTGTGTTTTTTCTACTGATTAGAAGTAGAGTGAGTTGGAAGTGAGTTTCCCTTTCCCAAAAAAATGAATAGAATTGTACTTCACTTAAACTCCTAGCTAGGGTTTGCCATATAGGCTTTTTGAATAAGGCAGACTGGGCTTCCATCAAATTCAATGGGTTGAACTCCTGATAATTTTTTCTACTCGGTGATCATTTGTGAAGGCATGCTACTTGTTCACCAGAAGAGCAAGAACCACCGAATCCCTGCAAGTTGACATCTTCTACATACAGAACTTCAAAAATTCAACAAAAAGAAGTTGAGATTAAGTGAACCTTCACCATTAAGTAAATTTTGAACAGTTACTCAAATATAATTTTACAGGACAAATACCAGTAACTATCAATCCCTAACTACTAGAGTATCAACAGAACATCTCTTAGTTCAGCACAGTCTGGGTAGTGTCTGTGGGGATTCTGGTTTGAACCCTTTTCATTTCTTTGCTTTGTTTAGTTTCATATACTGATCTACTTCTGTGTCCTGTGATATGCATATCCTAAGCTAATGATAACCCTGTGTCACAGCTGATATACTCATTGAAGAGTGCTTATGATAAAAAACTTTTTAGATTAAATTTTAAAAGGCTCACAAGCTTACAAAAAGTTGCAAATATAGTGCAAAGATAAGTGTTTTTCCTGGAATCATTGAAGAATAAATTTTTGACCTATGCCCCATTGCCCCTGAAACATTAGTGTGTATTTCCTACGAATAAGGACATTCTCTTACATAACCACAATATAACCATCAAAATCAGGAAATTAACACTGATGAATTACTGCCATTTAATCCTCAGACCTCATTCAAAATTTTCCAGTTGTCCTCATAATGTCTTTTATAACAAAAGAATTCAATGTACAATCTTGAGTTGGATTTCTTTTTCTTACCTCTTTAATTCCCTTCATTTTGGAATAGTTTGTCAGTTTTAACTTTCATGGCCTTGATACTTTCAAAGATGACAGGCTGGGTATCTTGTGGAATATCTCTCAAATTGGGTTAGTCTGGTGTTTTCTCATGATTAGGAATGGATTATGCATCTTTGACAAAAAGAATCACAAAATGATGCTCTTCTGTTTTTATTGCATCTTATCTAAGGGTGCATGATTTTGACAGGCCCACTCTTCATATTTATCTAGATCACTTGTTTAAAGCACTGCCTGCCAGCTTTCCCTACTTTAAAGTTACTCTTCTCCTTTTTAGACAATAAGCATTTTTATGGGAACTCTGAAGTGCTGTAACATAGCTTGTTTCTCATCAAATATTAAATTTATTATTTTTGTATTTCATTCGTTCATATATAATTGTTTGAACTCATGGTTTCCAAATTTGTTCAATGAGTTATAATTTGTTATAAGTGTTATTTATTTTAATGTTAAATTATCCCAGATTTGATCAATGGCAATCCTTTCAAGCTGCCCTCCACATCCTTTTTGACATGTTTTTAATCATTTTACAAATAGTTCCTTGATTTCCAGCGCAAAAAGCTATTCCAGACTAATCTTATACTTCCTTTGCTGCAGTCCCGGACTCAACTCTTTCTCCAAAGATCCTTGGTCCTTGTGGTGCAGAATGCTATTTAGAAGCCAAGATCTGGGAGATAAATGTGTTTACTATTACTGAGATGTGCTGCTCCCAAGTCTTCTCAGTGGACAAAGTTAGAGATATATGTATGTATATGTATTTATGGCTATACATACATACTTAGACATAAACTTCTGTGTCTTTTTCTCTTTGTCTCTATTTCTATCCTATGCATTCATAAAGATACTTCTAATTCTAATAAAAAAACCACTTATTCTAGCATCTTGCTTTCAATACTTATAATCTGTTTTCCAAACATGAAAAATCTGATCCCATTATCATTCATATATTTACTTTTTCTGGGATATGTAATAGGTCATTTATTATTAATACAACGTGTGTTAATAATAAATAACCTATTGGTTGATACTATAAATATAAAACCAAAATATACCAGTATAATATTTATACTATAATGTAATAATAAATAACATATTGGTTATATATTTATATTATTTATTATATATGTATTATGTTCACATTGTTATATATGTTATTATATATTTATATTATTTATGATATGAATAATATATTATTAAATAAATAATACTATATTATTATGTAAATAATATGTTATAAATAATACAAAATAAATATAATATAGTAATTGTCATAACACAAGTATCAATTACTCTGTTTTCATGCTCTAACTAATCAGGAACAAAAATATCAAAATGACTGCTCTTTTTTGAACAAAGCGTGATTTATCTTAATGAGTAACTTCCTCTGCTCATTCTGTCTATCACTGAAGTGGAGCTTCTCATGGGGTTTCAAGGGGATGGTTACTTGATGTTCACTACATACACACATTTAGAAATAGTCATTAAAAACATTGCTCACAGTTTGAATAGCAATTCAGAAAAACATTTATATATATTCTGTATCAAAGACTCACATTGACCTAAGCCTAAGAGATTTCAGCTACATGTAACCACACAGATATCCAAGGGTAATATCATCAGCTTACTTCAGCCCACATCTGTGCTGCTTCACTATTTCTTGGGATGGAGTTCATATGAGGCAGGACAGATATTCAGCCCTTAGGTAAAGTAGCTGCTACAAAGGAAGGCCATTCACATGTGAAAGCATCAGTTGTGGCATACTTCATTTCACACAGGCAAAAACAACTTAGTAAATGCTCACATTGGCACTACTTTCTCTAGAAACATACTCATGTGATGGGAGAACTGTAGCGGAATCTCCACAGTCTGAAGCTCCATCCTCAGATCTGCTCCAGGTCTCTGCTATGGGTGCTTTGTCTGGGAGGCATTTTGCTCCCTCTGACCACATTGCAAACCACATTTGGGTCTCTGTCTTCTTTTGGAAAAAATGTGTACCTCTCTGATTATCTTTAGCAACCCTGACTTTAGTAGGAAAACCCTCAGAAATGTGTTTCTTTTATTTATTAATTTATTTAACAAATCTTTATTAAGCATCTACTATGTGCTACACACTGAGAATGGTGCTAAGGATACAAATGTGGGCTGCCTGACACAGTCTCCATCTTCACAGTCTACTGAAGAATATAAACAATGAATGGGCTGAACCTAAATTATCCCAGATAGCTTTACCCTGTGAATACAAATGTAAATCATGTTAGCATTAAATGATCAGATTTCCCACTGCCCCTGCAGACCCATCTTCCATTCCTGTCCACCCTGCTCTGTTCCCTGGAGGTTGACCCATATAGAATAAGTTGACAGTTTCCATTCCCTCTGATTTCTGCTTCTCTTACATCCACACCTTTGTAAATACCACCTTTATAAATAACCCTCTGTGCACTACCCTATTTGAGTGTGCCATCTGTTTCCTGTCGGGACCTTGACAATCGCACAAGATAGACCTTTCCTATGGGTCTCATAAGAAACCATCTCACACATCTTCAAGAACATATTCATGCCCCTCGGGCTAATCTCCTCCTCCCAGCCTCCCTTTGGCATTTCTAGTGTCTGTTGCGTATTTGGAGCATCTGCTTTCTCCCACTAGTGTCCTACCACTTCGGTAACCATCACTCCACCGAGACCATTCAAGACCTGTGAAACACTCCAGGCGCCAAACCAGCGTGCATGACCTTCAGTGAGGACTGACTCACCCAGGAGGCATGGCACCTAGGGGCCCATAATACCATTAGGGGCCCAGGAACATCCTTTCTCTTTTTTAAATCAGAAGAAAAAAGTGAACTATTAGGTTAAAGAAAATGCTTTATTATGTAATATTGATATATTTGTCTTTATGTCAACACAGTCATACATATATTTCTTGATCTCTCTCTCTCTGTCTCTGTGTGTGTGCGTGTGTGTGTGTGTGTGTGTGTGTGTGAGGGGGCCCATGAAAACAAAAGTGCCTAGAGCCCACAAAAGCCATAAAGCTACCTACCATGCCTTCAGTTCTCAAAACCTGTGTATGAATCCTGTAAGGGAACTGGATGCTAATACCAACTTCTCATAATATCCTACTCAAACATTCATGCACCCTTATTTTCTCATTCTTTAGCAGAAAAACACTGTGTTCAACTCAAACATAAAGATATCTTACAGGGCTACCGATCATTGTTCATCCAATTTACCCAGCCAAGTCTGAATGACTTTAGACTCAGGCCAAAACCACGTCTACTACATAGCACCTGCAATATTGTATGAAAGGAGCTGGAAGATTGAAGTTCACAAGTGTTCTGGGATCACCTTATCCAAAGTCTGGGAGAATGGGAAGGGCTGGCAGAGGTAGCATCCAAGTTGAGACCTGTGATATGGGTAGACTATGGATTAGAGAGGAGAGCTGAGGCAGAGGGAAGGGAGTGTTTAAAGGCGCTACAGTGAGTCAGAGAAGGTGATTTGGGAGTGTGGAGTAGGAGGTAGGGGGAGTGGTGGGGTTGAATAGGTAGGGCCAACTCATAAAAGGCCTTAGAAAGAGTTTGTACATTAACCTGAGTGAAATTGTGGAGCTAGGTAATTTTTCATTTTAGAAAGTCATCTCTGGATGCATTCTGGGGAAGCTAGAGAACCAAGAAAAATGGGGCAAGAGTGGGCATGGAGAGGGTCAACTCTGCATCGCTGTAAGTGAATATAAGTTGATTGTCTAAACTCAGCAATGGTACAATTACCTGATATTTAGTATAGGAAATCAGCAGACGTATGTTAATGAATTTTAAAAAATTGAGTGAGAGGAGAGTTTTATTCCTCCCAGACTTATTAAGAGGTCTCTTAGAGACCCCAGAGAAGAAACAGGTTTAGAGGCTGGTAAAGCACAGAGTGGGGAAGAGGAGCACTTCATTTCACCCAGGCAATGATTTTCTACTGATAAGCATTAACTTCTTCAATAAATAGATATTTTTGTGTACCTACCACATTCTAGGCAATCAGGATGTAATAAAGAATCAAGGCAGACAGGATTTATGCTATTTAGAATTTGTGGTATAGTGAGAGACATACACCTTAATCAAATCTAAAACATCAACTACAGGTTATGCAAGGTGGGTACATAGAGCTCTATGACAAAGTACTACAGGTGTGAAAATAAGTAATTCAGAATCAAAGCTGTTGTATCTTTAAATTATTTTGAGCCTTAAAGAAATATAATTAAGAAACTTGAGTGATGTGACAGGCAGCTATAACCTAGAGAACTGTAACCTTATTTCCACTGATTATAGACTAGTGTTTTCTTTACCTACATTGTTTTTTAAGATGTTGTGAAAGACTAATCGATGCCAGAGAAGACTTCTTCTCTCTTAACTGTTGATCTTCCTTGCAGATTAACTTCCCTCTTACTTCCCTTATACAAAGACCCCACAACTAATCACATTGTCTAAGATGGAGTGTTAAATATACTCTGTTAAATTGTAACAAAAAAAAAAAAAAGAGAAAACAAGCTGTAACTAATGAAGTTGCTGTAATTCATGAACTAGCCTTATTTGGAAATGTGTTATTCTGTTAAATTTCTTTGTTTTCTGCCTATATAAGCAAGACCTTAACTTTTCAGCTTCTGAGCACTGACCTCATTCCTTTGGAGTCTGTGTTACCCAGATGTGTATATCAGCTTTGTGCTTCAGTAAATTATTTTAAATTGGGTTCTAATTCTTCTGATGATTTCAGATTGACCCAGGGGACTTGCAATAGTTAAAGATGCAATGGAAGATTTACTTAGTTCAGTAGTGGTTGAACTGACCTATGAAAATCATATGTGTTAGCAAGGCAAAGAGTGGGTAGATCTTTCCAAACAGATGGAACATTTTGTATAAAGGTTTGGTGGAAAGATAGAATACACTGCCTTCATGAAACTGTATGACAGTCAATGTGGCAGGCTCACAGAGGCTGGGGGAAACTTAAGACAGGATGAAGCTAGAAAGGTATACAGAAGCAAGAACACACAGAACCTAGACAAGTTAGTGTATCCAAAGTCACAGTACACAGTAAACTTTGTTCTGCAAGTTTGTCTTAAGCACTGGCAAGGGTGAGGATGAACCAACTTGAATTTTTTTTTTTTTTTTTTTTTTTTTGAGATGGAGTCTCGCTCTGTCACCCAGGCTGGAGTGCAGTGGTATGATCTCAACTCACTGCGAGCTCCGCCTCCTGGGTTCACGCCATTCTCCTGCCCCGGCCTCCCAAGTAGCTGGGACTACAGGCGTCTGCCACCACGCCCGGCTAATTTTTTTTGTATTTTTAGTAGAGGCGGGGTTTCACTGTGTTAGCCAGGATGGTCTCAATCTCCTGACCTCATGATCCGCCCACCTCTGCCTCCCAAAGTGCTAGGATTACAGGCATGAGCCACCATGCCTGGCCACCAGCTTGCATTTTTAGAGCTTCTTCTGACTTCGGGATAAAGAATAAACATATGAGGGTTGAAGAGTTGAGAGTGGAGATCCATTAGTAGGCTATTGCAGAAGTCCAGGCAATGTATTTATCTGACGGGTTCTTCCTGCCCACTGCACAGGCAAAGTCAATTCACTGAGACCCTGGCATTGCAGTAGAGAAAGTTTTATTGACACGAAGCTGACCCACATAGAAGAACTGGAGTTATCACTCAAATCACTCTCCCTGGACAGTCAAAGGTTAGGGTTTTTATGGACAATTTGGTGGGGGCTAGGGAATGAGTGCTACTGACTGGTCAGAGATGAAATCGGAGGGATGTAGAAAATTGTCCCCATGCACCAAGTCAGCCTCTGGGTGGTGACACAGGATGAGTTGAGCCATGAGTCATGAGTCCAGGTGGGGTCAGTCCAAAAAACATCTCAAAAAGCCCATCTTAGGTTCTGCAATAGCAATGTTATCTATAGAAGCGATTGGGGAAGTCACAAATCTTGTGACCTCTGGCCACATGACTCCTGAGTAGTAAATGATAATAGAAGCTACACCTACATCTTTGTAGAGCTCAGGCCCCTCCCATAATCCTATTCTTGAGAACTTTGATTAGTCTTACAAAAGTGGCTTTTGGTCCCTGAGCAAAGATGGGGTGAGTTTTAAGGAGGAACTCTTATCACCCTTGCTTTCACGTTAAACTATCAACTAAATTCCCCCCAAAGTTAACTTGGTCTATGCCCAGGAATGACCAAGGACAGCTTGGAGATCAGAAGCAAGATAGAGTCAGATTTCTCATCCTGTCATCATTTTACAAAGGTGGTTTCAGCAAGAGGTGATAACAGCTTTAACTGTGATGGTGGTGGAGGTGGAGGAATGTTGACAGATTTGAGAGATCTTTAGGAAGTAAAATAAGCAGGAATTAGTGATGAATTGTTTATGGGTGATGAGGGCCAGGAAAGTATCAGTGCTGATATCTGGAATTTATGGGACTGACATGCACTGAGACATGGAATGCTGGGAGGAGGCCTGACGGACATAAGTAGCAATGGGAGGTTGGGAGACTGAGGAGGGTATGTTCCATCTTAGGCAGATTGAGTTGGAAGTGACTTTTTGAATTAGAGTGAAGATCTCTGTCTACTGTGCTGCTTATTATGTGCTAGTTATACAACACTTGTGACCTAGTACTTCATCAGAATATTGCTCCTTTGAGGACATATTCCATGCTTTTCTCAGTCATAAGGGGGTGATTCATAATTTTTCAGATACTTGGAACTGTAGGTCTTGGTGACAAATAAAGTCAGCTTGCCACGGGGTACTTGCAATAATTTCACTCTGTAAGAATAAGTGATAACTTCTTCCCTGCTCAGGCCCTGTATCCTAGCATTAGCTCAATTCAACTCTCATCCAGTATCTCTGAGGAACGAAGTCTTTTGTTACTCCAAAGGTAATGTGCCCTCTGTTCATGGAACTTACATTCAACATTTATGAACACCTGGAGGGCTTCCCAAGGCACTTCTGATACATTCCCCACCCTTTGTGATTTGGCCCTGCCTGTCCCTCCAGCCTCTCCACCATCTACTCCCCTCGCTCAATCGGTTTTAGCTGCTTGGACCTATTTCCAATTCCTTTCACAAGCTCATTCCTGCCTCGAGACCTTCACACAGGCTTTTTCTCACTCTTTTCTTGGCTACCCTCTCCTCATCCTTCAGATTCCAGCTTATATGCCACATTCTCAGAGATATCTTTCCTGCCACCCACACCCCCCATCTAAATTAGCTATTCTATCCATTCCTTATTCTCTTTCTTGTGCTCTGCTCTTTTCTATAAAAGTACATATCACAGACAGTAATTGTATATTCATTTGTGTTTGTCTAGTGTCTGTCTCCCCAACTTAATTATAATCTATATGACAGCAGAAGCCATGTCTGATATGTTCTTCAGTACTAACACTGTGTATATCAGTCATGTTTATTCAGAAGATGAATGAATGAATGAAAACTATAGTGCTGGCTGGGCGCGGTGGCTCATGCCTGTAATCTCAGCACTTCTGGAGGCCGAGGTGGGCAGATCACAGGGTCAGGAGATCGAGACCATCCTGGCTAAGACGCCAAAACCCCGTCTCTACTAAAAATACAAAAAATTAGCTGGGCATGGTGGCAGGTGCCTGTAGTCCCAGCTACTCGGGAGGCTGAGCCAGGAGAATTGCTTAAACCCGGGAGGCAGAGGTTGCAGTGAGCCGAGATTGTGTCACTGAAATCCAGCCTGGGCAACAGAGCGAGACTCCTTTTTTTTTTTCAAATATTAAAATTTTAAATATTAAAAAAAGAGAGAGAGAGAATGGTATAGTGCCTCTGCTACGCAAGCACTAATCAAGACAGAAAGATGCGAGACAGAAAGATACGACCCCTATGCTGGATGTCCAGTAGGGGGAGGTAAATTCAGTCCTGATGTAGCATGGCAGGTGGTCTTGTGGACATATATGTACAAAGTGGTAGTGAAGCATAGAGTCACTACACACCGACTTGCCCTGTGAGTAATGGTAAAGGCTCCATAAAAAGACAGATTTTGATTTGGGTCTTTAAAGATAAAGAGTTTATTGGGAGGAGTAGGAGAGGGCAGGTAGACAGAGATTACAGTCTGTGCAAAGGTGAGAAGTTGTGAAGAGCCATGATGCTTTTGGGGCAACAGTGAAATGTCTGGCCTGTCGGAACATAGGGTAGAAGGAAGGGGATAGAGATAAGCTTTGTAAGGGATGTTGGAACAGTTTGGAAAGCCTACGCTGTTTTGTTTAGGTTTCATCCAACAGGGAATGGCAAATCATTGGAGATTTGTAAGCCAGGGAATAAGGTGAGGCCTCTGTCTCAGTAAAAGGACTCTGCCAGCGAGCGTGTGTGTGGTGGTGGAAGGCGGGGGGGTGGTTGGCGGGGAGAGGGGGTGATGCCTGATGTCAGGAAAGTGGGAGAGGAATCGGTAGCCCACATGGGAGATGACACCACTGACATGGAGGCAGTAACAGTGGAGAAAGACAACAGAGGATGGATTTTTGAGGGATCTTTAGGACTTGGACTATAATACTCTCTGAAGTCACTTTCAGCCCTAAAATTTGATGATCCCTTTATTCACTCTTTTTTGGCTTTAGAGTTTGGACCAAATATATTAGTAAAATGTTTCTGTTTTCCTAAATATAAACTCAGATAATTTATCTCTATTAGATGAAAACACAACTGAACTACGCATTATACAGAAGATTTTATGGTTTCCCTGGGATGAGGCCAGAAATGTCATGAGAAAGCACTCTGACTGGGTCACTTGGGATAGGGTTGTGAAGTGGACAATTTACGCTGAGCCTCAGATCGAAGCATCCTCATAACCCTCTTCTGCTGTCTCCTCATGACTTGGCTTTAGATGAATATGTGGCAAGAAAAAAAAATGTTCCACACTTAATTTGGGGCAGTAGGAGGAATGGACATTTCTGTATTCTTCTGTTTTCGTTGTAATGAATGTGTATTTTTGACATATAAATTTAGTGGAGTTTAATAGCAAGCAATGGATGAATTTAGATATAGTAGACTTATGGACTGCCAGAAGGCTAGGATGGAGGAGAAGGTAATATAAACTAAATGGTAGCTTACATTAAGCCTGGATGAAATTGGGAACCACAAACAGAGGGCAGCTCTGAGGAATGTTTAAGGAAGTTAAGCAATCTTTGAGTGAAACGAAAGCTCATGAATTTGGGGAAACCATATAGATAAGTGATTATTAAGTCTTTGTGAAGTTCTTTCCTGATTGTCTTTGATATATATCATCAGGAGACACCAAAGATGGAAGAAATTATTTCCTTGTCCTAAGGGAGGGTCCTACTGTCAAACGGCAGCCAGAAGACAAGAAGAGAGAGAGTGTGACAAGCCACACTGTAACCATTCAGTGGCTGCAAGGAAAATTTCCTTATCCTTGCCAATGTGGTATTTTTCTTTTGGCAGTGAAAAATTGTGGAAAAAAATATGCAAAGCCATAACAAGCAATTTGAAAAAGTTGGGGGAAGGGGATTATTCGCATGCTTTAAATAGTAATTTGTTGATTTATTTCACTCTCAGGAGAAGAAACATTTCCAAGAATAGTTTCCCTTATTTCCAGAAAAGCCTTTATATATACTTCAAGTGTCTCAGGAACCTTATCTTACACCCCCAACACAAACATTGTATTAAAAATAGTTTCAAAACTATTTCTTAGTTCAAGTTTGTAGCACATGATCCTTGCTTAACATTCTTCAGTTTTCTGCAATGGTTTTAACTAAAATAGATACAAAGTAACAGATTAATTGTGTTACTGAGAGTCTGACCTCAGCATCATGGCCTTCTGAATAATTTTAACCTAGGCCATATGTCCAGTTCCTTCAGCTAATTAATTATTAGCTACTCATTGCTAGCAGTTTCTACACTTGATTCTAGTGCCAGCTCCCCTGGGCTGAGTCATTTAACGTGAACATCTTAGTCTTCCTCATCTGTGAAACAGAATTTATATTATACCCCTCCATATAATTAATAAGTTAACTAAAGCAAAATGTGGTTTTCTTTTTTCTTTTTTTTTTTTGACAGAGTCTCTCTCTGTAACCAGGCTAGAGTGCAATGGCGTGATCTCAGCTCACTGCAACCTTTGCCTCCTGGGTTCAAGCAATTCTCCTGCCTCAGCCTCCCAAGTAGCTGGGACTACAGGTGCGCACCACCATGCCCAGCTAATTTTTGTATTTTTAGTGGAGATGGGGTTTCACCATGTTGGCCAGGATGGTCCATCTCTTGACCTCATGATCCACCCGCCTTGGCCTCCCAAAGTGCTGGGATATGTGTGTGTGTGTGTGTGCACACGCGTGAATGTTTGTGTGTGTGATGATTGGCTACAAAGTATTTTTAAGATGGCCAGTTGATTCTTTTCCTAAAGTCATGCTCCTAGAGCTACACTATTAACTGAAAAATTTTATGAATTATCTCTTACACAATCTAAGTGTGTCTATTATACTTTCCAAAAAAATTCATGTCTTTACAATAATGAAGTTGAAATTCAAATCTTCTCATCCTTTTGGGAGCTGTTGAGGTCACTGTTCCTAGAACAACATCATAATTAAGAACAAGGCTTCTCTGCTTAGTTCTGTGACATTAGGCAGTTTATAACCTCTCTGTGTCTTATTTTCTTCATTTAAAAAGTGGGGATAATCATAGTACCTTCTTCGTTGTATGGTTATTACTTACTGATTAGTGGATGTTTTTGGGAAGAGGAGTCAAGAATGATTTCCAGTTTCCAGACAAGGATGACTAGGAGTGTGAGGTGCCATCAATTGAAATAGGGACTATGGGGGTAAGAGCAGATATAAAAGTAAGATCGCAGTTAAAAATGTGCTCATTTGAGATGCCTGCCAATTCCATCAGACATCAAAGATGTTCAATGTGGATTTGAAAATAAGCTTAAGACTTTATGGGTTTTGGAGATCATTTTCATGAAATAATGTATTGAACAGCTCAGGGAACTTTGAACTATTAAAGGTGGACTTTAACATAGTCCAATGTCTTAGTTTGACACTTGAGGAAACAATTATTTAGGTTACACTATTTGTGATAAAGTAGTGTGGTCTCTTCTCCTTGAATCTGCAACTCACAGTAATGAATAGTATTTGGCAAAAGTGACACTGTGCTACTTCCAGGCCTAAGCTTTAAGATGACCTGGAAACTTCTGCTTTTGTGCTCTTGGAATCCCTTAACCCCATTTAGAAGTCTGGCTACGCTGTAAAAGAGATCAAATGAAGATGCCACAAAGAGAGGGAGTTGTTATGACACATCACAGAGAGAGACAGCATCCAGCTGACCCAGTGTCCCAACCCCAGGTGACCCCCCTGATAAATGCAGCACGTAGGTTATCACCCTCCAGACTGGGCTCAGCTAAGTGTTGCCAACCCACAGAATCATAAGAAATTTAATTTTTTAAAGCCCTTAAGATTAAGGGTAATTTGTTACATAGCACTAGTTAATCAAAACAGTGGAGGAATCAGGACAAAAATCCATGTCTTCTGAGCTCTAGAACATAGGTCATCTAGGGCAAGGAACTCATACTGTTTATTCTTTATATATATATATATATTTTATTATACTTTAAGTTCTAGGGTACATGTGCACAATGTGCAGGTTTCTTACATATGTATACGTGTGCCATGTTGGTGTGCTGCACCCATTAACTCGTCATAGTATTCCATGGTGTATATGTGCCACATCATTTTCTTATTCTTTAATAAAAACTTAATGCAGAATGAATAACTGGGCTTATTTGACCTCAGTTTTCTCAACTGCACAATTTGCATAATAATTAACTTATTGACTAAAATGTACTGTATATCCTGGATTTAATGACTGCTGTCATTTAGCCATGAGACAGATCTAGCCATCTATCCATCCATCCATCTGTCCATCCATCCATCCATCCATCCATATCCATTTCACCTATATATTATCTACCCATTTCTATTTTTTTGGCCATCTATTTTTTGGCCAATGAACTAGACTGCAATTCTATATCAAACGTCTGTTTTACTCTGTGGCTTTCTGGCCCATGAGTAAGTATAGGAGAGTTGAGATGGAAAATGCAAAGTTTTGCCATTATTATCTTAATTTTAAGTCTTTACAATTTTCATAAGGGAAATATCAATGACACCAATGTTACTTTCACCGCTGAGTGTCTAAAACTTTTACTGAATTTTAACTGGTCAAGAAACATGGTTGCTTGAGAAAAATCACCAGAATTTCAAGACAATAGTCAAAATCTTCTGAAAATAAACTACTGTTCAAGTAAGTGGAGTTCAGATAATGACAACATGTCATCTCCTAAGGAGGCAATGTTTATGTGGCATGCGTCTTGGAGGTAAATCATTTTTCTCTTTTTAGTTTTATTTTTTTCAATATACAGTCCTATATGTTTGGGGTTTCAGCATTAGATATTACGGTAAAGCGGCAGGGATCTTATTCATTTCTATATTAGAATTATATTTGTTTGGGAACTGTTCAGGAGTCGGTCTCATGGCATCTGACAGCTTGACGAGGCTTGTTGCCATGGAAAACGTTGATGTTATATAAATATATTCCTAGGTCATGAGTTGCCATGTATTTTTTGGACATTGGCGCTAAGGGGGAAATGACTAAACATATTTTTTAGGAAGGAAGAATGACATAGTAAACAAACAATAATAACAAATAATAAATATATGTGTATTCAGTAAACTGGTGCTCTGTTTTCTTAAGCATTAGACTTGTGTTCTAACAAGCCTTTTAGCTATAAAAGCTCATTTATTGCAAAGGCTTTTTCCCCCCTAAAATATTCTTATTACCAGTCATTTTGCAATATTAATGGTTCCACTATTAATAGACTGAGAGACAAGGGAGCTATTATTCTTGCTCTCTATCTGTTATTCCATTAAGTAAGACTGCCAACCTCTGACTGTTAGCAGCTCTATAATGAACCATGTGCTCGAGCCACGGGGTATATCCTAAGTAAAAGTTTTCCTCACATGTTGTTTTTGGTGCATACTATGACTAGACAGGAAAAAGGTACAACAACAAGATGCAAGGGGAGACACTCCATTCAGGTTAGGATCTAAAATAGTCATTTTCTTTGGATTTGACGAGAGGTGAAGAAGTGTTGGGGAAATGATGTGGAAAGTCATGGGTGAATTTCTCTGTAATTTGTCCCCCCTCATGACTGATGCCCTTTGTGAGAGCTCCAACGGTACCTACAATCTGACATACACAAGTCTGTTATCCATTCTTGCTTTCTCTAACACACTATCATTTATTCAACCTGTAAGGAGACCTGCCAGATTCTTATGCTTGGGCAAACACTGACTATCTTAGGAGTCGGTGTTAGCTTCCTGTGTTGGGATGCTGCCTTCACTATTACCACTGTGGCCTCTGCTGTTGTTCACCGTCTGAGTCAATGACGGATGTTACACACCTCTTCATGCCAAAACAGAGAGTGTGCATGACCCTGATTTGTAAGAAAGCCATCTTTCTCTAAGTGAATAAAAAGTGGCTTTTTACCACAGACTCTAGATCTGTTGTGAGATAAGCCACAAAGGGTTTTCACTAAACCCAAGTACTCACATTTGCAAATTATGTACTTTAAAAAATGAATTTACAGAAATCCAGTTTATTCTTTAATAATACCACTTGTATTCACTTGAATTATGCTGGGTTTTCTTGAATGGGAAGAAATATCCAGCTATCAATTACCCTGGATATTGTGCCACATACAAAGATTGTGCTGAACTAGGCAATGTCATCTCATGTATAGAAAGAAAAATAAACAAGCATAGAGGGCATACTGATAGAGAAACATGATCTTATTTTATTTTTTGTTTGATTTTCATCATTGCAGATTACTTTTACAAACTTCGTCTCCTTTGTTTCTCTCCTAAATCCTGCAAGGTGTGTAGATAAGTAACGTTTTACCCATTTTACAGAAAGGAAAATGGAGATTTAGTAGTTTGCTCAAGTCACACATCTGTAAGTGACAGAGGTATGCTTCCCACTAAATAGTGGAATCTTGCTAGCAATGTGTATAGGTTTAATATAGACAGAATTTGCTTTGACATGCTTTCTCTATGCTCAGCTAGGACTTATTTTCATTAAGAAATTTTCAAGCAAGGATGGAGCCAGGAGAGGAATAACTGGGTGGAAACTAACTTCTCCATGGCTTCTTTGGCTCCATCGCCTACTGTGGAAATTGATCCAGGTAGAAGGTTGCCTATTTTGGCAACCTTTGCCCACTGCGGAGGTTGATCTCTTTGGGTGAGATGTCCTGTTGTTTTTCTCTCTACATGCTTGAAGCTTTCATTGCACTGGAAACTAAAGAGACAGAAATAGGAGGGATTTGATGACTTTCAAACTAAGGAAAGCAACTCATTTTCTTTTTAAACACAGCCTTCTGACTAATTTTTGCTGTAATTTATCCTAGTAATTTTGTCTGCAAGAAGATGAAGCAGAAGTAAATTTTGCTTGAATTACCTCTGTTCTCTAATTTACTTCACAGATAAATGTAAACCATGAGGAAGTAAAAAAGTAAGTCCACATATACAAGTAAATTTGAATTTTTCTTCAAAATTTTTACCTCATTTAACATTAATGTTCTTATTTTTTCATTTTTAAAAATAAAAGATGTATTTTAATTTAAAAAATAGAGCTCCAGTTTATGTTTTTAGAGAACCTCAAGTATACCTTAACTTTTGTGCCTAAGAATGGTGATAAATTATAATAAAATCTGAACTTAAAATGTGATTAAACATGTTCAGTCATTCTATTTCGTATATTACAATTCTTCGGATATTCAGTTTCCCTTTTCTTTAAAAATACAAACAAAATGCAGTCATTGATTAAGCATATTTCAAGCATTTTCAAATAAGTAATTTCATTTATTCTAGAGAGCTAATTATTAGGTAGTGAATAGGACTAAGTATAAATAATCTAGCTTTTCTCCTTTCAGGCATATGGTAGGTTTGTGTTTCCCCACCCCTTTGACGTTAGATACAGCCATGTGACTTGCTTTAACTAATGAAATCTGAGTAAAAGGACATATATCACTTCCAGACAGGAACATTTAATCACCAGAGCAACTTTTCTGCTGCTGCAGCAATCATGAAAGCATGGGAATATACCATCCATAATTCTGGCTCCTTGAGTGACTACCATGAAGAATCATTATGTTTTAGTAATTATTTGTTACTGCAACATAGCCTACCCCATCTTGACTGATACAGCTCTTTAAAGATGAGGAAACAAAGACTAAGAGAAATGAAGTGACTCATTCAAAATAACATAACAAAGTTGTAAACCAAGTTTTCTGATTCTTCTATCCTGAATTTGCAAACTCAACCCAGGATAATTTGGTTCCCCAAGAACCTCAAAATTAAGCAAAACCTGATTTAATGCACATGTGTTATATATGTTCACATACAAAATAATTGGGTCTTTTGATTGAATTGAAAGTGTGTATTAATTAAAAGAAGATTCAGCTTGGGTATTAAAATGAGCAAAGACTTAATCTACTAATAGAAGTCATTTCATATATAAACAAAATTGCAGTGTTGAAGCTTTCTAAATATCAGGAACAGTGAGCTCTCTGGGTTACTTAACCTGCTAAATTTCTTATTCAGTCACTAGATGACTCCAAATAGGTACCTCCACCTAAATACTTAATATGAGAGATTGGGAAGAGAAAAGCAGCCAAGACATTTCTTAGCATATTCTGTGACTGCATGAGACTTCTAACATAATTGTAAGAAGCTTAGAAAATTCACTTGCCATTTACACTAATACCCATAGATCCCTGTCATCTGGACATACTGATCTATGTTTAAGTGAAAATGTACTTCGCAAACAGGCTTTCAGTTGAAATATATTTTTGCAAGATTTCATGACTTGGCAGCCTAATTTCTTTTTTTATGCTAAAGAGATTTTTTTTTTAAAAAAATTAGTTTAATATCTTGGCCACTTCAAAGTCACACAAATTTCACACTCAGTTTTCACTTTGTGCTCGCCGTTACTGATGGTATTTTAATACCCCTTGTTTAACTATTTTTTATGTCATTTGCTTTTTGTTTTTTTTTTTGGCAGACTGTGTCCCATTTCCTTTCAGCTTTAACCAATGCCAATTACTTTATTTCTTTACCTGATGTTTTGCTCACTTCCTCTATAAGCTAATCTTTCAGGATTTATGGGATATATATGATTTCTTGTTCAAAATAGTCTTAGGAGCAACAGAACTCAAATTCCACAGGAAACAGGAAACATTTTTTATAATATCCATTATATGTTTAAGTAGCAGAGTGGTCATAACTCACTTAAATCTTCAATTCCTCAGTTTCTCCACCTAGTAAATATGGACTACTGCCATCTTCTTCATTTAAACTCAAGGACTATTTTGGAAGAAAATGAAATTGTGTTTCTAAATCTCTTCTAGTCTTGTTAAAAGAACCATATATACTTAAGACATATGAATCAGACCTGTACACATTTGGGACAATGACATTTTAAACAATGATGCTGTCACATTTGGAATGAGCTATCATGTTCAAAGTTCAATGGAGCTTTCAAATATTAAGGTAAATCACAAGTTGATTTCACATACGACCTATATCATTTTAGACATTATGTCTAAAAATCCAGATATTCTAATTTTAAAAAATCAGAGCCAAAAAAGAAACTTGATTATCTGATTTAAGTATCAGATTATTTGCCATTTCTGGAAATATTCTTGACATTAATAAAATAGCTCACAGCTCTTCCTATTCTTACTGTATTTCAATTTCCATTCTGATGTTTATGTATTTCATTTATTGTGCTCTCTCTCAACAACCATGTGAACTTGGCACCGTACTTATCATCTTCATTTTATGCATTAAGAAACAAAGCCATAAGAAGTTAATCAACTGGTTCAAGGTTACAGAGCTAGTCATTGGCAGAGCTCAGATATGAATCCAGAAAGTCTAATTCCAGACCCACATCTATAACTGCTGCTACACACATTTGTCATTATTGGTGAAATCATTATGGGAAACTTATGGAAAGATTCTAGATTACTGGACAAAATCTAAAGCACCATGGAAGGTTTTTGACTTCAGAAGTTTCAACAATATTACCCCTCCAGAGTAGAGAAATGAGGAAGTACCTAAATTGGGTCAGAGAGAAAGGGATTACCATAATGTTGGGAAATCCCTGAACGACATCAAATGATGTAGTTGAAACTGGATGCATTTGGTCTTGTGATGAGATTAGAAAAAATATTACGGTTGGGTTAAAACATTTTAAAAGCTATTCTGTGATAAAGGAGGCTGACTCTGGATTGATCCAAAGACACAAATAAGGGCTTTTAGTAAAACTTATGGTGTGGAGACAGATTTGGAATTAGTCTGTTGCAACCATTTATATGAACACCTTATCATGGGTAGCTTCTCTGGAGTGCTGTTCACAAACAGGATACTAGATAAAAACCTATTATCAGAAGTCTTGTCTGTAATCCCAGCACTTTGGCAGGCCAAGGCGGGAGGATTTCTTGAGTTCAGGAGTTAGAGACCAGCCTGGACAACATAGGGAGACCCCATGTCTACTAAAATTAAAAAGAAAAATAGCCAGATGTGGTAGTACACCCTTGTAAAATCTCAGCTACTCAGGGGGCTGAGAAGGGATGATCACTTGAGCCTGGGAGATGCAGGCTGCAGTGAACCAAGACCACACCACTGCACTCCAGCCTGGGCAACAGAACAAGATCCTGTCTCTAAAAAAAGTACAATAAATAAATAAAAAATAAGAAGTCTCTCTGATTTATTTTGGAAGGAAAATAGTGTCTGTATTAGTTGTTGGAGGCAACTTTAAAAGGAATCAGTATAACACTGGCAATGGGAAGAAGACAGAGCTTTATCAGGGAGTTTTCCCTGATAATCAGAGTTTATCAGGGAGATTTGCATGGAACTCAACCCATCAAGCACCCTTAGCATGTGCACTAGGAAGAGTGCTCGATGAACTGTCACTCCTTCTAATTCAGGTAACATTGTTGGAGGTGTTCTCAATTACAATGCATGAGGAAGTTTGACTAATGGCTTAAAATAAAAGAGCACATGTCAGCCCATATCTGTCTATTTCATTGAAGCAAACAGGCATAACTTCTTTGGACATCTATATCTATATCTTTGTTCTTCTCCCCAGTCCGCCAATTGTCTAATCATCTGAAAATGTAAAGTGCTTAGGCTGGGAAACCTATTCAGTCAAGGATTCTGTGTTCACAGTTGAATTCCCAGCACTAGCACAGAACTCCACATCTAATAGGTCCTCAATAAATAATTGCTGAATGGATCACAGTAAATGCAATAGGTAGTCATTTCTAGGAATTATGTAAAAATGTTCAGCCAGAATAAATTGAGTTTATTAAAGTTTCAGGACCTCTGGAAGTATTTTAAATCTTTCCTGTCATTTCATGTTTTGACGCCAAAGACTTGAGTTCCAAACTTAAGGAAATTGAAGATAAGTGGTCTAGAGAGTGCCAGTTAAAACAGCAGAGCTACCCGTCTATTCTAAAGAGTTTCTCTTTTACAGTTAGACCTGAACTTAGCTGTTTTTCCAGAAAGCCCTAATTTCATAAAAGGAGGTTTGCACGGCAACTTAAACAGATTATGGCAATGCTAGTTAACAGACTTCTGGATTTAACAGCTTTCTAAAAAATTAAGAACACAGAACCAGACAGCCTGCAAGGATACCACTGCAAAAACTTCCATTGTATCTAAACAATTGAATGTCAATGCCAATAACAGATTCCTTCTGGGTTCCATTCCTTCCCAACCAAAAGGAAACCATTTATTCACACTGTAATGTGTCCTTCATTTGAAACATTCTAAGTTGTATAATGTCTTGCAGATGATGTTGTCGAGAAAGGTTTCTGACCCTGAACAACTCCTGACCAACTTGGGTTATTCTGCATTTATTCTGTTGCTTTCTCACAACACTTGATATGTCCCTAGCCTCTGAATAAAGGATGTATACAATAGAACCAAGCCAAGTGCAGTAAAGGGAAGTGAAAGGCTACAACTGGTAGCAAAACTACTAATGGTATGACTGGCTTGTTTTCAGGATGTTCTCTTCTTATTTTCTTTCCTCCATGATTTTGAACATGATAAGTTTTAGAAAATGAATTATATGTCTTATTCATATGAAAGCAGGGTCACTATAAACAAAAGTAGTATATGCTTTAACTCATATTATTTCTGCCTCGAATGTTACAAATAAGAAAATGCTAAAAAATGACGCCAATGCTTTAAATACTACCAGGTATATAGTTACATCAATTGCAAACTGACCACCAAATGGTGATGTCCTTGCTGTGGGAACATTCAGGACTGGGGAGCAGTCGTTCTAGCAATGCTGCATACATATGCCACCACATTAAAAAACCGAAAGAAAAATTAAGTGAAGGAACTAGGTCAGTTTAGACCTCCTATGATCTACCTCACATACTGTGAAAGGGACAGAATGTCCCCATTAAACACAGAGACTCTTCATTTCCTTGAAGATAAACAGATTAATTAGTCAACAACTAATTATCAAACTATCAGACACATAAATGCATAGCACTATACTAAATCTAGGCAAGCCATGCGAAGATAAATGCCTTCATTTGCCTTAAAATTAACCCCATGGCTCTAATAATGTAATTTTACAGAATACATAAACCCAAATCAGTGATTGATTTTCAGGCATGTGAATTTGAAAGCTTTGATTGAAAATGTTCTAAACATTTTTAATCGCTTTTCCTTTCTACCCATAACAGTAAAACTGAAAATAAGCATTTACACAACCTGGCCAAATATTTAGATAAAGAATGAGTTCGTAACCAGCAATATCTTAAAATGTGTTTGAGTTATTCTATATGCTATTTAAATAGTTAAACTGTCAGCCTGGGATTTTGTATATATTCCTCATTAGGTTGCCTCAAAGACCCCAGGGTAGGTATATCTGCATTTTAAAATTTTGTATTTTTCCATGGTTTATATATCCCATAAAATGCCTTGAGAATTTTATGAGGGATGTTACATTAATATGTGTTATTATAAATATGATTTAAATATCTAAAGCATTGCAGAGTGATTACTGTTCAGTAAGGCAGTGTGCATAAAAGGGTTATCTCCACACTGTGCTTACGTTTCTACAGTATAATATAATGAATTGTTCAATATAGTTTGCATGCTATTTGTCTCTGTTTCTTCCTAGGCTCTAGGGAAGCTGATGTGCAACCCTCTAACAAGGCGATCATAAATTGCAGAACAATAAACAGCCCTGGAGATTTTTAGATAGTATGTGGTTAGCATGCAATCCATCTTGGCAAACTTGATTTAATAGCTCAAAGGAGCATCTCTGACAATGCTCAACATTGTTTTAAACTGCTGCTAAATCAATTAGTGTATTGGAGAATCCTAATGTCTCTGCCTCTCTCATCGCCCATCCCAAGAATTCTGGCTGGTTATTTTGTAGAGAAAAAGATTTAGGGAGCCACTGCATGGATGCACTTGGGTTCCCTGGAAAACATTAGAGATAATCCTGCATGAAAGGAGGGGTAAGCCAACCTCCTAACCTCCTTAAATCATCAAGATCGATGTGGGCGTCATCTTCAAAATTCATTTCAATTTTTCTGAATTACCACAACTGTAGCCAAGAAGGATAAATTACATAAAAAGTAACTATTATTCTAAAATCAGGACTATGAGGTTAAGTACCAAAAAAAAAAAATAGTCTTAAGAGACAAGTTTGTTTGCTTTATTTATGCATTTCCTTTCCTATTCAAAACATTTATAGATATTATCTAATCCTCCTACATTTATTAACATGTAACTTAAAAAACAAAAGTTAAAAACCAGCAGTAGACAAACCTCTCCTAATAGAAAGAGGTATCAACAATTTCTTAGCTTGTGATAGATTATTCAATCGTTTTCTAACTGCACTGAACGCAATCATTAACATAACAATTGTTATGTGAGGAGAAAGAGCATGACTTCTCTCCAAATTTTACAATATGCCCTCCTTTCCTTGTATTTTTCCTCATTAATTTATTGAAAACCATTCTCAGGCAATTCCCTGTCTTTCTTTTCATTTCTTGTTACAGTGCAATAGTCTTGCTTTTTCAAGACTCACAGAGCCAGGTAGTTCCTGCTTCCTGCAGGGTTGAATCACAGACTGTGTGGAAGTGAAGCCTCCTGCCGCATCCTTCTACCACACTAAAGTTCTTTCCTTTTAGGACAAGTTCACTCAACTTATGTAACCAGGACGAGTTGACTGAATTAAGAAACAAAGCGAAATGAAAATGAAGTTAAATGAAACAGAGGATTAGTCAAACTAATTGTGTTTGTTTTTGTTTTAAACAATGCTAAGTAATTTTTTTACCTGATTTTTAAAAAATTGGTAGCCTTTTATGGTGATGTATAAACACAACGAATGTTTTCCTCAGCCCAAGGTTAGTTTCCATTGGCAAACAAAAAAGTTCATGATTTTAAGCCTCTATTATTTCCTTCAAAGATGCATAGGGTATGATTTTTCTGGAAGTAATCTAAATTTCATATTAACTCCCATATGAAATAAGAAGCCCTACCATATCAGCTTCTATATTTTATGGGAAGCCACAGAATAAAGGCTTCACACCTGCCCTCCAAATAATTGAATGAATATTTAAATAGCCTGATTCATAATTTTGAGCCAGGATGAAGCTCATTTTTCTAATCCATAAGTTCGCTGGACAATGTTATATTTCAGTTTCTTTATAAGGTTATTTCCAAACAAAGTGAGACATAATTGAATAATTTCTCAATTACTTATATCTCTTGCTTCATTCTATTGCTCCTTTTTGGGGTCATTAGTATGTTTGAATAATAAATTACAGTATAAATGAGTGTAATTTTCCTGTGTTTTGAAAATTTCTCTCATATGCATATTTATCTCATTTGCATATTTGTTTGGTTCCCACTACAACGCTAGTGATGAGGTTCAGGACATAGTACCCCAGTATATGGCACCCTTGGCATTTGGGAAAGTAGCAGAAGTAATAAGATCACTCTTACTTTCCCTTCACACCTCTTCCCTAAGGCAAGGTCGTAAGACCCTAACTCAGAGGTGCCCTTCCTATGGAGGAAAAGAACATCCTTATCTCAGAAGACACAAGGACACAGGAAAGAATCTGAACAAATAAGGTTTTCTAAGTTACCCAGAGTTAATTACTGTTAAATTATACTTTTAAAAAATCCATTCATACTTCTCAATGCCTATCCACTTCATCAAACTCAGTATAAACGGATCCAAGTTTACCTGTTTCTTTGGGTCTTCATTTCTGAAGGCTCTTGTGTCACATAAGACATATTAAATAAATGTGTCTGCTTTTCTCTTGTTAATCTGTCTCTTGTTATAGGGGCATCAGGTATGAACCTAGTGAAGGGTGAGAAAAAGAAGTCTTTTCCTCCCCTATACCATAATGAAATTTGGCAGATATTATTCTCATTTTATGTAACTAATAGTGAAGGCACTAAGTGGAAACACACCCAAAAAATGGGGGAAAAGCCAATGCCAAAATCAGGCAATTTAAATATTTTAATAACTTTTGTAGTGTTTTGACTGGAAAAGAGACTTATGGTAAAAATTAAAAGAATGTTTTGATATTAGGTGTCATTTAAAAATTGTTCAGGAGTTCTTTCTCACATTTTCTCTCTTTGTCTTCTTAGGTATCAATGAAACTTTGCCTAAGTCCATAGTGGTGCTAGCCAAATGCAGCTGTATTTAGTTTAGCAGTCCTTAATATGAGAAGAGATTCTGATCACAGAGTTGGTGTCCGTAAATCCTATTCACATATTGTCTTTGATGGAACCTAAGTAGCATTTTCTTTGCGGCCAAACCTTTCGGTGATTTTAAAATCTAACAGAACTTGTCGCATAGCAGGGGCTCAATAGTTAGTGAGTGTTTCATTGGTTATCATAGAAACCACTCTTGTTCAAAACATGAACTCCCAAGATCTACAGGGGGAAATGACATGGCAGAGCTCCTTCCTGTCATTTCTTTTTTTCAATGATCCTATCCAAGTGTCATTTCTACAATTTTCTCCTTTCACGTCATTCAGATGTTTCTGTATCATCCTGTGTTTTTAGGTAATCAGAGGTGTATGGTTCAGTGTGAAGGTTATTCTGGTTCACCATTATTATTGTTTCCTAAAGCTGTTGGCTACCATATGACCGTTTCTTTTCTTGTTATTATCTTTATCAGTGTAAGTAGCTGTGCCAAGGAGAGGAGAGAAAATTAATTCTCTGGGAGAATCTAGGAAGACTTTAAAAGACAGGCAGCTTTTGAGTTTGGTGTTGAATGATGGTATTAGGTTGAGGCAGAACTTGAATACAAAGCAAAGACATCTGATTTTCTTCCATAAGGGAAAAGAGTCATCATTTTTAAAGGCAGAGAATGACAAGATCCAAAACCCTGATTCATAATTTTTAAGTTGTTCTTTAATTACTTTTTTTTTCTTTTTTTTTTTTTTGAGATGGAGTTTTGCTCTTGTTGCCCAGGCTGGAGCACAGTGGCGCAATCTTGGCTCACTGCAACCTCCACCTCCTGGGTTCAAATGATTCTCCCACCTCAGCCTCCTGAGTAGCTAGGGTTACAGGCATCTGCCATCATGCCCCACTAATTTTTTGTATTTTTAGTAGAGATGGGGTTTCACCATGTTGCCCAGGCTGGTCTCGAACTCCTGACCTCAGTTGATCCACCCACCTTGGCCTTCCAAAATGTTGGGATTACAGGCGTCAGCCACAGCACCAGGGCAATTACTTTCTATGTTAAAACTTCCTCCAACAATTTGATATTTAGATTATGATCTCTTATAATCTCATAACAAAATTTTGGATTCCTTGACTTATCTTTCAAGTAAAAACTAGAACTTAAAAGTCAAAGTATCCTAAAGATGCTTTAAAAAACAAGGTCATCAAAACACATTTGATATTAATCATATTTACTTTAAATAAATAATATTTTTAGGCAGGGCACGGTGGCTCAAGCCTGTAATCCCAGCACTTGGGGAGGCCTAGGCGGGTGGATTACGAGGTCAGGAGATCGAGGCCATCCTGGCTAACATGGTGAAACCCCGTCTCTACTAAAAATACAAAAAATCAGCGCAGTGTGGTGGCGGGCACCTGTAGTCCCAGCTACTCGGGAGGCTGAGGCAGGAGAATTGCTTGAATCCAGGAGGAGGAGGAGGTTGCAATGAGCTGAGATTGAGCCACTGCACTCCAGCCTACGTGACAGAGCAAGACTCTGCCTCTAAATAAATAAATAAAATGAAATTTTAAATTAAGTTATGTTCATCTACCCCCACACAGAGACCCTTCACAATTTAAATGCCCTTTGCAGGTACTTAACACTCTCCTCAAGATGAATTCTGCTAATTATTTTATTCCTACCTGAAATATTTTCTTACTATATATTAGGTTCCACACACTGTGCTGGTAGTGGAGGATCAAATATAGAACATGCATGACTTCTGCCTTCAATGATTATAATTCTCAATGAGATTGTTCCCAAAATGAAAATTCTCAAAGACAAGAAACATGTCTCGTGTATCTCTATACCCCAAATAATTATGAGTACTGGCAAGTTACATAACTTCTCTCAGTCTCATGTTGATTTCATGGGGTTATTTTGAGGATTAAATGAGTTAGTGTATCTAAATTCATCATAAACACTATTTATTGTACAAAGTAGGTGTTTTATTGATATTTAGTGAATGCATGACTGATCGATTAGAAGCCTTTCTGCTTTGCACTTTTCAGATTGATACTTAACTTTTTATTGAATTTCTTTTATAATAAAAGCAATTTTGTAATCTCACATTTTATTGACACTGAAATGTGAATTTGTTACAGTCATTGCATGTTAACTTGGCTTGAAAGTAGTAATGTTGACTTCATAAAATAATACTTTGTGGCTTTATCTCTGCTTGCCACTTTTATACTCCAGCAAGAAAATGACGATAAGTTACATTACAGTAAAGGTGACTGTCTCTTCTATTTTTTATTTGCTTGAATTCTGCTTGCAGCAGGAATTTGATGCCATATGGAGGTATGCTTCCTTGCTGTCAGTATATGGACCTGTGGTGTTATACAAAACTCTCTTTTCCTCATTAAGGGCATGCAAAAGTCTAAAAATAAATCTTACGCTATTTCATCCTTCACTTTTTAGCAAACCTCTGGGGACAATCAGCAGCCAGCCAGTTTCTCATGGTTAGGTGAAGAAAGTGAAGCTAAGGTGCTCAGAGAAGAAAGCACGATGTCAGAAACTCACGCCTACAAGATTGGAATCAAAGCCAGAGGAAGGGGAAAAACTTGTTAGTACGGTTTTAAGCCTCAAGTTTTACATTATGGGTTAGTTCTGGAGGAATCTTTACCTCCAAACTCCAGGAGCAGTAAGATAGCTAGACGTAGTCAACTGGACTGGTTGCTATTTAAGAAATTGGACTAGCAGCAAAAGCAATACGCAAGAAGTGGTGAGGATTGCCAAGTCTTCACCTTCCTCAAGGCCCAACATCCATGTAGAAAGTGTGACTTCTTGAAAGAGTAGCCCTCTTTATGTTTTTGATTTCATGGGCACTGATACTCTTGCCCCAAGTATCTGCTCACTTGTCTTGCAACATGCTTAAAGTCTCCGTGGTACATATTCTGCTATTATTATGATGGTCAGGTCATCTGAGAGGAAGAACATCAGATAAAACTGTTATGAACCACTCAAATGTTAAAGTCAGTTAATTGATCAGTTTACTTTACTTTTCCTACTGGAGACAAGGGATTTAGACATGAAACTGCCAAGTTTTGATAGAGGGAGATTTCATTGAGAAAGATGAGAGCAAAATCTGGATCACTGGGCTGCCCACAAAGAATACTATAATAGTGAGCAGTAAAAGGGAAGTGTGTGCACAGAAAGAGCAATGGAGGATGCTGAAGACCAACTTCACCACTTCACCAAATTGCCCAGAGGCTTCCTCTACGCTGTGTTTCAAATGATCAATTTCAAGTGATCATGAAACTATATTATCTCAGGACTGTAGTTTGAAACACTTAATGGTCAATGTCTTTGTCTGTTTGGGCCATAACAAAATACCTTACATGGTAGTTCACAAATAATAGGAATTTATTTCTCATAGTTCTGGTAGCTGGGATGTCCAAGATCAAGGTGCAAGCAGATTCGTTGCCCAGTGAAGGCTCGCTGTTTCATAGATGGCACTTGTTGCTGCTTCCTCACATGGAAGAAGGAGCTAAACTTGCTCCCAGAAGCCCTTTTATAAGGGCGCTAATCCCATCCACGAGTGTAGAGCACTTATTACCAAATCACTTCCCAAAGGCCTATCTCTTAATATTATTACCTTGGGGGTTAAGCTCTAACATATGAATTTTGGAGGGACAGTAACATTCAGGCTATAGCAGTCAGCAAATTAATTACAGAATTCTTAACTCTGTGGGATAGCTCATGTCTTTATTGTCATCCAGATAAAAAGACTATATTCCAAAACAGAAATATTGAGCATCTATCTCTTAAAATGATACTCAAGAAATATAATCATTTGCTTTCTTCCCAGCTGAGTCCTGAGAAGTCTTGTTTACTTTTTCATTAGAAAATATGAGAAAAATCCGTAAGTAATGACACTTTATTAAGGAGAATTCTGTCACAATTTACATTAGGCTCTGGTAGAGTTGATAAAAGTCAGTGTTTTTATTGTAGAAGAAATACATTGTTTAACCTTAGAAGATACAAAACTTGCCATCCTTTTGGACTAAGTTTTATCAGATGAGCTGAGCTGTAGGCTGTCTTGAAAATAATATATATTTCTGAGCCTTTTTTTAAGACAAGAGTCTACAGATATTGTGAATTCAATCAAATAATATATCTGCGTACAGCCTTTGACTATCCTAGACACAAGAATTCCAGATATCTTTTCCTGTATTCTCAATTTCCATTTAAAAATCCGTATGGTCATAATCTCAAGAAATATGGATGGATAGGTGGATATAGATATAGATTTTTTTCCTACATATATACATTTTTTCTCTAAAATGCCTATTCCTTGATCTGATTCAACTGGTACCACAGAGGGCTGAGATCCCTAGACATATGTGGAATATTTTTAATGTTTTGTTAAATTTGAAATATGTCTGTGTTTCCACTCTTTCTTTCAGACTGTTTGATCTTTCAACTATATGAGACATCTTGTTAGAGTTAAGATTTTAGAAAATGCTTTTTCCCCATTCCAATTTTAAACTAACACAAATCCATTTATTCAAAGAAGTTTTATTGAATACAGAAATTGAAAAGAATACTTATAAAACAGCATTATGAAATAAGAGAAGGAACATTAAACTGTTAACTTTATTGATTGACTATGTAAAGCATTCTAAGCTCACTGAGAGAGAAGTGCTGAGGGGCGAAGTTCATTGCAGGGCAATTAAACAGAAATTTCATGCAATGTGAGCTCAGCTTTCAACACAGTATTAAAGGGCTTCAGGAATCATACATTGCACCTTGTACTCAATATATGAAAGACATAAATATATACATTTGCAAAGATAAAAAAGCAATACTTTTAAATGAAGTCTAATATTTTGTTGTTGTTGTTGTTGTTGTTGTTGAGACGGAGTTTCACTCTTGTTGCCCAGGCTGGAGTGCAATGGTGCAATCTCGGCTCATACCAACCTCTGCCTCCTGGGTTCAAGCAATTCTCCTGCTTCAGCCTCCTGACTAGCTGGGATTACAGGCATGTGCCACCACGCCTGGCTAATTTTGTATTTTTAGTAGAAACGGAGTTTCTCCATGTTGGTCAGGCTGGTCTTGAACTCCTGACCTCAGGTGATCTGCCTGCCTTGGCCTCCCAAAGTGCTGGGATTACAGGCGTGAGCCACCGCACCTGGCTGAAGTCTAATATTTTCTTTAGAATTTCCTGTTAGAGGTCTCAAGAAAGAGTTATAAGATTCACAAATATAAAATACAGGTATATATCATGAACACTTTATAGATTCCTGGTTAAAGGCATATTGCAATCTCTTTTATTAATTGTCACAATTATAGCTAAATTGTTTGTAAGAAATAGGTTGATAATAGATTTACTAAAAGAAAAAGACCTATAGAAAACAATGAACATGCCAAGTTCTTACACAGTAACACACAATTATAGGCACAGAAGGCAACATAGGATATAGGGTATGTAAATATAATAAGACTCTGTGGTTTGGTAGGAAGCTTGAAATATTGCTGCAAAGACAAGATAAATACATGAAACATTCAGATAATTGTTCAAGGTTTAAGACTAAGTTTACACATGGAGTGGGAACTGTATTCCAACAAAAAACATCCTATTATAGATCATTCTTTTCCTCTTTTATTTTGACTTTATTTAATGGCATATACTTAGTTGTTGCATATTTCCTTGCATTTTTTTCTCTCCCTGTAGCCTTTCTCACTTACATATTCAGGGGTTTACAGTCTCCCTCCCCTTTCTCCCCTTTAGTTACATGTGGTATCTGCAGATGCAGCCCACACTGTTCTCTCTATGAACATCCACTGATAGACAGGTGCAGAGATTGATCACGGCTCCGTAACAGTGCTGGAAATGGCCGCCAGTTGTGAAGAAGAATAACAACTGGCAGCCATTCTGATTGGTGCTGGCACTGAATCTTTCTTATGGGATCCAAATGCCTTGAGAACCAAATGTTCCTGGGATTCAGGCTTTCTGCAGCCAACAAAGCTTAGGTCAAAAAGCTAATTGGCTACTTGAAACTTTACTTAGACATCTTTAAGAGAAACAAAAGGGTTGTTTCTGTTAACTCACAGAACCTATATATGCATATGCCAGGAGCGATGGCTAAACAGATAGATGATGAAAAGCCAAACGCTTCTTTGAAAGAGCTTTTCTTTCAAGGTAAGGTGAAAGTATGTGAAATAACAATGCAAAATATATTTTCTATAGAAACTTGTACCAAACTGTTATTTCTTACATTCACCATGTAATTATGTCTTTGGTGATATAAAATCTTCTGCATTGTAATTGTTCAAAGCTGAATGGTTCAAGGGAAAGAAAGTAAGGAAGGAAGAAAAGAAGGAAAGAAGGAAGCAACCAAGCTCCTTTGCTGAGGAGCATTTTGTATAATTCAAATGGAATTGCAATTCCCCACCAATAAAACACCATGTTCTAAACCTTCTATATCATAGCCTAACGTGAAACATTGGCCTTCTTTCTCCTTTGCCCCTCACTCAAATGCCAGAGCCACTGTAGGGCATGGCACAAAGAGGGAAACAGTGCTGTGGCATTCTGATTAGACTCTAACAAAAAAAATTTTCCTAAACACTCTTTCACTAGTGGACAGTTCAATAAAAGAGGGAACTGGGAAGACAGAACCTCCTGCACACTGTCATTAATGAACATCCAGTCGACATTGACCTCTGTGTAGTGCTGTGCTGGATACCATACAGAGCAGTTCACAGACATGCTCCCTGCTGCTCTTTAAAGTTTGCAATTGAAAACAGATGACAATAGGCTGAGGAAACTGATAACAAGCCACTGTTAGATTATATGCTGAATTAAAGCATACAGCAAACAGAAAGGAAAAAATTAAGGGTTATCATGTACAATAGGTTAGGATATAAAGAGTTGCTCTATGCCATTAATTGAGAAGAAGCTTTATTTTTATTTAATGAGAAAAAAAGTCATACCATGGAGGTAGAGCCTGAAGAGGTCTTTATGTAAAAGTATCAGATGAGTGATGTTGGCAAACTAGGAGAAGGAGAGTGCACCAGTGGTGGGGATCATAGACTTACCAGGTCAAGCATTGTGTGAAGGGGTAGTGGACAAACTGACATTGGCCAAGTGGAGGGCATGGCCTGAAGCCCAGGGGGAGAAAAGAGACTATAGCTATATGCCACTTTATTGAAAATGAAAGCCCAGTCTGTGTTTGTTTGCTCCAGCATTTTATTATACTGGAACATGAATGAATATATCTATAGTGTAGGTTATTTCCTGCCTTGAAGCTAGGTGGCTGTCGGGTGCTGATTTGCCATTTCGCCTCTGGGTAGCATAGGTAAGGGAGAAAGTAGGTCCTTGGCAGGTGCTGTGAACCAAATTTGACCACTTTTTTCTGACTATGCTTCAGTGCTAAGCTATGGAGTCTGAAGACAGGAATATCTGGAGTGATAAAGAATTTTAAAACTGCAGGAGGAAGGAAAAGGACATTTCTAAATTTTATTTCCCACTTTGATTACCGTTAACAAATAATAATTTGTAGTTAACAATTTGTAGCTTTAATTAATGCTTTATTTCTGTGTATGAATATAAATGTTTCTTATGAATTGATTCCTATTTATTTTCAATGTTACATGATTTAAGAGAGTGTGAATTTTTGTTTTTACAAAGAACACCTCTTCTCCAGGTAACCTGACCTATTAGCCAACCATTATGAATAATATCCTGCTATTTTAAGATAGCTCAATTTGACCCTTAATATGGCACCCTTAAATAAATAAAACCCAAATGCATAATAGTGGGAAGCTATTTGCCTTATTTGTCTCGCCCTGAACCCTTTGGTAGTACAGTGTAATCGTTTTGTAAAAGTCTCTTTCCTTAAAAACCGTGACGTCCTATGAGTATGTGGTCCAGACAAGAACAACAAAAGAAAGGTTAAAGGAATTGTTACTATTTGACCTGGCAAAGAGAATATTACAGACCAACAACAAAGACCAGCCTGTATCTAATCAAGAAAAGATGGTTGATTTGTATATGTAAACACTAGTTAGACCAAAGGGAGAACTCTTCAAATGGGAATGTACTATTGAGGAGATTTTGGAGTTGTAACAATGGATATCTTTAAAACTGGATGAACGAACAGCTAATGCAGAAATCTACCTGTCTACGGAGGCCAGAGCTTGATTCAGACCATTGCAAGCCTGTTACTTGATGCTCCTTCCTTGCCTAATGCTATAAGTAAAATACGTAAAATAAGTAAAATGAAAAAATGAGGTGTTGCTGTAAATCTTTATTGGTGAACTTTCATTCATTGTTTTAAAGAATGAGGGGAGTAAAAAGGTCATCCTCTTTTGACTCAAATCTGATATTATCTCTTATCTTCTTTGACAAATTCAGATTCACTTTCTTTTTATCAGAATTTTCTTGGGAAACTTCAGAGATAATAAAGAACTGTTTATTTGGATCACTACTCATATATTTTCTCATTATTGTGTTTCTTTCACTTGGTTAGTACAGGTTTTTTTATCAATATAAACAGGACCTTTTTTTAAGATTTCCATTTTCATAGTGTCATTACTGACACTGACAGCTGCCTAGCAGTCATGTGAAATATATAATCGCCTAAGGAAGAACATTCCATGACCAATTCCTTCTCTTTTATATTAAAAAGAAGTTTGACAGGCTTGCTAAGCCCCAGGCTTCTGAACTTTATGGCAGTTCAGAAATTCTTTTTATTTTCTAGATATTGTATTCATATATTTTTCTACATATATCAAATGATTTTCTGTGGAATAAGTTTAGTAATACATTTCTTTCTGCCTTGTCTCAGACATTGCCTTTTGTTTTTGTTCTAGATGTTTCTCTACAGCACCTCTCACAGGTCCAAAGACAAATAATAATTCATATTACTTAATATGTTCCTAGTAACAGAATACCTCTCTCTCCAAGTTTCAAATACTATCTAATCTTCTTTCTAAATTTTGAGGTTGAATTTAATGTAGAGTTTTAATGTGTATTTTTTAAAGATGAATTGTTGCACACACACTTTTTGTTGTGTTTGTTATTGATGCTTCATTTTTTTTCCGCTGGTTGCTACAAAGAGTTGTCCTTCAGTGTACACCTCCATTGACATTCCTCTACATCTCCTGTCTGTATCCCCTCTATCTAATCAAAAACTTTTATTCAGGTCTGAAAAGGAAATTCCTGAACTTCTTACGAAGCCATCCTTATTTTTCTTTTCTCAAGGACACATCGCTCTGATTCCTTTAACATTTTCTAATTGCTCATTTTAACAGCCCTGCTCAGTTTTGTTATGATCTTTTGGACCTTCTCCAAGTTATCTGTTAAGCATGACATTCCTTTTTCTTTGCAAACTGGTAAGGTGGAGACGATATTATATCATGACAGAGAGTGATGCCCTAAGGAATAAAACCTTAAGGAGAGTTAGAGAATCGAGGGCTGAGATATTATTACAGGATGTTCAACTTATATCAGACTTCATCTCAGTTGTGAACTTCAGGCTACTGTCATTTTTAGTTACCTTCTTTATGCCTTTGCACATTTTCCCTAGCCACAGCAAACTTGGAGTAAAAATGGAATAGAGAGGAATATTTTGATGGCTCTTTGTTTTACAACCCTCCAATTATTACAGGTCTTCAAGGCCCTGCCGTGTACCCTCCCCCCACTCATTCCTTGGGGTCCTAAGGAGATGTCTGACATATATCCATGAACAAATTGACACAGCTGTTCTTCACTTTCTCCACTAAATATCAATAGGTAAATATGCATATTGTCACTCTCGCTATTGCTGGTTCCTATGATCAGGAGAAATGAGGTTGTTTCAGAGTGTCAAAGCTGCCACTCTCTGGCTAGCCTCTGAAATGACATCGCTGTGCTGAGGGCCTCCCTGAGGAGGTCCCACTGCTGCCACCATGGGTGGTGCCTTCCAGGGCCTCCTAGAAATTGTCTAGTGGAGCTTATGGTGGCTCCAGAATATCCCCGTAGGAGCTATCTGGGCACACCTATTGAGGAGAAGTGGCAACTTGGGAATTTGCTCTGAGGCTTTGCATGTATTTATTTACATCCAGATAGCATGTTTCCTTGCATGCCTTTGGAGGAGAAAGAGTTGATGGATACAAGTGGGTGGGGGGATCTGAGACTCTGCAGCCTCCATCCCAGTGTGCTTAGGGAGCTGGTGGAGCTGCAGGACTAATTCAGGGCTGCAATCAATCCCAGAGCATTGTATTTAGGTTATGAAATGATCTCTAGACACTAACCCATTCCTCGGTGCTCTTTGGCAAACGTTGGTTCCTCCAAACTCACTCCATTCCTAGAAACTCAGGAGTCAGGACTGTCATTCTCAGTGGCAGATTCCTCTTGGCAATGGCATGTAGTTTGTCTCCCAAGGGTCACCTTAGTAAGAATTTGTCTGTGCTGCTCTCACCCTTTTTTGTGTTCATATGGAATCTGAAGGTTGGTGGGAAGTGGAGGGAGATGACAGAGAAGTAATGGCAGTCTGGGGAGTTCAGTTTGAGGAGAAACTATGTTCCTCCAGACATGACTGTGAAAACCAAAGCATCAGTATGGCAAACCCCCTGTGCAGCTGGGCCTGATGAGACTCTTGGAAAGAATGGACAGCACATGCAGTGATGAGAGCACAATGGTCTTTTTTCCTCTGAAGACATTGCCAGCCATATTATGGCTAACAAGATAGAGAACAGGAGAATTACCTAAAGAGGTTTTGAGTTGGGGGGCTGGATAAAAAGTTTTGCTTTTTTTAAGATACCTTATTACTCAAATTATTTCTTGTTCTCAATCTCTTAGTTTGTAATTTAGTTTTATCTTTTACTAGTTTTATCCATTGTAAACCATTGTTAATGTGTATGCTTTTAAACCTTTCCCCCAAGATTTTATAGTTTGTTTGATTTTGCTCTAGAATAAAATTGTGATTTTACCCATTATATTATTTTCATTTAGCTTATTTTATTCCTCAACTTACAAATGTTAACTACTCTTCTCGTATCCCATTTTATTTCTTTACCTCGCCTTTCTAACTTTTATTTTATGGTGTCAACTTTGTTTTAATCATCTTTATTTTTTACCTAGTTTATTCTTTTTTGTTTAGGTATGTATCTTCTCTTTTAAAATTATTTTTACGTTGGTTTTATAAGAAACCAGGAAGGAGACATGGTCATGGAGGCAAAGAGAAAAGTCATCAAAAGCAGGGAGACTCTGAGAACAGCAGCACTACTGTAGTCCCTTAATGGTTTCCAAATCCCTTTTAATGTTGAATCCACTAAAACTTTAACTTGAGTGACTCAAGAGACCACCAAGTTTTAGATTTCCTCCCAGGATAATGCTAATATTACCTGCTCTAACAGCACATTTGAACGGCTGAAATGGCGTTCTTTTCTCAGCTCCTTTATGAAGGGAAATGTTATTTAAAATCCACAGTCTCTGTCATGTTTGATTGTAGACATTGTGCAAACCTCCAGGGCGGAGCTGGACAAAGTTACATAAAGCAGAGGGAGGCAAGTAAGAGATCCCTTTCAGGCAAAAAAACATCAACAAAATATACCTAGTTTGATTTTTAACCAGGACTTAAGTTGTCTTTACATTTTCTTTAAAACACTCAGAAAGGTGACATTGTGGTGGCTTATTGATGAGTATGTCACAAGGAGTTACTAAGGGTCAAGAAAAGGTAACATGCATTTTGGTTTTTTGGCTGCTATTTAGAAAGAATAAAGCATATTCCCATCAAAAAGAAGATCACAACATTGTTTTGTTGTAAAGATCTGAATATTAAAATAAACAAATAAGTAAATAAGTAAAACTCAATTAAACTTAGAAAAAGAAACGTCCAAGCAGGGGAGTTGGAGGAAATGGAAATGTCCTGAGGGAGAGGAAAGGGCTCTCTCTGCAAGTCCCTGAAAATGGCAAGGGTGGAAAAGGTCTTCTCTGGTGGCAAGATCCTTGTCTGTCATGTCCTGCACTTTTTGCACATCCATGCCTCATGTGCTTTTGAAATTATGAATGAGATGTGGAATGCTTGGGAAAATAGACCTAAATGCTGTAGCCCAGATAAAAACAGCAACTGGTTACTCAAGGATCTGTTCAAAATCCAAGAGACACAGAAAGCAATTTTCTTGGGCATGACTGCTAATGAATACTGTATTGTATAATATGCTGTGTTGTATTTAAAATATATCTTGATTTGTCTTCATGGCTTATGTATCATTATGACTTTCTAAATTTAATGATGTTCATCTGTACTTAATTCCCTGAATTTCGTCTTATTTGAAACAGAAAATTATCCCTTTAGTGGTACTGACAGCATTCCTTCCCCACATTTAATTCTGCGTTAGGATACTATCCTAAATCTTTTCCCTAGTGAAGCCCCAGATTTTCAGGTTTCTCTTATCAATATCGAGCTCCATTTTCTCCAGAAGGAAAAGAAAAAGCATTGTGCTTGAAGTTATTAAAGCATTAACTTGAACAAGAAAAAATTAAAAGCAAGCTAAAAAACACGAATAGGATGATTATATAAATTATGAGCAATTGGCAGTATGGAATATCTTACGACCAAATTATGCTAAAGCTGTATAATAAAAAAAATTATTATTTGGGTAGAAAGCA